>NC_000004.12:71421381-72671381 GCF_000001405.40 Homo sapiens
TAATGGGAGACTTTAACACCCCACTGTCAACATTAGACAGATCATCGAGACAGAAAGTTAACAAGGATATCCAGGAATTGAATTCAGCTCTGCACCAGGCGGACCTAATAGACATCTACAGAACTCTCCACCCCAAATCAACAGAATATACATTTTTTTCAGCACCACACCACACCTATTCCAAAATTGACCACATACTTGGAAGTAAAGCTCTCCTCAGCAAATGTTAAAGAACAGAAATTATAACAAACGATCTCTCAGACCACAATGCAATCAAACTAGAACTCAGGATTAAGAAACTCACTCAAAACCCCTCAACTTCATGGAAACTGAACAACCTGCTCCTGAATGACTACTGGGTACATAACAAAAGGAAGGCAGAAATAAAGATGTTCTTTGAAACCAATGAGAAAAAAGACACAACATACCAGAATCTCTGGGACACATTCAAAGCAGTGTGTAGAGGGAAATTTATAGCACTAAATGCCCACAAGAGAAAGCAGGAAAGATCCAAAATTGACACCCTAACATCACAATTAAAGGAACTAGAAAAGCAAGAGCAAACACATTCAAAAGCTAGCAGAAGGCAAGAAATAACTAAGATCAGAGCAGAACGGAAGGAAATAGAGACACAAAAAACCCTTCAAAAAATTAATGAATCCAGGAGCTGGTTTTTTGAAAGGATCAACAAAATTGATAGACCGCTAGCAAGACTAATAAAGAAAAAAAGAGAGAAGAATCAAATAGACACAATAAAAAATGATAAAGGGGATATCACCACCGATCCCACAGAAATACAAACTACCATCAGAGAATACTACAAACACCTCTACGCAAATAAACTAGAAAATCTAGAAGAAATGGATAAATTCCTCGACACATACACTCTCCCAAGACTAAACCAGGAAGAAGTTGAATCTCTGAATAGACCAATAACAGGATCTGAAATTGTGGCAATAATCAATAGCTTACCAACCAAAAAGAGTCCAGGACCAGATGGATTCACAGCCGAATTCTACCAGAGGTACAAGGAGGAGCTGGTACCATTCCTTCTGAAACTATTCCAATCAATAGAAAAAGAGGGAATCCTCCCTAACTCATTTTATGAGGCCAGCATCATCCTGATACCAAAGTTGGGCAGAGACACAACCAAAAAAGAGAATTTTAGACCAATATCCTTTATGAACATTGATGCAAAAATCCTCAATAAAATACTGGCAAACCAAATCCAGCAGCACATCAAAAAGCTTATCCACCGTGATCAAGTGGGCTTCATCCCTGGGATGCATGGCTGGTTCAATATACGCAAATCAATAAATGTAATCCAGCATATAAACAGAGCCAAAGACAAAAACCACATGATTGTCTCAATAGATGCAGAAAAGGCCTTTGACAAAATTCAACAACCCTTCATGCTGAAAACTCTCAATAAATTAGGTATTGATGGGATGTATTTCAAAATAATAAGAGCTATCTATGACAAACCCACAGCCAATATCATACTGAATGGGCAGAAACTGGAAGCATTCCCTTTGAAAACTGGCACAAGACAGGGCTGCCCTCTCTCACCACTCCTATTCAACATAGTGTTGGAAGTTCTGGCCAGGGCAATTAGGCAGGAGAAGGAAATAAAGGGTATTCTATTAGGAAAAGAGGAAGTCAAATTGTCCCTGTTTGCAGACGACATGGTTGTATATCTAGAAAACCCCATTGTCTCAGCCCAAAATCTCCTTAAGCTGATAAGCAACTTCAGCAAAGTCTCAGGATACAAAGTCAATGTACAAAAATCACAAGCGTTCTTATACACCAATAACAGACAAACAGAGAGCCAAATCATGAGTGAACTCCCATTAACAATTGCTTCAAAGAGAATAAAATACCTAGGAATCCACCTTACAAGGGATGTGAAGGACCTCTTCAAGGAGAACTACAAACCACTGCTCAATGAAATAAAAGAGGATACAAACAAATGGAAGAACATTCCATGCTCATGGGTAGGAAGAATCAATATCGTGAAAATGGCCATACTGCCCAAGGTCATTTATAGATTCAATGCCATGCCCATCAAGCTACCAATGACTTTCTTCACAGAATTGAAAAAACTTGATCTTGAAAGTTCATATGGAACCAAAAAAGAGCCCGCATCGCCAAGTCAATCCTAAGCCAAAAGAACAAAGCTGGAGGCATCACACTACCTGACTTCAAACTATACTACAAGGCTACAGTAACCAAAACAGCATGGTACTGGTACCAAAACAGAGATCTAGATCAATGGAACAGAACAGAGCCCTCAGAAATAACGCCGCATATCTACAACTGTCTGATCTTTGACAAACCTGAGAAAAACAAGCAATGGGGAAAGGATTCCCTATTTAATAAATGGTGCTGGGAAAACTGGCTAGCCATATGTAGAAAGCTGAAATTGGCTCCCTTCCTTACACCTTATGCAAAAATCAATTCAAGATGGATTAAAGACTTAAACATTAGACCTAAAACCATAAAAACCCTAGAAGAACGCCTAGGCATTACCATTCAGGACATAGGCATGGGCAAGGACTTCATGTCTAAAACACCAAAAGCAATGGCAACAAAAGCCAAAATTGACAAATGGGATCTAGTTAAACTAAAGAGCTTCTGCACAGCAAAAGAAACTACCATCAGAGTGAACAGGCAACCCACAAAATGGGGGAAAATTTTCGCAACCTACTCTTCTGACAAAGGGCTAATATCCAGAATCTACAATGAACTCAAACAAATTTACAAGAAAAAACAAACAACCCCATCAAAAAGTGGGCAAAGGACATGAACAGACACTTCTCAAAAGAAGACATTTATGCAGCCAAAAGACACATGAAAAAATGCTCACCATCACTGGCCATCAGAGAAATGCAAATCAAAACCACAATGAGATATCATCTCACACCAGTTTGAATGGCAATCGTTAAAAAGTCAGGAAACAACAGGTGCTGGAGAGGATGTGGAGAAATAGGAACACTTTTACACTGTTGGTGGGACTGTAAACTAGTTCAACCATTGTGGAAGTCAGTGTGGCGATTCCTCAGGGATCTAGAACTAGAAATACCATTTGACCCAGCCATCCCATTAGTGGGTATATACCCAAAGGACTATAAATCATGCTGCTATAAAGACACATGCACACGTATGTTTATTGTGGCACTATTCACAATAGCAAAGACTTGGAACCAACCCAAATGTCCAACAATGATAGACTGAATTAAGAAAATGTGGCACATATACACCATGGAATACTATGCAGCCATAAAAAATGATGAGTTCATATCCGTTGTAGGGACATGGATGAAATTGGAAATCATCATTCTCAGTAAACTATCGCAAGAACAAAAAACCAAACACCGCATATTCTCACTCATAGGTGGGAATTGAACAATGAGAACACGTGGACACAGGAAGGGGAACATCACACTGTGGGGACTGTTGTGGAGTGGCGGGGGAGGGAGGGATAGCATTGGGAGATATACCTAATGCTAGATGACGAGTTAGTGGGTGCAATGCACCAACATGGCACATGTATACATATGTAACTAACCTGCACCTTGTGCACGTGTACCCTAAAACTTAAAGTATAATAATAATAAAAAAAAAGAATAAAAGGTAATAGCTGATTAAGTTTAGAGAATACTGATTCTTATCCTTTTTCTTCTTCTACCATTTCCTAGTTCGGCAACCATGCAAAGAAGCGAGATTTAGAAATGGAATGTTGAGGTGTGTTTAAGATGGTATTTGTCCAGGCTATTCAGGAACACGCAAGCCCTGTCCTCAGCTCAACACTCTCTCCAGAAGATCATCGGAGAAATGTGTACACAGAGAAACAAAGGCCAAGGAACCCTTTATTGTTGGCTGAGGTTTTGTCTTCAAACCCAGAAGCAGAACACTGGTAAACTATATAGAGCCTTCTGCTTCAGAATAGCCTCGCAGCAAAACAGGCTGGTGGTTGTACTAGGCTTGCTCTTTTACTTGAAACCAAACCTGAACCATGAGTCTTCCTTCTCTTCTACAGTGAAAGGCTAGAATATAGCTTTCAGTGGGAAAAACTCCTGTCTTGTGTAAACCAAAAAGTATCTGAGACAAGTCTCAATCAATTTATAAGTTTATTTTGCCAAGATTGAGGACATGCCTGTGACAGCCTGAGGCGGTCCTGACAACATGTGCGCAAGGTGGTCGGCTACAGCTTGGTTTTATACATTTTAGAGAGATGCAAGACATCAGTCAATACATGTAAGATGTACATTGGTTCAGTCCAGAAAGCAAGGAAAACTCAAAGTGGGGGTGGATGGTGGGGCAGGGAGATGGGCGTCCAGGTCATAGATGGATTCCAAGATTTTCAGATTGGCAGTTGGTTGAAAGAGTTTATCTAAAGACCTAGAATCCATAGAAGGGAGTATCTGGGTTGAGATAAAGGGTTGTGGAGAACAAGTTTCTTCTTATGCAGATAAAACCTCCAGGTAGCAGGCTTCAGAGAGAATAGATTATAAATGTTTCTTAGCAGACTTAAAAAGGTGCCAGAAGATCAGGGAAAAGACCTGGAAAGGGAAAGGGAATCTCTATAGAATGTCAATTATCCTCACAAGAGATAGCTTTGTAGGGCCATTTCAAAATATATCAAAGGAATATATTTTAGGGTAAAATACTTCAGTTTCTTTCAGGGCCTTCTATGTGCCATATGATGCTGTACTAAAGTAAGGCTGGAATTTTTTTTATTGCTACAATAAAACTCTTTTATTGCTACAAAAAGTCTTAAAATCTCTGTTTCAATGTTAATGCTGGTCACTTGTGTATGAATTCCATGGGGAAGAGGGTATAATGAGGCATGTCTTACCCCTCTCTTCCCATCATGGTCTGAACTAGTTTTTCAGGTTAACTTTGGAATGCCCTTGGCCAAGAGGAGGGGTCCATTTAGATGGTTGTGGGGCTTAGAATTTTTAGTTTACACTTGATACTCGAAACACAGCTGGTGTAGGATAATTGTCTTAGAATTCAAAAAGTTCAGATAAGCCGCCTACTTCCCCATGTATGGAATAAGGGGGATGCTGCTCAAAGGTGTGGGGAGGGTGGAGATAGGAACAGCCTTCTATTAACCAAAGAAGCCAATTGTAGGCAACGTACTAGTCTCTAACCATCATGCTCTCAGATTTCCAGAGTTTGATACTGTGTGCTCCACATAGATATGTATAGTTCTTGGTAGGTGAAACCTATTTCAAAACTGTCCCAGTGATAAATTTTCACAAGGCTGTCTTTGATGGCTTCCTTCTACATCCCAGCCCTTGTTGGAGGCTAATTTTAACCTAAGAAAAATATAATTGCCAAGGTTATATTATATTTATCTAAAGTAATGGAATATTAGAGTTTGATTACCATTGGAGGGTAAAGGCAGGAAGATACCAACTCAGACATAGCTTGGGTGTGGTGTGTACATTCCTATAACTTCTAATCTTTATAAAAATCTTTATGAGTTACAGCTGTAAAATATGGTTGTAGTTTTTCACTGTCCTTTATTACCCTTAAGTATTCCCCACCAAGGGAGTGCTACATATATGCCATATTTGCAGTGAAATAAGAATTTATTAAGAAATACATTGTAGTATGTTTTATTAAAGTAAAACACACATATGGGTATGCATAGATAGATGCAAAAATCATGTTTACTTGATGATTTTTCACAATGTGAACACACCTATATAATTGTCACTCAAATTATGAAACAGAACATGAGCAGTGTTATATATTTGTTTTTAAATTCATTAATCTCTAGTTTTTATTTTCTTCTTTTGCTTTCTTTGAATTTAATTTGCTGTTTTCTTATTTGTTAAGATAATATATTTAGATCATTAGACTTTAGCTTTTCTTTTTTTGTAACATTGACAGTTAAGGCATGAATGTTACTGAATGCATGTTTGCAGCTTCATTCCACAAGTTTTGATATGTCATGTGTTCATATTATGAGTAATATTGACTTTAACAAGTCAATGATATAATATTTTTATCTCTAGGACAAGTATTTTGTTTTTTAAATGGATTCCATTTAAATTCCCATCTTGAAATCAATATTTAAAAAATATGATGTTATTTCAAAGTCTGTGTCTGATAACCATAGTATATAATTCTCCTTTAAGGTTATTTCTAATTTCTGTTTTTACCCCCTCTTGGGATTCCAGTCATTTGATCTTGTCTTCTGTTATGTCTAACAACTTCTGATTAAATGTCAGATATAAAATATCCATAGTAGAGATAATTTTATACTCTAGATGATATTATCTTCCTTCAGAGATTGTATTTGCTTTTGGCTGGCATTTGGGTTAGGGGCAGGTCACCTTAATATTCAGCCTGGAATTAAGCTGATTGGAAGCTGAATATAGTTCACCAAGTGCATAGGCTTACAACCATCCACACAGAATCTGAATCTTGGGATTCACAGTCTCAGAGATACCCGCCATGATAGAGAAATATAGTTGGGCCTATGAAACAGACTCCGAGTAAACTTATCTAACCAGCCACATAGATGAAGATGTCAAGTCTGTTTTTTTCTATTTAATTGTCTTACTGTAAGAGAAAGAAGTCAGCTTGCTTCCTGTCTTCATGACACTTTAATTTTCCCATTAGAAAGAAAGTCCCCTTGAATTTATCAAACTCTAATTCATCAAATTGGCCACATTCCCTGAGGTGCAGAGAAGAGGAATAAATAGGCAGAGGCCGGAACCTGGTAAGGTGAGAGAACACTTCTTTCTACCTTAAGAGTTAATATTGTTGTTTGCATATGGTAAATGAATAAATTCATAGTCAGAGAGCATAAATAACCTACTAAGATGCTGTTAGACCTGGGCTCTCCCTTACACTTTTGAGTTTCTTGGATCTTAAGATTCTACAGTATGTAATTATTTTCTAACACTATTATTTTCAGCACTGCCTAAAAGCCAGTCTCAGTGAGATTTAAAGGCAGGGTGGCCATAATAATTTTCCTTTTAAACCAAGACATTTTTGAGAATGAAAAGAGGTACTATTAGTCATTACGCCAGGACAATAGGGTAAACTGGGACTGTTATGGGCCAACTGGTAGGTATGGTGATCTTACTTTACTACTGATACAGATACCTTCTGCAATGGAAGGTCGTGGAATTGGGTGACGTTGAATGATTCTGAGCTTACCACATGAGTTTGTTTGAAAAATAAGAGCTGAAAATACCCGAAGACAATGGAAGGGTGGGGGACAGGAGAAAATTAGCAGGACGAAGAGAAAATAAACCAAGAAGAAGAAATGAAGAGAGGAAAGAACAATAAGAATGCCAGAAATCAGATATTTGCCCAGGAAAACAGGTGAATGTTAGCATGTGGACATGAGGCAGGGTAAATAGAAAACAGGTACAGATTTGAAGATTAAAATCATCATGGAGGGGAAAAAATAATGTATAGAATGAGATAGCAATGGGTATAAGCTTTGCAAAAAGAACGAGAAAGTATACTCAAGTTTAGATGATGTTATAATATCATTTATAGCAAGGACATTGAAGAGCCTACAGGATAACATTCTAGTAAATTAGATTTAAAGGACAAATTGTGAGTATTCCTGGTTATAAATAACACTTTATTATTGATGCAATTATTTTAACACATGCAGAAACATGGCAGAGAAAAGGAGGTAGTGTTTAAATATCTGCCCAGTGACTGAGGAATACTATAATATCCTGGATCTACAGGTGATGCTGCAGGTCTGAGAGCAATGGTAAGGAAGCTAGGAGGACGTAATATTAATGATATGATTATCCCACCCATATAGATAACCTAAAATATGTGAACTGCTTTCATAGAAGGCAGAAGAATCCAAGACCTGAGTGGAGTGTGAAAGATTGAACTTTAAAAATAGCTATGTGTGATGCATATTACTTGTGTATGAATAACTTTTCCATCATCACATAGAACTGTCATCTCAGGTTAAGCGACCTCTTATGCTAATACTGTGATAGCTGGGTTGTTGTTGGAAAACCACTCAGAAAATAAGAAAGGTTAAAAAAAATTGTAAGATAAAACATTTATAGCAGAAGGCAAAATATATACTTCTGAGTAACTATAGCATCACTATACTCTGGAAGAAAGAATACAGGCTAGTGTAAAAGGAACCTGGAATGTAACATCTGGATTCACAGAGCTGATGTTAATAGCCTGGTAAAGACAAAAGATCACAAAATCAGTGAACTAGTCAAAGTATTTTTGAATAATTGTAGTACCACAAGGCAGCCATTTAAAATTCACTCCTCTGAAGCCTAGGTTGGCTAAAGGAATTTTTGTTTTTCACTCTGTGTGTTCTTGTAGTTGACCCTGCATAAAATCCAGGCTGGTTATTTTTTGAAGAAACAACTTACAATCTATAAGAAAGGAATGTTCAACTTCACCATAGGAATTCAGTCCAAATGCATTTATTGAGCGATATCAACCTGATATGAAAGCCGTATATTCTATTCTTGTTTTATCTTTTATTGTTCTTTATATTTTCTGGTCCTATTTACCTCTTTGTTTAATCTTTACATTTTTTCTAGTACTTTATTATTGTTCACAGTTTATTGTGTAAGCCTAGAATTGGTTTTCATGCTTTAGCCATTACTTTTCCTTTATGAGATGTTATTGTACTTGGAAAAGATAATGTGTGAATCAGTGTTTGATGAGCCAAAATTATGGGAGAGATTTTTAAACTTTGACTTAGAGAAGAACCTTTTTTGAACTCTGTTACTAGGTGTGATTGGTGTGTCTTGTGACCTCCCATTGGACAGTGTACTTTTTATATGGTATTTATGTTTCTTTTTTCATTGCAGCATTACAGGGTGTCTGTTTTCTACAGTGCCTTCTTATTACTAAGCTTTGAACATTGTAGGCACCCATAAAGTCTGAGGACATTTAAGTACATTTGAGAGTAGGATTAGATGGAAGATGAGAAAATTTCCATCCAAAGCAGAATTTTCTAATCTGATTCTGTATCATAATGTGCTTTATTTATTTCCCAGTGGGATATAAAGCATTCCTAGGTATACTAAAGTTTCCAAAAAAAAATCTGTAGTACAGACAGTTGTTTAATTTCATTTAACCTGCTGTTCCTCACATTTATCTGACAAATACACTTTTGTATCTGGGCTCTGCAGTAGACAGAAATGCACCTCAAATTAATTGAAGCCCAAAAGGGGATTTAGTGGCTTATGAAACTGGGAAGAATTCTTGGTGAGTTCACAGAACAGACAAGCTGCAGGATGTCACTGACTGAGACTGGGGACTCAACAGTCTTTCTCTTCATCCATTTTCCTCTTTTGATTCTGCTGGTTTCATTTTGGGTGCTGACCTCACCCTTTCCTGGTGTGGACAGTCCTGTGCCCTTTCAACACGACGGGGAACAACCTCAGCTGAAAGGGAACATGTTGATTTCTACACTTCTAAATATTGATTTTTCCAAAAGGTTTCATCCCTGTGATTGGCCTCCATGCTGTAGACCAACCACTCTTGTCAGGGGAGGAGTTTACTAAGATTGGCTATATCTAGGTCTTTTGTCCACATATGTGGCCTGGATAGGATGTGTAGAACCCACTTCTTTAAGAAGAGAGTTAGGAAGGCTTGTTGGGAAGAGCAGAAATAATAACCATCACTCATCATTCAACAAATATTTATTGAACGTTTTTCCTCAGCCCCTCAGGCACTTTTCTAGACATTAGGGACCTAACACTGAACAAAATAAATGAATATTCCTTCTTCCAGGGAGCTTACATTGCAGTGTAATAAAAAGGCAACATTCTAATAAAAATGAATAAAAATGATAAGGAAAACAGTATGTTTGACTACAATAAGTACAAGGCAGATAAAATAAAGCAGAAGAGTAAGAAGTATCTGTGGGGAGAAGGGAGTTAAAATTTTAGTGTGTCCAGGGAAAGCCTCTCTGATGAGAAGGTCACTTAATTAAATATTGGAAGGAAGTGAAGGAGGGAGCCCTGCATATATCCCATTCAGAGGACACAGCAGATGTGAAGGACCTGGGGCAAGTGTGCCTGGTGTGTCTGAAGGAGGACATAGAGAGTAGAATGTGGGCATGGAGAAGACCATGGAGGACATGGAGGGTAGAGTGTGGGCAGTAGGTTCCAGATTTAACCTTTAAAATCCGAATTTTTGTGGGCATTTTATGGTCTTCTGGTCTGATTTCTAGTGCTACAGAGTCCATTCCTTCATAATATTTATTACAGCTGAATTATGTGCAGAGCTGCTGTTCAGGCACCACACATTTTTATTTTAGAATAGCTATTGGTTTCTCTTAGCTATTGCCTTAAAATATATACTTCTAATTTTTTAGTGTGGGTATAGTGATTGTAGTACTGGTAAAATGATTTATGGAAGAATATAATCTACTGTGAGATAATCTGCATGTGTTGTGAATCAGGTAGTTGCTGTGACAAATCCAGTCAGTAGGTTCCAGATTGAACCTTAAAATCCTCACTTCTTTTGGGCATTTTATGGTCTTTTGGTCTGATTTTAGTGCTACAGAGTCCATTCCTTCATAATATTTATTACAGCTGAATGATATGCAAAGCAAATGTTTGATACAGTGGAGAATGAACTGATCTTACCTTGTGAAACTTGGGGAAAAGACACTTTGGCAAAAATGTGATTCAGAAATGAGCACTTATGAAGTTCCCAAGGAATTGGGCTGAGATAGTAGGAAGTCTTGTGCTGAGCTCTAAAGGCTGTTTATAAAAAGCAGACGTGAGGAAAAGGCAATTTTTGATAAGAAGTGTAGGAGTGTAAGTATATAAAACAGAAGAGGATTATGGTCAGGTCACCTGCCTAACTCGAGCAAGGAGTCTGCTAGAGAAAATGGGAAGTAAAATCAGATTATTAGAAAGCTTTGTGTTCTGTGTTAATAACGGGAACTCTCTCTGGAGAGAGTTTGAGGAAGATTATTCTAGAAATGTTGTGTCACTTTGGGCCACTTGGCCATATTCCACACTCTGCTCTGTGTTATAGGGGACAATTTATAATTGCAACTTCCTTAGGTAATAATAACAGTCTTGGCAACTTGATGTTTTTTTAGGCCCTTCCCATGGATATTCTTTTCATATCTGTAAGATGTAAATTTTTTTAAAAATATTAGTATTTCTTGAAGGATTAATGGGAGAAACTTTGGAAAATTCCCTACTGCTTAGAAGTGATTTTGTTTGTAGCATGTAAGATATATATACCTTCTCTTTGCTTTTTTTTCTTTTTCCTTTCTTGGTTTCCACTAAATTCTTAGCCCTAAGTTCCTTGCTTTTTTGTCTCAGCTTTCTTCTTATATGAAGTATCAAATTTAAAAAAATCTTTAAAAAGCCTACAGAGGGTGATGGAGCTTAGGGATTAGTTCTCATGCCACTTATTTTCCCTAATTAAGAACTCTGAAATGGAAGTTGAAAATGTTGGTATAACCTTTTTATTAATGGGGAAATGGGGTCATGCCTGCCACTTCCATCTCCACAACAATCCATTGTATAAAATGTTAAGTTCACTGGTACTTTTGATTTGAGGGGAGAGACATTTATATTGGATAAGTATATATCAGAAGTCTGTGTCTTTTGAATGGTCTTCCGAAATTCTTATCTCCATTCTTCTATAATTGTTGAATTATTTTCCTTAAGCTGTACTGCAGAATAACACCTATAAGATAAGCTTTCAAAGTGACTGTGTTAAGCAGCCTTCATTCTCCAAGAAAACCACTTTGTGCCTTCTTTTCTCAAAACCTCACACAACTTCCTCCCCCTCACCATTAGCTTACTAGTATTTCACTGCAAAAATAAGTCCTCAGAAACCTGCATCATAATCCCGCCAAATCTCCCAATCACCCCCATTAGTCTCATCTAGTCTGCCTTCCCTAGTTAGTATTGATAAACTCTGTGTGTTCCCATCTAAAGCTAACTTTTCTGCCTGTGATTTGGATATTGTCTCTTTTCAGTAGTTTAAAGATACTTAAACTGCTTCTGCATTTATCCCCTATCTCTCCTGCAGCATTAACCTGTCTCTACTAGATCATTCTCACATTCCAAAATTGCTGTAATATCTGCCATAAAAAAAAGAAATCTGTAAATTTGTTTAAGTTTCTTGTAGATTCTGGATATTAGCCCTGTGTCAGATGGATAGATTGCAAAAATTTTCTCCCATTCTGTAGGTTGTCTGTTCACTCTGATGATAGTTTCTTTTGCTGTGCAGAAGCTCTTTAGTTTAATTAGATCCCGTTTGTCAATTTTGGCTTTTGTTGCTATTGCTTTTGGTGTTTTAGTCATGAAGTCTTTAGCTGGGAGGCAGGAGGAACTTCTCTAAGACTCAGGAATTCTACTTTTAGTTATACATATTAAACAATCTCAAATATTGAGGTCATAAGGAAAATATTATAAGGTGTTCATTCCAACACTGCAGAGATATTTATAACTGCCAAATAGTAGGATGTATAAGTTGTGGTATATTTATACAGTGAAGTAGTATGCAGCCCTTAAAATGAATATAGTAGAGCTACTTTCATCAGTGTGGATTTCTCTCAAAAGCATAATGTTGAATTAGAAAAGCAAGGTAAAGTATGATGCATTGAGTATGATACTATTTATAAAGAGCTTGAATGCCTGAGAAACAATACTATATCATGTGTATGCCCATACACATGTATAATACATTTTACATGATAATTATAAACACTGGTTTTAGAACCCTAGGGAAAAAGTGAAGGAAATGGAGTTGGGATGTACTCAACTGTTGGTGTGGGATGTTTTTTCTTTAAAAATGAAGATTGAAACAAACATGACGTAAGGGTAAGATCTGATAAAGTTGAGTGGTTGATACACAGGAATTTGTTATTACATACTCTATTTTACAGCTACTTTTGAAATTTTTCTCAGGTAAAAAGTATAAAACTAACATAATACAACAATTTTTAAAATAAAATGATTGCTACCAAAAAACAACAAAAAAAACCCTTCAGACTGGTAGCTTTAAACAACTTTAAAGCTTGAGCTCCTTCTAAATTTCCCAAAGTCTTTCAGCACTCTCTTTCAACTGGGCCTCCTCTTCAGAAGTCACCTTTATCTTTATAAGATCTGTAGTACTATTCTGTCCTAGGATACAAGGAATGCTAAGGAATGTTACTTCATTTATCCCATAAAAGCTCTCAATTATGATGGAAACTGGATGCACCCTCTTAAGATTATTCAAAGAGGAAGTCAAATTGTCTCTGTTTGCAGATGACACAATTGTATATTTAGAAAACTCCATCATCTCAGGCCCAAATCTCCTCAAGCTGATAAGCAAATTGAGCAAAGTCTCAGGATACAAAATCAATGTGCAAAAATCACAAGCATTCCTATACACCAATAATAGACAAATAGAGAGCCAAATCATGAGTGAAATTTCATTCACAATTGCTACAAAGAGAATAAAATACCCAGGAATACATCTTAAAAGGGATGTGAAGGACCTCTTCAAGGAGAACTACAAACCACTGCTCAACGAAATAAGAGGACACAAACAAATGGAAAAACATTCCATGCTCATGAATAGGAATAATCAATATTGTGAAAATTTGGCCATACTGCCCAAAGTAATTTATAGATTCAATGCTATTCCCATCAAACTACCACTGAATTTCTTCACAGAATTGTAAAAAACTACTTTGAAGTTCACATGGAACCGCATATCCAAGACAATCCTAAGCAAAAAGAACAAAGCTGGAGGCATCACACTACCTGACTTCAAACTATACTACAAGGCTACAGTAACCAAAACAGCATGGTACTGGTACCAAAACAGATATATAGAACAATGAAACAGAACAGAGGCCTCAGAAATAACATCACACATCTACAACCATCTGATCTTTGACAAACCAGACAAAAACAAGCAATGGGGAAAGGATTTCCTATTTAATAAATGGTGTTGGGAAAACTGGGTAGCCATATGCAGAAAACTGAAACTGGATCCCTTCCTTACACCTTATACAAAAATTAAATCAAGATGGATTAGAGACTTAAATGTAAGACCTAAAACCATAAAATCCATAAAAGAAAACCTAGGCATTACCATTCAGTACATAGGCATAGGCAAAGACTTCATGACTAAAACACCAAAAGCAATGGCAACAAAAGCCAAAATTGACAAATGGGATCTAATTAAACAGAAGAGCTTCTGCACAGCAAAATAAACTGTCATCAGAGTGAACAGGCAACCTACAGAATGAGAGAAAAGTTTTGCAATCTATCCATCTGACAAAGGACTAATATCCAGAATCTACAAAGAACTTAAACAAATTTACAAGAAAAAAACAAACAACCCCATCAAAAAGTGGGCAAAGGATATGAGCAGACACTTTTCAAAAGAAGACATTTATGCGGCCAACAAACGTGAAAAAAAGCTCATCATCACTGGTCATTAAAGAAATGCAAATCAAAACCACAATGAGATTCCATCTCATGCCAGTTAGAATGGCGATCATTAAAAAGTCAGGAAACAACAGGTGCTGGAGAGGATGTGGAGAAATAAGAATGCTTTTACACTGTTGGTGAGAGCATAAATTAGTTCAACCATTGTGGAAGATAGTGTGGTGATCCCTCAAGGATCTTGAACTAGAAATACCATTTGACCCAGCAATCCCATTATTGGGTATATACCCAAAAGATTATAAATCATTCTGCTATAAAGACACATGCACACGTATGTTTATTGTGGCACTGTTCACAATAGCAAAGACTGGGAACCAATCCAAATGCCTATAAATGATAGACTGGATAAAGAAAATGTGGCATATATACACCATGGAATACTATGCAGCCATAAAAAAGGATGAGTTCATGTCCTTTGTAGGGACATGGATGAAGCTGGAAACCATCATTCTCAGCAAACTAACAGAAGAACAGAAAACCAAGCACTGCATGTTCTCACTCGTAAGTGGGAGTTGAACAATGAGAACACATGGACACAGGGAGGGGAACATCACACACTGGGGCCTGTCAGGGGGTCAGGGGTCATGGGAGGGATAATATTAGGAGAAATGCCTAATGTAGATGACAGGTTGATGGGTACAGCAAACCACCACAGCACGTGTATACATATGTAACAAACCTGCACATTCTGCACATGTACCCCAGAACTTAAAGTATAAAAAATACTTTTGCACTAACCTAATAGTAAAACATGACTAGATTAATCAGCTCATACAATGTGAATTATTGACCAGTATGAAACAGAGACCAAAGTCAGTGCTGGCTACTACTTAGGAGATGCAAAGATAATTCCTCTGATGGATTTCTAGATTCATTTAATTGCTTAATGACTTAGAGATAATTAATTCTCAACAAATATTCATTTGAAATAAATTCTGACAAGTTGTCCATAATCCTTCCAGAATTCAGTAATAAATCAAATGCACCTTTTTTTTTTCTCCTTGTAACTTCCCATTGACAGTGTCATGTCATTAAAACCCAGGCTATGTGTGGCTGCTCTTTCCCACTGCAGTGAAAGACATTTCAATGGGAAATGAGTTTGCCTATTAAAAAATGTTTACTGTTGTTTTCTATTAAAAAAAAAGATTCTTCAAAATACTTTCTGTTAAATCAGCTACAGATAGGCCAATGGTCCAATTAGTACAACCTTTCATTTTAACTATCTCATAGCCACAGGCAATCACTTCTTTGTGGACTTTTTCCCACTGTTCAGGATCTTTATCAGTTCCTATATCTGAGTTCAGATCCGTCAGAGGGATGCCAGCAATATTGACTCCACTCCACACAGGAATACTTGAGTCCCTATGCTGTCCAAGAATCCACCTATGACAGCTTTCAGAGTGGATATCAAGCCTTTGCCCAGTGAAGAAACGGAAATGGGGAGTGTCCAGATTACAGCCACTTCCAATAACACGGTTTTGGGGAAATACACTCAATTTCCAGAATACATAAGTTACAATATCCAGTAAATTAGAAACTACTATCAGTTTGTGGTGGGGATTGCATCGGGTAATACTGGAAATAATTAATTTAAAAATGATCACATTTCACTGGACTATATCAAGGTGTGTTTCTCCTTTTGCTGGAACACCTGCTGTAATAATGACTAAGTTGGACTTTGCAGTGACACTGTAGTCTTTGCTGAAAACAATGCTTGGCATTTTTATGGAAGGGCTGCCATGTTGAAGATCCGTTGTCTCACCCTTCAATTTGCCTTCGTCAACATCCACAAAGGCAAGTTTATCACCCAAACCTTTTAATAAGATGCTGAGAGCACAGGCCATGCCAACTGATCCAGTTCCTATAATGGAGATCTTATTGGGATGAGCGGCCCCCTCCAAAGTGAAATTCTTGGCAAGTTCAAGCTTGACAGTCACCATCTTGGAAATGGGAGTGAAGGTCCAGCCGCCCCTGAGTGGGATGTGTGTGGCCTCGTGGGGGCACTGAGCCAGCCCCCAACAAAGGAAATGAGCTCCTGCAGCACCTATTCTCTTGCTGGTGGGCAGAACTCCTGCAGCTCAGCTCATGGTCGTTAGCTCACGCAAGAGGCAAATGGATGAAAGCAGCGGCAGAAATCTCCTTGAGGTGTGGAAGAAACCCTGACGGTTTGAAGGCCTCCTCGCCCTTTGCTACTGTGGCTGCGCAAGGCCACTCCCAGCTCGTGCAGGGCTCACAGAGACCTGGCCCCTTAATATGTTATTTTTAGTTTTACAAATATGTGGTATTTTTTACACCATTAAGACGGTTCCGAAAAAATGGACTGTGATCATTAAGGCCAAAAGTAATTTTAGCTTTGCCTTTCAAAGTGCCATATTTTGTTGCTTAGAGAAGCGCTGCACCTTTGCAATTATTTTTGTCATGGTGCTCAAACACGCTGAAACTAAGTACGATAGATGCAAAGACAAAGAGATGAGAATTCCAATCTCCACTCCACACTTGGACTTTGAAGAAGTTTGACTATGTGAGCTTCTTTTAAAAAGTCAATATTACAATGTGATAATAAGACTTGTCCTAACTACTTTACAAGGTTCCTGTGAGAAAGTCAGGGTGAAAAGTCTAGGGAGCTTTAAAAAGAGTATTGTAACTATTTGACAAACTATGTCACTGAGTCAGTGACAAAACCAAGTCTTCTGATTTTTCCTTCTTCATGAAAATGATGCATTAAAAATTAAAGAAATAAAAGCTTAGAAGTCCTCAATTATCTGCTTTTTTGAAGATAAGATAGTCATGGATAAATGCAATCATTCGATAACTAGTAATGTTTAGATAATCTCAAATCCTTCTACCAGAACTTTAATAACATTTATTCAAAATCAAATATCTGCCTCTTTCCCCAATCACCATCTCCTTTATAATTAAAAAGTGAGGACTATGAAAAACAAGAAGGCTTAACCCATGAATTAAAATGATATTTCTCTAATATACTGAAATTTTGCCTTATGAATGGTTAAACTACATTTTCTTTAAGTTGGCAAGTCTTAATATGTGTTTACCTATTTATATTATCCCAAATAAGAAATTTGATGGAATCTTTTCACTTCTCAACCAGTTGTTTAATATTTGGTATCAGGATGCATTCTATTTGTAAATATAATAGTTCTATCTCAGAAAAAAAAAAAAGAAAGAAATCTATTTTATTCTCTCCTCCCCTAGCTTCCCCATTTCTCAGCTTTTTTTGATAGCAACATTTCTCAAAACAATTATCTTTACTCTCTGGTGTCCACTGTAACAGCTCTTGTCAAGATCCCCAGCCAGACACAGTGGCTCACGCCTGTAATCCCAGCACTTTGGGAGGCTGAGGCGGGTGGATCCCGAGGTCAGGAGTTCGAGACCAGCCTGGCCAATATGGTGAAACTCTCTCTCTACTAAAAGACGAAAAAATTACCCAGGCATGGTGATGTGCACCTGTAGTCCCAGCTACTCAGGAGGCTGAGGCAGAAGAATCACTTGAACCCGGGAGGCAAAGGTTGCAGTGAGCCGAGATCGCGCCACTGCACCACTGCACTTCAACCTGGGCAACAGAGCAAGACTCTGTCTCAAAAAAAAAAAAAAAAAAAAAAAAAAAAAAAAAAAAGAAAAGAAAATCCCCAGCACCTCCATCTTGCCAAATTTATTCGTCCATTCTTAGCTCCCATCTTACCTGAACCTTCAGCAGCCTGTGATTTAACTGATTCACTCTCCTTATTGAGCTGTTTCTTCACCTGGCTACTGGTGAAGTCTTGGTTTTCCTCCCCTTTTTCAGTGTTCTCTGCCTATATCTTCTCCTATTCCTATACAAATTAGGGTGACCCAGGACTTAACTCTTACCCCTCTGCTCTATCTACACTCACAGCCAGGATTGTGCCATCCTTTCTTATGGTACCAAATACTGTTTACATGGTGATGTCTCTCAAATTTACGTCTTCCCTCTCCGTCTTTCTGCTTGGGCTTTTGGTAGGTAATTCCTGCCTAAAACTTCCAAAACTCCTTATTGTAGCCTATTGGGTCCTACAATCTGGTTCACCCCTTACCTATGCAACTTCTTTGCCTGCTGTTTTCTCTCCTTTGTTCCTTCAGCTTCCACCACATTTGGATTCTTTCTTATCTTGTAACTGCCAAGCAGCTTCTTCTCACAAAGTCTTTGCATTTCCCATTCTTTTGGCCTAGAATGTTCTTTCCTCCAATTTTTGCATAGCTTGTATCTTTACTCCAGTGTCAAATGTATTTCTTCAGAGGCCTTCCCCTATCACCCTGTCTAAGATAGTACCTTTTTTACTTGTTTTATTTTTTTTTCTTAGTACTTATCAGCACTTTATATTTTATTTTTCCTCTGTGGTAATATGAGTCTAAAGAGGGCATGTAATTAATCTATCCACCCCTGTTTCCCTAAGGCTTATAGTATTGCCTGGCTTATAGTAGATTTTCAACAACTTTTCGTTGAGTGAATGAATATATAAATGAATGGAGTTGTATGATACATTATTGTTTTATATGTAAACCATGTGATTAATCCCTCAATATTTTTGAATTCAAGGTACAGATAAATGTTTACTATAATATAATGTTTAAACATAATGTAAAAGTGGCTAGCTAGAACATGTTGCATGTCAATTTGTAAAAAGGAATTTCCTGTGAGTGATACATGGGAAGGCCCTTTTTGTTCCCTTCTCTGGAACTAATAGTAATTCCACAGGAACCTTGTGGAACTAAATTGTGTTTCCTTGGTTCTTCTCATGCAGCTGAAGAATAAGTTCATGAAAAAATTGCCACGTGATGCAGAAGCTTCCAACGTGCTTGTTGGGGAGGTTGACTTTTTGGATACTCCTTTCATTGCCTTTGTTAGGCTACAGCAGGCTGTCATGCTGGGTGCCCTGACTGAAGTTCCTGTGCCCACAAGGTAAGCTGCTCTCCTACCTGGGGTCTACAATGTGCTAATAGGGTTATCTCCTCCCATTCAGGCTGGAGAATCAATAGAATGAGGAAATATTTAGTGCAAACACATTGGAGAGGTTTAACTTGAAATAATGACTGTTTGACTTTTATACTGTCAAATTTCTTGGCACTTATATAGTAATAATAATAGCAATTATAATAGTTTATTGGGCAGTGTACTAGGTTCTTCTTTTGGATTATTCTACTTAATCCTTACAATAATATTTTAAGGGACAAACTATAGTTATCTGGTTTTACAGATGAAAAAAGGTCTAAGAGTTTAAGTAATTTGTCCAAGGTCATACAGTTAGTAAATGGTTCAGAGGTCATAGTTGCTTTCATTTACTCTGTTTTATCAGAAAATTGGTAGTAGGTTTATACACACATATATATATTAAAATCATCAAGCTGTATACTTAAGTTTGCATACTTCACTATTAAATGTTGTGTCACAAATTTTTGTTTTAAAGTGAAGTATATTAATGTTATTATAATCACGTACTCATTTCACTGCATAGTACCTGAGAAGTCATCCTCTTCATCCGCCTCTGAAACTGAGCTCCACAGAGTTAGGAAGCTTGACCTGGGAGTGCAATTAGTTGACTAGAAGTTAATGTTTCACTTAAATTTGTGCTGCAGACAGTTTAAAGAAAACTTGTAGTCTTCAGGTTGACAGAAAATTAAAATATGAATAGGACTTTTTTTTGGGATGGGGGGTGGGGGAGTTGTTTTCTGTGGGTTCCAGGGCAAGGACAGGTTCCTTTAGGTTTCCTCATGTGAGCAGGAAGGGCTATGAATCCTCCTCAGTGATAGATGGATCCTCCTCAGCTCAGACGGTCTGAGCATGATTAACCAACAGTGTAAAGAGGCTCAAGATTTCTTTAGAGCCTGGTTAGGAGGAAAATTAAGAGAAAATTTCCTTTAGGCTTCTTAATTCATAGATTGCAGGCTATTCTTCCTCATCATACAGGTATTTTTTAAACCCATTTTTATATTTCTTAGACACTTAAAATAGGAATGATACATAGGGCTGTTATTGGACAAATAGCAGTGGAAAAGAGATGATCATAGCTTATTCACTTAATAGGATTATGATGATTTGTGTTTTCTGTAACGTAGCTTTTTGCTTGAAAACATTCCAGCAGAGCCTTGTGGTTCTATCTGTGCAGTCACCTGGCGAACAGCTGACTCAGATAATGGCTGGAGTCCAGCTCTGTGCCCCTATGGCTTTATTTATGTCTCTCTAGACTAACTTTACTAGGGGTTGAAAGAAAAAAACATGCCCAGAAGTGTTAAAGAAAATTGCTCTTGGCTTTTCATTTTTATTACCATTTTTCTTTAGAAGGTACAAATAAAAAATGCTTTAAAAGACTTTTATTTAACAAAATACGCATTCATTGAGAGCAAATCATGACCATTTTTTGTGTCCTGCTTATCATTTCTTTCTGTCTGGCTCACTAACTTTTTTCTTTTATAATGGATGGTAGGGCTAGTGTAGAGGTAAAATACAGCATCACTTAAATTAGCAAAAGGAGCCAGGCAATTCAAGGCAACGTAATTCAATAATATTATATAACTATTTCAGGGCAATAATCTGAACGATATATCCTTGCATGTTAACATTTTTCCAGGAAATAGCTTCATCCATTTGCTGTCCTCTGAACTAGTACAAGCCTTAATCACTGAGTAGGGAGTCTCATTAGCTTTTTGTGTGTAGGTAATGTGGGGTCATTTACAGTGGCTGCATCCTGTGAAATCCAATAAAGGAAATCCCACAAGGAATGTGGTAGGCATGGTGAAGGACTGCATGTACATTTCATGATATGTTTTAATGTGCATGCTACTCTATCGTACTGAAAGGAAACCTGAAAAATCTGTGTTTGTGTGTATCTTTTTATGGTCATTTTTCTTTTTAAAGGTGGAGGAAAGTTATGCTGCCATTATTATGATTATTTCTGTTTCTAATAAACAGTATTACTACCATGCACCTTCTAGGAAATATGGCTCTAGCAGCTCCCATTTCTTGTGCGGAGTTCACCAATTTCATTATTTACTCTCTTACTTGCTTGATCTGTTTTAGCCTCCACTTACAGCTGGATGACTATCAACCGGGTGAATGTCTATCTATGTAGGGGCCCCTCTTGCCATTCATGTGAAAGGAAACAAACCCTATTCTTTGATCTTTGGTTACTGGATAGGATATGTTTATGATTTTCCTAGTATCTTACAGGCACTTTGCTTGCTGTCATCTTATGTCTATCCACAGAGGCCACTACTCTCTCTCTCTCTCTCTCTCTCTCTCTCTCTCTATATATATATATATATATATATATATATATATATAAATTTTTTGAAGGGGGGTGATAGAGTCTTGCTGTGTCACCCAGGCTGGAGTGCAGTGGCGTGATCTTGGCTCACTGCAACCCCCGCCTCCCTGGTTCAGGCAATTCTCCTGCCTCAACCTCCTGAGCAGCTGGGATAACAGGCACCTGCCACCACACCCAGCTAATTCTTGTATTTTTGTAGAGACGGGGTTTCACCATGTTGGCCAGGCTGGTCTCAAACTCCTGACCTCAAGTAATCCACCCGCCTCGGCCTCCCAAAGTGCTGGGATTACAGGCATGAGCCACCGTGCCCAGCCTCATTCATATTTTTGAGCTATATAGGGGATGAATGTTCTTCTTATACCATTTTGCAGTTGAGAGATGAAGGCAAAGGGAAGATTCAGCATCAGTGCTGGGAATAGAACTTTAAATAGATTTCTGAATCTGAGACAAGAGTTTTAGGGACAGCCTAGGGAGATTCTAGAAAAGATTGGAATAAAATGTTTTAGGGTTCTCTTATAAAGAAGAATAAAACCCTAGTTTGTGCTTTTCTAATCTTGATTTGCACATGTAAGGTAATTGGTTATTAAGTAAGCTCCAGACTGTTAAAAATTTAGAATGTTTACCCTCTTAGTGGCACTGTAAGATAATATATATATGTTACAAATAATTATTTATCTAAAAGAAGTAGTTTGTGATTAATTGTCAAAGCCATTAAAAAAACTTAGAGGGATTGGGATGGAGATCCTGCTAGTTCAATTTTGTCACATCCACCAGTTTAATTGCTAGCTGCTATTAATATTTACCGCATGTAATGCAGTTGGTTATGGTGGGTTTGTGGTCCTCATGAATCCATTATGGAAGCCACAGTTTAGCCACATTTTCCAAAGCTGATAAAGATGAATAATGGGTTATTGAATTCACTGTTGTTTTGAGAGAAGGATATAAAGGATTGGTACATGCTGAGTTTATGCTAGAAATAGCTGTGATGTATCAGGAAAGAGGGGGGTGCATATCTTTTCCGAAAACATCAAGTGGTTTAGGAAGGCTAGCTCCTTTTCTCATATTATGCTCTGTTTCTGCTTATAATTATTTTGTGAATGTGAGTATAGGCCGTTGGTTCCGGACACAGATTATTTGGTTAATACATCCTTTTGTTGTGGAGAATGCTGGAGGCATCTTCCGCAGGCATAATTAACTATATGAAAAAACTCAGAAAAGTAGAAAAGGGCCTCATGAAGATTATTCAGATAACTAGACGCTATTAAAAATTGTAACTCTGACTTATTTATTTATGAGTGAATAAAAAGAACTTAGTAACATAAATTAATGCTTTTTTTTTCCAAGCTGTCAAAGTAGGCTGTGCCCTTGCAGCCACACAAATGTGATGTTTACTCTAATTTGTTAATAGAGAAAAAAGCTTCTGGATAAAAATAACATCTGTCCATTGACAAAAAACAGCTTGGGTCATGAAAGGAGTTTTCAGTACATTATAAAAGCTGAGTTTGGCAGGATGTACTTCAATCATAAAAGTTGTAACAGCTTTCGCTTCTTTGAAGGTTAAAGGAGAGAAAACATATTTCAGGCAGAGGGAACTTCAACTTGTTGGATTGTTTTGTGTTCAGTTTTCTCGGATTTCTCATCCCATTTCAATAATGCAGTCCAGATTAGAAGCTTCTTAAAGGTGTCCATTCCTCCAGATGACATTTTTGGCTTGAGGTTATGTTTCCTGCTGCTTATGAATGCTTGGATTCTCTCTATTTATCATTTTAAGGAGGCAGATTTACTGAATTATTCCTGATTGGAGTAATGTGAAAATTTTAACTGGTATGTCCACCATGTTGGTTTGGCCCTTGGTGTTATTCCATTAATGAAGAAATACCTTCTTTAAAAAATAAAAATTGCATTACCCAGGAAAGAGGAATACTACTTTTATATCTGTGTTACTGAACCAATATAATTCTCATATATTGTGTTTATTGCTATCGTGTAGACACCATTGATCTGCTGCTTCCTTTCATTCTTTGACTGGTTCTATTTAGCAGAGAACAAAGAGTAAATATTTTATAGAAAATGTCTGTCCTCGTCTCATAGGATGTAACTTGGAGGCTCCATTACTCTATCAGCTATTGGAATACCCACTGCCTGCCAAAGTTTATGTTTGAGGACTATTAATGACTGAGAATGTTTTTTCACTAACTAGACAATGTTTTGGCTTTGTTGCTATATAGTCAACCTGATAATTAACTCATTATCAGTGTCAGTTGATAAATACATTTCCATAATATGTATTTGTAAGCTATAATCATGATGGAGGTGCTAGGGAGAGGTAGGAAGAGATACAGAGTGTTTGGAAAAGTTTTGGATATTATGCATTACTGAAAAGTTAATATTTAGATACATGAAGATAATAAAAATGGAAGCAGAAGAAATCTATTATTTAAAAATGTACTAAGGATCCAGGTGTTAGATATTTTCTCTTGTGGCACAGCATCTGCCCCTTTTCACCTAAACCCACACCCTTATTGAATTGAAACATGACCATCTGTAGTCAGGCAAACGAAATTGAGAAATGTGACCAGTACTTATGTTTCTCAATGGGATTAAAGCATTATTTTGCTTTAATCATTAAATATATTTTGTGCATGTTGCACTCAAATCAGTGATCAGTCCCTTTAGAAAAATACACTTTACAGTCCTAAAGAAGCACTTTATAATACTATACGTAGTGGCATATAATTAGGGGCCAGCTTCGAAGGGACAAAAGTTCTAGTGTCAATTGAACTTCAGTGTTAAAAGAGCTGAAATTCAATTCAAATAATGACTTCCTTCATACTTGAACAGACTTTGGTGCCTGCTGATTGCTATCTACTTTGGTAACACTTGAAAGTGAGTGTGCTGCTTCACTTCAGAGCTGGTTTCTAAGCAAATAAGTACTAAGTGGTTTTATGGTTATTCTGGTATAAAACCTGAGTATTCAAACTTTCAGACACCTTTTTACATTCTTCATTTCTGGGATTTTAGAATCCCTTTTGGGTTGAATTTTATGATAAAAAAAAAGTAATTATACATTCAAGGGCATTTTGGAACAGACCCAAACATTTTTTAAAGTATTTGCTGTCAATCCTTTTTTATTTGAAGTGAGGGATATAAATAAGTAAGTTAAAAATAAAATTCTGCTGAGCAAAATGGCAAGCTGTTTCTGGTACCATAAAAATCTTACCTAAGATTTCTTGTCCCTGGCTAAGCATCCAGAAGTGACCCAGAGTGACCTATGGAAGACTTATGGAAGTCATTTTTGGACTTCTGTTAAATCACAACCTTGGTATATCAGTTGGGCAGGTAGTATTAGGCAGAAATATGTGGTGAAAAGAACAGGAGGTAAGAATGCCTATATATCTACTCTTTGTCATTTACTAGGCACAGATCTTGGGCTCTTCCATTAACCTCCACCAGCCTCATTTTCCTCACCATTAAATGGGAATAGGATACTTTCTTTACTGCAGAGGGTCATATGGAAATGTAAATAAAGTGATGAATGTGAAGTGCTTTGGAGGCCTTATAAGCTGGGCAGGCATATGATGTTATCATTTTTATTGTCCTCATTATCTCCCCGTTAGGTGATACATGATCAATATCAAGGTGGGATTTATCCCACGTCACCTTTTGTAGATTTTTTTGTAAATTTTTTCTTACTCATTTACTCATCAGATCCCCGCATCCACAGTGCCAACATGCCACAGGGCAAAGGCCCTGTGTGATAAGTGAGGGATTTTTTCCAACTTGGTTAGAGGTGAACCTAAGTGGGGTTAAGTTTGTTATTGTATGTTTCAGGACCTGTTTGCTATGAAGCAATGTTTTGTGCATTATGAAGAAAAAATGTTGGTAAATGACAAGAGGACACCCACAAAATAATTTTGACTGTCTGTGAATGATGCTTTATTTTGAATTTCTCTCATATTTCTCTTCCCTTACTTTGGCTGTCACCATGTGGCTTACTTGTAGAGGACTTGGTTTTTGCTGATTCCCAGTCACTTCTGAGTAGACATATTTCTTAAAAGTGTGGAGACGATCATCTGTCACTGCCCATATTGGGTAAGGAAAAGTCAGAGAAATGTGAAGATGCACTAACTCTTTCTAGTTATTGTGCTTGATGGGTTTGCTCCAAAGATTCTGAAAATCAGTAGAAATGGAGAGAGAAAAAAAGTTTAAAATAGAAAGATTGAATGACTCATATTAAGCACTTGAAGTGCACCTTTCCTGCTCAGTGAAGAAGCTTCTCAGGTTTCTATGCTATATTCTCATTTGCCTCCAAATAAACTGAACAATGAACTGTGTTTTGCAATAGTGCGAAAGAGTATATTCTGTACTACCAATAATATATTACCTTTGTTTTAAAGGTGAATTCTAGACCTAACCTTTTTATGAACTAAGTTAAACATTTCTCAGTTTTATGTATGTTGAGTTTGATGAAATGTGTGTTATAGCCTTTGCTTCTTTCCTTTTCCATTAGGTTCTTGTTCATTCTCTTAGGTCCTAAGGGGAAAGCCAAGTCCTACCACGAGATTGGCAGAGCCATTGCCACCCTGATGTCTGATGAGGTAGGAAATCAGGAAGATGGAGTTCTGTGAATGTCCTACTTGTTTGTTGTCATACTGTGAATTGGCTGTCACAATTTATTCAATTAGAATTATGTGGTTACTAGACTTCCTTATAGCATGAGGTACGGTCATTTGAGACAAATGAGCTGAATCCTATATGGTTTGCAAAAAGTAAGGCATGCATTTTGGTTTTCTATGGGATTCTAAACTCTGTTGGAATAAAACATATTTTCCTTTCTTTTACCAAACATTTTCATTTCTTAAAACTGATATATGTCAAATATTCTTTAAAAAGTTCAAAGTCAGCTGGGCATGGTGGCTCACGCCTGTAATCCCAGCACTTTGAGAGGTCGAGGTGGGCAGATCACCTGAGGTCAGGAGTTCGAGACCAGCCTGACCAACATGGTGAAAACCCGTTTCTACTAAAAATAAAAAAATTAGCCAGGCATGGTGGTGCATGCCTGTAATCCCAGCTACTCAGAAGGCTGAGGCAGGAGAATCACTAGAACCTGAGATGCAGAGGTTGCAGTGAGCTGAGATCACGCCACTGCACTCCAGCCTGGGCAACAGAGCGAGATTCCATCTCAAAAAAAAAAAAAAAAAAAGGTTCAAGGTCATTGTATTAACTTAAACTTTATCTCTTGAAGTTTTAATACACTAATTCTGGGAATTCAAATGTCTATATTCTATATTATTTCAGAAATGATGGGTTCTATAAAATAATGTCTAATAAAATGGATAATGCATTTTTTCTTAGGTATCAGAAAGTACATGTTTTATGGTTTTCTTATTTCGTGGGAAGGAATGATACACATCTAAAAATGCATTAGCAACCATTATGGCAAAGTATCTGTACAGGTTGGAATTATGACCCCATTTATTTTCATAACAGCCTGGATGTTACATGCATTTTAGATATGAGAAAATTCTGAACTATTCCCATAGGAGGAGAAATACTGTTAGAATACAGGATCATTAGTTTCTGCTCCTGGGTCTTTCTGGGCTTACTATTTCCCCAAATGTATTGCTTTTGCTTCATTGCTTGATTTGTCGGTTTTTCTGTGTGTTAAGTGGAGAAAGGGGTACCTTTCTCCTTAGTTATAGATGTTCCATGTGGTGATTACTCAGGTAGCTATTTTATTCTGTGACTGAAAGCTTTATGGCTATGCTGCTTTTTCCCTTCAAGGGAACATTTATTTTATTCATCTCAGTGCATTCATTTTATTTTTTGCATTTTTGTAATTTAGATCTGTTTTAAAAAATACTTTCTCCTAAGATGTATCAATTAAGAATACTTTAACAAGTGAGATTTAGAGTGGCTTAAACAATTTGGGATTTATTTGGAAGTTTGGAGGTAGGTAGTTGCTGGGGTTATTTTAACATAACGGCTTAATGATAAATCAAGAGCTAAGGCTCTTGCTAAATTTATGATCTTAAAATAGCATGTTTTCTTTTCCTGTCAGTATGGTAAAACGACATTGCCTACCATCAGCTCCAGTCATCTTATCTGTATTTATTCAAAGTAGGAAGAACAGTGTGGTAATGCTAGCTGTATCTCCCTTTTTAAACAGGTATTCTAGAGCTTTCCCAGACAGCCTTTTTCTTATATCTTATTAGTTGGAATTGTTCATCTTTATCTGCACAGTTGGCTGGGAAAGTGAATCTGTGACTTTCCAGCCTCTATCATGAGAAACAGCAAGAGAAAGAAAATAAGGTTGAGGATGGCTATATCAGCCACAGATTATGTGCTGGCATTTTGTGTCACCCTCCCCTCAACCCCACAACCCCCAGACTGTTAAATGTTACTTAATTGATAGCTTTTAAAAATTCTTTTCCTAGAGAAGTGGTTTAGTCACAATCTTTAAGAATAGGTAAGGGTATTGAACAGGGACCATCTTCTCTTCTGAAGACTAAAGAATTTGACTTATGAAGTATGAAAGACTTAGGTTATATGTAAAGAAATTTCAGATCATCAGCTCTGTTAGAAAAATGGAATGATTGACAGAAAGATTGTGTACATTTTGGAACCTCTTTCTTTGGAGATCTGCATAAAAGATATGAAGCACTTGCTGCATTAGATGGTTTAGTTGTTGTCTTGCTAAAAGATAGACAGATGATTGACTATTTAAGGCCTTTTGGTTAATGTGCTGCCGATATAACCCAGATTTTTCTTTTTTAAATATCTCACATTGTGTGTTTGAGAGCTCAGTGTTTGGGTCTTAACCCGATCTTAACACTCAGCTTGAACTTTTCCTTCTTGAGTTATCAGCAATTTTTATCCCAGTAGTTTTTATTTCAGGGAATGACTCTTCAGTATATTTCTCCAAACCATTTTAATCTGGCTCCCATAGCAACTGTATCAGTAGTGGTACATACCAGTGGGAGCTGAAAGGCAATGTTGTTTTATATTATTGGTAGGAAAAAAAACCACATAAAAACATAGCTGTTTCTTCAGGCCTCTGCCTCTATTCTTTGAAATCATAATCTGAATGCCTATATTTTCGGGGGGCAGGCTGAATAATAGGGACTATCAGAGCATGGCTGGATTAATATTAATAGCACAGTTGTTATGGGCTGCATTCTTCAGGCTTGATATGGTGTGAAGCATGTACAGAGTTATCTTTTTGGATGAGCACATCTTTTATTATTCTTTAGGTGTTCCATGACATTGCTTATAAAGCAAAAGACAGGCACGACCTGATTGCTGGTATTGATGAGTTCCTAGATGAAGTCATCGTCCTTCCACCTGGGGAATGGGATCCAGCAATTAGGATAGAGCCTCCTAAGAGTCTTCCATCCTCTGACAAAAGGTAAATTATAGGCAGTTGATAATTTTCAGTAGCTGAGATGACTCTGAGAAGGAGGTTGTGTTAAAAAAAAAAAGTGAAGTCAACCTGTTGTTCTAATATTTTCAGGTTCCTGTTTAACTTGATGTATTTTCTCAAATGGATCACTTATGTGCCTTGGTTTCACGTTTCCTTGGCATTGTAAAATAAATGTTATGTGGTATGATGTTCTTCAGTTATTATAAATTGGAGATCTCAGATTACTACATGGGAATGTATCACAGACATGCTTTGGCGATGTTTTGGGGACCCCCTGTATATCTGGAAACATAAATTTACTGAAGATGAGTCCTTGTAGATGTACATGGTTAAGACATTGGGTAAAATAGTTGAAGAGAAACAATTTTCTAGAAATCTATTTTTTCCCAGTTGAAGCAGTTTCCCTCTTTTAAGACATACAGTTCATTCAACTTTCCTATTCATCCAGTCATTTGTATTGGTTCTAAATGTAACACTTAAAGAACTGTCTGTTAGATAGCAGAAAGAAATAACAATCTTTCACCTTAAGGGTTTTCACTCCATCTCCCCATTAGCCAGAGCATGATACAGCTAAGAAGCGAATGAATAAAATAAACTAATATACTCTTGGGCTCTGTTGTCTTGCTTAGAAAGAATATGTACTCAGGTGGAGAGAATGTTCAGATGAATGGGGATACGCCCCATGATGGAGGTCACGGAGGAGGAGGACATGGGGATTGTGAAGAATTGCAGCGAACTGGACGGTAACTGACAGTTTCCTTTGCCATTCATGATGAGGTTCTCCTTAAATGTAAATTTCCCTTCATCTATCAACATATTATTCACTAGTTTGTTCATCTGTTCAGCCAACAAATATTTATGGTATACCTATTTGTCACAGGCACTGGGAATATAGCAGTGAATTAAATGATACTGTATTCCCATAAGGATCTTATATTGTAGTGACAAGACATAAACAGTAAGTGAATAAGTAAATGTGGTGATGGTTTTATGGGGAAAATTAAGGCAGAAGTAGGGACTTTGAGGATGGGAGTATTGTATTCCAATTTTAGATAAGAGTGGTCAGAGAAGGCCTTACAAAGAATGGCAACATTTGAAGAAAGTGCTACAGGAGGTGGGAGACAGACCAGGTGGGTGTGGTGGGTGTGTGGGGGTGGGCTGCAACAGAGTGCCTGGTGTGTGACAGGGCTGGCATCAAAGCCAGCAAGACTAGAGGGGAATGACTGAGGGTGTGTTAGGGTCAGAGAGATGGCAGAGGACTGACAGATGTACCAGCCTTCACCTCTTGGCTTTCATAATTCCATTTCTCACCTGTATGTGTATTCAACAGTGAGTAGCATGATATAGGAATGAGTTCTCACTGTTCTGCCTCCTTAGCCTGCAATTGGGAATTCAGGTTTCCTAAATTGCTTCAGCTAATTTCTTTCCATGATAACTCTTCCTTCCCTACCATTAGATTGTTCCTTTTATTGGGTGTTAAGTAAAATTTTAAGTGGGATACTTATTTTATGAAGATATGGCTTTTTAAAAACACTGCAGGGTTTTTTTTTAACATGAAAAGGTATGTCATTATAATATGCAATTGAATGTGAATGAAATGAAGTTATTTCATTCTCCTGATGACCCACTTGGATTTCTCTCTCAAATTAACAGGATATTATTCCTCTGTCCTTTATTCTGAAAGGATAGAGAACATAAAATCTTCTCTCCTCTCCTCCCCTAACCTTTTTTTGAATAGTTTTTTGTAAATTATTTCCATTAGGAATATCCTTTTCTTTTTTTACAGACATGAGTTCTGGGCTTTAATTTTTAATTTAATCAGAATATATTTCATTCTTTTATATTTCACCTTTGCTAAACTAATTGAATGTCTGTAGTATGCCTGGTACCATGCATAGCCCTGTGAATACTAAGAAAACTGAAGCAGGGCACTGAGTGCGGCTAAGGTCCAGTGGTTGTGCAGACAGATAGATGGACGATCCTAATAAAATGTAATAGCCAAGAGTGGAAATATGAACTGTAAGTGCAAGGTCAAGACTTCGGAGAGCTGTTGAGCTTCAGAATAGGGCATTCTAGGCAGAAGCCCTGGGGAAGACTGAGGTTTGAGGCTTGGTTGGGAGGGTGAGTAGACTGACGTGCAAGTCACTCAACTGACCTGCTGACATTTGTCATGGGACTCAGCTGCATTTCCTCCCATCACACACCTCCATGGCTTCCTCCCTTAGTTCCTTCAGGTCCTTACCCTAAAGTCACCTTCTTGGAGACCTTTTCTGGCCACTCTATCTAAAATTTCAACCACCTTTTTTCCAGTACTACATAATGCTCTTTCCCATTTAATTTTTCTTTTGATTTTTATCACTATGTGTTGCATTTATTCATTTATTGTCTGCCTCCTTTTCATCCCCAGAGTAAACTCCATGAAAGCAGAGGTTTTTTGATGCATGTTGTTCACTGTTATGTCCTCAGCACTCAGAAGAGTGCCAGAGTGTGGGCATATCGCAGGTGCTCAGTAGCATTTATTGAAGATGAAAGAATGAATGATGAATAAATGAGTGAGTGAATGGATGAATGAATGAGGGTGGAAAGGGTACTATGGCGAGATGATGAAGGGCCTTTATATGATCTGCTTGCATATTAGGACGTTTTTCTCTAGGCAATGAAACATTTTAATGTATTTACACAGTTCACTCTTTTCTAAAGACCAACTGGCTGATCTTCAGGAAATGTGACACCTAATTTGGTGACCCAAAAAGAAAGAGATAGAAGAAAATTTATTCCTTTATAGTTTTCTGGTTTCATCGTAAGTGGTTAAGTAGTATCTTGTCACTGATTCAAGCATTTTAAATATGTTGTGTTTGATTTAATGAGTTACCTCTTGATTAATTTGATGGTAATTTACTTTACATTTAGTGGATGTTTGCATTCTCTCTGCCCAGGTTCTGTGGTGGACTAATTAAAGACATAAAGAGGAAAGCGCCATTTTTTGCCAGTGATTTTTATGATGCTTTAAATATTCAAGCTCTTTCGGCAATTCTCTTCATTTATCTGGCAACTGTAACTAATGCTATCACTTTTGGAGGACTGCTTGGGGATGCCACTGACAACATGCAGGTGGGTATGGTTTTGAGGAGGACACAAATAGTACAGCCCAGATTGCCTTCCTCACCCCTACAGCTCAGTTAGAAGCAGATGGCCTTTCAGTTACTCAGCGTGATTTTCTTTCTTTTGCTGGATGCTGCATTTTACTTTGCTTCTGGCCTGCTGCTGTATTTCCAGCATTTTAGTAATTATAAAAATAGCTCGATGAAATCTGGCTTGAGTCACAAGTAGGGAAAGGAAGGGAAGGAAATGAGGATATACAATTCTATTTGGGCAAAAGCATATCAGCTGCTTTAATTTTGTACAGTGCACAAGGTTTAGATCTTCTACTAGTTTGACTATGTGGAACATATTCTGTTAAACTTGATGATTACACTTTCTTTGGGAATGTATGATTAGCTTAATTTTACACATGAGCAAATAGCTTCCAACCATTGAGCGATTTGCTCAAAGTTGGGTTTGCATGTTTACCAGTATAATTTGGTTTTAATGAATATAAGCTAACAGTTATATCTCCTGCAGGTGGACCTGATTCTCATTAAGCTGTAACGACTCTGGCTTGACTTATTTTGTATGATTAATTGTAACCACAATTAGTTGGTTACTTCTCAGATAGCATTATCTTCCTTTTGCAACAATAATAAAGTTTTGGTGATAGAAAAGATGTGTCTGATTCCCTCCACCAACCAGAAAAATATGTCCCAAATTACTTTTAGTTGGTCCAATCCTTTTCAGAAAAGCTATTGTGCTAGGTGATGAATACGAGTAGTGAATGAAGTTATATTCCTATGAAAAGGACCAGATTGAAGCCCTTTTCACACTTTTCCTTCCACTTTACTATATATTATTGTATAACCTATGTGGTATTCATAAGTGATGCCAGCCAGCTTATTTTTTTTTTAAATGCAGCTGATTCCATAGGATTGCTGTTTTTCTACTTTGGTTTTCTTTCCTGGGCACATGCATATTTTAGATTTTTGTCTAAATACAAAAATACTATGGAGATTATAACATCTATGTTGACCTAAGTAAAAAGGGAGAAATTATACAATTGTATTTTAGTTTGTCAAGTGCAGTTTTATCTTTTAGTTCTTATCTAGTACTGCATAGCATGTTACCCCAAAACTTAGAGGCTTGAAACAACCATTTTATTACTCTCTTTCATGGCTGGATGGTGGGTTGGCTCAGCTGAGTGGTTCTCTCTTTGGTCCCTCATTCACTTGCAGTCAGATGGCAGCAGAGGTTGAGGTCACGCAGCAGCTTCTTTACTCATGTGTTGGTGCCTAAGCTAGGATGTCCAGAATATTTGGGGTCTGGATACTCTCCACACGACTTCTCCACATAGCTAACTTGGGCTTTCTCACAGTGGGGGGACTGTGATGACGTCTAAGAGCTCATGCTCCATCAGAAAGAGGCAGTTGCCACTCAGCTTTGCTTTTTCCCACATAAATGTGTACGCAGTATTGCTTCATTTTCTGATCTTCAAAGAGAGGCTGAAAATTCTGATTCTTAGTGAAACCAGTGATTTTTAAATATTGGCAACTGATTAACATTTTAGGAAATAATATCGTGCTGGTCAAAGAACACATACCTCTGTGTTACCAGTGAGAGATCTGCAGCATGGGTTATGAGAACCAACTCTAATAGGACATAGAGATGAAATAGACAGAGCATGTTTTTCTCCTTTTCCCTCATTTGTAAGACAAAACTGAATACATTAAATTGTAGTAGTGATGTCAGTAATAGAATTTTTATAAAATTTGATCTATATCCAAGTTGGGCAGCTATTCTTCATCTAAATGACAGCGTAAGGATAACTAAAACAGATCGTTCAAGAAAAAAAATGGAGAAGATGGCACTGGGGAAACACCCTACGGCCAGCTTGAAGAAGTTAATACAGGCAACCACATGTTAAGAAAATAGAAGAAAGCTGTGATTTTGAGAGGGCGGTAAGAACAAAACTGTCTTCCGTCTGTCAGAATGTATAGAGACTTTCTTGTGTTGTGCAGATAATTTTTAAACTTTTTTTGATGGACATTCTCATTGAGATGGGGACATTGCAATATTGCCTATGTGTATTAGTTTATTGCCTTTTTTGAATTGAATTGTAATTCTTTGCAACCTCATAAGACTTGGCTTTACAATGCTGCATCTGACTGTAGAGAAGAAGTCTGTTCAGATCTGTTTTGATCCCTCCTAGATGGATGAACTTCTTTATGAGTAGGTTTTGGGAAAGTAGAGCACTCTATTATGTAACATACATAGTTAATTGGTATTTTTCTCCTATGTGATATATGACCTGGGAAAGGCCTTGCTGGTGGAATTAGCTATTTTCTGTGTTCTAAAGATTTCAAGAGGAACGTAAATACTTTCAGTGCTTCAGGATGTTAAGTAGTCCACTAAAATAACCATTTGCTGGATGTGACTCCTAAGAGCTGACTTTCAAATTTATGGGGAAATTTTCCAGATGTAATTTGATTATTTTATTAATAGATTTTTTAACCTCCATTGATAATTTCACTGAAACTGTGGATGGATTGTTTGAAAATACTGAAGAACATGTTTTTCACTCTCTTCCAAAGCTTTTTTCCTTTAAGAAACATATTGGCAATATCTTTCTCCTAGAATACAATTTTGATACATCTAGAAATTACAGTAAGTGGCAAAAACACTGAAAAAGAGGCATAGAAAATTAATGACTATGAATTTAAATTTGTTGAACCAAAACTTAACAAATATTAATAGTTTTATATATTTTAAGGACTAGGGAGTAAGGTGATTTAATGTGGAATTTAAGGTGGAAGATAATCTCTTGATTGAAAGGGTATGTACTTTACCGCACAAAATTTTTGATTTTCTGGCAGGAGAAGTCTTCTTGACCTGGGACCAGGATAAGGAAATATTTTGTAAATTTGGTGCTAAGGCCCAGGTCATTTTACAGGTCTATGGCAGAAGTTGATTCATTCCTTGCAAATATTTATGGAGTGTCTACTATGTGTTTGACACTGTTTTAAGTGCTGGAGATAAAGATAGATGAGCAAAATAGACAGGAATTCCAATTTTGAATCCCAGTTATAGTGTAGGGTATTGATGAAAACAGTCTTTTTCAGTCACCCCCAAGAGATACCAGTAGTGGGGTGTAGTGGGCTTATTTAGGGGATGAAGTCCTCTGGCTTCACTTGCTTTTCTAAACAGTAGACCAAGACTAAGCAGAAAAGCATTGGCAGAGCCTGAAATAATCTGCAGTTATGTCACATGCCTTCATAAATGTGGCAGTGGGTTATTCACAAAAGCACAGGCAGCTCAAATGAGTCAACTGAGAACAGTGTCCTTGCTTTTAAAGGCAGACAGCTCAGAGATGGTTCACATAGGGCCTTTATTGTCAGGCTACAAATAGACATGGGTGCTGGGTAGAAACGTGTTGTGAAAACACAGATGAGTCACTGCATGGCTGTTGTCTAAGCAAACTCTTCTGCCAGCTTCTGTTCAGAAGGTCTTGCCTGTTTGAAGCATTTATGTTAGAGCATATATATACACATATATAATTAGAAGCAGATTATTTTGGGAGCTATGTAGATTATTTCCCATGAAATTATGTTCAAAATAGAACAGTTGAGGCTACAGTGACTCTAAGTACAATCATACAGTTATAATGCTGACATAGATGATTGCATGAATTCACTAGCTTGGCGTACACATTTTGCCCATTAGGCTGCTCTGAGAGAACTCTGGGACTTACAGAATGGGTATTCACAAATTTCTTGTTAAATGTCAGCAGTAAACTTTAGCTACGGCTTCTTTGAGTAACTGAACCACTCAGCCAAGAGTTGACATTACATTCATCTGAGATGCAACCCTGGCTTGTGACTGTTTCCTTTTTTTATGGTACAGCAATGGAGGACTAGAACATAAGCTTTCCGAAGTCTGAGAATTATGTGACATTCTTATTTTCCTTTTCTTATAGTAAGTTCCACATTAATACTCTGGTCTCCTTGCCATATTGTCAGGTAAACAAAGGCTTTTCATCCTTACCATCCTAAATAACGTGTCCCCTTCATAACTAAACTCTCTGTAACCATGCATGCCAACTCACTACATTATTGCAGTCATTCCTCGATATCAGCAGAGGATTGGTTCCAGGACCCCCTTTCCTCCCATGGATACCAAAATTCATCGATGTGCAAATCTCTTTTACAAAATGGAGTACTATTTATGTAGTACCTTTGCACATCCATATACTTTAAATTATCTCTAGGTTACTTATAATGCCTAATACAATGCAAATACTATGAAATACGTTATACTATATTTTAAATTTTGTATTAGCATTTATTGTTATATTGTTATGTTTTATTTTTATTTTTTCCTATTTTTGATCTGCAGTTGGTTGAATCCACTGATGTGGAACCCATTCATATGGATGGGCCAATTCATTTATATTCTTGGTTGCCAAACAAGTATACTGCTTAATTCATGTAGCTACTTCTAATTAAATTGTTAAATGTCAGCATATAAATATATTTCAGTAGAATTTATTACTACTATTGGTTGTTCATTCAAAGTACTGTCTGAATGGAACCTATGCAAATTAAATCAACACATATTTATGGATTACTTAGTCTATGGGCAAGATACTTATATAAGGAATAATTTTTGATACCTTGTGAAAAGTCTTATATTATTTAAAAAATTGTTCCTTTTAGTGTTATGAGATACAGAAAAGTATTTTAATTTAAATCTACATTGTTGATTGTGAATGAATAAGCACAGTCTAGAGTGAAGACTGAGTGAAGAAAGTAATTTTAATTTTTTTCCAGGAGTAAATATAATCCTATTTTCACAAACCTTTTAGCAAAAGAATACAGTAAGATTTTTAGATTCTGTGAATTTTGTGATATTTATGGAGCTTAACAGAGCACATTTTAAGGGAACTTGTCTCATAATAAGGAACATTTATAGTTGCCATCTCCAAATTTGAGACTTTATTTTAACATAAAGCTGTGCTGAGAATATTTAATCAATCTGCTTAAGTTGGAACTATATCATTTCTTATTTACATGTGATGTTCCTTGATAAGATAGACAAATCTTTACAAAGCCTATTATGTGTAATTTATAACAGCAAGATTAAAGCAAATTGGTAATTGCTTTACTATATTGAGAATTGTACAAGAATTTCAATTTAGCTGAGTGTTGTACTTTGGCACCAAAATGCATTTCCTCCTTGAAGTGAAAATATAAGGTGACGTTAATCTACACTATCAACATATTCCAGTTTCAAAGTTAGGTAGAGATTGTCTGTTGGAATGACACAATTTTGGTAGGTAAAAATAAATAGACATATTTAGTGACAAAATAAGGATTCTGCATTACCTGGTTGCCTTTAAAACTTATTAGCTATTTCTTCTTTAAAGAAGCTTTAAATAATGTGCTTTGCTTCATGGGCAAGTTGTGAATTAAATCCTGTTTGATTGAGGTTAAGTAATGTGTATTTGGTGGGTTTTTTTATTTGAAAGACCTTTGTCACCCTATTTCCTTGATGATCAGAAAATGATAGTGATTTAGGCAGGGATGTGGGGAGTCTCAACTGATGCTAAATTCTAATTCTTATTTTGTGTTTGACTTGCAACTGTTTTGAGAATAAGATATAATTATGTATTGTAGAAAATTCCAAAAATCCAAAAAAATTACGTAGAAGGTAATTTTGCCCTTAAACCCATCAACCAGAATTGATCATTATTAACATTGTCATGAACACTTTCCCATACATCTTAAAATTCATGTGTATACAGATAGATTGACATAAAGGATGCTGTTACATAACTTTAGTATTTCATGGATGTCTTTCCACTTCAGTATGAATATTTAACATCATTTTTAATGACCACATATATTTATGCACATGATGCATGTGCTATTACTATAACAGAGCCCCTCTTAGTGGACTTTTAGTTTTTCCCAGTTTTTTATAAACAAAAAAATGTAGGTGATTAACTACATGTTTATTATCTGTGATTACCTTCCTAGGGCAAATTTCTAGCAGAATGATAGCAGGATGTGCTCATTTTATTTTTTGATATTTGTTTCAAATACACTACACAAGGCTATACCAGTTCATATGTCTACCAATAACGGACAAGGATGTCCACTTGCTTATACCCTTGTAAAAACAGAATTTTGTCCCATATTCTCATTTTTTGTCGTTCTGTGGGTTGAAAAATAATGGTTCATTTTTGTTTAATTCTAATTTCTTTGATTACTTAGTGAGGGTGAATCTCCTTTTACATTTTTATTGATTGTCTATACTTCTTTATACTTGTATCATTGGTATATTTTCCTTTTGGGGCATTAGGGTTTTTTTCATTGCCTTATGAGAACTCTTTGTATAATAAGGATATTTTCTCTTTGCTTGTGAGAAATATTACAAAACATATTTTTCTTAGGGTTACCATATGTCTTTTAACCTTATTTATGATTTCTTTTGCTGTATAGATCTTAATTTTTGTGTAGCCAAAATCGTCAATTTTTTAATAGTTTCTTCTTTTCATGATATATTTAGAGAGGTTTTCCCTACCCCAAGATAAAGGAAATATTTACCCACATATTTTAGTTCTTTTCTGTTTTCGTTTAAATTTTTTATCCATCTGGAATTGGTTTTTGTGTAAGGTTATACTGGCCTAATGTTTCCGATGATCCAGATACGTATTCACAGCTCTTCAAACAAAAAAAATATTAGAAAGCCCTCCATGTCTTGCTCATCCAGCCTATTAGACTTGGAACTCTTGGTAAGATTTTTGGCTCAAACTTTTCTTCAAGCAGGGAGATAATTCGTCTTTCAAGTCTTGCCTCTTTTTCATTTCCTGCTGGGCATTGTAAACAGAAATCCTTGCTTATGACGACAAAGTACTTTAGGCAGAGCGGGTGGCAATAAGGATTTGGCAGCTGTGATCTGTCAGGACAGAAATCACTGATTTATTGGCTGTAGCTACACAGGGGAAATAAAAAAATGAGGGTTGTATATCCAGTCTCCTTCCCCAATGTAGATGAATGGTCTGTGTGACCAATCGTTACTGATATTCTGAAGGAGAAGGGGAGGTACATCTCACATTTGGGGCACATGGGAATCACTTGGGGGACTTAAAAACATACTGAATCCCTAGGCATTGTCTTCATTGGTTCTGATTTAATTGTTTAGGGTGGAAATAAAGAATCAGTATTTTTTTTATTAAAAAATCTTCTGAGATGACTCTCATGTGACCCAAATTTGCTTTAGATACTTGAATCATTTCTCCACTTATTTTTGATCGTGTGGTTTGTCTTATGCTGGTGACCTGACATCAAAATTCATATAGGTTAATTCTGCTCTGACTGCTTATTTCCAGTGACATTGGGCTACCTCATAATTCTTGACTAAACTTTAGTTTCAAAGGCTTATCTAGCAAAATTTAATTTTATTATTTATTATTCAATATGCTGCAGAGTTCCTTATGAACACCACCAAAAAGACTGGTGTTTCTTTTTGCTGTTATAAACAAACAAAATTCTAAAGCCTGAAACACGACAGTAATGTTGGTAAATGCTTTATCATTTGATGCCACCTTTATCTTCCATACTTTAGTGGGTGGAAAATTGTCAAAAAAAATAGAAAATTTTTTGTTTTCCTAGGCTGTTCTGTCACTTTTCTCCTTAGCCTTTTTTCCCCTTCTGTTATTGTCACTCAGCCTCCCTAAACAGGTTTATAATTATTAATCCAAATAATAAAGTCCTTAATAAAAAGGACATAAAACAACAAAAGTCACTTTTTAGTGTTATACGAAGAAACCAAATTGCGATAAATCCAAGTTGACAGCATAGATTTTTAATATTTGATGTTTCATCATCTTGAATGTGCTTGCGTTGCCTTAGCCATGACAGGTATTGGTGGCCTTGGCAGCCCTTGCCCCAAGTTGCTGAAAGACATAAAATGCTGATATTACAAATTGTGGTTGGCTTTTAATTTTTTTTAGAATCTTGCTCCTATGGTCTGATTTCTTTTAGTAAAAAATATGTTTTACTATTCTGGGACTTGTCCTAATTTCTTGACTTTAAAAAAACATGGGCCAAACACGGGCCATCCTTGGTTTAATTGTATACCCTAATACAAGCTGAAAAATATTCACAAATGTTTTTGGATATCGATTTTGACTTCACTGCTGTAAAGTAAAGCAAGCTATTTTGTTTATTATCATTGACTTGCACGTGATGCAAAGGAATGGAAAGAAGCGTCTCTTAATGGCCGTAGTGTTGCCGCCTAAGACTTTTCTGTTGATTTAAAATTTACTCTGGGAAATACTGTAGACCTAAAGAGGCTTTTTTTTACCTGTTTCTTCTGAAGACTAATTTTTATCTTTTCACATCATTTCTTTTGAATTTCTTTTTCTCTCCTTCGTCTCTTAAAGGAAAGAGAAATAATAGAGAGAGGCTGAAAAGAAGGTGGTGAAAAGCAGCCAAGGAAAAGAAATCAACATTAGATTGTATCTCTGCTTTATATGAGACTCTGTTCTTAGCTCTTTACATATTATTCTTTCATTTTATCCAAATAATTATCCCGTGAAGTAGCTATTGATTTTACAGAAGAGAAGTAGGATTTAGAAAGGTTACCCAGTTGGTCACTGGTAGAACTGAGATTTAAATTCAGATGTCCCTGACTCCAAGACATGCTCTTTGTGCTGAGCCACCTGGAAGAGACCTTAGAGATTATCCAGTCCAACCTCCTCATCTTTTTTTTTTTTTTTTTTTTTTTGAAACTGTCGCCTAGGCTGGAGTGGAGTGGCGTGATCTCAGCTCACTGAAACCTCTGCCTCCTGGGTTCAAGCAATTCTCCTGCCTCAGCCTCCTGAGTAGCTGGGACTACAGGTGTGCACCACCATGCCTGGCTAATTTTTGTGTTTTTAGTAGAGACAGAGTTTCTCCATGTTGGCCAGGCTGGTCTCGAACTCCTCACCTCAGGTGATCTGTCCACCTGAGCCTCCCAAAGTGCTGGGATTACAGGCGTGAGCCGCTATGCCCGGCTGTCATCTAATATTTAAATAAGTACAGTACACATATGGTTGCCATGTATTGAAAAGGTTTTTATCAGTCAGAGACTATGCTAAGCACCTTACATACATTATCTATCTAATGTGCATACTAACTCCAGGAAGCATAGGTAGGTTAAATAACTTGCTTAAAGTCATTGATCCAGGAAATAATATGGTATAGATGTCTATCTGGGATTGTCTAACTCCAGAGTCCGGTGCTCCACTACAGTGTCTCAATTTTTCCTCTCCATAAAAATACTGAAATTTACTGAGGTGAAGTGACATTTCTAAGACCATCAGCTCTCTTTGGCAGAACGGAGCCCAGACTCCAGATTTCTGACTGCCAGTTGTTTGCTCTTTCTACTGTTCCACAGTGGTGTCACATCAGAAGTGGAATAAAATGAAAGCCCAACCAAAATGGACTAGAGCACTTTGTGGCATCCTATTGCTCCACACCTCAGAGCTTAGCTGTCTGCAGCCTCATAAATTGCTAGGGAATATGTTCCTCTGAGAAATCAGGTGTAGAAATGCCTTTATGAGTTATGGCTTTTAAAAATACACATATCCACACATTGTTTTCCTTTTTGTATGAGTGAACACTGAATATAATAAATCAGAAAAGAGGTTTCTGATAGTTCACCTTATAAATTGCTTTAAACTTTACAGTTAAACTACAGTTATTCATTACATGTTATTTTTTAAATTTCTGTATTGTGAAGAGGAAGATGTCAAATAGTTCTTTTCTCAGAAATACTGGAAACATCTCTAAGTTTAAGCAAGTTTCCAGTGCAGTGTGTATAATAAATCACCTGTCTGTGTTTCAAGATTGTCAGCAACAGAATGAAAACTGTAGCACTTACCAAAGGATCAAGTACTGAAATAAAAATATGCCTTTTAACAGTCATATGGCTTCCATAAATCAAAGTGGTTTTCTGGAAGAAATTGGTTGTTATCTTTACCGAATGAGCAACAATGCCTGTTGACCTTTGATAAGTGGAACCTAGAGTGTCATTTGGGTCTTGCTTCTTGGTTCCTTTAACATTTGCTGAGTGTCTACAGACCACATGTAGAGATGGTGGATAGCATGATGAGAGAAAGAGAAACATGGATGATGCCAGAAGACCCTGTTCTTATCCTCCCCAAGATTAATAGCTATGTCAAATCAAGTAGAGAATGCAAAAATCTCTTCTTTTGTATTGCTCTTTTCCCCTTTATATTCTCCCTTACACTCAGTCAGTGCTGTTTTGATCCATAGTAGTGATAAGAAATATCACTCTTTGCTTAATAAAGAATGTTGTAGTATATCTGCCTATCACATGCACCCAGAGTGTAGCTTGTCCTGCCACAGGAAGCATTCAAGCTTCTACCTTTCATCTTATGCATACACTGGTGTAAGTTGTAAAAAAGAAAGATAAATTATAAAGACATAGAAAGCCCACTGTCTATGCACAAGGGTTGAAATCCTAGTCTGTGGTACACCTTTTATCCTTACCAGGGGTGAAGTCTGGTTGGGCAAGTACATACACTAAAGACCCAAAGACTTGTTGTGTCACATTGAATGTGAATTTGTTCATATCACTTAACTCCCTTGAATCTCAATGTCTAAATGTTTCAGAAATCAAGGCAAATGCTATTTGTTGGCCTAGGATAACCTTTTTCTGTCTTCTCTGCATAAATACATCTTGGTTCTGCTGCCCTTCCTTGTTATTCTGGTTTCTGTCCCTGTGAGGAAGAATGAGCAAGATAGTCTCTCTACGGAATGGCTATAAATAATGAGATGGTACCCTTCAGCCATGTGCTGGACCTACATCCATGTAAATGGAAGTCCTTATGAGACCTTCCTGCCAGGCTTCAAACCTAGATTTGTGTATGAACTGGAGTTGTTCTGGATTGTTTCAGAGTGTGTGTATTTGCCATGAGAGAAGCCAATCTTACTATTTAATTGTCAAGTCTTGTTTTTTATCCACCGTCATCCCAACTACATTATTATCTAGTGCTGCTCTAAAGGATTTTTGTTTGTTTTCTGAATTGAATTCCACCCTTAAAATAGGAGGATGTGCTATTGCTAATGTCAATCTATGGAGAATGTTGCTGTCTCTGAAGTAGTGTTGTAAGAAATATTTTGAGTAATTATTGTAATAATGGTCTCCTAAGCTTTTGAGTGGCACTTACTGTGTAAGTTTTGTAAGTTGATTTAAAAAACAATTTCTTCATAATCATTTTATGTATATTGTATTTTCTTTAAAAATGATAAGTGAATGAGAAGTTGCTGGAGAACTTTTGGGACAGTGGTAAGAGGTGGCCTAGTGAGGCTGACAGATGGATAGGTTAACTCGGAGGTTGAGGGTCACAGGAAATGACTGAGGGACACTGCAGATTCCCCAGAAATCCACTCTGCTCCAGTCAAGGGGTCATTTCAATTAAAAGGCTTATTTTATGTGGCATAAATCATACTTCTAACAACATGTAATTTATTGTTTAATTGAAGAGAGAACTCTTCCTATACCAAGAGATCACATGATTTTGCTCCACTGTTTTATCTACCACTGCATATATTATTGTGTCCTTTAAAGCTATAGAATTTCTTTACTCATTTGAAAATGTTTTATTTTAAAAGTTTTAATGTTCAGATTTATAGCTTCATGTATGAATAAAGGGTTTCTGTCATCTTTTTATGTTTAAAAATCATGTCTTCATAAAATATTATTTTATGTCTACAAAAGAACCTTCCTACAAATACACATGTGCTTGTCTATAGGTTGGTGCAAAAGTAATCGCGGTTTTTGCCATTACCCTAATTATTTTAATGGCAAAAACCACGATAACTTTTGCACCAACCTAACTACTAACTAAACTAATAACTAAAGTTTGAAATAATGAAAAAATAGGAAACAGCCTAGTTTGTCATCCTTGAAAGCATTGGTCCTGAGTGACGTGATTAGGAAAGTTAGGATCGTTTTGTAAGTCAGTGATCCTCGTTGACACGTCACCTTTGTTTTTATTATTCTAAAGGAAAATGATGGGTTGATTTCCAGAGATGTAACTAAAAGGAAATGTGGCCATAAAAGACTACTTATTTATGTTCCAGCACATATATTTTCTCTAGAAATAGTTAATTGAAGCTCTTCTATAAGTTTACATTGGACAATGAAAATGTAATGAGAATGTCTTTTGAAATTGGTGTCTTAGAAATTGCAGAATGGAGGACAAATCACTTTTTTGGTCCCCTTTGTGCCCCTCTCTATTTCAAAGGTGTTTCTCTAGGAAAAAAATAGCTTTTGTACATAAAAGAGAGCTACTGATAAGTGCCTACTATGTGCAAGGCGAAATCAGGCTAAACACTGAAAGGAACCACAAAGAGGAAATTGCCACCAAAAGTACCAAGTCACTTCTAACCATTTGATTCTGACGTGTAGAAGCTTCAGTTAGTATTTTAGTAAGGATCGGAGCCACCTTTTGCCTTCTACACACCAGCCATCATAGTAATTATAGTGCTTTAGAGCAGGTCGACCCTTGGAGTAGGGAACCATGACTAAATTGTAGGTGAAATAAATGTGAAATAAGTGGTGGCAATATGCATATGGGTAAAAGACTTTGTTCTTCATTCTTGATATGTTTGCTAAGACCCTCCTAATAGTATATTCACGTGGCTTTATTTGCCTAGTGACATCACAAATGAGAAGAAAAAAGATGTGTTTCATTTAACATCTATATTTTCTTTATTTTAGGGCGTGTTGGAGAGTTTCCTGGGCACTGCTGTCTCTGGAGCCATCTTTTGCCTTTTTGCTGGTCAACCACTCACTATTCTGAGCAGCACCGGACCTGTCCTAGTTTTTGAGAGGCTTCTATTTAATTTCAGCAAGTATGTACATACATATTTAATTGCAAATTAGAATTGCTTAATTGTAGAACCTTTATAGGCTAGATAGAGCATAGAATAGTGATTAGGCAGATCCAAGAATCACTCAGAATACTGGAATGTTCAGATGTGAGAGGTGAAAGGGCCTTAGCAATTAGGTAGTCACCACTTGTTTCAGATGTGATTCGACTGAGGCTCTTATGTTGTGTGTATCCTTGCTCCCTTCCCACTTACTCTCTTTCCCATTGTCCTGCCCTGTGCTCTAGGGGCTGATGCCTGTGGACAGCAACACCCATGCCCCTTTGCCTTCTGGCTTCCTCTTGGGTTTGGCTAATGGGGAGTACCAACAAGACGGGAAGAGAGAGAGAGAGAGAGAGAGAGAGAGAGAGAGGGAGAGAGAGAGAGGTCTGAGTATGTCTGCCTTTCCCCAGCTCACCGTCTTTGTTTTAGCACAGCATTCTGGCAGTGCTTATCCCCGAGGACTTTAGCCCCTGTCAAGTGGCTCATCCACCTTGACTCTAGCCCTCACCAGGCTCTGGTAGCTCTATTCCTTCCTTGGCCTTTTCAAGCCTGAAGTTAGTAGTGGCTTCCTGCTGTTGATGGTCCCTGAGTGCCTTGCCATTTGTTATTACTTCAGAATGCCTTCTATTTCCTGCCATAATCCTGACTGACATGCTAGAGAAATTAAATTGATTAAGTTCACATCATTCAATAATGAAAGAGACTGGATGCTCTTTACTTAGTCCACTGCTCCTCACCCCAGTTTCATGTTCTTAACTAAAGATAGCTTCCAAAACTCAGCTGAATAAATACCTAACATTTATTGAGAGTTGATCATGTACCAAGTATTATCCTAGGCACTTTACATGTACTAACTCATTTAATTCTTACAGCAATCCTGTGAGGTAGGGACCACATCCTGATTTATAGATGAAATAACAAGCACAGGAACAATAAGTAAATTGCCTAATATTATATCACAAGTCATCGGTGGGGCTGGGATATGAATTCCTGCTTTCTGACTCCAGAGTCCAAGTCTCTTCAGGAATCACTAGAAGTTTCTAATGGACATTGCAATTATGATATCAGCATTTTCTTTTAGAAATTTATGGATCATTTTAAGAAGGGGAAACGTGAGTTTCCCCAAGTGGCCACATTAATACACAAATAGATTCAAAATCAAATTGGGTATTCCAGCCTCTTTCTAATGTAGTTGATACCTCTAAGAGAGAATTGCCTTTACTGGCAGATCTCAATCCTTAGGTAGATTGAAGAATGTCTCATGGCCTGCTGGCACTCCTTGTTGGCATTCCCATAGTCATATTGTTATACATTTTTAGGATTTTAATTTTAGAACTGTCATTACCTTCATAGTACATCATGGACTTATGGACTCATATATAGCCTTTGAAAGTATGTGTGTTATCAAAAATAGTCATAAGATGGAGGAGGGAATGAGGATTTAAAACCAGCTTTTTGAAAACAGGGTTGAGGATATCAGCAGGAGTCTTTTGAGAATGTAAAAAGTTCCAAATTTTAAGTAGTGTTGTGAATTTTCTGTAGGTAATTATTATTATAAATCCCTTCTCTATCATAATTCTCAGAAGAACATTGGAAAGAATTTTATTCATGTTAGTTTATAGAAAGAGTCAAACAGTTTTTATATGTTTAAGGAAACATTGTGTGAGACAAGAAAGCCTTTGTGGAAAGATTAAACAAGGATGTACTATAAACAGGAACAAACATGCACAAACTTTGCAGAAAGATTTATTGGATGAAATGTGATCAGAGCCTTAATCTACAGAAAATGTTTGCATCCCAGTTTGTTTTAAGTAATTGTGAGATACAGATTATTTCCTTTCACTAAGCAAGTTCCTTTCTCGTTCTCCCTTTTTTTTCTATCATAATTGGTAACATAACATAGTTCCAAGTGATTTATTTGAAAACAGTTGTACATCAACAAGAAACATTTGAGAAGCCATGCTTTAAATCCATCACTTAGTAATATGTGGCAAGCGTTATTTTAATCTCAATGCTATATCATTTGTTTATGTTATAGCAGCAGCAGTGATAATCTTCTGTCTAGATACAAAATATTTGGGTAGATCACTATTTCCAAAAGTGTGTTTCATCAATTACTAGACTCATTCCATGCTCCATGAAAAAAAAAAACCTCTGTGGTCCCAGTAAGTCTGGGAAGTGCTGTATACTATATACCCCCCTCTTGGTAGTTCACTTTAGACTTTAGCATGCAAGTGATCTGAAAAAGTCCTTCAGTTAAGAACTATTTTACTTTGTCTTGCCCAGATTTTCCCCAACATATTTTACCACTGTTGAAGAATAGGTAGATCCTTGCTTTGTAGGTTCACTGGACTCAAACTCTGCATAATCATGGATTTATTTCTGAGGTTTTGATATTTGCCCTGTAAACTGGAGAATTATAAAGGAATATGAATGATATGCTGCCATCTCTTAAAATCAGTAATAGAAGGAAGAAAATAGCTCACAACTTTTCAAAGATACTTGTAGTTTTATTTCCCAAATTCTGCAATCTGTTTTGCATTATTTTTACACATTTTATCACAATAATAATTAGATTCCTTCTTTTTACTTGGGTGAGGAATCTGAAAGATGTTTCAGCAATGTGTTCTAAGGTATATAAAAACTTCACAATTAAGGTTGGATTTTAACTTGTATTATTATCATTTGGTCATTCAGTATTTTTCCCTATATTCTTTAAACAGTTTACTTTTAAGCCTTCAAATTTTTAATTCGTCCATGATATTACCGGATGTATTTTTTTAGGGAGTTTATATTTATTTGTCAGTGGCTGCACATTAATTTCTGTAGCATATTTCAGATGTGACTTCTTCAGTTTGTCTTGTATCCTTGGTTTTATGCTACTGAGAAACTATGACTCAAAAAATCTAGGAACACTGAGTGGTACCATAATGATATGAATCTATTTTTTCCTTTTAATTCACCATAATTTCTTCTTTGATCTCTAATATCATTTCCTGTTGCTTTTTAAAACTTAATTGCTGTTTAAATTTGGCACCAAGGGAATTTATTGGATGTAATAATACCATTTTACTGTAATCATTACTGATGATCAACTTATTTACATTTTTCTCATCCCTTATTCCTCTTTCTTCTTGATGCTCTACACATATCACTTTCATAATGAAGTGCCATTGGTTTTATTGACTTTATTTGGGTCATTCTTGTTGAACTACTGTAGTATTGCTTAAGTCTTTTAAAGCAGCTAGTTTAGCATATTGTTTAGATTCTAAGGTTTAAGTTTATACATGTATCTTTTCCTTTGTACCCAAACTAATGTTGTTCCTAACCATTAGCTAGTTAATGGATTTGTTTCTCATCCTATCCTGTAAACATTAAATCTATAAACAACTACTAGCATTCTTAGAACAAATCAAGATTGCTCTTTCATCTTCTTGCTAGGGTAGCAAAACTAGGTAATTGTTTAAAATTTTTATTTTAATTTAAGGAAAAAGTATGTTGTCTCAGAAGTAACAGAACTGTATTTCTTAGTTGTTATTCTGACACTGACTCATTGTATGATAATGTAAATTATATCAAATTTCTAGAACTCAGTTTTTTCTATAGTTTACTTATCTCACATAGGCATGCATAGGATGAAAACAGTGGTGTTCCGGACACAAAGCAAACTGCAAAGGAAAGTAAAAGTTATCTTCAGAAGGATCCCATAAAGTCTATTGAAGATAACTTTACCCCAGTATTAATAATCTCCTTCTTCGGTAATGTATTTCAATTTGCATGATTAGATAAGAAGAGAAAAACAAAAGACATTGACTTTAATATTCACCCTCTCTAGAGCTAAATACAAATCAGATGGGGAATCATGCTACAATTTTTAAAAGGAAAATCTAAGAATCAAGAGATTTGGTTTCTGGTCAAGCTCTGTCAGGAAAGGCCTTAAAACTCTGATGTTGGATAAATGATTTAACTTCCATTGGTCTTGGTGTCTTTATCTATAAAATGAGTTGTAATTTGACAGATTGGTGTCTGTATTAGCCAGTGTTCTCCAGAGAAACAGAACCCATAAAATGTGAGTGTGTGTGCAGATTTATTATAAAGAGTTGGCTCATGCAATTATAGAGGCTGACAAGGCTGACAGGCTGGAGACCCAGGGGAGCCAATGCTCCTATTTGAGTCTGAAGGCTGTCTGCTGTAGAACCAGGAAGAGCTGATGTTGTGGAAGTTCAAAGGCAGTCTGCTGGAGAATTCTCTGCTGCCCTGGGGAAGGTCAATCTTTTTTGTTTTATTCAGGCTTGCAACTGATTGGATGAGTTCCTCCCACATACTATGGAGGGTGATCTGCTTTACTCAAAGCCCACCAATTTGAATGTTTATTTCTCAAAAGACACCCTAACAGAAACACCCAGAATAATGTTTGACCAAATGTCTGGGTGCTTCGTAGCCTGGTCAGGACATAAAATTAATCATCACAGTACCTAAAGAACTTTAAATTCTAATATTCTATAATTTTGAGCTATCATAGGAACAGTCATGTCTTGGTTGCATGAGACATAGTTCATAGGTCAGTGTCAGTAACTGTCTCAGCCAAGTCTTAAGTTACAGACATGCATTTATTCATCCTGCAAGTCTTTATTGGGCACTTTCTATGTGCCAGGCACTGTGCTAGGTAAAGAATTTGAATTTTATTCTAAGGGCAATGGGAAGCTATTGAAAGATTTAAGCTAGGGTGTCTGACTTTCATTAAAAGGGATAATTTTGGCTGTGGTGTGGAAAATGGCTTTGAGTGAGGCGAGTATAGATATCAGTAAGGATATCAATGAGGGGGTTTGTATCAGGCAAAAACTTACCTGTGGGTTGGGTAAGATTGGGTTGGTGCTGGTAGAGGTGGAGAGTTGACTGCCTATGGGAAAGTTTTAAGATATATCATTAGCAGTTATCAGAAACTCATTGTCTAAAAGCAAGGTTCTAGAGTGTCAAGCATGCACAATCCTTGACTTATTTCTTATTCTCATGCAAGTAATACCTACTACCCGCTTTTTCGTCACAAATAAATAGAGTTTAAAAAATCATTGTAAAGCACTCTCCACATAATTTTAAAGGGATCAGTATAAAATGGTAAGACATTAACACTTGACCCATCCTTTCAGAGTTGTGAATCTTGAACTATTAATCAATCAGTTGTAAGAAATGGGAAAGGCCTCAAAAGACAGTGATCTCCTTAGATAGAAGTAGCCTATTCTAAGTCTGCTGTGGGACAAACACAGAAAGATGTTGGTCGCAAGATGCTTCACACCCAGCTTCAGCAGAAGAATATCAGATCTGTGAGCAAGCTTCATAAGAAGTGGAAGGGTCTGGCAGTAGCATGGCAAGACAGCCTTTCTTGATCTGATGACAGATCATATTTCTAATTCCACCTCATGTTGGTGGCACACTGTCCACACACAGTGAGCATTACAGGCCATCTTGTGCCACGTTATCTTTTTAACTATTTTTTCCTCTTCCTGGCCTTGCTCTCTCTGGTCTGTCCAGAAAGTTTCTACTACTTATCCTTGAACACCTTGAATTTTTTCTGCGACTTCATCTTTCCTTCCAGCCAGAATTAGTTACTCCTTCTTCTGTAACATTATCACTTAGTATTTTATAGTGCGATTACATTTATCGATTTGTTTCCCTCAGTAGACCGTGATGACATAGGGACAGAAAATATATTGATCTTCATGTCTTTATGAACCCATAAAACTCATACAAACGTTTATTGAACACATTCTAGGTACCAGTGCTATGCTTGCAAATTGTTTACTCTATAAACTCTATGAAGGTAGGGACCATATTTTTTGAATGAGAAAAATAATAAGGTTTTCACATATAAATGATATAACTACTTTCAATGCATTTTCCTCAAACTTTTATTGCTATTTTAAAAATTGTATCATTAAACTAAATTCTTAAACTTAGTGCTTTCTGGCTAAAGTAGAGTTTCACATTTAGTGGCTAAAGGTGATCTTGTATTTTTGTCAATCTTTCTGTAGACATTTGGTAGTTTTATATTATTCTTTGTGTTCCAAGGAGGAGGAATCTAAACATTTTTCTTTCTTTTTTCCAGGGACAATAATTTTGACTATTTGGAGTTTCGCCTTTGGATTGGCCTGTGGTCCGCCTTCCTATGTCTCATTTTGGTAGCCACTGATGCCAGCTTCTTGGTTCAATACTTCACACGTTTCACGGAGGAGGGCTTTTCCTCTCTGATTAGCTTCATCTTTATCTATGATGCTTTCAAGAAGATGATCAAGCTTGCAGATTACTACCCCATCAACTCCAACTTCAAAGTGGGCTACAACACTCTCTTTTCCTGTACCTGTGTGCCACCTGACCCAGGTGAGGGCATTACGCTTTGTGTTTATGCTCGCTTTGTATTTGGAGGAAGGTGTAGGCTCCATGCTTGCAAATTTTCAACATGCTGTCATGGTCCTCAGGAATTAGTCTTGTTTTTTTCTCTGAAAAACTCTGCTACTGAATTTGATGTCTCATTGCCTGAGGTATTTTAGCTGTATGATTCAACCAGGAAGGAGACCAGGAGCTCTGGAATGTGAACATAACCAACTCAATATTTTGAAATTAACTCAAACTGTGGGATTTGCAAGGAATTCATGTGTACATTATTCTTGATTTTATAAGTGGGGAAACCTGGATACATGTATTAACAGATATAAATATGTGACAAACCTATCCTTTGCTGCTTCTTTATTGGTGTAGGAATGTCTTCCTTTAAGTAAACCTTTAATACATGATTTTAAACTTATAGAAGAAAAAGATACTAATCCACTTCAGATAATTTAAAGAATTAAATTATGAAAAAAAGAAATTCAGATTGGAATTGCCTACTGGTAGAATTTTATAGTTTATCTCTACTAGACAAATAAGAAAAGAAAGGAAGAGAGAAGAAGAAATGAAAGAAGGAATGTGATGTTCTAGGAGTAGATTTATATTGTAGAATCCAGAAGGACATAACAGCAAAAGTAACTCCTGGAAAGGAATGTGATTCTCTATATCTTAGCCCTTTAAAATCTATCATACCAAACATGAGTTGACATCAGAACTTTTTCACAAAAAAATAAAAATAAAAAAATGTTCAGCTTGGTCTTTGGAATTCTTTCTTGGAGTAATTCCATTATAAAATTCCATTTTATAATATGAAAGGCATTTCAAAAAAGGATTTACTTTGAGGGAAATTGTTTTAGATCTTCTCTCATAGAAAAAGGAATAGGGACTGGGTGTGGTGTCTCATGCCTGTAATTTTGAAATTAACTCAAATTGCAGTATTTGCAAGGAATTAAAGTCTGTATTATTCTTTGTACAGCACTTTGAGAGGCTGAGGCAGGTGGATTGCTTGAGCCCAGGAGTTTGAGACCAGTCCGGGCAACATTATGAAACCCTGTGTCTACAAAAAATAGAAAAACCAGCCGGGTGTGGTGGCACGTACCTGTAGCTACTCAAGTGGCTGAGGGAGTAGCAAGACCCTGTCAAAAAAAAAAAAAAAAAGAGAAAGGGATAGGCATTTGTGTCAGACAATTACATGTTAGTAGCACTAGTGATTCTAGGTTACGCAATTAGATACAGGTCTATGTCCCTTAAAATAAAAATTGATATACAGTCCATACTTTTTACTAAGGTCTTTTAGCACCAGAAGTACAGCAGTGTTCAAAGGGCTGGGACACAAATGTGGGGCACATTCATGCAATATCCACTGCGACTTACAGATTCTGAGGAAAAAGCTCTTAATGTTTACCGTAAAACAAACATGGTTATAGACTAGAATGCAGAATGCTTATGAATTTAAAAAATAAGCAAGATACTACTTTTTATGCTTGTGGCATGCTGTTTCAGATTGCTCCTAGATATTTTGGTATGCAATGCATTCTTCTCTGCTACGTTGGTGAAGAAGTCTTAGAAGACTGATATGTGTCTTGAATTGAGAAAAAAGAGAACACTACTTCCCTCACAATAGGCAGTCAGTAACACTGATGACAAGCTAGGGCATTGTTGGGCTGTGTGCTCATGGATTCTTTTTGTGTTAAGATAAATTAGCACACATTAAAATAAAACCCATATTTAAAAGCAATGCAGAAAGTTATATAAAGTAGAAATTTAAAGATTCAAACTAATAAGAATGCCATATAGTTATGAAAGCTAACTAGCGTTCAGCTGTATACTGATTTGAAATATTTGATAATTTAAAAAGTACTTGGAAACAAGCACAATATGTGTCATTCAACCCATGATATATATTATTATTAGAATCAATTAAATGTGCTCCCCAGAGAAACACAGATGTTATTGTCACTCAACTATATGGAGCTCTTCCTAGGAAAGAAGGGGGATAAAACTCCCCCTTCAGTCAGTGCTTCAGGGAAGTCCAGCTGTTCAAAATATTGGCTTCACAAACATTTAATTGTGAGATTTTCAGCCTTCCTTTACATTTATTAATTTATACATAAATATATGTGTAAGTTTATTTATTTACGACTTCTTAGGCAGGTTTGAGTAATCATACACCAAGATTTTCTAAAGGAAAAAAAACACTTTGAGATATTCATGAAGCCAGATGTGGGCTTTGTCAACACACCTGTCACACAGAAAAAAACATCTAATGTCAACCCCATACCTACCTGAGGCGAATGGAAACTTGTGTTCGTTGTTTTATAATTTGGATGTTGGCAGAGAAGGTAACATGAAACCAAGGAAGACATATCTAAATGTGTTCAAATTATAAAAAGTACTATGGTTTTACATGTAATTTTCCTTCTAAGAAGGATCTTTGTTTTTTTTGAAAAAGTGACGTTAAGGGTGGAATCTATTTTACACTTGCATAGCAAGTGCTGACATAAGTGGTGATAGCTTTTCCTTTGTCCAGTTTTTCCCAGGCTGTGTAAAAAGTCAGTGCTAAGTAACTAGGAAGTTGTCCAGAAGGACTCTGACAATTCCTGCTACCTCTAGTTGGTACCAATAAAGTACTGTCACAGGACTTTGAAGTCAGAAGATCCTGTATTCAAGTCCTGGTTTGGCTCAGGCCAAATGTGTGACTTTCAGCAAGTTCCTTTTCCCAAGGTATATTAGCCCCATCTTCCTAACCTGTAAACTAAGGTTAATAATAGTACCTACCTTATAGATTTATTTTGAAGGAAAAGAAAGAGCTATTACAGATAAAATTCTTAGGACAGTTTCTAATATGTAATAAGTAATCAACTGTTAGCTGCCATTATTATTGCTATTACTGATCCTTAAAATTTAGGGTTAGTATTTAGCCTTGAAGTGTAAGTAATAGAATAAACAGACCTATCTTCATCATCCTTCCTTCTAGGCATACATTGTAGGGCAGTTGGCCCATTATGCAACAAGACTGTTGGTTGTACCTCTTATTGGTACTCATGAAAGATATATATGTGAACATGAAGAATTTTTTAAGTCTATGGAGATGAAATCTATTTGTGGTTTGGAAAAAGGCAGTGGATAGTTATTTGCACTTTCATGACAATTTCATATTTAACAAAACCCCATAAGATTAATGATTGTGTATCTCCCCCATAACCTTAGTACTTTTTGACAATGTTAATACTTCTCCATAACCTTACTGCTTTTTGGTAGCAAACTGAATACATTCATCATCAATTTAGTATTTCTTGATATCAAACTGAAAGATGATAGTGAGAGAGTAATACAGTTGCATATAGAGCTCAAGTAAATATTCTAAAAATAACAAAAGACTGGCCTTTCATCACAACGTGCACTCTTAGTAAAATAATTCAATGAGTCAATAATAGTTAAACTGGCGTATGACTTGTTTTTCAACACTGGGACAGTATGTAACAGTGAACCAGCAATTGCACAGATGGAGTCGTGATCCTGCAAACTGAGAAATGATTTTACAGGAATGGAAATAGGGGCCACTAATTACTAAAGAAACCTCTCTTCATGGCCACAATATATTGTGGCTTTTTTATATGTGTGTGCTTTGTCAAGGCAACACTTCCTTTTCTCTTTTTTTCTTTCGTCTTCTCACTTGCTTCCAAAAAGCCTAATCATTTCCTAATTTTTCTTTTCTAAATGCACTTTTTTCTCCATTCATTTTGCTCCCAACTACTGCTTGGTAACCCAAGTCACATACATAGGTTTACTGAGCAACTAAGGAAGCTTAGTTGCAAGTGCTAGTAGGAAAATCAGTCAGAAAGTTTGACATATGTGAGTGGATACATGCCATACATGGGTGGTTTTTGTGCTAAGATTTGCTTTTCTTAGAAATGGGATAGCTATTAATTAGTAGACGAAATGGATGTTAAATTTCCCACTGTACTTTGATGATTACATAGCAGAGTGTGTAAGAAAAACGATAATTTAGTTCAAAAGCCAAAAGTGAAAACTGAAAAATATCCAATTGAAGAATAATACACAATATCTAATTTCATCACCAACACCCCAATTTAGAAATGTTAATGTGATAAAGTGTAAATACTATGTGCTTTAGAGTAAACAAAACTGAGTTTGAATTTCAGTGTTACCCAGAACTAGGCTAATTACTTAATCTCTTTGTTTGATAAACTCTGAACTGGGTTAGTGATTGTGCCTATTCTTAGAGGTTACTATAAAGGTTAAATGAGATAGTATATGCAAAATAGTTTGGCACCTAATGGACACTGAGTAAAAATTTGTTCTTTTTCATATTTCTCACTATCCTACAAAAGATGCCCCAGTGAGTTTAATCTTATAATAGTTGTATTCTTTAAAGATTTCAAACATTTAATTTTCCCATAAATTTTCCTAGGGAAAGATACTAACAAGGCTTCTACTGCAAGTCTGCCTTCTCCCCCAAAATTAACAACCAGTGTGCTGTTATAGATAAATATGAAACATTGAAGCTGTATTTACAAAAAAAAGTTAAAGCTTCATTGCATTGTAGTTAGAGTATTTAATACTATTGCATTGAATCTCGAGGCTACAAAAGTGTTGTATATTATACATAGTCATTAAGAAAAAGGCTTTAAAGTCTAGGGGCGAGGTGTTCAATTCTTCTAAGAGGAATCTCTTTAATTTATTCAAAAGCATAAATACTAGAATTTTGGAAATAGGGAAAAGAACATGGGCATCCCCCCAACTTTCACTTGTTTTCTCTTCTGTCCTCTGTCCTTTTTTACTTCTCATTCATTCATCAACAAAAATTTTCTGAGGGCCTGTTTCACTGCTTTTTAAGAATTGTGCAGAAAATTTTTGCAATCTGTCCATCTGACAGAAGGCTAATATCCAGAATCTACAAAAAATTTAAACAAATTTACAAGAAAAAAACAAACAATCCCATCAAAAAGTAGGCAAAGGATATGAACAGACACTTCTTGAAAGAAATTTATGCTGCCAACAAACATGAAAAAAAGTTCATTATTGCTGGTCATTGGGGAAATGCAAATCAAAACCACAATGAGATACCATTTCAGGCCAGTTAGAATGGAGATCATTAAAAAGTCAGGAAATAGATGCTGGAGAGGATGTGGAGAAATAGGAATGTTTTCACACTGTTGGTGGGAGTGTAAATTAGTTCAACCATTGTGGAAGACAGTGTGGTGATTCCTCAAGGATCTAAAACTAGAAATACCATTTGACCCAGCAATCCCGTGACTGGGTATATACCCAAAGGATTATAAATCGTTCTGTAAGGACACATGCATAAGTGTCTTTATTGCAGCAATATTCACAATAGCAAAGACTTGGAACCAACCCAAATGCCCATCAATGATAGACTGGGTAAATAAAATGTGGCACATATGTACCATGGAATACTATGCAGCCATAAAAAATGATGAGTTCATGTCCTTTGCAGGGACATGGATGAAGCTGGAAACCATCATTCTCAGCAAACTAACATAGGAACAGAAAACCAAATACCACACGTTCTCTCTCATAAGTGGGAATTTAACAATGAGAACATATGGGCACAGGGAGGGGAACATCACACACCGGGGTCTGTTAGGGGGTTGGGGGCAAGGGGAGGGAGAGCATTAGGAGAAATACCTAATGATGGGTTGATGGGTACAGCAAACCACCATGGCACATGTATACCTGTGTAAAAAACCTGCACATTCTGCACATGTATCCCAGAATTTAAAGTATAATGATAATAAAAAGAATTGTGCTACTTGCAGTGAAGTAGAATACACACATATACAAACACATATTATAAAATGTATTGTTTTTTAAAATAGTGTTAATTGCTTTTTGAATGAACAAAAGTGAGAGTTTCATTTAATCCAAACTTTGGAAATAAATTTCTAATCTAATACCTCTGTTCATTTGCCTAATGTGTAAATCTTGCAGTGACTATATACTCAAGGCACATTAATATTTTGAAAAGGGTCAAAGAAAATTTTCTGACCAGGTGTCAGTTTTACATCCTGAGGGAAAAGAAACTTTGCTAAAAATAATGAACTATAAAAGTAAGAAAAATAGCCTCAAAGGGATAGACACTATATTGTTAACAAAAGGGATATATTTTATTGATTTATTGTTGACTGTTCCAGGAGAACATGCTTAACAATATATGTGTAAGTAAGGTGAGTAAATTCTTTCTCAGGAACCAAGTGCATCCCTGTCTATATTATCTTCAAGTAATAGTTGGCTTTTTTCCTGGTATAAAACTGTAAGACCAAGCCTGGTCTGGAAGTAACCATGGCTTCCAGTTCCATACCTTTAAGTCATTCACAGCATAAGGAGGCTTCTAGATGCTCTAAAATAGTTGTCACTGGAGTTTCAACATCATTTCTTTCTACATAATTTTTCTAATATATTAATAAGCGCTGTGCAACAATATGTTATAGCCATTCAAAAGAACTGCTGGATTGCATCCCCTGTGTTCCCATATTATAGTCAATATGTGTTTTTTAATTAGAAAGCCCATTAAAAGAAAATAAGAAAATAAAAGATCATCCTAACTTACCTCCCATGAACTATATCATAATATATGCAATTTTATTTTTATTGTGTGCCATTCCCTCTTTATGAGGTAGGTTTAAATCATAAACTAATGGTAAAACAAGGAAGTATAAGTTCTTCTGCTGTAGCATCCCTCAGGCTTGCATTTGTGAGACTCCTTTACCGGCACAGTTGACATTTTATCATTTATGGTAATAGTGTTTTGGAAGAGACCCATCATTTTAGTTTGCTTTTACTGTCTTAACCTATGTTTTAGCAGTTTCTGCATAATGCTTGCCGGAATCAGAAAATGGGATTGTCATCAGACCTGGAAAATTCTCTAGTTTTGGGTTGTGTAAAAGCAGATTTGTAAAAGTTTCCCCATGGTAATGTCTATAACACATCTCCAAGATGTAATGATGGGTGGGTATGAAAGAGAAGTTTTTGTGAAATTGGGGACAAAATATGCCCATCTTTTTTTTTTTTTTTTTTTGAGGTGGGGTCTTACTCTTTCACCCAAACTGGAATGCAGTGGCATGATCATAGCTCAGTGCAACTTCAAACTACTGGGCTCAAGTGATCCTCCCACCTCAGCCTCCTGAGTAGCTAGGACTACAGGCACATGCTACCATGCCCAGCTTAAATATATTCATCTCAATATCTCCACAGTAGCTCAGCTCTTTAACTTCCAGCACACCATCGTAGATGAACTTGTGAAGAGTGCCTGTAGATTAAAGAGTATACAACTTGAACTTGCCTAGTTGTGGTGAAAATCTCAATCATTAAGTCTTGCTGAAAATACTTGGGAAAACTAAAAGGATAATAAGAAAAAAAAAAAAGAAAAACTTACTACTGATTTTGTCTGTTTTAATACTTAAGGCTGAGATAGTAGCAAATAATTTCCCTAGAAGCTACTTCTCTCAGTTTTCCTTTGTCTTCCCTCAAAAGCCATTTTTACCCTTTGTTGCCTTTATTGACCTAGAAATTAAAAGCATACATATTTAACTTAATCAAAAGGTACTAGTGTGCTCAAGTTATCCAGAACCCTTAAATAAATCTGACATGACCATGTGGCAGAGCTTATTTAATTTTATCCTTTATCTATTTTCTAGTTACTTAATTGCCTTAAGATGTTTCTTAAATGTAATGGAATAAAACTTTAAAGTTTCATTATCATGGAAAATAGTCTTAAAGTTTTTCTTGTTCACATCGGGTTAATCAGTGCCACATAGCTGTAACCCTAAGAAGCCATGTTGAGGGCACAGGTTCAGATTAGGCTAATATTTATTAAGCACCATCCAAATGCCAGACATTTTACTAGGGGATTTTAATCAACTATATCTTGATAACATTGTATATTTAACCATCACATAAATCTTGAGAGATAGCTGACATTCATCCCAGGGACAAGGTCTGCTTTCTCCAGGTCACAGAGCTAGGAGTAATCTTAGCTGCCATTTATTTAGATCTATCCTGTGTTTACAATTTTGCCTACACTGTGTTATTTTATCTGCACAGTAACCTTATGAGGTAGATGGTTTCAAATCCAGTTTTACAAATGAGGAACATGTGGTCAAGAGGTGTGAAGTAACTCCTCAAGATTATGTGGTGTGGGAGCCTAAGGGCACTATGCTCAGAAGGTGCTGGGTCCAGAATTCAAGCCCAGTTTTTCTAGTACCCCCTTCTCCACATTGTATTAGGTGATACATAAAAGCAGACAGATATGACCTTAGTGACCAGTTGTTGCTTACACTTGACCTCACAGTCTCACGTGAGTTTGTAGCTGTTCCTGATGGTACAGTTCCTGCTAATATGTAAAGCAGAGGAGCCATGGGGTAGTTCCTGGGGCCAGGTCACTAGAAGATAAAGGGGAAGAACCTTTAACAGTGCAACAGATACTCCCCTATGCAAGAGGTGTGCCAACACTGACACATGGATGTCACCTCCTTTTTTCTCTCACAGCTCCCACAACTGCAGCCATACTTGATCCACTTGTTCTTTCTCTAAATCTCTCATTAAACATGAAGAAGTCAGCTTAAATGCCTAGTGTTCCATTATTGGAATGCTAAGCTTGTGGGAGTTATTTATATCCTACTGCTCAAGGTCATCGCCAAGGTCTGATTTTTCACACACAAAAAATTTTTGGAATAAATAGGCTAAGAAGGAAAAGTCACAGATACATTTGTAAATGTCAATTACTTACAATATTCATTCCCTCATTCCAGAAAATCAGCTAAAATCTGATACATGGGAAGGAGGAAAGAGATATGAAAATCCAAGTATGGAAAACGATCAACCTGTGGAAGCTCTCTGAAAGCCAGTATGAAACAGAGATTGTCCCAGTGGTAATTGGCTACATCTAAGTTAGCCAGATTCCTAGGGCAAAGGGTTTCTTTGCCTCATGAGCCAGGATGCTGAGTAAATGGGAGAGACAGTGTAGAGTGTTTTGGCTTTTCCATTTGACTTTTCCAGAATCCTAATTAAGGAGATTGCAGATTCCATATAAATGGATCATTCTGCAATTGGTTGCCAAAATATTTGCACCTGGATCCAAATGGTAACCAACGGTTCTTGTAGACCAAGCTTCCAATTGGGATTGATCATTTTCTTTTCTGTGAGCCTAAAGAAATTTACTTTTAATCTTGTTTATGGACTCTAACATACCCTGCCAATATGCAATTATGAAACTGCTTTTTAAATGTATTTATTTTCAAGTCTTTCTTCTGAAGCAGATACTTATTAAAATAAGTATGGAAAGTGTTATATACTTTTTACTGTCCTTTTGATGCTGGTCTTTTGGGATTTTGAGAGCCAATGTGCTTTAATAGCTTGTCTTAGGGGAAAAAAATTGAAATTCTAAAAGGAATTTAAATGAGCAGAATTGATGCTTATCCAAAACTTGAGAGCAGCTACTAAAAGTTCAGATTGCAATCCTATTTTAGTACACCCCTGGCCTTTATTATCCATCATTCATTTCATGAAGAAAGAGCCTTGAATATCTTTCCTCCTCAGTCTTTACTCCTTGTTTTTATGCAGAAAAGTGTGTTGCAAAAAGACCTTCAAACTCTCGTGACAGGAAGCTGATAAAATTGCATTAAAGAATCTAGCTCAAGAAGGGAAGCTTCTCAACACTATCCAAATAGTATCTGTAATTTCATATATGTTGCCTTTCCTCAAAAGCTCAGACAGATCAGACATTTCAGATCACAGTTGAGAGTCACATCATCTAACATTGGCAAGTACTATCTCATCTTGAATTCTGTGGCCACATAAGTCATCTGATTTTGATGGTTAGAAATGCTGTGTAAGACAAGAAAGAATGCTGAACAAGGTCTTGCTACCAACTCTGCTTCTGATAAACTATAACCCTGGGCAAGTAACTGGCATAGCAAGCTTCAGAGTCCCATCCAATATGAAATGGGTATAAAAGTATACCCATTATATGCTCTAGGATGTTTTAAAATGAAGAAATACAGTGTAAGAAAATGTTCTTTCAGCTTTTTAGAACAACATAGTAATATAAACCTAGATTTTGTTAATAATTATTTACTAACATCTTCTTCCTTTTGAGAATGGATTCATTCGGCTTTATTGTTTAGACCAAATGTCCTTTAGCCTGTTTTTGTTTTTGTAACTTTCATTTAAGTTCGGGATACATGTGCAGGTTTGTTACATAGCTATATGTGTGCCATGGGGGGTTGTTTTAAAGATTATTTCATCACCCAAGTATTAAGCCAAGTACCCATTAGTTGTTTTTCCTGATCCTCTTCCTCCTCCCACTCTCCACCCTCTAATAGGCCCCAGAGTGTGTTGTTCTCCTTTATGTGTCCATGTGTTCTCATCATTTAGCTCTCATTCATAAGTGAGAACATGCAATATTTGGTTTTCTGTTCCTGCATTCGTTTGCTAAGGATAATGGCCTCCAGTTCCATCCATATCCCTGCAAAGGGCATGATCTCGTTCCTTTTATGGCTGCATAGTATTCCATGGTGTATATGTACCACCTCTTCTTTATCCAGCCTATCATTGATGGGCAGTTAAGTTGATTCTATGTTTTTGCTGTTGTGGATAGTGCTACAGTGAACATAGGTGTACATGTGTCTTTGAAATAGAACAATTTGTATTCCATTGGGTATATACCCAGTAATGGGATGGCTGAGTCAAATGTTATTTGTGTCTCTAGGTCTTTGAGGAATCACCACACTGTTTTCCACAATGGTTGAACTAATTTACACTCCCACCAACAGTGTATAAGTGTTCCTTTTTCTCTACAACCTCACCAGCATCTGTTATTTTTTGACATTTTAGTAATAGCCATTCTGACTGGTGTGAATAGTATCTCACTGTGGTTTTGATTTGCATTTCTCTAATGATCATTGATGTTGAGCTTTTTTTTTCATATGATTATTGGCTGCATGTATGTCTTCTTTTGCAAAGTGTCTGTTCATGTCCTTAGCCCACTTTTTAATAGGGCTGGTTTTTTTTCTTGTAAATTTGCTTAAGTTCCTTATAGATACTGGATATTAGGCCTTTGTCAGATGCATAGTTTGCAAAAATTTCCTTCCATACAGTAGGTTGTTTGTTTACTCTGTTGATAGTTTATTTTGCTGTGCAGAAGCGCTTTAGTTTAATTAAATTCCATTTGTCAATTTTTGCTTTTGTTGCAATTGCTTTTGGCATCTTTGTCATGAAATCTTTTCCCATGGCTGTGTCCTGAATGGTATTGCCTACGTTGTCTTCTAGGGTTTTTATAGTCTTGGGTTTTGCATTTAAGTATTTAATCCATCTTGAGTTAATTTTTTTATGTTGCATAAGGAAGAGGTCCAGTTTCAATTTTCTGCTTATGATCAGCCAGTTATCCCAGTACTACTTATTGAATAGGGAATCCTATTGCTTCTTTTTGTCAGGTTTGTTGAAGATCAGATAGTTGTAGATGTGCAGTCTTATTTCTGGATTCTCTATTCTGATCCATAGGTCTATGTGTCAGTTTTTGTACCAGTACCATTCTGTTTTTGTTACTAGAGCCAGGTAGTATAGTTTGAAGTTGGGTAACATGATGCCTTCAGCCTTGTTCTTTTTGGCTATTTGGGCTCTTTTTTGTTTCATATAAATTTTAAAATAGTTTTTTCTACTTCCACATTGAGAAGAATCTCAGTGGTGGTTCAATAGGAATAACAGTGAATATATGAATTACTTTGGGCATTATGGCCATTTTAACAATATTGATTCGTCTTATCCATGAGTGTAGAATGTTTTTCTATTGTTTGTGTCATTTCTGTTTTCTTTAGCAGTGGTTTGTGGTTCTCCTTGTAGAGATCTTTCACCTTCCTGGTTAGCTGTATTCCCTAGGCATTTATTCTTTTTGTGGCAATTGTGAATGGGAGTTTGTTCCTGATTGTTGTTAATATTTAGGAATGCTAGTGATTTTTGCACATTGGTTTTGTATCCTGGGACTTTGCTGAAGTTATTTTTCAGCTTAAGAAGCTTTTGGGCTGAGACTGTGGGGTTTTCTAGATGCAGGATCATGTTGTCTGCAAACAGGGATAGTTTGACTTCCTCTCTTCCTATTTGGATGCCCTTTATTTCTTTCTCTTGCCTGATTGCCCTGGCCATTACTTCCAATACTATGTTGAATAGGAGTGGTGAGAGAGGGCATCCTTGTCTTGCACAAGTTTTCAATGCTTCCAAGTTTTGCCCATTCAATATGATGTTGGCTGTGGGTTTGTCATATATGTCTCTTATTATTTTGAAGTATGTTCCTTCAACACCTAGTTTGTTGAGAGTTTTTTTTAACATGAATGGATGTTGAATTTTATCCAAAGACTTTCCTGCATCTATTGAGATAATCTGGTATTTTTTTCTTTAGTTCTGCTTATGTGATGAATCACATTTATTGATTTGCATATGTTGAACCAACCTTGCATACCAGGGATAAAGCCTACTTGATCGTGGTGGATTAGCTTTCTGATGTGCTTCAGCCTATTTTAATTCCCTCTGTGATCTGTAATGAAACAGAATAAGAACACAGATAATAATGCACATGTACTTGCTTTACTGCTGAAATAGAGAAACTCTGGCAACAGCTAGCTTTAGTTTAACAGTTTTACAATCTAAAGTCTTGAAAGACCAGAGTGAATTCCAAAATTGACCAAAAGTAGGGCTCAAGCTAAATATTTTATCTCTTTTAGTTGTTTTTCTTGTTTTTTTTCTTCCCCAATTTATCTGCTCTCATTCATTTTTAGTCATGAAATGCCCTCTTTTCTAACTTCCTTTATTGACAGTAAACAAATATTTTTGAGTTCCTGTTAAGAGCTACACTGGGTAGATTTTAGGGAAAAACAGTGAATGAGATAAGCTTCTTCTGTCCCTCCCTTATGGATCTCATACTCTAATGTCAGCTATCAAAACCTGTGTGTTTCTTCTTAAAGGTTTATATAGGCAGGACTTGAAGCATGGCAAACTAAAAAGGCAAGCTAGTGGCTCAGAGGGACTGGAGTAGGGATCAAACAGTAGCTAGCAATTCAGATGTTAAATAAACTATGGGACCCTAAACAAACAAACAAATAATTAAAAACCCTGATGTGTTGTTTTATAATATTTCTATAAATTAGGAATATGCTCTAATAGTTTATTTTATAATACATAAAGCTTTGCAAAATAGGAAAAAGGCTTATCTGATAAAGAAAAATATTTTATAGAATACTTTTTAAATACTGTTTTTTAATTTTCAGACACATAAAATTTTAAAAAAGGAATGAAACATTTCCAAGAGGAACGTTGGTTTAATAAATTAGGTTCTTCTTCAAGTGCCATCTTCAACCTATAAATGACGCCACATTATATGAAAATAATTTTTAAAATTAGATTAAATGTTCATCTCCATTATATTTTTATTATTTAATACTGTCTCTTGTTTTCACACATTTTGCAAAGATAACCTTTCTCATACACTGTTGAAATTTCCAAAAGCTACAAATTATTTAAGTCTTAATTAGTAAAGCTTCAATATGGGAAATTTTCCTGTACATTCTGAAGCCAGTGGTCAACTTAATCAATTATGAACAGCCCTTGTTCCACTAGCAAAATATATTGAGTACCTTGTAGTATCAGGGAAGTTTTATTTCTTTTTTTTTTGAAACCTGAAACAAATTTTAATACCGTCTCTTTAAATATTCACCATCATTTCTTATCAGATTAGAGCACAGCAGATGTGTCCAAATCTTTGTTTTATCTAGGTGAAAGGTGAACACATTTATAATAAATAAAAATTCATTGTGCCCTTATGTTGTTATTAAAGACATTTTTACTGTATAACCCTGCTTTTAAAAATACCTAATTATGCATTTAAGGTCTTTTTCTATTTTAGTTTTATAGTATAAAATAATTATCTTTTGCTTACAGCTAATATCTCAATATCTAATGACACCACACTGGCCCCAGAGTATTTGCCAACTATGTCTTCTACTGACATGGTAAGTGACTTACTATTTTAAATTACCTTCATACTGACTGCATATTGTATACTTGTTTATAATACTTATAATATATGATGTCTTCTACCACTCAGCAATTCTGGCATGAACACATACGTAACAATTATTGACAGTGGAGGGACGGGAAAAAAAAAAGCCACTTTCCTTTGCTCTAGTCAGCACTTTTTTTTTATTTGCCTTAAAAAAAGCTGAAGCCAATATTTACTTCTATAACATGCTTTTTAAAACTTCTTAGAATTTAACTGCCACATTGCATTAATTGTAACCTCGAAATATTTTCACAAGGGAAAATGTGAGAAGTTGGAAAATGAGAGCACAGTATCCTCTCTCTGTTTCTCGTATGGTTAAGAATTCTTACCAACCAAATGGTGCTGTGTTCTCTTCACTAAGAGTGATTGTAGCAGGACCTTTCCCCTGTCACTTAGAACGGACTGTGCCTCTGTCACATGATATCCTTTCCCATGGCTGGTAACCAAGGATCTTTAGGAGACTGGAACTAAGCTTTAAAAATGAGCTGTTTTGCATGGAAGGTCACACACTGGAAGGAGGCTTTTGTATTGGAGAAAAAGGGGAAAGTGCTGTTTCAGACTTCCAATTGTGCTCCTTCTATGCTGAACATGGAATCTTACCAAAGAATATCAATCTTTCAGTTATAAAGACAGAAGCCATAATACCTTGTGTTGATAGAGTGCCCATCTCTCAGGAGACCCGGACATTTCTACAGATATTATGTAGTGAGTGCCCTAACATCCCTTTCAAAGATGATGTTTTGTATCTTTCCTGGGCAACTCTCACGTGACCCTCTTTTTTGTTTTTATATTCTGTGGCTCTCTTGACTGCTTTTTTTGCTGTTAAAGTCTTCTCTGACTTTTCTCAAACTTACTTCTCTATTTCTTCCATGTTTGATGTTAGGTGTGTGAAAAAGTATGTGTATATGTTTTACCACATGCATACAGAAAGGAGTTCAACTTTCAGTCTTTCAACTGGTCAGCCTATTGCCTAAAAGGTCTTGCCTAAATACAGGCAAAACTGCCTCCTTCTAGATTTGAAAGAATTTTATTCAAAATTCTTATAGTAAAAATATAATTAATAAACTATAATTTAATAATATATATTTTAATTAAAATATAGCTAATATAGTTAATAAAAACATAAGTTAATTTGTAATAAATATTAGTGAAACACTCACTTCCACTGACTTAAGAAAAGAAATTGTTATCTAACTTAATTCTTTTTGTAACTAATCAAGGGAATCATTAAAATTAATGAACTTTTAAGCCCTGTCGTTGGGAAGTCCTGGCAGAAACTCCAGCAATTGATATGTATTAAAACAAAATGTTACAATAAGGTTCTTGAAAAAAAATGGAAGTTCTGATTGACTTCTAGTGTGACTGTGATAGAGACATAGAGGCATAATGTCATTTCAACTTAGCTACTATTTATAGAACACCTACTAGAGACCACATGTGTTACACATATTCTCATCATTGTAGACCTTAATATGTACTATAACCATCAACATAAACTACCAGGGTTAATTACTTCTATTTTATACATGAGAGAAACTGAAGCTCCAGAGGGTAAATCACCTTTCTTGCTTTAGGTCACATAGCCATATATTAGTAGAACAAAGATTTGAAGTGAAGTCTGGGTGGTTCTTAGACTGGTGCCATTCCTCGTATACCATGATGCTTCAATGTACACAAATGGCAATGTTTACCCTTCCAGTTCCTATAGATGCCCCATATTCCAGGGCAGCAATCCCTTCATATGCATCAATTGCATACCTTAATTAAAATGTGAAGGTGCTATGTTCAGCACCTCTAGGGAAAGAAGTTAGAAGAAAAAATGTGTGTGTGTGTGTGTGTGTGTGTGTGTGTGTGTGTGTGGTCATGAAGGCCAACTTTTATTTTATCCTTCATTTCTCCTTTTTCATTTATATCATTACCCGTATTTATATGTTGTGTATACACACACATACAATATAGGTAAATGACTCAGAAATGAGTTTTAAATATGATTTATTACCATCAATCATAATGATCAATTATTGAGGCACCTACTAGGTGCCAGACTCTTCACAGTAATTGTCTATAATTCTCACAATCACTTTATGAGTTATTAGATGTTACCCCTATTTTATAGATGAAACAGAGACTTAGAAAAGTTAACTGACCTCCCAAAGACCATACATATTACAAGTACATGGTAAAATGAGGATTTGAACTCAGGGTTTTCTGCCTCTAGAATCTGCCTTATTTCTGTCCTTTCAGGAAGCAGCATAGTGTTTTATGTAGAGGAACTCACAGATATTGAGTTCTTGTGTCAGACTGCCTGGTTCAAGTGCAGGGCTCCATGACTTAATAAGCTGTGGAACCTTCTTAGTTTCCCATCTGCAACATCGGGATGGTAATAGTACTTATCTCAAAGGTACTGTGAGTGTCAACTTAATAGATAGGCAGAACTTGGCATAATGGATGGCATGTAGTCATCTCTCAGTCAGTGTTAGGTATTGTTACTGTTCTTTCTAGGTATTATCATTTGATTAGGTCATGCAGCCTCCATAACTCAGAAGTTTAATGGAGAGAGGAAATTGGGAAGCCCATCTTCTGAGAGGCTATTGCGTCCTCCGTCTGCTTGGTTATGCTAGCCGGCTCTCCTATCCTGAACCTTTCCTAGGACACACAGTCATCAGGACTTAATTTTCCTTTTTTCATTTCAGCCATAATTAGATTGTGAGAGAAGGTACAGGAAAAGTGACATGCATCCCCTGGAGCCAGCAAGGCTTGCTCTCACAGGCCTTCAGTACATCCTGTCAGATGAAGGAAGGTCTTTTCCCTTCAGCTTCACTAGCATGAAGACAAGCTTTCTTTTTCATGGTGGTAGGGATATGTTTCAGGGAAAAGAGCAGGAGAGAGGGGTATTAGAGCATTTAAACAGAGATTAGAACTCTAGGATAACTATGTCTCAAGATAAAAAGGCAGGTTTTAAAATTTCCATTTATTGTTGGAATGGTGTCTTTATTTCTTCTCACTTTCTCCAATTTTTCTATAGATTTCTTGCTTGGTATATCCCTTTAACTTGCAAACCAAATTCCTTAAAAGGTTCCTGTAAACCTTTAAAATTAGCCACAGCTTGTTCACACTGTATCTAGATAATGAGCATTAATACCTGTTGGCTTGCAGTTTCCAGCTCTCAGAGTGTGAGACACCAGATTTCAAAATCAAATGTCAGTTTCTTCTGAAGAAGTGATTGAAAGGATCAGTTAGTATTTTGTTTTTCCACATCAGATTCCTTTTTTTTAAATTGAGGCATACCTTAAAATACACAGTTCTGAAGTATTCATTGAAATGAGTTTTGATGGTTGTAACTACTATCCAAACAAGATACAGGACATTTCCATCATACCAGAAGGTCCCATGGAATGCTGTATTTTGTTTGATACCCTAGCTTTCTTTTTGGGGGATCTTTCTTTGCCCAAATACTCTGCCCCTAGCCTTCAGATGGCAGATACCTGAGCCCTTTCCAAAGTGGTTGAATGCCTCAGAGAAGTTTCTCTCAGCTCTGCTTCTCTGCCTCCCATCTTAAGAAAGTGGCTTCCTTACACTTAAGAGAGGCTCCATGTATCTAAGGGGGAACTCTTTTAGCTTTCCTGTCCAACCCCCAGTCTTTCGTGTATTACCCATGCACTTGGCAAAGACCGTGAGAAAATTTGGTGAGTGGATGCAGACTTGATCTATGCCTAGGACTCCTCTGAATTCTGCTCTGTCACCCCAGTCTGCATGTAGCCATTAAAAATTCGTTAAATAGAAAAATTAGTTGGGCATGATGGCACACACCTGTAGGGTTATAGTGAGCTACAATCATGCCACTGCACTCCAGACTGAGCAATAGAGTGAGACTATGTATTAATATCTTAAAAATAAGTAAATAATAAAATAAAAAATGTTTGACTTTTTTCCTCATCTTAATGGTGAGTTTTTTAAAACTATGATTTTTATAGGGTATCTAGCTTGCTTTGGTTGTTAGGATGGGAGTGATGGCCTCTCACAATTTTCTATAATCCCAATCACAAGCAGAACAACCAGTTTATCTTGATGTCTTATAATGGTATAGACAACTGTAACTCAAATGCATGCTGTAGATGATAAGGTAAGATTTCAGATTACTGCAAATCTGGCTCACCACTGTGGGGGAAAAAACTCTAAATAAGTACATCAACAACTTAACCTTGAGGCTTTTATTAGTGGTATCACTCTCATTTATATTTTTAAAAGCACATATTTTATCAGTCAGTACTCAAAAGGGCTACAGCACGTCCTCAGATTACACCACTTCATTGTAACGTTGATGAAAAAAAGAGAAATTGACTCTCAGGCTACTGCCTATGTGGAGTTTGCATGTTCTTCTCATGTCTGCATGGGTTTTCACTAGGCACTCTGGTTTCCTTCCACATCCCAAACACATGCATATTAGGTTCATTGGCGTGTCTTAATTTCCCAGTTAGACTGAGTGTGGGTGTGTGTGTGAGTGCACCCTGTGATGAGATAGTGTCCTGTCTAGGGATAGTTCCTGACTTGCACCCTGAGCTGCCGGGATAGGCTCTGACCACTCACAACCCTGACCTGGAATGATAATAATTATCTTACTTATTTTTACTAATCTTTCTTAAATGTATGTATAGCTCACATTTATTTTAACATTTAATATTAGAAATGTTTTGATCTTTATTTAGAAGTTTGGTGATGTTTTTGTGACCAGGAATATGCCATAGGGACTTAACTCTTGCTTATAGTGATTAGCCTATGGTAAAACTGGTGGTTATACATTCATTTTGCTTAAAGTTCCAGTTTCCATGAACCTATTGATGACACTGAGGATCTACTGTAATACAGAACCTTTAATTATTATTTTTATTATTATTATTACTTATTATACTACCCAGAGATGCTGTTAATCATGGGACTAAGAACCTTCATGATGATTCTAGGAATTAACATTCATTTCATGGGAAATGGAATGTCGTATTAATATTCTTGTGCAAAGCATCCTTGTGATTTTCTCTCACCGAGAAAGTCAAGTGTAAAAACCATTCTGTCCTTAAATCTCCTTGAAGATTACATATTCCTACTTTTAAAAGTATTACGTAAAATTTTAAATATGCACTAAAATAGAATAAAGCAGTGAAGCCCCATATACGCATCACCTAGCCTCAATGGCTTTGAACATTTTGTCCATCCTGTCTCATATTATCCCTCACTTTTTCCTTTAGGGAGGATACTGTGGTCTTTTAAATTTTAAAATAAATCCTTTGGTATGCATACTACTTTTCAGAACTGCGAGCAGATCCACTCAGTATAACAGGGTAATTCTCTTGAAAAAGATATCTCAAAAAATAGATTGAAATCTCTTTTCATGAGATTTACCACAGTTAAGATCCTCAGCAACTTGATCATTTTCTTTAAATCTTTTCCCCCAGTACCCATTTACCTAAACAATCTGCTTCAGCCCATCTGGTCTATCCGCTGTTAGATCCCCACACAGGTGAGCATTCAGTAAGTCTTTAAAACTGAATGAAGCATTGTATGTTCCCATATCAGCATCTTTGCTCTTGATGTCTCTCTCTCTAATACTTTACTTCTTTTTTGCTGCCAGTGCAGAAAGAAATGCACATCTAAAGTTTGTCGCTTTTATTCCCTTTTGTTACAGTTTTGCTGTCCTTCTGCTCTTACTCCTGCTGCCCTTTGAATACGAGAGTTCTGCAAAAACCAGTCCCTCTTTTAGGGCTTAGTTTAAATTTTGTTTTCTCTGTACTCAATGAAGATGATTATTCCCTCTTCTGACCATCTGATCTTCATACCACTCATTTAGATACTTCCTTTTACTGGGTTATATTATTAGTTAATATTTAAGTTAACATACTTTATTTCTCTAGGGAAAGTTTTAAAAGTTGTTGTTTTATTTATCTTTATTGTACCTGTAAAGGTTACATTCGTTCATTCATGCACTTAGGTCTCAGTGCATTTTCTATTTTCCTGTGGCCACATTTTTCTATTTTCTAGATGTGACTGTTAACTCAAAATATTCTATATCTAATTGAAATAGTTTTGCCAGATTTAGCAAACAAAAATAAAACATGCCCAGTTAAAGATGAATTTTAAATAAATATTGAATAATTTTAGTATAAATATGTCCTAAATGTTACATATGAAACACTTATACTGAAAATACTATTTGTTGTTTACCTGAAATTCAAATGTAACTGGGCATCCTACATTTTACCCAGCAACTCTAAATTGAAAGTTTATTTTAATTTAATCTTGTCCTCCAGATAAAAAGAGTAGATAAATTGGTAGATATCTTCCTTGAATATGTCATATATTCCAGACATGATGACAGATTTCGTTTGTTCAATCAACAATGATTTCTTCAGTGCCTAATGTATCCCAAATTGAATTCTGCTACTGTCTTGCTCTGCTCTTTTCTTTTTTTTTCCTTATTGATGCACAGTCCCTTTGGTCCTCAGGCACCATACATTTATCATTTTTAGCTTTTATCCATCCTTAGTCAAAACAGTTACTAAGTCCTGGGACGTCTCTCTCTCTGTCTTTCTCTCTCTCTCTTTCTCCGTCCCTCTCTCTTCCTCCCTCCCTCTCTCTCTCTCCTTTCTCCATTCTTGCATTTCCCATCAATCTCTTTTCCTTTTCATCCCCCTAACCAGATTATTTCTCATCCACTATAAACACCTCAAAAGTTTTTGCCAACCCCAAAGAACTTGCCTTAACCTTGCAATTTGCATATTCTAACCTATTCTTTTGTTATAGTATTTCTTGAAAAAATAGTCTGTAATTGCTGTTGCAATTTTTTCACTCCCACGCATTTCTCAGCTCATTGTACTTTTTTTACCCATCACTCTGATGACTTTTTCATAGTGTTTTGTGGTATCTTCACTTCCATTGTGGATACCCTAGATGTTTTACACTCTTTTTTCCTGCACATTTTTCCCTTGTAGTTTTATTGTCTTACAACTGCAATGATCAGCTCTTTCCTGATGACTCCTAAGTAGATGTCTCTAAACTTGACATCTCTCCTAGATCTAGGTCTCAGACCCACTAGATATCTCTCTGAATATTTTCAAACTTACAACAGTGAACATTGAGGAAGCTACAATAAATTGTAATAAAACATTACACGCATCGTAAGGAAAACAGATAATGTGCTAAGAGAATTCTAACAGGCAGAAAGGACTTCTGAGATTGTGTTCCCATTTGTCTTGTTCTTTGTTTTCTTCAGAGACAGGATTTTGCTCTGTAGCCCAGGCTGGCATATAGCGGCACAATCATAGCTCACTGTAACATCAAACTCCTGGGCTGAAGTAATCCTCCTGCCTCAGTCTCCAGAGTAGCTAGGACCACAGGCATGCACCACTTAGCCTGGCTAATTAAAAAAAAAAATAATGGAGATGAGGTCTTGCTATGTTGCCCAGGCTAGTCTCAAATTCCTGGTTTCAAGTGCTCCTCCTGCCTTGGCCTCCCTAAATGCTGGGATTACAGATGTGAGCCACCATGCCAGTACTGTCTTGTTCTTAAAGTTCTGATTTAACCGTTTAAACAGTATGTATAGAATTTTGCATAGGAAATAAAGATCAAAACCATAGAGATGTGAGAACCACTTGTAAGGGCTAGAGGGCAGTAGCAGTGAGATGAGTTAAGGGTCTCCTGTATTAAGGCCAGAGGAGACAACAGTGGCTTGAACATCAGGTGTAGCAGTGGTCATAGGTAAGTTTGTTGGTGAAATGGACCCTGCCTGAAGTTTTATGGAATTAACCTTCACTGACATCAGCTTATATGGAACAATAATATTGAAATAATACAGATAATATAGATGTGTTTTCAGTGATATCTAAATAGAATTGTTTATTAGCTAGAATTTAAGTTTTATGGGAGTAGGAAACTTTGTATTCTGAAATGCCAAATATGCTGAGATATGTGCATGCCACCTACAGTTTTTATACTGAAGTCCTTAATGAAAGGTGGTATTTGGAGACTCAAGTTTCTGGATAGTGATACAAAGAATCATTTGAGGCTTACAAAATAGTGATCATTTGGCATTTTAAGTTGATGTAAGCAAGAAGACATGTCTGTCATTTCATGTACATCTGTATAGTCTTCACCTCAACCTGAATCTCTGTAAGAAAATCAATAGAACTTCCTGTCAGGATTGCTTTAATGCAACTTATCTGTGGGCAACTCTAGTTATAGAGAAGAATTCTGCTGGTATTAAAGTGCTGAAGTGAAATTATGTTAAATTTTTGCTGATTTTAAAACAAAGAAACCTGTTAGCTATTATGACTTCTAAACTTTAAATGTATGCTGCTGTAAACATCCATATGCAGAAACCTCAAAAACAAAATGAGATATGATTAATCACCTTTCAGAAGCAGAGTTTGATAAAAGCAAGAATGCAGTTCAGCTGTTTACAAGTTGAAGCTTCTATAGGAAAAATATTTCAGGGAAAGATATATAGTTTGTTTTTTATTGACTTATGTAAGCACTTTACCTTTTGAGCTCTATAAAAAAATGAACTCTTTCTGGGAAGAGATTCTTCTTTTATGACTATATTACTCATATCATGACAATTCATTGAATAGTAAAAGACATTGATGATGTGTTTGGTGTGAGGTAGAACTCTTGTCTTCAAAGGACAGGAGAAATTTATCTTTCCACATTTATTTGCAAGGTGTTTTCAAATAACTCTTCTGATAGCATATGACATATCCATTAGCCCTGGACCTAAGAGGAGTAAGTTATGGGTATTTAGAATGGTTCTAAGCTGAGACACCCAGTCCCTTCCACCCAACCACATTGGCATCCATTTAGATAGGTACAATTTTGAAAATCTCTTCCCAGGAAAGAGCCAGATTGTCACAGTATGCAAGAAAGTGTTGTGCATAGCAAAAGAAACTTAGGTAAAGGATATTTAAGAAGATTCAAACATCAGTATAAGGGCGATCTGTGCAGAAATTTTATTAAGCAAGGGGATGAGCAACCAGGAGACTGCTTGTCACATAAAATGTTCAGGCAGAGAATGAATGTTCATCTTTCAGGACTATTGAATACTAAGGGTGATAGATCTGATTAAATCATCCAAGTTTCCTCCAAACTCTGATATTTTAGAAAAGGTTTCTTAGGCTTAGAGGCCATTAACTTTTGGTTGACTGGTAATTCAAGTAAGTCGGCTGTTATAGAAGCAGATTCAGATATAGGGATTTGGGGTGCGTGTGACTTTATTGAGACAGTGGTCTCAATAAAAGCAGATTGAGAGAAGCAGTATAAGACAGGGAAGTAGTTAAACAAGGATATGGTTTCAGCTGAGTTTTGCTTCAGCCTGATCCCATGGGAGCTGTGGAGCATAAATTGTGCGTAGAGTTGCTCTCACCTGGAGACGAAGAGGGTATAGTTTTAGACCCCGGTTAGTATTGGTCAGTAATCGGCTATGAGAGGGCACTACATTGCAGGTGAGGTGGCTCTTAAATGGCTAATGGCAGTTCTCTAGAGAAAAAGACAGCTGTGAATTAAGAGCAGCTAGTACTCAGAGCAACTGGGGGATGGGTGTGCTGGCCCTATCTACTATGCTAGCAAAAGGATTCTCCTATGTATTAGAAACAAAAAATAGGAACAAGAGTGAGCTGCTAGAGGGAAGCACAGCACTGACCCCACAACAGCCATACATGAAAACTGACCATATGTTTGAGGCCATGTAACATGGAGATGGATATTCCATACACAACTACATAGCCTTAAAGGCATCACAGCACATACAAAGAACAGATGCTCATAATGCTGACCTAGAGTCAAGAAGAAAAAAATCTATACTTTATTAGAATATGCAATTGAAAAAGCAGGGACCATCCATATTTTTATACTTTAATTGCTTAAATCACCAGTCCCTAGTTATTTAGAAAAGAAACAGAATAGTTGTGAAAGTGCTTGGTGAGTAGTTAACCTATTACAACTTTTAGAGCATTAACCATAGGGCCATCAGGTAGACACGTAAGAAGCTGTGCCTTACAAAGGTAAGTACTTTTTGAAAAAGGGAACCGTTTTAGAGAGTCTTACATTTTGAGACTTAGAATATTAATGTGTCTCAGTTTACTCTCAGGAAGGTGTGCAGGAAAGAAGTACTTTGTGGTTTCTATTGAACAAGTGGGCGATTTTAAGGCTGTTGCCCAAACTAGGTAACAAATTGCATCATTCTCATTGTATTTTCAACAATTGCCACCCTCTTGGCCCATCTTATCTGTTATTCCATGAACACCTCATCAAGTTTCACCCTCCAGTGCTTATTTTCAAACTGTTTTACAGAAACTTTTGGTATAATTCCTATAGCTCATCAAGTATCAAAGGCTGCTTTTTATATGTCAATGTTCTCTAGAAAAATTTTAATGTTTTTCTTCTTCAGTACCATAATACTACCTTTGACTGGGCATTTTTGTCGAAGAAGGAGTGTTCAAAATACGGAGGAAACCTCGTCGGGAACAACTGTAATTTTGTTCCTGATATCACACTCATGTCTTTTATCCTCTTCTTGGGAACCTACACCTCTTCCATGGCTCTGAAAAAATTCAAAACTAGTCCTTATTTTCCAACCACAGTAAGTACCTGAACTTTAAATGATTTTCATTGGATTTACACTGTATCAACAATAATACAACTTTACAAGGTGAAAAAGGCACCTGTAATTCAATGTGTCCAATATAATTTTGTGCGTTTTAAACATTACACTTCAATCTTTGTTCATGTGCATACTTATTAACGTAAGTCTAGTCAAGCTTTGGAAAACCTTCCAAGGACTTTCTCACATAATTCTGTCATATACCTCTCATAATTCTGAATGTGCTGAAAGGAAAAAAAATGAGATGAATTATATTTAAAAATGCATGAGTGAAGAAAAATACCTTTTAAATTCATTGTGTTTAAGTACATAATCAAAAACTCTTCATGTTTATCAGGAATTTCCATGGTGTAGAATTTCTTCAGCAGCTGTACATTTGAGTATTTTAGTACTTGAATTATGGGCTGTGGGAGTAAACTTAAATTGTGTTGTTACACAAGTATTGGTGTAAGATATGACTGTCATATGAGCCAAACTTTCCTTCCCGTAATGATGAATGCCGTAGTACAGAGAAACAGATAATTAAACTGGGTTGTGCAAACATCCTGTCTCCCATTAAAATGCCTGAGTGAGCTTAGTCCAAACTGTGGGTTCATGGAGATGCTATAAGAAAAGACTAATATTTAGTTAATGGCATTTTGGTTTTTTGCCTGCAGAATCAAACTAAGATAATCCTTTGCTTTACAGTTCAGTTCTTAGTGTTTAGGATGTCAGTATTTCTTAGGCAATCTTGATTACACCTGATTTATATCAGTGACCTGCTCTGTACAGCTGACATCTCATGAAACAGCTCTTCTTGCATTATATGTAAAAGGAATGGAAGAATTTTAAAATATGAGATGCACTTGATGAAATTCCTTTTTCCAAATTCTAGGAAATGAAAATATATTTACTTTCACCTAGAAAATTTTTGACTCTCTGATTCTTCTTACAAAATTGAAAATAAACAGAAGGGTTGATAATGAAATGTCTAGAAGTAGATAGCCCAAGGAATGAAAAATTTCCACAAAGTGAAATTTAGAAAGAAGCATTCAACTTAGTCTGCTTAACATGGGCATTACAAGCTGGTGATCCACAGGCAGAAAGAATTCAACCCACAGCCATTCTTTGTTTAGCCCACAGTGTGTATACATACAAAAAAACACACTCTCTCTCTCTTACTTGAGACTTTTGGTAGAATCTGTACTTTGCAGATAGTTACTGTTTTCCCAGCTCTGTGTTGTCTAAGAATTGGCTGTTTCATGCATTCAGATTAACTGCCTGTTCTTAAAGACACTGGGAAATGTGCTTTCTTGATACACCTCTTCAACTGTGTGGGTTTTGTGTAGAACAGATTCCTGGGTAAAAGTCTTTGAGGACAATTTTTTTTTTCTCTTGAGGTTTTTCCTTCTTAATAAGTAATTTATTGGGCATCTTGGATTTTGTTTGTTTGTATTTTTGGCTTATACTTTGTAAATCATCACCACCTGCCAAAGTCTGATATAATTTAAGTATAGTAAGTAGAAAAGTGGAAAATTTGTGAAGCACTTATAAGTCATAATTTGCAAAATAAACTAGTTTCAACTTTGAGATGAATGGAGATCCTTTTTCTAAATTTTAAAATCTTAATTGACCAATAATAATGTAAACTATATATTTCTGGAGTACAATGTGACATATGTATATGTTGTGGAATGATTAAATCAAGCTAATTAACATATCCATTACCTCACATACTTATTTTTTGTGATGAGAACATTTAAAACCTACTCTTTTAGCAATTTTAAAATATACAACACATTATTATTAGCTATAGTCATCATGCTGTGCAGTGGATCTCAAAGACATATTCCTCTTGTCTGATACTTTGTACGCTTTGACCAATATCCTCCCATTCCCCGCCTCCAGTAGGCACCATTCTACTGTCTACTTATATGAGTTTGACATTTTAGGTTTCACGTGTAAGTGAGATCATGTAGTATCTGTCTGTCTGTGCTTGGCTCATTTCACTTAACATAATGTCTTCCAGATAACATAATGTTATCCAAATTATTGCTAATGACAGAATTTCCTTTGTTTTATGGCTGGATAGTATTCCACTGTTTATATGTGCCACATTTTCTTTATTCATCTGTTGATGAACACTTAGGCTGATTCCATATCTTGGCCATTGCGAATAATGCTACAAAGAACATGAGAGTGTTGACATCTCTTTGAGATCATGATTTCATTTCTTTTGGATACATACACAGAAGTAGGGTTGCTGGATCATATAGTAGTTCTGGTTTTTATTTTTTGGGGGAAACTTTCATACTGTTTTCTGTAATGGCTGTTCTAATTTACATTCCCACCAACGGTGTACAAGGGTTACCTTTTCTCCACATCATCACCAACACTTATCTTTTGTCTTTTTGATAATAACCATCCCAACAGGTGTGAGGTCATATCTCATTGTGGATGTAATTTGTAGTTCCCTGATACTTCATGATGTTGAGCATTTTTTCATTTATCTTTTGGCCATTTATGTTTCTTCTTTTGCAAAACATCTATTCAGGTCCTCTGTCTATTTATTAGGTGAATTGCTGTTCAGTTTTAGTTTGATGCAATCCTGTTTGTCTATGTTTGCTTTTGTTGTCAAAAAATAACCTTATGTTGAAGTGTAATGATAGGTTATTTGATATTAACAATAATCTTTGCCCAGACTAATGTCATGGAGCTTTTCCTTTATGTTTTCTTTTAATAATTTTACAGTTTCAGGTCTTATATTTAAGTCTTTAATCCCTGGCTATTTTCTTTTTTTTGTATTTTTAGTAGAGACAGGATTTCACCATCTTGGCCAGGCTGGTCTTGAACTCCTGACCTCGTGACCCACTCGCCTTGGCCTCCCAAAGTGCCGGGATTACAGGTGTGAGCCACCCTGCGTGGCCTTAATCCATTTTGAATTGATTATTGTATATGGTATGAGATGAGGGTCTAATTTCATTATTCTGCATGTTGATATCTAGTTCACCTAGCACTATTTATTGAAGAGATTGCTGTTACCCCATTGTGTGTTCTTGGCATCTTTGTTGAAAATCAGTTGGCCATAAATGCATGGATTTATTCCTGGACTCTGTTCTATCCCATTGGTCTAGATGTCTGTTTTTCTACCAGTACCATCCTGTTTTGATTACTATAGTTTTGTAGTAGATTAGTGTGATGCTTCCAGCTTTCCTCTTTTTGCTCAAGATTGGTTTGGCTATTTGGGGTCTTTTGTGATTTGATACAAATTTTAGGATTACTTTTTCTATTTGTGTAAAACATATCATTGGAATTTGGATAGGGTTTGCTTTGCATCAGTAGATTGCTTTGGTAGTATGGACTTTTTAATAATACCAATTCTTCAAATTCATGAATACAGGATATCTTTCCATTTACTCCTGTCTTCTTCAATATCTTTCATCAATTCTTTATAATTTTTGAAGTATAGCACATTCACCTCCCTGGTTAAATTTATTCTTAAATGTTTTATTCTTTTGTAGCTATTGTAAGTGGGATTGTGATTTTTTTTTCAGATAGGTTGTTGTTGGTCTATAGAAACACTACTGAATTGTATGTTGATTTTATATTCTGCAACTTTACTTAATTTTTTTATTACTTCTAAAATTTTTTTGGTGGAGTCTTTATGTAAGATCATGTTGTCTGCTAACAGAGACAATTTAACTTCTTCCTTTCCTTCCTTTCATAGGTTATATGTGTCTAGGAATTTACCCATTTCTTCTAGGTTATTTAGTTTGTTGTTGTATAATTGTTCATAAGTATCTCTTAGAGTTTTTTTTATTTCCTTGTTATCAGGTGTAATGTCTCTTTTTAATCACTGAATTTATTTATTTCAGTCTTCTTTTTTTTTTAGCCTAGATATTGGATTGTTGGTTTTGCTTATTATTTATTTATTTTTATTTTTAATTTAATTAATTAGTTAATATTTTTTGTTTGTTTGTTTGTTTTGAGACAGAGTCCCTCTCTGTCACCCAGGCTGGAGTGCAGTGGTGCCATCTCAGCTCACTGCAACCTCTGCCTCCCTGGTTCAAGCGATTCTCCTGCCTCAGCCTCCCAGGTAGCTGGGACTACAGGGGCGTGCCACCATGGGACCTGGCTAATTTTTTGTATTTTTAGTAGAGATGGGGTTTCACCATAATAGCCAGATGGTCTCGATCTCCTGACCTTGTGATCCCCCTGCCTAGGCCTCTCAAAGTGCTGGGATTACAGGCGTGAACCACCATGCCTGGCCTATTTTATTTTATTTTTGAGATGGAGTCTTGCTCTGTTGCCCAGGCTAGAGAGCAGTGGTGCCATCTCAGCTCACTGTAACCTCAGCCTCCTGGGTTCAAGGGATTCTTGTGCCTCAACCTCCTGAGTAACTGGGATTACAGGCGCTTGCCACCGCGCCCACTAATTTTTGTATTTTTTGTGGAGACGAGGTTTCACTATGTTGACCAGACTCATCTTGAACTGTTGATCTCAAGTGATCCACCAGCCTCGGCCTCCCAAAGTGTTGGGATTACTGGCGAGAGCCACTGCACCCCGGCTGATTTTGTTTATCTTTAAAGAAACCTCAACTTTTAGTTTTGTTAATTTTTTTAACTTGTCTTAGTCTTTATTTCTTCTTTGAGTTTTATTATTTCCTTCTTTCTAACAATTTTGAGTTTAGTTTGTTTTTGTCTTTCTAGCTCCTTGACATGCTTCCTCAGGCTGTTTATTAGAAATCTTCTTTCGATGTAGTCATTTATTGCTATAAATTTCACTCTTAGAACTGCTTTTGTTGTGTCCCATGGGTTTTGGTATGATATATTTCCATTCTCATTTGTCTCAAATTTATTAATTTCATTTTTAATTTGTTTACTTACACATTGGTTATTTAGTAGCATACATATTCAGGAGCATAAACTTCCATGTGTTTGTAAAGGTTTCAAAGTTTTCCTTATTGTTGATTTATAGTTTTATATTGTGGTCAGAAAAGATACTTGATATGATCTCTGTTTTCTTAAATTTTCTAAGACTAGTTTTGTAGCCTAGCATATGATCTGTCCTGGAGAATGTTACAAATGCAGTTGAGAAGAATGTGTATTCTGTAGCAGTTGGATGGAATATTCTGTAAAGGTCTGTTAGGTCCATTTGATGTATGGTGCAACTGAAGTCCAATGTTCCTTGTTGATTTTCTGTATAGATGATCTGTCCATTGTTGAAAATGGGGTATTGAAATTCACTATTATTGTATTGTCTTCTGTTTCTCCCTTTAGATAGAATAATAATATTTGCTTTATATGTTTGGGTACTCTGTGATTAGGTGCATATAGATTTATAATTGTTTTATTGAATCGATTCTTTTATTATTATATAATGACCTTCTTTGTCACTTTTTACAGTTTTCGACTTAAGTATATTTTATATGGATACCTCTGATCACTTTTGGTTTCCATTTGCATGGAGTATCTTTTTCCATCCTTTCATTTTCAGTCTGTTGTCCTTAATAGTGAGGGGATCTCTAGTAGGCAAACTATAGTTTGGTCTTTTTTTTTTTTTGTCCATTCATTCCCTCTGTATCTTTTCATTGGAGAACTTAATTTCATTTACATTCAAGGATTTTATTGATAGGTAAGGACTTACTCCTATCATTTTGTTAATTGTACTTTAATTATTTTAATATCCTTCATTCTTTTCTTCCTCTCTTGTTTACCTCTGTGGTTTGGTGCTAAGCTTTGTTTCTTTTCCCTTTCTCATGTGTTTATCAGCTGTAATTTCTATCTTTGTGGTTGCCATGGGGCTAACATAATGAGTCTTGTAATTATAATACTCTATTTTAAGCTGATAACAACTTAACTTTGGTCACGTTAAAATACTTTAGACTTTTTTGCTCCCTCCCACAATTTATATGTTTGTTACCTTAATTTACTTTCTTATCTACTGTGTGTTTCTTAGTCACTAATTATGGCTTTTCTTGTTTTCGACCATTTTAAGTTTAAACCTTCATACTAGAGATTGAAAGATTTATGTAGCACCATTATAATTCTGTGTTTGATTATGAATTTACCTCTACTGGTGAGTTTTATACTTTCATGTATTTTCATGATAATAAATATCATCCTTTTGTTTACAGTTGTAGCTCTTAAGCATTTTTTATAAGACTGATCTAGCAATAATGAATTCCCTCAGCTTTTGCTTGTCTGGAAAGATCTTTATTATAGCTTTGCTGGATGTGGTATTGGCTAACAGTTGGTTTTTGTTTCCACACTTTGAATATATTATCCCATTCTCTCCTGACTGGCAAGATTTCTGCTGAGAAATCTGTTAATTTCCTAATGGAGATTCTCTTATATGTGACTTGATGCTTTTCTCTTGCAGCTTATAGAATTCTCTCTTTGTCTTTAGCTTTTGACAGTTTGAGTATTAATATGCCTTGGAGAACATTGTTTAGGGTTCAGTCCAGTTGGGAACTTTTGAGCTTCTTGGATCAGGACATCCATATTTCTCCCAAGACTTTGAGGTTTTCAGTCATTATTTTGTTAAATAGGTTTTCTGTTATTTTATTTGTCTCTTCTTTCACTGTCACACATATAATGCAAAGATTTATTCACTTAATTCTTATTTATTTTTTCCTCTGACTTGATTGGGTTAATTCAAAAGATGACTTCAAGTTCAGGAACTCTTTCATCTTCTTGATCTAGTCTGTTCTTGATGCTATCAGTTGTTTTTTTTATTTCTTTCACTAAATTCTTCACTGCCAAGATTTCTGTTTGATTCTTTTTTATGATATCTTTCACTTTTTTGAATTTTTCATTCAGATCATGAATTATTTTTCTGATTTCACTGAATTGTTTGTATTCTATAGTATCTCTCTGAGCTTCTTTAAGATCATTATTTTGAATTCCTTTTGATCTATTCTATAAATATTCTTTTTTTGGACCTCCTACTGAAGACTTATTGTGTTTCATGGGGGGGGGGGTGTTATTATTATTTTTCTTTTTTGCTTTTTTTGTATTTTTTTTAAATATCCAACCTCTATTCTAATTCAGGGTACATATACAGGATGTGCAGGTTTGTTACATAGGTAAATTTGTGCCATGGTGGTTTGCTGCACAGATCATTCCATCACCCAAGTATTAAGCCCAGCATCCACTAGCTTTTCTTCCTGATTCTCTCCCTCTTCCCACCTCCCCCTCCCAACAGACCCCAGAGTGTGTTGTTTTTCTGAATGTATCCATGTGTTCTCATCATTTAACTTCCACTTATAAGTGAGAACATGTGGTATTTGGTTTTCTGTTCCTGCATTAGTTTGCTAGGGATAAATGGCCCCTAGCTCCATCCATGTCCCTGCAAAGGACATGATCTTGTTCCATTTTATGGCTGCATAGTATTTCATGGTGTATATGTACCACATTGTCTTTATCCAGTCTATGACTGATGGGCTTTTAGGTTGATTCCATGCCTTTGATATTGTGAATAGTGCTGCAGTGAATATATGTATGAATGTGTCTTTATAATTGAACAATTTATATTCCTTTGGGTGTATATCCTGTAATGGATATATAAAACTTTATATATAAAATGGATATATATAAAACTTAAAATATATCCAGTAATGGATATATACCCAAAGGCTTTTTCTCCACAACTTTGCCAGCATCTGCTATTTTTTGACCTTTTAATAATAGCCATTCTGACTGGTGTGAGAGAGGATCTCATTGCAGTTTTGATTTGCATTTCTGTAATGATTAGTAATGTTGAGGTTTTTTTTTTTCATATGTTTGCTGGCCACATGTATGTCTTATTTTGAGAAGTGTCTTTTCATGTCCTCTGCCCAGTTTTTAATGGGATTTTTTGTTTTTTTCTTGAAGTTCCTTATAGATGCTGGATATTAGACCTTTGTCGGATACATAGTCTGCAAAAATTTTCTTCCATTCTGTAGGTTGTCTGTTTACAATGATGATCGTTTCTTTTGCTGGGCAGAAGCTCTTTAGTTTAATTAGATTCTGTTTGTTAATTTTTGCTTTTGTTGCAATTGCTTTTGGTGTCTTCATCGTGAAATCTTTGCCCATGCCTGTGTCCTGAACGGTATTGCCTAGATTTTTTTCTAGGGTTTTTATGGTTTGGGGTTTTATGATTAAGTATTTAATCCATCTTGAGTTAATTTTTGTATATGGTATAAGGAAGAGGACAAGTTTCAATTTTCTACATATGGCTAGCTAGTTCTCTTGGCACCATTTATTAAATGGGGAATTATTTCACCATTGTTTGTTTTTGTCAGGTTTGTCGAAGATCAGATGGTTGTAGGTGTGTGGTCTTATTTCTTGATTTTCTATTTAGTTCCATTGGTCTATGTGTCTGTTTTTGTACCAGTACCATGCTGTTTGGTTTCTGTAGCCCTGTAGTTTGAAGTCAGGTAGCATGATGCCTCCAGCATTGTTCTTTTTGCTTAGGATTGCATTGGCTATTTGGGCTCTTTTTTGGTTTCATATGAATTTTAAAATAGTTTTTTCTAATTCTGTGAAGAATATCAATAGTATTTTACCTGGAATAGCATTAGATCTTCAAATTGTTTTGGGCAGTATGGCCATTTTAACATTTTAACATATTGATTCTTCCTATTCATGAGCATGGAATGCTCTTCCATTTTTTTCTGTCATCTCTGATTTCCTTGAGTGGTGGTTTGTAGTTCTCATTGAAGAGGTCCACTTCCATCATTAGCTGTATTCCTAGGTATTTTATTCTTTTTGTGGCAGTTGTGAATGGGAGTTCATCTGTGATTTGGCTTTCGACTTTCCTGTGGTTGGTTTAAAGTAATGCTAGTGAGTTTTGCACATTGATTTTTTATCCTGAGACTTAGCTGAAGTTGCTTAGCAGCTCAAGAACCTTTGGGGCTGAGATGATGGGGTTTTCTAGATACAGTTTTATATAATCTGCAAACTAGGTAGTTTGACTCCCAGTTTGGAAAACGCATTTCAGGATATCATCCAGGAGAACTTCCCCAACCTAGCTAGACAGGCCAATATTCAAATTTTGGAAATGCAGAGAACCTCAGCAAGATACTTCACAAGAAGGTCGTCCTCAAGACACATAATCATCAGATTCTCCAAGGTTGAAAGAAAAGAAAAAATGTTTAGGGCAGCCAGAGAGAAAGGCAAGATCACCTACAAAGGGAAGCCCATGAGACCAACAGTGGGCCTCTCAGTGGAAATCCTATGAGCCAGAAGAGATTGGGGGCCAATATTTAACATCTTAAAGAAAAGAAAATTGAACCTAGAATATTGTATCTCACCAAACTAAGCTTCATAAGCAAAGGAGAAATCAAATTATTTTCAGACAAGCAAATGCTGAGGAAATTCGTCATGACCAGACCTGCTTTACAAGAGCTCTTGAAGGAAGCACTAAATATGGAAAGGAGAAACCCTTACCAGCCACTACAAAAACACACTGAAGTACACAGACCAGTGACACCATAAGGCGACCACATAAACAAGTCTGCAAAATAACCAGCTAATATCATGATGACAGGATCAAATCCATACATAACAATTCTAACTTTACATGTAAATGGGCTAAATGCCCCAGTTAAAAGACACAGAGTGGAAAGCTGCATAACAAACCAAGACTCATTTGTATTCTGTCTTCAAGAGACCAATCTCACATGCAAAGACACACATAGGCTTAAAATAAAAGGATGGAGGAAAATTTACCAAACAAATGGAAAACAGAAAAAAAGCTTGGGTTGCAATCCTAGTTTCTGACAAAACAGACTTCAAACCAACAAAGATGAAAAAAGACAAAAGGTATTACATAATGGTAAAGGGTTCAGTTCAACAAGAAGAGCTAACTATCCTAAATAGAAATGCTTCCAATAAGGGAGCACCAAGATTTAAAAAGCAAGTTATTAGAGACCGTCAAAGTGACTTAGACTCCCACACAATAATGGTGCAAGACTTTAATACCCCACTGACAATATTATACATATCATCAAGAGAGAAAATTAACAAAGGTATTCAAGACCTGAACTCAGCTCTGCATCAGGTAGACTTGATAGATATCTACAGAACTCTCTGCCCCAAAACAACAGAATATACTTTCTTCTCATCACCACACAGCACTTACTTTAAAATTGATCACATAATCGGAAGTTAAACACTCTTCAGCAGATGCAAAAGAACTGAAATCATAACAGTCCCTCGGACCACAGTGTAATCAAATTAGAACTCAGGATTAAGAAATTCACTCAAAACCATAAAACATGGAAATTGAACAACTTGCTCCTGAATGACTTTTGGGAAAATAATGAAATTAAGGCACAAATCAGGAAGTTCTTTGAAACTAATCAGAACAAAGAGACAATGTACCAGAATCACTAGGATGTAGCTAAAACAGTGTTAAGAGGGAACTTTATAGCACTAAAAGCCCACATCAAAAAGCTAGAAAGATCTCAAGTTAACAAGCTAACATCACAGCTAAAAGAACTGGAGAACCAAGAGCAAACAAACCCGAAAGCTAGCAGAAGACAAGAAAAACCAAGATCAGAGCTGAACTGAATGAGGTAGAGACATGAAAAACCCTTCAAAAGATCAACAAATCCAGGAGCTGGTTTTTTGAAAAAATTAATAAAATACATAGGCCACTATCTAGACTAATAAAGAAGATAAGAGAGAAGACTCAAATAAACACAAGCAGAAATGATACAGGGGGATATCACAACTGACCCCACTGAAATACAAACAACCATTAGAGAATATTATCCCTTAATAGTGTTTATAATATAAACACCTCTATGCACATACACTAGGAAGTCCAGAACAAATGGATAAATTCCTGGACACATACACCTTCCCAAGACTGAACCAGGAGAAAGTTGAATCCCTGAATAGACCAATAATGAGTTCTGAAATTGAGGCAGTAATAAGTAGCCCAACAACCCGAAAAAGCCCAGGACCAGATGGATTCACAGCTGAATTCTACCAGATGTACAAAGAAGAGCTGGTATCATTTCTACTGAAACTATTCCATAAATTAAAAGGAGAGACTTCTCCCTAATTGACTGTATGAGTCCAGCTTCATTCTTATACCAAAACCTGGCAGAGATACAACAAAAAATGAGAAGTTTAGCCAGTATCCTTGATGAACATTGATGCAAAAATCTTCAACAAAATGCTGGCAAACCAAATCCAGCAGCACGTCCAGCTTATCCACCACGATCAAGTAGGCTTCATCTCTGGGATGCAAGGTTGGTTCAACATATACAAATCAAGAAATGTGATTCATCACACAACCAGAACTAAGGAAAAAACCATGTGATTATCTCAAGAGATGCAGAAAAGGCCTCTGATAAAATTCAACATTCGTTTATGTTAAAAACTCTCAATAAACTAGTTATTAAAGGAAGATACCTCAAAATAATGACAGCCATGTATGACAAACCCACAGCCAATATTATACTGAATGGGCAAAGGCTGTAAGCATTCTCCTTGAAAACCAGTACAAGACAAAGATGCCCTGTCTCACCATTCTTATTCAACATAGTATTGGAAGTTCTGGCCAGGGCAATCAGGCAAGAGAAAGAAATAAAGGCTATTCAAATTGGAAGAGAGGAAGTCAAACTAGCCTTTTTATATTTCTTGTGTCTCTATGTTGATATCACACATCTAGTGAAATAGTCATTTTTTAAAATTCATGGAGTATCTTTTGTAGGGAGGGATTTTTTTTTTTCTGTAAATGGGTCTTAGGGTGTCATTTGGTATAGTATATTGGCTTTCATTCTGGGTAGACTCAGTAGCATGGTTGCCATACATTTTCTTCAGCTTAATTTTTGTAAGCAATCTGTGATTGCCTTAGTGGCCTACTTCATGGGGGTTTGTGATGGTGGTAGTGTGGTTTTGCTAGGCTCTTTAGAATGCCTGGGCCAGTTTCAGAACTGGGAACATTTGTGCATGATGGGTCAGCAGGCTGTGTGGCCAGCAATCTGGGGTTTGGGGACCAGGGGTGCCACCAGGTAGCCTCTTGGGTAAGGAGCATGGCAGACTGGCTAGCTGTTCAGTGACTTTCCTGCTTTGCAGGTCCTCTTGTTCCTCATGGGTGAAGATGCCCCATGGGTTTGAGCAATGGGTTCTTAGTTGTACTGTTGGTTCTATGCTTTGTACACCTGGGGTTGTGGTGCTGCAGGCACCTGTGTAAACATGGTGAAATGAGGGTGAGGCCTCAAGGATGGAGAGAAGCAGTGGCTTCTGGGTCCCAGGACAGGATTCCCTCTAACAGTTAGTCCAGTTTAAAGATGGTGCCATGCCATAGCACCTTAGTTTGCAGGGTAGAGTATATACAACCTGAGCTCCTACTCTGGGGCAATGCAGCTGTGTAAACTCCTAGAAACTCCCTAATCTGAATTTTGGACTTGTGAGGACAGGGGACTCTCCTGTAGCAAGGACTTCTGGTATCTCTGGTGGCTATGGGGATTTCTGGGGGCCTCCAGTTTGTCTTTTTGTCATAATAATAAATCTTCCTTGATTCTGAGCCAATCCCAGCAAGAAGATAGTGTGACGAAGCAGAAGGATGCCTTTTCCTTTGTCTATCCTGGGCTTTCACACTCCATAGGGATTTCACTGCTTCTCCGGATCTCTCCCAACATAATTTCTATCACTCTAATGTAAATGTAATTATTTATTTGCTATTTTGGTCCCTTTTTGTGGAGTGGATGAGTGCCAGGCAATTCTAGTCGGCCATCTTAATGAAGTCTGAAATGAAAATTTTTATGTCTTCTTATGAATTGATCCCTTTATCATTATATGATGACTTTCTTTGTCTTGTTTTTTTTTACTTACAATTTATTTTATCTGATGCAAATACAGACATCCTTGTTTTCTTTTGGTTGCATCCTTTCAGTTTTAAACTACGTGTGTCCTCAGAGGTGAAATGAGTCTCTTTTAGGCAGCATATAGTTGGATCTTAAAAAAATAATCCATTCAGCCATTCTGTCTTTTTAGTGGAGAATTTAACCCATTTACATTCAAGGTAACTTTTATAGGTACAGACTTTCCACTACCATTTTGTTAATTATTTTCTGGTTAATTTGTAGATTCTTCGTTCTTTCCTTCCTCTTTTGTTGTTTTCCTTTGTGATTAGATAATTTTTTCCACTGTGTTTTGATTTCTTACTTTTTATCTTTTGTGTGTCTTCTAGAGATTTTTGCTTTGTGGTTACCATGAGGCTTACATAAAACATCTTACAATTATAACAGGCTATTTTAAGATGATAACAACTTACCTTTCATTGCATAAAACAATTTTGTACTTTTACTTTATATCTCCCCCAATAATTTTTTTATGTTTTGGATTTTACAATGTATATCTTTTAATGTTATATATCCCTGAACAAATTATTATAGCAATTATCATTTTAAATAGTTTTGTCTTTATCCTTTATATCAAATATATAAGTAATTTACACCTTACAATTACAGTATTAATTTTCTGAACTTAACTATACACTTACTTTTATCAGTGAGTTTTATACTTTCAAATGTTTTTCAGTTACTAATTAGAATCCTCTTCTTTTACCCTGAAGAATTCTCTTTAGCATTTCTTGTAATACAGGTCTGGTGGCAGTGAACTTGCTCAGCATTTATTTGTCTGGGAAAGTATCTCTCCTTCATTTTTGGAGGATAGATGGTATTCTTTTTTGGCAATGTTTTCCCCTTATGCTCTTTTTTTTGTTTTATTTTGGAGATTTGTCTTTTATTTTTCATTTTTTAAGGTGTCTTTAGTATTTATTAGAATGTAAATAAAGCTGAGTGCTAATTTTCTCTAAACTTAAAAAATACAACTTTGATCTGGGCCTTTGATACTTTTGGTCTATTTTATTTTATTTATTGCACAAATTTATGGGGTATGTGTGAGATTTTGTTATATGTGTATAACAAAAGGTTATAAGGGTATTAAGGGTATCTATCACCCATTTTCAATACATTTTTGTTAAGTATAGTCACTCTAACCTTTTATCAAACATTGAATTTGATCCTTCTGTCTGTATCATTATACCTATAACCAAATTTATTCTCTGCCCTACCCCCATCACCCTTCCCAGATTCTGTTAACTGTCTTTCCACTCCCTACCTCAATGTGATCAAATTTTTTAGCTTCCACATATGAGTGATAACATGCACTATATGTCTTTCCGTGCCTGACTTATTTCACTAAACACAATGACCTTCGGTTTTATCCATGTTGCTGAAAATGACATTATTTAATTCTTTTTATGGCTACATAGTTTTCCATTATATATGTATATGTCACATTTTCTTTATCCATTTATCTGTTGATGGACACATAGTTTGATCCCATACCTTTGCTATTGTGAATGGTGCTGCGGTAAACACGTGAGTGCAGATTTCCTATCCCTTTGATATAGTGATTTCCTTTCCTTCGGGTAGATTCCCAGTACTGCGTTTGCTGGATCAAGTGGCAATTCTGTTTTGAGGTTTTTGGGAAATCTCAATAGTGTTTCCATAGTGACTGTGGTAGTCTACCACAGTCTACCAACCATATAAAACATTTCTACCAACCATATAAAACATTTCCTCTTTCTCTGCATCCTTGTCAACATCTTATTTTTGGTCTTTTTAGTAATAGCTACTCTGACTGGGGTAAGATGATATCTCATTGTAGTTTTGATTTGCATTTCTCTGATGATTAGTGATGCTGAGCATTTTTTCATATACCTGTTGGCTGTTACTGTGTCTTCTTTTGAGAAATGTCTATTCGTGTCCTTTGCCCACTTAAATGGAATTATTTGTTTTTCTTTTCTTGAGTTAAGTACCTTGTATATTCTAAGGTTAGTCCCTTGTTGGATGAATAATTTGCAAATATATTTTCTCATTCCATAGGTTGTCTCTTCATTGTGTAGATTATTTCTTTTGTTGTGCAGAAGCTTTTTGGTTTAAATCCCACTTGTCTATTTTTGTTTGGTTGCCAATGAATTTCAGATCTTAATCATAAATTATTTGTCTACACCAATGTCCAGGAGAATTTTCCCTCGGTTTTCTTCCAGTATTTTTATAGTTTTGGGTCTTACATATAAGTCTTTAATCAATGTTGAGTTGATGTTTGCATATGGTGAGGTAGGAGTCCAGTTGTATTCTTCTGGATGTGGGTATCCAATTTTCCCAGCACCATTTATCAAAGAGGGTATACTTTACCCAATGTAAGTTCTTGTCAGCTTTTTTGAGGATCAGTTAGCTGTAAGTGTATCTTTATTTCTGGATTATCTACTCCGTTCTGTTGGTCTACGTGTCTATTTTTATAGCAATACTATGCTGATGTGGTTACTACAGCATTGTAATATATCTTGAAGTCAGATAATGTGATGCCTCCAGCTTTGTTCTTTTTGCTGCTCAGGATTGCTTTGGCTATTCAGGCTTCTTTGTGGTTCTATATGAGTTTTATTAAATAGGATTTTTTTTTCTAATTCTGTGAAGGTGGCAGTATTTTGAAACAGATCGCATTGAATCTGCAGACTGCTTTGTACATTATGGTCATTTTAATGGTATTAATGCTTCTGATCCATGAGTGTGGGAAGTTTTTCTATTTGTGGCCTCTTCATTTCATCAGTGTTGTGCAGTTTTCTTTCTAGAGATGTTTCACCCCCTTGGTTAAATTTATTCCTAGGTATTTTATTTTATTGTATTGTATCTCTTGTAAATGCAATTACCTTTTAAATTATTTTCTTGGCTAGATCTTGGTGTATAGAAATGCGACTGGGTTTTGTGTGTTGATTTTGTATCCTGCAACTGTACTAATTTTTTTAATCAAATCTAAGAGATTTTTGATAGAGTTTTGGGGTTTTATTAGATGTAAGACTGTATCGTCAGCAAAGAGGCACAATTTAACTTCCCCTTTTCCAATTTGGATGTCTTTTATTTCTTTCTCTTACCTGGTTGCTTCAGTTAGGACTTCCAGACTGTGTTGAATAGGAGTTGTGAAAGTGGATATCCTTGTCTTCTTCCAGTTCTTAGAGGAAGGGCTTTCAACTTGTCCTCATTCAGTATGACATTAGTGGTGGGTTTGTTGTACAAGGCCTTTATTATTTTGAGGTAGGTATGTTCCTTCTATTCCTAGTTTATTGAGAGTTTTTATCATGAAAGGATGTTGTATTTTATCATATTGTTTTTCTGCATTGATTGAGATGACTGTATGATTTTTGTTCTTTATACTGTTGATGTGATGTCACATTTATTGATTTGCATTTATTGTGCTGAGCTATCCCTGCATCCCTGGGATAAATCCCACTTAATTGTGGTATATTATCTTGTAGATGTACTGTTGGATTTGGGTTGCTGGTATTTTGTTGAGAATTTCTGCATCTGTGCTTATCAGAAGTATTGACCTGTATTTGTCTTTTTTTCTATTCTTGTCTGTTTTTGGTATCAGGGTGATATTAGCCTCATAGAAAGTATTAGGGGATGATATGGTTTGGATTTATGTCCCCACCCATGTCTCACGTCAAATTGTAATCTCCAGTGTCAGAGGTGGGGTTGGATTATGGGAGCAAATTTCCCCCTTGCTGCTCTCATGATAGTGAGTTCTCACAAGATCTGGTCATTTAAAAATGTGTAGAACCTCCCCCTTCACCCTCTTCCTCCTGCTGCAGCCATGTAGGACATGTCTGCTTCCCGTTTGCCTTCCATTATGATTGTAAGTTTCCTGAGGCCTCCCCAGCCATGCTTCCTGTACAGTCTGCAGAACTGTGAGCCAATTAAAATTCTTTTCTTTATAAATTACCCATTCTCAGGTAATTCTTTAAAGTAATGCGATAATTGACTAATACAGAAAAATTCCCTCCTCTTCAATTGTGTGGAATAGTTTGAGGAGGATTGGTTAGTTCTTTGTTTTTGGTAGAACTCCACAGTGAATCTATCTAGTCCTGGGATTTTCGTTATTGGGAGACATTTTATTACTGATTCAAAATCACTACTAATGATGGATCTTTTGAGATTTTCTATTTCTTACTGATTCAATTTTAATTGGCATGTTTCCAGGAATTTATCCATTTCCTCTAGGTTTTCTAGTTTATTATTCTATACTTGTTCATAATAGTCTCTCACGATCTTTGTATTTTTGTTGTATGAGTTGTAATGTGTCCTTTTTCATTTCTGATTTTACTTGGATGTCTTCTTTCTTTTTTTCTTGTTTAGTCTAGCTAGCAGTTTATTGGCTGTGTATATTTTTTGAAGAACCAACTTTTTGTTTCATTGATTCTTTGTATTTTTTTAGTCTGTATTTGTTAGTTCTGCTCTGATCTTTATTATTTCTTTTTTTCCTGATAGTTGTGGATTTGGTTTGTTCATGGTTTTCTGTTTCCTTGATGTGCATTTTTAGATTGTTAACTTGTAATCTTTCTACTTATTTATTTATTACTGTAAACTTCCTTCTTCATACTGTTTTGCTGAATTCCACAGGTTTGGGTATATTAGGTTTTTATTTTCAGTTGTTTCAAGAATTTTTTTGATTTTCATCTTAATTTCTTTGTTGACTCAAAGGTCATTCAGAAGCACGTTTAATTTCTATATATTTTTATAAATTTCCGAAGTTTATATTTGTATTTATTTCTAGTTTTATTCCATTGTGGTCTGAGAATATAGTTGATATGATTTTCATTTTGTGAAAATTTTTAGAAATTGTTGGTGGCCTAATCTATGGTCAGTCCTGGATAACATTCCATGTGCTGATGAAAGAAATATATATTCTGCAGTTGTTAGGTAGAATGTTCTGTAAATGTCTGTTAGGTTCATTTGGTCTAAAGTTCAGTTTAAATCGGTGTTTCTTTGTTGATTTTTTAAATCTAGATTATCTATTTAATGCTGACAACGGGGTGTTAAAATCTTCTACTGTTATTGTATTGCATTCCGTCTTTTCAGGTCTAGTAATATTTGCTTTATGAATCTGGGTGCTCCATTGTTGGGTGCATCTATTTTTAGAATTGTTATATCCTCTTCCTGGATTGGTTGCTTTATTTCATATAAAATGACTTTTTTAAAACTGTTCTTGACTCAAAGTCTGTTTTATCTTACGTAAGTATAGCTACTCTTGCTCACTTCTGGTTTTCATTTGCATGGAATATCTTTTTCCATCCCTTTAGTTTCAGTCTATATGTCCTTACTGGTAAGGTGAGTTTCTTATAAGTAGCATATAGTTAGATGCTACTTTTGTAAGTCCAGTCAGCAGTTCTATATCTTTTAAGTGTAGAATTTAATCTGTTAATATTTAAAGTTATTATTTATATGTGAGGCTTCATTTCTGTCATATTACTAATAGTTTTCTGTTGTTTTGTATATTCTTTCTTCCTTTCTTTTTCTCTTATTATTTGTGGTTTGGGGGATTTCTTTTTTTTTTTTTTTTTTTTTTTTTTTTTTTTTGAGATGGAGTCTCGCTCTGTCACCCAGGCTGGAGTGCAGTGGCATGATCTTGGCTCACTGCAAGCTCTGCCTCCCGGGTTCACGCCATTCTCCTGCCTCAGCCTCTCGAGTAGCTGGGACTATAGGCACCCGCCACCACGCCCGGCTAATTTTTTTTGTATTTTTAGTAGAGATGAGGTTTCACCGTGTTAGCCAGGATGGTCTCGATCTCCTGATCTCGTGATCCACCTGCCTTGGCCTCCCAAAGTGCTGGGATTACAGGCGTGAGCCACCGCGCCCAGCCAAGGGATTTCTGTTAGTGGTACTATTTGAGTCCTTTTTCTTACTCTTTTGTGTGATTGCTTCACCAGTAATGGCTGTGCTCCCAAAATGGTGCCCTGCCATAGCTGCTCAGGTCTTAGTGGGGTGTGAGTGACCCAGTGCAAATTCCCAGTCTGGTGTACTGCCCCACTGGGTTTCTAAACCACCACCCTTGCTAATGTCAGTGTTCATGTGGGTAGAGGAGCTCTTCTGTATTTCAGATTGCAGCCGACTGTGTAAGGGATGTGGACCACTGAAGTTCTCTTAATTACCCTTTCCCTGCAATATGGAACCCCTCTAGTCTTTCTAGCCACTTGCTTTCTTCCTTATCTGTGCCTCAGGTGTTTTCTGTGAGTTCCTTCTTGGACTCTTGTGGTCTCTCCTATGTGTTCTATTCGAGGTATGTTTCTCTAGTCATAATTTTGGTTCTTCTTTCTGGAAAGAGTAGGTGTCTGTAGTCAGCCATCTTGCATCAGAATCCTTCTTCAGCTCTTTGAATATATCATCCCAGTCTCTCCTGGATTGTAAAGCTTTTGGTGCAAAATACACTGCTAGTATTGTTGGAACTCTCTTGTATGTGATTTGCTTCTTTTCTCTTGCTGCTTCAAGATTTTCTCTTTGTATTATATTTTTTGTCAATTTCATTATATCTTGATATAGTATTTTTATGTTGAATCTGATTGAAGACCTTTGACCTTCCTATAGCTAGATATTTATATTTCCCTAGATTTGAAATATTTTCTGCTATTATTTCTTTAAATAAACTTCCTACCCCTTTGTCTCTCTCTTTTTCTTCTTGCTCTCCTATAACTTGAATATTTGTTCTTTTGATCCTGTCACATAAATCTTATAAACTTTCTTCATTCTTTTTATTGTTTTTTTTCTCTACTGACTATATATTTTCAAATAACTTGTCTTTAAGTTCACAGATTCTTCTGCTTGATCAGTTCTGCTGTTGATGCTCTTTATTGCATTTCTTAATTTTCTTAATTATATTTTTTGGCTCCAGAATTTCTATTTGTTTTTCTTTTAATAATTTCATTTAAAATTTTGAATGTAAGTAATTTCAGTCTCTGTTACATTTCTAGTTTTGGTCATTTATTGTTTTCTTGATTTTGTAGCATCCTGTCTTTTTAGAAAGTTTGCTGGGCTTCCTTAAAATAATTATTTTGAATTCTTCGATAGTTCATATATCTTCATTTTTGAGGGATGATTACTGGGGCTTTATTTTTTCCTTTAGTGGTGTCATGTTTCCTTGATTGTTCTTGGTCTTGTAGCTCCTGATTTGTTTCTGTGCATTTGAAGACATAGAGACTAATTTCAGTCCTTGCAGAATGTCTTTGTCTGGAAAAGTTTTTCACCAATCAGCCTGTCTAGAGATTATGGCAGGTTTTCTGTTGTGTTCCACAGGCAGGCTTGCTGCAGGACTTCCCAGTTAGGCTGACCTGGTTCTTGTGTAAACAGGTGAGTGCACCTGGCACCTGGGTCCATGGTTTGGAACTGGAGCCTAAGTCCTTGAGGGCAGGCCTGGGGCCTGGGTCCATGAGGGCTGGCCTAGAACTTGAGTCTGTAGGAGTGGTCCAGGAGCCTTGGTTCAAGGAGTCTTCCTGGCTTCAGGATGTAGTGGGGTGGGTGTGGACCCTGTGTCTACTAGAGCCTGGCTCCATGGGTACCAGCCTAGAGCCTGAGGCTGGCTTGGTGCTGGGGTAGGTGTAGAGTTTGGGATCATAGAGGCTGGCCTAATGCCTGAAGCCAAAGTGACTGGTCTGGTGCCTGTGGCTGTGGGGGCCAGCCTGGAAGCTGGTTGTATGGGTGCTTGCCTGGAGACTAAGTCTGTGAGGGCTATTGTGGGTCATGCAACCACAGAGGCTGTCCTGAAACATGGGTCTGCTGAAGTGGGCCTGGATCCTAGATCTGCTGGAGTGTGGGGCTTAAGGGTCTAGCCTGGAGGGTGGAGCCACAGGGACTGACCTGGTACTGGGCAAGCCTGGAGCCTATATGCATGGTACTTACCTGGTGCCTAAGGCCAGGGGTGCTGGCATGGTTCTGCAGCAGGCCTGAAGTCTGGGGCTCTCTGGGCTGACCTCACTCTACACTAGTCTGGAACCTGGGGTGGGCCTGGAGCCTGAGGCCACAGGGGCTGATGTGATGCTGGACAGGCCTGGAGCCTGTATTGGCAGGGACTGGTCTGGAGGCTGGGTCTGCAGCTGGTGACCTGAGGACTAGGGCCATAGAGTCTGGCCTGGTGCTGGGGGTGTTCAGAGCCTATTATACCTGGGGTTACCCTGGACCTGGGGCTCATCTGGAGCCTAGGGCCACTGGGTTTGGCCTGGCAGTGGGGTGGGCCCAAAGACCAAGTCCCCAGAGCAGGCCAGGAGCATGGGATTGCTGAGCCAGCCTGGTGTGGGGGCAACCCGGATCAGTCTGTGGTTGATCCTAGAGTCTGGGGTTCTCTACCAACTAGAGTCTGGGGTTGTGGGGGCCTACCCTTCATTTGGGTTTTACCGGGACAGACCTGGTGTTGGTGTCCAAGGCAAAGACTGGTACTCATTTCCCTCTCCTCTCAAACAGAGGGTTTCCCTCTCCAGGATGTGTTGCCTGAGGTTGAAGAAGGGGTAATGTGGAGAGTGTAAAACTGTCCTTCCTACCTTCTTCAATGTGTCTTTTCTTATTTCTATGTTAATCTGTTCCCTTAGCTCTTGTGAAAGTATTTTAATCAGTGCCTAGTTGTTCAAATTTATGTTTCTGCAGGGCAATGACCATTGGAAAGTCTTAGTCTGCCATCTTGCTGATATCATTTCCCAGACTAAATAGAATGGTCATTTTAACTTTCTATGTATCCAAAACCTTTTCCTTCTGGCAGTAACACCCAAGTTGAGGATAACTCTTCAGACTTAAAGAAATTCTCCCCTCATAAGAGCCTAAGCAGGTAATTTCTCAGTCATTGATAAATATTGCTAAGAATGTCATGACAATGTAAAACTAGAATAATGATAGCATTCTAGTTACAATTCTTTTAAAGAAAGTTCTCAGCATAGTTTAGAATTGTATATACCAAATTATAAAATACACAGAGAGGAGAAAGTATGTGTGATTTCTAAAGGTCAGTGTGTAACTGTGTAGGTTTTCAGTCTGTCATCCTCCCTTATACCCCAACTCATTTCACATTTACAGCTAAGTAATAATATATACATAAATACATATGCATACATAAATGAATATTAAGAACATCATTTTTTTTGACAGAGTCTCGCTCTGTTGCCTAGGCTGGAGTGCAGTGGCATGACCTTGGGTCACTGTAACCTCCGCCTCCTGGGTTCAAGCAATTCTCCTGCATCAGTCTCCTGAGTAGCTGGGTTTACAGGTGTACACCACCATGCCCAGCATATTTTGTATTTTTTTGTTGTTGTTTTTTTAGTAGAGACTGGGTTTCACCATGTTGGCTAGGCTGGTCTTGAGCTCCTGACCTCAAGTGATCTGTCCGCCTTGCCCTCCCAAAGTGCTGGTATTACAGGCGTGAGCCACTGCACCTGGCCAAGAATATCATTTTTATCTCTCATTCGCCAAAATATGTTTTAATTTAAGCTGACATTTTAAAATGTGGTTTCTGTAGGTAGGTGCAGACAGGTGTATAGATTCTAATATATATTCTTAAATAGTGTTTTATAATTAAAACATATGCTTAAACATTATACATAAGACAGGCTTTTATAGCTGTGGAAACAATCAAGGCTATTTTTAGTTCCTTCCTCACACCAACAATTCACATGAAACCTCTAAAGACTCAAAATGCTCATGTTGAGTGACAATGTTCTTGCCATGCAAAATGTCTCATTCTCCTTTAGCTTACACAGTCATTTCTCTTTTGTTCTCTCATTTTTAAACATTTGTATGAGTTGTTAAGACTTTAAACTACTTTAAAACACTTAGACTTCTCTTTTATTAGTCAGATCAACCAGCACAAGGTCGGATACAGACTAAGTACTCAATACTTCTTGACTAGTGGAAACCAGTCAAGTACAGATTAGTGCTGCATTTTGTGGGAAGAGCACAATGTGTGAGAATCCAGGACCTGTAGATTCTAGTGCCAGCACTACCACTGACTAACAATGTGCTCTTTGATAGCTATCTACAAACTTCAGTTACCTCACCTATAAAGGGAAAGTTTGGCTAGATGACAATTAACAGCCTTTTGAGCTCTAGTACTTTATAAATTTAAGGAGTTTTCTGGCTCCATTTCCTATACTCTTCTAGGCTTATAGCAATGATTGAACCTTACAAATTAGCAAAAAATAATTATCTCCATCATATCACATCTGCCAGTCTCTCTTTGTGGATGATTCACAATTGTCATACAGCAAAGGCAAATTCAAAACATGGTTGACTTTCTTGTCAAAATTGAACTTACTCATTTCTCTGTATTTCTTTTTTTTGGGGGGGTGGCTAGGGGTGGGAGAGAGAGACGGGGTTTCACTGTGTTACCTAGCTTGATCTCAAACTCCTGGCCTCAAGTGATCCTCCCACCTCAGAACTCCTGGCCTTGAGTGATCCTCCCAACTCAGCCTTCCAAAGTGCTGGGATTATGGGCATGAGCCACTGCACCTGGTCTGATCAAAATTTTAAAGTCATATTTGGTGTATGAGTCAGGATTCCATCAGGAAGCAAAGGATATGCTCAAGTTAAGATAATGTGAGGTTTTGATAAAGGCATTATTTATGACAGGCATGAGCCACCACATCTGGCTCCTTATATTCCTTATCTCAGCTAATAACATCACCTATCCTTAGGGCCACCCAAGATCAAAATCTTTTTTCTTCTCCTTTATTTTTTTTAAATGAGATGAGGTCTTATTCAGTAACCCAAGCTGGAGTGCGGTGGAGTAATCATGGCTTACTGCAGCCTCAACCACCTGGGATCAAGCGATCCTCTCTCCTGTCTTCCGAGTAGCTGGAACTACAGTCACACTCCACCAGGCCTGGAAAATTTTTTATTTTTATTTTTGTAGAGATGGGGTGTTACTGTGTCGCCCAGGCTAGTCTTGAACTCCTAGGTTCAAACAGTCGTCCTGCCTCAGCCTCACAAAGTAGTGGGATTACAGATCTTAGCCACCACACATGGTCTGATCAAAATTTTAAGTCATATTTGGTGTATGAGTCAAGATCCCAGCAGGAAGCAAATGGTATGCTCAAATTAAGGTAATTTGAGGATTTAATAAAGGCACTATTTATGAAGGTGAGGTTAGAGTATATGGAAACCACAGAAGATGTGGTGTCCCAGACAGTGAGACTGGGGAGCCCATAGTCGACCACACAGGTTAACTTCCTAAGGCAGAGAGTGTGGTAGAGGGGGATAGAGGATGAATCTGGTGTGACAAAGAAAGATGTCCATTGCATGTGGCACTCCAGGTTTTTCTTTATCAAATTAAACTTATCACAGTCCTTTTCTGATAAGTTTATTCCACTGCAGTCTTTCTCCTTTACACTTACACTTCGATTCCACTCGTTCTGGCTCCCATTACCTTTGCTGAGGCCCATGGTCAATGACCCAGTCTCTTTCCATACCTCACGGAGCCACTAGCAATCCCTCAGTATGAACACTTAAAATGAAACAGATTACCTTTTCTACCCTGTCTATCAGGTATTTAATTTGTGTATTAGACAGTTCTACAGAGCCCTAATGCTCAGTGGAACATGGGTCAAATACCAGTACTCCATTGACAGTCTTTTTTGTATTCACCATCCTTTTTAAAGGGGTGTATCAGTCTGTTATCCCACACTGTAACTGGTCTGTTCTATCAGCCTCGAGTCTTTAGTCAGAGTCTTTAGTCAAATTCTTTCAGCATCAAGACTTCCATTAGGAATATCACAGCATAATCTGTGATTTTCTGTGGCAGGTGGCTCAGGGCATTAACATGAAATGTTCTTCCAGAGTCCTACACCAACAAATGATCATAAACATGGAACAAAGATGCCATCACGCACCTTATGTGCCTATGTGGTGGCAAATGAAAACCATAGCTTAAAAATAGAGCAGGATTGGGGTTAGTAGAAATCAGAAAGCCACAGATTTGTGGTGGCAAAATGAAAACCATAGTTTAAAAACAGCAGTATTGGGACTAGTAGAAATCAGAAAGTCACAGAACCGCATGAATTAGGCAAAATTATTGATACTTTGATATAGTCACATTCAGTGTGGCTGGCATATGTAACAGGCCCAAGAATGCCATTCTTAAGGAACTTCTTGATTTTCTAATTTTCTTCCTTAGAATATGCATTAATTCTAACCCTCACATGAATTGGTGTAATCATAAGATTATTTTTAATATACTTCCTTGTTGTTATTGTCATTTAAATAAACAAAATCACTAAATTCCAGGTAACATCAATAGCTGTAACACCTTCTATGCTATATTTAGATAATGCAGAATGTTCTTTGAAGTGTGGCGCTTCAGAAACTTTAATGAAAACATAATGAGCATTTTAGTTAGGTGACAGCATTTAGTTTTTATTGATGTAAGACACAGGAAAGTCTAGAATTGTACAATTAGCTGTATTCTAGAACCATTTTTTTAATTGACATTTTGGTCTGTGGCCATTCTATTAAAATTGCATGTGTTTAGGTTATAAACAGCCCTTTACAAGAATCAGATGACATCCCCATTCTGGTTTCTTTTGCTCTCAAAAATTATCTTGGTGAATGGTAAAAATTGTCAAACTAAAACAATATATTAAAACAGGAGTAAGAAATAATGGGCATGTATTATATGTCTCACTTTAGTGTTCGCCATCTTGGGTGGCATTTGTCTTCTTTAGTGACAACAAAGCAAACGACTCTGCTATCACTAAAGGAGAACCAGATTTTCAAATTCTTGAGGTATTTTATATCAAGGAAAATAATTTTTAAAGTCAAATTTGTTTTTAATCCAAAATTGTTTTTATACTTATTTTCTTAAGAATGACAAAGGGATATTTAGTTATAAATGCAACTTAGTCTGTTAAACATTTAACAAAAACTATACAAATACTTCAGTTCTTACAGACATATGACCAAAAATAAAAACACAGTCGACCTGAATTGAGCCCCAAGAAAAATAGGTTGGGAGCAGTGATTGGCCAAAACATTTCGAGAAAGCTTTTAGTGGTTGCAAAGAGGTAGTCTGTGGATAGAAGTAATAACTTTAACCATGGAAACCTCTTGGTCCTGAGCACTTTCAGCTTATTTATCCATCAGAGAAAAGTCAACAACATTGAAATCCCTGCACTAACACAAAATGGTCTCCTATCCCATTTTGGGATTGTCTAAGTTATACATATGACTGATTAATTATTATTTTTAAACTTTTACTCTTGTGTATTAATATAAATTGTAAAACCATCTTCTTTTTAGGCCCTGGAACCCTTTATGATAGTGATTTATTTGAGTTTTATCTAAGATAACTCTATTAGAGGTTCAAGGAATGTTGATAATTTGGTCTTAATGAATTTTAGTGTTAGGACTTTAAACACCATCTAGTGTAACATCACTGCTGACATGTGAGCTTCATGCTGCTTGAATGCTTCCTAGAACAGGAACCTAGCATCCTGCAGGCATTCTTGATAGAAACACAAATCTACCTTTCCGTAGCCTCTGTCCACAGGGTCTGCACTTGCCATCTGGAGCTACACAGAACAAGTTAATTTCTCTTTCCTGTGATAGACTTCACATAGTTGAAGACAAATTCTCCCTGCAATGTCTTTAGGCCTGCCATCATTTTTCTTGTGATGTGTTTTCTGTATTCCCAAATCCTCCGGCTGACCTTTTCTAGATTAGCTCCAGATTTTCAGTTTTAATTTAGAAGATAGTAACCAGATTGAGATGTAGTATTTTCCATGTGGTTTGATCATTTGCTTCTGGTATACACACATTGGGTTTCTTGTTCTACTGTGTTCTTTTGAGACAGAATGGAAGAAAAGGTCTTTTAGTGATTGCCAAAGTCTCCTCAGCATCTTTGCTGAACCACTTCACTAGGCTTACTCTCCTTCCTGTAGACTTCCATTGTCAAGCTCCAAGCCCGACCCAGATAAATTCTCCAGTTCATCTCTCTTCTTTGCTCCTCAAATCTCTTTGACTTAGAACTTATGGCACTAAAATCGTAGAGTCAAAATCAGACTTTCCTTTTATTAAATTCTGATTATAGTGGGTATTATTGAATCAAAGTACAGTGAATTAGGATTATTGCTATGACTACTATTAATGCTTTTTTTTTTGCATAGTGCTTTATAGCATTGGCTACTGGGGGGTCATATTTCAAACTTTTAGGGTATTTTGGTGCCTTTTTGTGATTACCAAAATAGCCATAATTGTCTGGCATAATTTTTCTTTCATGTAAAATAAATGCTTTTTTACACTGCTGTTTAGCATTTTCCAAGCACCACAATCACTAGAGGAATTGACATCATAAGTTAAAATGTACTGAGAGCCCACAGGGTGCCTGTCGTTGTCCTTGTCTCTTTATAACAGCTGTATCCATTGAGAACTGCTCTGTAGACTCATGGCCCTTTCCCTCCAGTTAATTTAGGAGCAGCTGCAGCCCTTGCAAAGTGAAAACCAAATGTCCTCTGGGATTTCCAAGAAACCTAATTCATTTTTCCACTGTAAATTAACTGGCTTCTCACTGTTAGTGTCTCTATGATTGTGACTCTCTCAATAATTAATACAGTATCATCTTTCATGGATATTATGTTTATAATAGATTTATTAAGTTGTTTTGCCAAAGAAGGAGAGAACAGCATATGTTTATTTGAATTTCCTTTTCCATCCACTTAATTTCTTCTTTGCTTTGGTAGTTTAAATATTTAAGCTGCTGGCTTCTTATTAGATTAATTGAGATACTGTCTAATTAATCCCGCAGAGGACAGAAATATTATTCTCCTCTTCATTTTTATAATTAAAAATAGTAAACAAAAATGAAAGAGTTCAAAACTAGTCTGATATAAAAAAGGCATTACAGTCTTAACTGAGACATGCTTCTCTTTCCGTCTTTCATAAATTGAGGTAGAAATTATATGCTGTAGCACATCCATGTATCATTTTTAAAAACTTTTTTCATGGCAAGCTCTTGCTATCTATTAATTATCTTAATTTGTGTTCTCTTAGATTGTGATAATTTATATTCCTAAGATATTGAAGTTTGAGCCTGGAGAGACTTAACATTTGATTTGGATGGACAACCACAATTTATGATGTTTGTTCAAGCTAGATTTGAGGGCTCTGAAGCCACAGGTTTGGGCATGAACTCTTGAGGGAACAGGTTTTCTCATGAAAACCTTGGCACTTCTACTTTTAACCATTACCAGTAACAGCTGTTAATAGTAGAGAATTAGGAACTATGACTTTCTAATTTGATATCTTTATTGATATATTGACCTACATAGCAGGATGTTTTTGGAGTTTTTGAAAGAGATCAAGTTTGATGAAATGAAAGGGAAAACAAATGATGAAAGAAAATCACATACTCTTCTTTTCTAAATGCGCTTAAAACTGTGAGAAGGGCCCAAAGAGAGCAGTTCTTATCTCCTTAAAGTCGGACTGAGAAGTCTTATTTACAGACCCCATTGTGTATCTAGTAGACTATGTACTCATTGCTAGACATTTTTAGGGCACTTTCTACTTCTACTATGTCAGTTTTGCCTAGCTCAAATTAAAGTTTCATTTTAGTATAGAGTAAGACATGAATAGCCTGCTAAAATAGCACCCCTACCTGTCTTCTCTAATTAGGGGATTTAGAGTTGAATATAACAGTGGTCTGGGGAAAATCAATTTCCTTGACTGTGAAGTTTAAACTGGATTCAAGATCTCAGAAATGAATATCTTAATAATAAACACTCTCCAGGAGTGATTTCTGCTGTAATTAAACTAATATTATACAATTTAAGGGGAAGGAAGTGGAAATAGAAGTTTGTATGTTATGCAGACTATATCACCCTGACTGTGATTTTTAATGAGGTTAAGCAACACTATTAATAGGGTGGCTTTTTTCTCCATAAATTTTAAGAACTGTAATCCTGACATGTATTAACATGAGTGTTTTTAGCTACTTTTATGCCTGTACTGTAATAATGCCACACTTGACAAGTAAGTGCCATCACGTATATACATATGTATTATGTATATACATCATATTATACGTATCATTAACATATCTCTGTTTGTTTATATGTTATTAGTTTCTATGGCTGTTTTGTCAAGTCACCACATACATGGTGGCTTAAAACAACAAAATTTATATCTGAGAGGTCAGATCTGGATGTCAAAATTGAGATCTGGAGATCAGAAATCTGAAATGGGCCTCAGTGGGCTAAAATCAAGGTGTGGGCAGGACTGCATTCCTTCTCGAGGCTCTAGGGGAGAATGTGTTTCTTTGACTTTTCTACCACCTAGGGGCTGCCTGCATTCTTTGGCTCATGACTCTTTTCTTCAACTTTATAGCCAGCAGTGGCCAGTCAAGTCTTTCTCACACTTTATTATTCTGACACTGATTCTCCTGCCTCCTTCTTTCATTTACAAGAACCCCTGTGATTACATTGGACCCACCTGTTTAATTCAGGCTAATCTTCCTAAACTAGTGGATTGGCAACATTAATTTTCTCTGCAACCTTAATTTGCCCTAGCCATGTAACATTACATATTCACAGGTTGTGGGAATTAGGACGTGGGCATCTTTAGGGGTATATTATACTTTAATCTGCTTACCACAGTATCTGACTTAAATTTTAAGATGAGTACACTGGGTGCTATGTTAATAGTGCACTGAAGGGGCGCAAGTGCAGAAGCAGGAAGACTATGTAGGAAGCTAATGTAGTAAACCATATGAGATAAAATGGTGGCTTAAACAGGGTGGTACTAGCAATGGAGGTGATGAGAAGTGGCAGGATCCTAGACATATTTTCAACATAATTTGCTGACCAATTAGATGTGGGATATAAAAGAAAGAAGAGTTGAGTATATTCCGAAGTTTTAGGTCTGAGCAATGGGGAAAATTAAGCTGGCATTAATTAAGATAGAGAAAACTATTCAAAGAGCAGGTTTAGGGTGTCAGTGGTGGGGCAGTGTGGGCCAGGGAAGAGGAGCCAGGGGGAGATCAAGCACTTAGTTTTTGCATAAGTTTGAGATGCCTGGTAGTGATTTTAGTCAAGCAGGTCTGTCCTCCACCAGGGCCAGAGGTATAGGTCCTATGGGAATTTCTGCCAAAGAATTGCAGATTGAATTTACTTGCCACCGTGTATTTCCCTTCTCCTCTTTATTAAAAAAAAAAAGGAGGAGAGCTATCTGCCTTTTAAATAACTATTTGTCTTCCTTCAGTATATATAAAAAATCCAAGTGGAGGTGTCAGGTAGTTAGATAGATAATTCTGGAATTTGGAAGAGTGGTCTAGCCTAGAAATATAAATTTTTTGTTCTTTAGCATGTAAATGGCATTTTAAAGCATGAGAGTGAATGTAATCACTTAGGGAGAGAATATAGATAGGAAAGAAGAGACCAAAGTCTGAACTCTGGAACACTGCAATCTCAAGAGTTTGGAGGAGTTGAAAGGAAACCAGCAAAGAAGAACTAGAGTAGCCAGTGAAGTAGGATGCAAGTCAGGTCTGCTAGATCTGATTTCCAAAATGTCTTCAGAATGCCATAGTATTCTTAGATCAGAACATGGTAACTGGTATATTACAGACAGTTGCTTTTGAAAAATTATATTGGATAATTGGACTATTTCCATACACATATCCTGCTATCAGAGTTCCTTCCGGATCCACTGATAGTTCTGCATTTACTCTCTGTCCATGTAATATGAGGTTTTTGAAGTTTAATGAGATACTCTTGAGAATATATGTTAATGCCATCTTTAGAGGGTGATATATCTGTGTAGGCTCTGTATTAAATATGAGAGTTCAGAATGGAGTAAGAAATTCAGTTGCTTCATTAAGCTACAGAAATTATAATTTTAGGAGATTTGACAATTTTATATTCTTTTGAATATCCTCATTGTTGACAAATTTCTTTTGCTTTGAATGGATTTAACTTTACAGAGTATCTGCAGTAATTTGTGTGTTGTTGAATAGAGCGAAAATTGGAAAATCAATATAACATTCTAGAAGGTAATTGGCATCATATACCAAAACACTTAAATTTTTATATAGACATTGATATAGTAACTCTTCTGACAGGAATTTATTCTAAGGAAACAGTCTTATATATATGTGCAAAGATTTTTTTTATGATATTGTTCATTATAGTGAAAAGTTAAAAACAATCTAAACAGTAGAGTATTAGAAAAATAGATTTTAGGATAACCATTCAGCATAATACTATGGAGTCAACAACGTATAATATTATGGAAAATATCAAATGAAATAGAATAAAAGTGGAAAAATCAAAATATCAAACAGTATGTGAAAAATTCTGTATGTACACATATATATGGACATAAATATGTAGAAAAGGATATATTTGCAAGTGTTAAAATTCATCTCTACATAGTAGAATTGAAAAACATTTTCTTTTTTCATTATTTTTTCTAAATATTCTACAATGAACATATATTAATTTTGAAACAAAAAATATATTTCAAAGAAGATAGAATTATGGTTCTTCAGGCATGTGCGATAGTTAATGTGGGTAATCAAACAGTCTTTGCTCAGTACTAAAACTATAAAAGGAATTTTTAATTTTTGGAACAATAGCAACACCATTAAAAGAAATGGATAGCTTCCCAAAGAGAATAATTTGAAAAACAGCCCTGATTTGGATTTGGAAGTTCTGGGATTTTGAGGGGGTGTTGGGGTACATTTTAAATTGAGCTTTAATTTGCATAGTAAAATTCACAGATTATACATTTGTGTAACCAACATCCAAATTAAAATACAGCTGGTATATTTGTCTGAAAAAAAATCATTGTTTTTCTTTCAACAGTATTATACCTTAAATAATTTCTTAAAGCAGTATAGATCTTTCAGGGCATTTTCTCTTTGTTGGTACTTGGAATCATGCGTCTTGATCTCACTATCTCTTGGAGTAGTGTGGCCAAATTAGCAGCCCCATACATGGGCTCTCAGTGATGAGGTTCAGTTTGCCATGTAGGTTTTGCAGGGCGTCCAGTTTATGGAAAGCTGAGAATGCCTCCTCTACCAACTAAAGAAGCAGAATTGCCCAGGTGCCTGGTAGTGACTTTGGTCAAGCAAGTCAGTCCTCCACCAGGACCAGAGGTATATGTCCTATGGGAATTTCTACCAAAGAATTGCAGATTGAATTTATTTGCTCCCATCTATTTCCCCTCTCCTGTTTATTAAAAAAAGGAGGAAAGCTATCTGCCTTTTAAATAACTATTTCTCTTCTTTCGAACAACTTATAGGATATTTGTGTTGCCCACTAGTTGCATTTTCTAGGTGAGGATTGTAAGGGTGGTAAATAAGAACTAACTTCCATTTTGCCTTTGCAATGACCTCTGGTCCTCCAGTGATTTATGACCTACTGGTCTAGAGGGGTGTTTGTAACTTCCTGACATACTCCTGAACTGCTTCATAGGACCATCTTTTGCCAGACCACCCTGAACTGCCAGTGTCAACACTACTTGCACAAAACTTAATAAATGAGTTTTCTCCAGTATTGAGCCCCTAAGAAACATCCTTTTTTTGCTGTGACTCCAGATACTTCTAACCAAAATTAGCTCTGAGTGGCAGTTCCATGTCATTAATGGGCTTTTAATTTTTTATTTCTTGGATTTGAAGTTTCATTTCAAAGACCACCTGACAGTAGATCATTTAGTTATTCCAGTGGTCTGCAGCCATGAGAACTTCTAGAACTTGAAATAACAATAATTAACTTATATTAGGAGAGTTTATTATGTTCCAGGCAATATTGTTAAGCACTTTCATGGCTTTTCTTACTTAATTCTGATAACAAACCAATGAAGTTGTAGGGATTATTTTGGCTATGTTTTGCAGATGAAGTAATTGAAGCTAAGAAAGGGTAGGTATTTACAAATAGGAAATAATGGTGCAGGAGTTCCAATAGTGGTTGTGCTCCCAACTGCTGTACTATATTATCTACCCAAATTGATTCCTGCCATCTATTGGTTCTTAACATTATTGTGTATAATTGATGTTAAGTTGCTCATAAAAGGCTGGCCTTCTCTTCCTCAGTATGTACTTTTCAAGAAAGCTAAACCTAGCAAATCTAGCCCTCCAAGAAAGAAAGGAACTCCAGGCCAAAAGGAACAGCTCTGATCCTGCTGCTAGTTAGTATCAGGCTCCTGACACCTGGTAAAGGTCAAGCATTGAACACTAGGGCTTTTACCTTACCCACCTTGCCAAGTAATTTTCATTCCTCATTTTAGTTTCTGTTGACTACCTGGCTGCAGTAATACTATTCTCTTTCAAGAAATCCTTTGTCTTCAGAGGCGTGCATCCACTCAGCCCATCACTGATCTCCCTTCCTTCATCCAGCAGCATCAGAAGCTGACTGCTCACCCTGAGATAACTTCATAACCTCTGACTCAACCTTGGTTTTATTTAGGAGCAGGCTTCCTTGTATATAACTTGGCTATGAGCTTCATGAGGACATGAATTGTATCGGTTTTATTTACTGTGGTATCCTTAGCACCAAGAAAAGTATTGGGAACTGAGTAAATTCTTGTTGAATGATTAAATTATGTGCTAACATGTGTATGCACCGTATGGGAAGCTCAGGTATCTGTGCTCTGGTAATGCCCTTAGTCCTCATTAGTGCCACTAGAGACTACAGAACAATCTCAAGCAAACAAATGGTATATGCTCCCCTTACCAACTTGCAAATGGCCATTATTCACCCACTTCATGGGAATGGTCATAGTTTAATGCTGTATTCCTTAAAGCCCAGACCTTGTCCTGACCAGAGAAATTTGGAGAGTTATCAGATAATGGCAGTCACATGCAAGAAGTGGTAGAGGAGAGATGTCCCACATACGTGAGACTTTAAGTACTAACCTGGATTGAGAAATATTTTATTTGACAAAACTAGTGCAGCTGTGACATTTCTATCTTTCATCACTTGACATTACTTTGAGGTCTTGATATTTACTTCACTCAAGGGACAGAAACTTCTAAGCCCTCCCATGCTAGATTTTTGGTGTTTTCAGGCTGTCTTATGAGATTTATCTTACTCTGTACTCACAGTGCTGCCTCCCAAATAACACACAGAATTTCTATGTTGTTGTGCAGATTTTTATAATATGTACTTAGTTTTCATTCTTATGCAGGTGACCTTCATGTTGCAAGCAGGATGAGTTTATACAGTATCTCAGGGGTACGTTCTATTTGATTGCCCTCCCTGCCTACACACACACACACACACACACACACACACACACACACACACACACACACAGAAAGAGAGAGAGAGAGAGAGAAAGAGCGAGCGCAACCTGTTCTTTGGGATACATTACATTATCTAGCCAGGTGATGTACTAATACAAAAACAATTTTAAAAATAATTTTTCTGCACTCTGATACCTCCTTCAATTTGTTGATGAAGCTGTTGCTATAAACTATTAGCAAATACAAAGTTCTTCATTCAGTTCAAACACAGACAAATATATGTATCTGGTGCTAAATGGTTCCTGGTTTCTTTTTTATTTTTCCAGGCAAGAAAACTGATCAGTGATTTTGCCATTATCTTGTCCATTCTCATCTTTTGTGTAATAGATGCCCTAGTAGGCGTGGACACCCCAAAACTAATTGTGCCAAGTGAGTTCAAGGTAGGTGAATGTCTATCTTTTGGTCATTCCTGGAACTCTTTTTCTTTCTTTCCCCCTATTCTAATTTATTGTGTTTCTCTTTGAGTTAGTTTTGTACAATTATCCATATTTTTTTTCCAAAATCAGTCCCTCTTAGGCTCATATATACATGTAGTTTAATTTCTTCACTACAATTAAATGTCAAGACTAGGGTTTTTATTTAAAACAACTGATAATACTATTATAAACTCTGGCTTATAGTTTTAGAATAAATATCCAAAATATTTTATATAACTTATTACCTTGATCTATATAATGACTCTGGGAAATACGTATTGTAACTATCATCCTCCTGATTTTTTCTTTTTTGAGACAGGGCCTTGCTCTGTTGCCTAGGCTGGAGTGTGGTGGTGCAATCTCAGCTCACTGCAACCTTTGCCTCCTAGGTTCAAAGAATCCTCCCACATTAGCCTCCCAAGTAGCTGGTGCTGTAGGCACATACCACCACCCCCAGCTAATTTTTTAATGTTTTGTAGAGACAAGGTCTCACTATATTACCCAGTCTGGTCATCATCCTGATTTTATAAAGTTAAGATTGAAGCTCAAAGAATTAAGTAAAATGCCTAAGATTATGGAACTAGTAATGTCAAGATGTGAAGTTAGAACCCAAGCCTCCAGAAGTCTAGTCTAATACTCTTTTCATGCTATGAAACTACCTACCACACGCATGTATATATAATGTGAATTGTAATTATTACAAAGTAGATATAATAATTACTTAACTTACGAACCTATTGATATGTGTAGGTAATGGATAAAATTTACATTCCAGTCATTCCTAAATATATTCCTAGCTAATTTTTCACTACAAGTCTTTTATCTATTTTCTAGAATAATCCTCCTTCCCTCCACTACTGAGATCATATATTTGCTAAGAATTATTAAGCTAGTTGCAGTTTTAGTTTAATAACTGCTTAATGAGGAAGGGATATATATGTTATAACACACATTATTTTTTGAATTGTCTCTGCTATCACATATTCATTAGTAAAGATAAGTTCTCACCCATTCAACCATTAATTCATTTGAGTTAATATTTATTGAATATTGAGTCAGGCTCTAAGCTGGAAATTTGAAATGCATTGATGAGTAAGACAAATTTTTTTCCCTGACAAGCTCACATCTGCTAATTGTAGTAAAATGAGGTTAGATTCAGTGACAGAATTATGAGACAGATGATGGGAATGTCCTCAGAAGAGAAGTGAGACTTTCTTGATAGCAAATATGGAGAAAATAATTCACAGTGTTCTATTTTAGTTTTTTATTTGCATTGTTGAATGTAAGGAAAAGCGTAGGAAACCCTTTTTTTTCTGTAGTAGACATATATGATCTACTGATGGAAAACAGACTAAGAACTGCAAAAATGACAGTTTTTTCCAGTTTTTTTTTGTGATTTTCCTAAAATTTACCCAGTTATTATAGATCATTATTTCATATGTAAAATAAGAGACCAGAATTTTTACATTAGTTCACTTATATAAAAACAGTTATGGCTTTTTATATATATTATGAAGCTGTTAAAATTCGGCAATAGTATAAACAATTTCATTATAATTGCTAAAACCCATGAACAAAATTCATGGTGATTTGGTAATTTCTTGCTACCTTTTTACTGAATTTCTTGCTATCTTTTTACTTTTTACCTTTTACTTTTTACTTGCTACCTTTTTACCTTTTTACATTTGGAGTTTTCTTCTGGCTACTCTTTAAACTTAAATCAGTTTCTTCCATTTTGAGTCCTTATCTTAAACCATCCCAAATATGCAAAATGCCATTCACTTATTTTCCAACAGCCCATACTCTTTCTCTACTTTCTTTAAAGAATTGCCTCAAAAATAACATCCTTTGGGAGAGTTTTGGTGAATAATCTTCATTCTCTAGCTCATAACTGTTTATATTTCTCAATATGTTGGTTATCCAAATATAAAAGCATGTCTTCCCGTTGGTTTTTTCACCAAATAGTATATATTAACCTGATAATTTTCTGAAAAATGTCATCTGTCTTTTTCAAGCCAACAAGTCCAAACCGAGGTTGGTTCGTTCCACCGTTTGGAGAAAACCCCTGGTGGGTGTGCCTTGCTGCTGCTATCCCGGCTTTGTTGGTCACTATACTGATTTTCATGGACCAACAAATTACAGCTGTGATTGTAAACAGGAAAGAACATAAACTCAAGGTAAGTGTCCATAATAATGTCTGTCATTGCCTTCTACTTTCTTTTTAGTACTTGAAAACACTAATTGATTAAAAACCAAGGGAGCTTTGTTGGGAGTTACTATAGCTAATGTTCCTTAAGAGTCCGCAGAACCAGAGATCACTTTGTATTGGTACATGTCTTCAATATAACACTTTAGGGAGAGCTCATTTAAATCTGAAAAAAAAAAAAGGTTTCAAATCATATTTCTTTCACCAGCAAAGAGAATACAAACATAATTTACTATTTAGCCACAGTCATCCTACATCTGATTTTAGTGGAGTAACTATCCTCAATAAAGACAATGACAATCAAAGATTTAATTAATTTATACTGAGCATCTGCTTTCTCTTAAATCAACTCAGGTTTATTCTTAAAGATTATTCAGATAGTTCATGGTTGTAAGCTGGTGGTGTACATCCTGTTTTTTGTCTTCACATACTTGTGTCAGTATGTTATTAACCATAAAGAAGGGAGAAAAATGCTTTATTTTGGACATTTTAAAAATCAGTTATTAACTTTGTTATGAGTCTAAAGAAAATGCCTTAGTGGTCTGGGATATCTTTCAAGAGAGCTGCCTAAAATGCTCTTACTTTATATAATGTTTTTCCAGCTCCAGTGACTTTTTTAGTTGCAATGGATTTTTACAATACCATTTGAAGAAGTGAGATATGAATGGTAACAATAATAAGAGCTATTATTTAGTGGAGGGCTACTATGAGCCAGGCCATCTTCTAAGCACTTTGTATTATATATTAACTCGTTAACTTTTCATAACCACCATATGAGGGAAGCATGAAAATGCATTAGAGTCTGTTACCCAGAAGGAGAGGATATTACTAAGAATAGAGTTCAACACAGTAGGTATAGCAGGAAAAATATTCAGGAAATATAAAGAATTGGCTGACTACAGAAACCCATTGAGCAGAGGAATGAGAGAGATGAGGAAGATTCTGATAAACTATCCAAGTAGGGAGAACTTAAAAAGCTGTAGATCATGGTAAGAAAGGAGTAAATCCCATAATAATAAGACCAGGAGAAGAAAATTAAAAGCTTTGGTCAAAGAAGAGATGTTTAGATTTTGAGAGTTTGGAAGGAGAGAAAGCTGAGATTGATGAACTGGTCCAAAGCATGTGGCTAGCTCCCGAAGCATGTTGACAATGACGTCCATCAAAACTTGTAAGTTAGAGTAATGTGAGTCTGGTGAACTGAAAGTATCACCTGCCTCAATATTGATATGATTGGAAAGTGGCACAGAGCATGGTAGAGAAGAACATCATGGGAAAGTTGCTAAAACCATAAGTAAAAGTATATAACTGTCCTGGAGGTCGGCATATTTAGTGATGTGGAAGGGCAGAATGAAGAATAACTGGGCTTCAATACAAGGCAGTTCATAAAGCACGAAAACAAGTGAGGTATGCTCCCATCTAACATGGAGAGTAAAACAAACAAACAAAACAAACAAACCAACAAAAAAACTAGACTGTCACTAAAGAACAAATCTCTGCAAGAAATCAGTGCTCCCAAAGGAAACCAAGTGGTTTTCACTTATGATGAAAGAAAAGGTTGCAAATTCAGTTGGAAAATTACATTAAAATGACTTTCCCCCTATGCCCACTCCTGCCGTGAGTAGATACTGTACTGCTCTGAGATACTTTTAATTCTAAGATCATTGAGCTTCTCACATTCTGGTAATGTTGGGTTATTTGCACTTGTTACATGGCAGCTGACTTAAGAATTAAGAAGTGGAAGATGCTAGGCCATTAAATGGTTATATCTGCAACTGGCACAGCCTTACTTCTTTACTTTGCTGTAGTCAATGGGTCAAAATAGTCACAGGGGCAGCCTCCATTCAAGGGGGTGAGGGGGGAATTCTCCTTTTAATGGGGGAATGGCAAGGTCGTATTACAGAAAACCGTGTAAGATAGGAGATGTTTTCCAGCCATTTTTGGAAAATAAAATCTGCTACATTTGTACTGAAAAATTTGCCATAGTCTAGATCTTGGTGATTGCTTCCCCGTGGTATCATTTAAGCATATATACATATATACATATATACATATATATATATATATATATATGTATATATTTATTTATTTATTTATTTTTAGACAGAGTCTTGCTCTGTCACCCAGGCTGGAGTGCAGTGGCTTGATCTCAGCTCAATTCAACTTCTGCCTCCGGGGTTCAAGTGATTCTCCTGCCTCAGCCTCCCGAGTAGCTGGAATTACAGGGGCATGCCACCATGCCAGCTAATTTTTGTATTTTTAGTAGAGACGGGTTTTTGCCATGTTGGTCAGGCTGGTCTTGAACTCCTGACCTCGTGATCCGCCCACCTTGGCCTCCCAAAGTGCTGGGATTACAGGCATGAGCCACCATGCCTGGCCCATTTAAGCATATTCTTCTGTCTTCTGTGCTTCCTTTAAATTGGCCATTTGATCTAGAAGCTTGAGGAGATATAGTTTTGATATTGCATATCTATCTATCTTTGTGTATGTGTATATATACACACATATAATATATACACACATATATGTATATATGTGTGTATATACATATCCTTTCTTATATGTATATGTATATGTATACACACATATACATATACATATCCTTTCTTACCACGATCTACAGCTTTTTAAGTTCTCCCTACTTGGATAGTTTATCAGAATCTTCCTCATCTCTCTCATTCCTCTGCTCAATGGGTTTCTATAGTCAGCCAATTCTTTATATTTCCTGAATATTTTTCCTGCTATACCTACTGTGCTGAACTCTATTCTTAGTAATATCCTCTCCTTCTGGGTAACAGACTCTAATGCGTTTTCATGCTTCCCTCATATGGTGGTTATGAAAAGGTAATGAGTTAATATATAATACAAATATGTCTACATATATGTATATGTATACACATATGTCTACATATATGTGTGTATATATTATACATATATGTGTATATATACATATGTGTGTATATATACATATGTGTGTGTATATATTATACATATATGTGTGTATATATACATATATGTGTGTGTGTGTGTATATATAGAGAGAGAGAGAAAGAGAGAGAGAAGCCCAAGACTAATTTATAAAAGGCCAGATAACTTTAAACTACAAGTTTGCCTTAGGAATTTCGAGGCCACAGAGATAATGTGAATTCCAGCTCTAAACCCAATTGTAGAGTTGTGGTTAGGAATATCCCTATCCTGGGAGATTCTTTCTTTCTTTTCCCTTCTTTTGGCATTATACCCAATGGCAAGGCTGAGAGAGGCATGTGTTCCCACTATCTTTCTCTGTGGGGTATTTTTTTTTTGATTGGCCAACTGAGTATGCCATGTTTAGAGTGTACTCGTTTTATTTTGGGTGGTATCTCCCATCTATGCCCTCTCCCACAGAGCCCGAGAATTGGTCTCTGTCCCAAGAGTTCAGATGGTCATTCTAATTCAGGCCGTAAGCCTCCAAGGATTGGCACGGTCTCTCTCAGGGCAGTCCCAGGCTCCAGGGCTTACTAACTCCAAGGATTTGCTTCTTCGCGTGGCTGTTGTTTTTTGTATCCAATTGTTCCTCTTTCTAGTGGATGAGCCATAGTTTCTAAAATATATTTTCTGTGTCTTTTTGAGCATTTTCAGATGTTCTGTATTGAGAGGGTTTCTGATGTTGGTTTAGTTTACCAAAGGCTAGAAATGGTTGTTGACTAATATTTTTATTCTGAAAAAAATTTGTTAACAAATTCTTAATTATGATCTACGGTTGGCTAGATTTATCCTGTATCTTTGGAGGTAAATAAATCTCCTACTAATTTTTACTCACTATGTTTTCTTATTGATAAAATTCAGAATTTAGAATTTCGGAAGTTTAGGAATGATAAAATACAGACATTTTTAATCTTATTTTCAGTAGAAAACATTAGAAAATCAAGGTTTATTAGGGTTTGCCTCTTAAAATAAGAGTTGAATATATAAAAAATAAGTTTTCATCACCTTCAGAATTGCCACTTGAAATCATTCTTTTGAATAATGAGAGTTATGGAATAGGTGTCAGTCTTTTGTCACAAATCTAATGATACCAGTGAACATTTCATCATTAATCAAAGGCTTTTCACTCTGAAAATTGTTTTGTTCATATTTTGTTAGGAAAGGAGAGCTGTGGAATATGAACACTGGAGATTCTGTCTAAAATTGTAAAGGGCCTTAACTGCTATGAAATTGTTTCAAAAGAGAAAGCTGAAACTGAGAGAGATAGAAGCATTGTGGTATTAAAAACAGCATGTTTTTGGGTGGCATTTGCTTTGGCTTCCGGTCAAGTGGCTCTGGCTGTCTGTTCTGCTTGGGATGGGATCCACCTTTCCACTCTGCTGAACACCTCAGTATTGATGTAGGAACGCCAAGACACTTGGCTTTCTTTGACCATTATTTTGGTTGTTTATGCCCTGCATTAGCCCTGCAGAGTGCTCAAAAGCAAGCCAGGGTCAGCAAGGTCATGATTCCTTTAAGGTCATTCCCTGAGTCATTGGCAGAAGAAGGAATAGAGTCTGAGCTTCAGACTGCAAAGTCAGAGATACTTCTCACAAGGAAGGTGATTTCGAGAGTGTTATAGATTGGGGGTAGGAGGGAGAAATAATTTAGGATAGATATCTAGAAATAGATATGAGGTGGTTGTGGCAACCAATTTGCTCTGATATCTTTTATGGGAAAACCCTTAATTTGAGGGTGTTCTTTTTGGATAACTCCCAAATTCCTATTTTTGCCCTACTTTCATTTTTCCTTTTTATTTCTACTCTCATAATCCTATAGACTCAGTCCTTTTATTTTATGCCTAGACTCTTCTAAAGGGTTAGCCATAATAACCAATCTTCCTTGCTTCATTCCAAAAGCCTTCATTTTTTTTTTAAATGCTATTCTTGTATGTCAGTCCTGTGTTTTTAAACTTTCACACTTTGGCCCCTTTAAATCTTTACCTCTCAAAGAACTTCCATTTGTCCTAGCCTGGGTTTTAAGACTCTTTGCCAGAGTACCACGACCTAAGTTTAAAATGGCTTTCTTCAAATGCTAGCCAGTGCTCTAGTCAAATGAACAGTTGAGTTTTCCTTAAGCGTGACAGTTTCTTCTGCTAGGTACTCCAGCCAGAAACCTCTTCTCCTTACTTCCTAATGATTGCTATTTTTCAAAATCCTCTCCATCCTTTAAGATAATTCAAATACAAAAACTTCTCAGTGTAGCTTTCACCTTTAATGTAATTTATATTTCTCTTGTTTTTGCTCTTAGTATATTTGTATTACTCTGTGGCACAGATCACATATTTCTTTTACAGTATCTGTTTTGTATAATTACTTTATCCCTTTTCTTGGCCAAAATGTTTTCAAGGTCAGGACCATGTTTTATTCCTCTTTTCAGCTCTCGTTTGGCCCACCAGTTTCATATGGTAGACTCAATAAATACATGTTGATGAATTTTATTCTCTTTGGCCCACATGGCTCTCAGTTGTTACACTGTGTGAAATGGGTGATAACTGCAAAACATATAAACTCTCCACTTCTCAAAGTGTGTGCTTATATTGGTCAAAGCCCTGTTTAGATGTCATCACTGCAGGGAGTTTTTGTGAATTTACTGTAGACATAGTTAAACACTTCATTATCTGTACTTTTTATTATCGTTTCCAAACCTCTTTGAATCTCTATTCAGAGTGCATTATAATTTGTGTACAAGTCTGTGTCCCCTTCTTCAATTCTGAGCCCCTTGGTGGGAGGAACCATGTCATGGCTCTTAGTGTCCCCATAAATGAGCATATTGTCTGGATCTTTGTGGGCCCCTAGCATGAACGTCTATTCTGTGTCCCTGCATGTCCCAGTGTTTACTGCTCCTCACCTCTCCTTTGTTATCAACTATGTACCACATGTAAACTTTAGGCCGCTGGGCTAGTCTTTTTCTTTCATAGATTTTGATTTCTGTGGATTTATTCCTAAATGATTTGTACTCTGTATTAGTAAAGCATATACAATTTCAAAAGGAAATAAAGTTTCACTTTCTCTCCTTGTACTTAAAATAATCTCCAGTTTCAGAAAATAGAACAACCGTTTGGTTTGTATTCATGGAAACAAGAAGTCTTTTAAACTTTAAAGGGCATATTTAACCTTTTGAGCATTTATTGAGTGCTTGCTATGTATGGAACACTTGTGTTAGATGTTGAAGATAAAAATTGTTCTACATTGCCGTCTGTGCCCTGAAGGAGTTTAATGGATTTTCCCTATTCACCACCTGTCTATTACAACACCAAGGTTGGAATTGACCATGCCTTTCTTTGTGCCTTGTACCTTGCATGAACATTAAATTATTTGTTTTCATGTCTGCCCTCAATTAATAATCTGTATCTGTCAATGAATACTTATTAAAGAATCATTTCCTATCCAAAGATATGAGCAAATGCAAAAGGCCCAGGGAGGGAAGGAGCTTGGTATATGGAGAAACATATAGTAGGCCAGTGTGACTAAGACTTGGGGAATTAATTCATTGAGATGAGGTCAAAGTTAACGGGGCCAGGTCACATGGAACAAAGTTTCTGAACTTCAGCATTATTGACAGTTGGAAATTTTTTTGTTGGTGGTAGCTTTCCTGTGCATTGTAGGCTGTTTATCAGCATTTCTAGTCTCTGGCCAGTAGAGGCATTTACACCCTCCAGCTGTGACAACCAAAAATGTCTTCAGGCATTGCCAAACGTCCCTTGGGAGTGGAGATGAGAGCAAAATAGTTCTGGGAGGAGGCTCTGATGTAGAAACTTAAAGATAATTTTGCAGCGTTTAGTTTTTCATTCTAAGTGAAACAGGAATCACTTTAAACAGGGAAGTGGCATATAATGATTTCGATTTTTAAAAAAGATTCATTCGTGAGGAGAGTGGGTTGTCAGGGACAAGAGAAAAACAGGGACGTTTGTGGTGAGAGCAGCATTGAGGGCTGAGGGTTGGTTGCTGGATGGTGTGAAGGAAGAAGGGGAATTTGCATGGAGCACTGAAAGGAGAGAATGGCTTTAAGCAAATGTCAAGGAGTAGAAGCAGAATCCCAATTCAAAGAGTGGCACATAGGAAAGTGCAGGAGCACAGAATATGCAAGGCACATTTAGGGATTTGTAGAGTTTCTGGAATCCCTGAGGGCCTCCTCAGAGTTTTAGATGCAGGAGCATGGAAAGGGAGGCTTTGTATTGCTCGGCCTTCTCAGCTGCCTGTGGCCTCCCCTATTCAGCGATATCCAGCTTGGGCTTGATGGGGTCAGAACTGCATTTGAAACACTCAGTCTGGCAGCAGTGAGGATGGATGGGGGAGGAACAAGAGTGGAGGTGGGTGGGGGGAGCTGAGTGGAAAGGGAAGGTGGGTGGGAAGAGGCTGCTGCATAATCCAGGAGAGAAAGGATGAGAATCTGAAAAAGGTAATGGCAGTGGGGAGGAGGAGTACAGAACAGATAAAAAGTTTCATATGTTATTTTTGAAAAATACTGTTTTCCATATTTCTTGCAGTATTCTTTATATAAAAAGGACCAGTATTTGAATATTATTTTTATTCCATTCAAATCTAGTCATTCAGATACTTTTAACTCAAAGGGACATCTTAGAAGTGGCTTGTTTTTATGCATATATAGGTGGTTTTGCAGAAACAACTTCTCTGACATAACCATTTGCATTCTTGGGTCTCATGGCAATAGTTTGGGGCAACATGAATTTGAAGCATAGCTTTTACCATTCTGTTCAACAAATGTGTCTCCAGAGTTTAATGTTTGTCGGACACTGTACTAGACATGGTAAGCCTTACATGTTGAAATTTGGCAAAATAAATTTATCACTTTTTTATCTTTGACCTTGTTCTCCATAAACTCTCCCCAGTGTTGTTCCTTTAGTTTAAACTGCATCTTCTCAAACCTGGATTATAACAGTGTTGTCGTGTCTGTCCTCTGCCTCTAATCTTGACCACTCCCAATATACCGTTTATAGTCCCAACAGAGCCATCCTTCTAAATAGAAATCTGATTATATCACTTGCCTGCCTAAAACCCTTCAGTGACTTCCTATTGCTCTTGTGATAAAAAATTCCAAAGCCTTTAGCAAAACATAAAAGTTCTTAACTTCTCTAGCCTAATTTTCTACCTCCCCCATCTTCTCCTGTGCACCAAATCTATTTCATTTTCTCAGAATGGCAACTTGCTTTACATAGTTTTTCACGTACTTCTTATCTCTGAGCTGGTTATGGCTCATATTTTAGAACTCAACCTAAATACTACCCCCATGCAAACCATCCCTGACTTTGCGCTAAGTTGGGTACCCCTCCTGGATGCTTTCTTAGCACCCTGAATTCACCCCTACTGTAGGCCTTTAACACTGTGGTTTTATAAACACCTGTTGTTTTGACCAGCTCTACCATTCCAGTAAACCACTGGAGGGAAGGACTGTGTATTATTTATAACTTTACCTCCAGGGTCTAGCAGAGTGCCATTGAATGAGCGAATTAGCATTTATTCATTTATCCATCAAACATTTATCTATAGTATCCATTCTGTGGTACGCACTGTGCCAAGTGCTAGTTTGGTGGTGAACAAAAACATACATGGTTCCTGTCCTCATGGAACTGTGAGAGAGAGAGGCACAATTCACATAATTATGCACAATGTGACACCGCAAATGTGGCTGATGTTGTGAAGGAGAAGGAGATGGTATGTTGAGAGGGAGTTCCCTAATGTGATGGCACTTATATTGAGACCTAAAATGTTAGCAAGAATTAGCTAAATGAGGCTGGGTGGGAAGACTATTTTGGACACCCAGAGAAATCAGTGTGTATGCATAGGCCTTACAAAAGGAGGTACCTGGTGAGAACCAGTGATTGAAATAATCCTGTGTGGCTGCAATGAGAGAGTTGAGGCTGGAGAAGAGGTAGAGGCAGACCAGGTAGGGCCTTCAGGTCACATTGGTGATTTTCCCTTCCCCTTAAGAACAAAAAGAAGTCCAGTGTGGCTGAGGAGATGGAAGACTTTTTGAAAGCAGTGATGTCAAGGGAAACAGAGTACTTATCTATCTGTAATTATTTTATCCCAGAACCTTTGTTTATTCTGATGGTTATATATAGTTACCTTTATAGTCCATCATCTAAAATCTTCATTTCACCCTCTTTCATATGGGCCTTTTTGCTAGTCTTGGACATATGTAACTCAAACTTGTTTTAGTGGAAATAGATCCAGAAAGCATCGAGATGATGCAGGGTAACATGGGTGACTTTTTTTTACATAAGCTATTCTTTTGACCCATTCATCTGGCTAGTGTCCACATCCTTAGATTACTACAGGTTTTTTGGTAACAAGATTTGTGGATTCTTCTCATTATTACCCTGCTGGTACTTCTAATATGGACTTCAGTGATTTAGTCTAAAGAGGGCATAAAAATTCTGTGATGTCTCTACTGTTTTTCTCCTTTTTTACCTCCCCACAAATGTTTCTCATGTCTGTGAATTTACAATAAAGTGTTACATTTTTTTCATGGCTAAACAAGAGTTTATAATTGCCAGTAAGGGGAGTATATGCATGCTATTTTTCCTTTTCTAAAAATAAACATTTATTGAGAATCAGCTGTGCATCATGCACTCTGCTAAGGTATTCAGAATACAGAGAAAAAAAGATACAGTCCGGTCCTCATATTACTTACAGTCTAATGTCAAAGACAGATGAATACATACATAATTTCAGAATTAGTGTGACGAGTGTTGTGATAGAGGAAGTCATAAAATGCAAAGCAGGGAAACATAAAGGAGGAGAACTAACCTAACTTGACTTACTTATCTCACCTAGGTTGAGGAAGGAAAACCAACCAGAAAAGGTGAGGGTTAATTTAAGCCTTAAGGATACATAGGACTGAGCGAGAGAAAGAACAAAGGAAGAGTAGAGGTTATTCCGGGTAGAAGAGGCTATGTTGGCAAAGACACAGAAAGCATCAGTGAAAGAAACACATATGAGGCATTGCAGGTGGTTGAAAGTGGTGGTGGCACAGGATCCAAGCATGAGAGAGATTAAAGATGAGGCTGCAGATGTGAACAGAGGCCAGATCATGAATGAACCATAGTGGGGTCTTAGACACACAAATAGGGAGGAGGGAGAAAATTCTGTAGGCTCCACCTTAAGGTATAGCCAGAACCCAACCGCTTCTTACCATCTTCACTGCCACCACTCTGGTTCTAATCATCACAGTTTCTTCCAATGGTTATTTAGTCTTACTATCTTTTCCCTATTCGCCTAACACAGCAGCCAGTGTGTTTAGAACATAAGCAAACCATGACTCTCCTCCATTTCAAACCCTCCAGTGGTTTCCCATTATACTCATTCTACAAGCCTAGGTTCTGATAGTTCTCCGTAGTACTTATTACTAGGTGAGAAGCTGCATATTTTATTTATTTATGGTATTCATTGTTGTCTCCCTCAGTAGAATGGAGACTCCATGAGGGCAAGATTTTTTTTGTCTGTTTTATTCACAGATGTGTCACCAGCATGGTACTAAGTTGGCAGTCAATACTCATTGAAAGAATGAATGACTGAAATCTCAGATATATCATGGTATTCACCTCACTAGTCATTATTGAACAAATTTATTTCAGCTCATCCCACCTCTGCCCTCCTTTCCTCTGCCTTACACCACTCTCAATTCAAACTATTATGCCTTCCTGAAAAGAACTGGTTTTATGAATGTATATTAACCTATATCTATTCATAATCCCAAGTAGATTTTTGTTCTTAGCCAAGCCTGGACTAGGTGAATACATGCTTTTCTTTCTTGTACTAGCTCCCTTGCCTGTGATGAGTTCTCAGAACATGATTAGATCCATGTGCGTGAGCCAGGGGTGAAATCTTGGCATTTCAGTGAGAGGAGAGCAGTGTTGTGACGAACTGTAACAAGATCTGAATGATAACAGTCACCAGGTTCCTAGTGTAAATCACATCCTCATTTTTTAAAACCAACCTCTTTATTCCTTGGATTGGTCATACTCTGGCTCTTGGCACTGCTGCTTCCCTGCTGTGAAAATGGACTGCTCTATTTTCTCAGGCTCCATAGGGGTATCAAGTATTTGATTTCTTCATAAATAGAGCAAAGAAATAGAACCATAGAATAACATTGCGGACACATTTAACAATATTTATTTAATGAGTAAAAAAGCTAGATCTTTTGTTACATTGTCTGCTCTTCCAGTCAGTAAATGTTATTGTGACCATTGGGCAATGTTTGAAATCGGCCTATTCTGATTAAGGGAGTGTTTATTACGTTAATGGTGATATATAATAGATTGTTAAACATTTACTTTCACATATTATGAAAGCTGAGAAATGGCCTACATACCTTCTCAATCTTGCTTTCGGATCCTTACATAAGTTGAGTACTGTCTAGATGAACAGCATACTACTCAGCGCTGTCCAGTAGAGAAGGCAGGGTGCCTGCTTTCAAGGTGCTTATTATGTTTATCTTAACAAAAACAACCAGTACCACTACTGCCGCTATCACCATTTATTAAGCACCTATGACATTAACAACTACAGTTTAAATTGCTACAAGATGCTTTGCCTGTGTTACTTCATTGAATGGTCTTAAGTCCTCTATGGAGTGGGCATATATATCTCCATTGTTCTGATTAGAAAATTGTATACAGATAGGTTAGGAATAAACAAATAATAAGTGTATCTTTGACTTAAGTCTTAAACAGTTATTCAACACTATAGTACAGAAGGTCTCTACCATAGCAGCTATAAGATGCAGCTGTGTGTTTAATTGCTAGGGGGAATAATACAAAGAAGATAAAGTCCCCTCTTTCAAGGAGTTTAACTTACCAAGCAAAGCAAGTCAGTTTCCTTTGGTCATCTTAATTCCCCTCTGGAAATATGACTAGATAGCGAATATGAGTCTTTTCTTCACATGGTTTTGTTATCTCTTTCTACAGAAAGGAGCAGGGTATCACTTGGATCTCTTTTGGGTGGCCATCCTCATGGTTATATGCTCCCTCATGGCTCTTCCGTGGTATGTAGCTGCTACGGTCATCTCCATTGCTCACATCGACAGTTTGAAGATGGAGACAGAGACTTCTGCACCTGGAGAACAACCAAAGTTTCTAGGAGTGAGGTGTGTTAACTCAGAGGAAAATGGCTCCCGAAAACACACTGTGCACACATCTATGTGGCAATCATAAGGATATGGGCAGATTTGGAGGAGACAGGGCTTGTGATGATTAATTTATTCCTATATTTTTTGTTCCAGAAAGGACTAAATTTTCATCAGAGGTTTCAGTGATTTTTTTAGTTTACTCCTCATGATATATCATTTTCATGGATTTCCAAAAGGCTAAATGTTGCAATATAAAACTACAACCAGATTACTTTTTTTCAACATGCAGGTGATTTTGGTGCTGCAGTGTTTACTGTATCACAGTCATATGTGAAGGCCCTAAAACTCTTGAGTCTGCTTATGACTTTTAAGATTCTGTAATGGGAAAGGTATTCTTATTTTCCAATTCATTTTCTGTCCCCATAAACACTGAGAAACTTTAACCTCCAGACGTTCAATTTGGGTAGCTGTGAAGGGCAGGAGTAGAAGGTTTTTATACTCTGTTGAGCACTTTTTACAGCAAACTCTGCTCATAAGTGCTTGGGTAGAGAGCTCACATGACAGAGCCATCGTTTCCCACGGCAAAACAGTGGGTGATTCTTTTTTGGGGTGGGGAGGGGGTGTAGGATGGGAATTATATTTGTTGAAAAGTACTTTTGTTGTTGTAGATTTGGAAATTAGACTGATGTGATTTATTGTGCTAATGAAATTTCCTTGAGCTGTTTGTTAATTGGAATATGGGACAATGTAATATCTGTCTCCTATGAAAGAAGGTGTAAGGGTAATTACACAAGAGGATAAATTGCTTTAAAAAATAAGGTCTTCAAAGAGTCCAGTAATTGATGGACCAAGAGCAAGTGATTTTTCTTTCTTGATTCCAAAAGGAGCAAAAAATTTAGCAGGATTACTTCTTTCTTCGTGAATTCAAATCACATATTGCAGTCACTTTAAGAGATTTTTTTATAGTTACGTTGGGTTTATACGCTATCCTTGAGGTATTATTTACATGATATCAACACCTTTGTTGTTTTAGCCAAACATTGATTTTGTCAATGTGTAGTTTTTTTGAAGGTGAAAAGACAAGAGCATGTTTATGAAGACAAGAGGTAGATTGGTAATCTTTTGATTTGGTTTCAGGGAACAAAGAGTCACTGGAACCCTTGTGTTTATTCTGACTGGTCTGTCAGTCTTTATGGCTCCCATCTTGAAGGTAAATATGTGAAACATTCACCTCTTCCTTCTCAGAACACTGACATATAATTGGACATGTGAAGAGTGAAATTCCTCATGAGATATTTGCGAGATTCTCATCAGTTCTGTAACACACTGAAGCAGGGGTCAAGTAGAAAGAGAGCTTTAAATAGCTTTTGTCTTGATTTCCTTCTCACTCTTTCATCCCCTCCCTTATCCTTAGTTTTGCAGTTATTTGATTGAACTATATTAAATTAACAATATCCAAACTTTCTGATCTGTGAAAATAGTAGTTTCATGCAATTGAATCAGACTGATCTTCTCCCCCTCCTCCACACACACATTTTTTATTCTCCTTGTCTTTTATACATTCTTTCTTCTATCACCTTCCATTTGCTTGTATCCAAATCTTGTCCCTCTTCCCTCATTAGGCTCCTAAATAACATGAGTGATGCAGGATAACCATTTTGATATTTTTCGACTATTCTTAATTATTACTTTGTTTCTATTTTATTTGAATCAGATGGCCTTATAATTCACAAAGGTAAATTAGAGTAAAATTACTGACTCATAATTAGAAAGCTTTAGAAATGAACTTTTGAAGAAGAAAAATTATATGATATTGGTTGTTTAGAAAATTAGGGGTCAATATATAGGTTTATTGATGGGTTGGATATCTGCCTAGATAGATAAATGCAAACTGTATGTGACAACCTATTAAGAAGTAAACTAAAACTAAAAACTAAAGAAAGTTAGTGTATACCTCTTCATGAAGTTTCCAATTTTCTTTTATGATGCAAACATTTTATTTTTTTCAATCATATAAACATGCTTGCGAATTATTGATAGTTTGTATCTTATGCTTTATACTACAGTACAAAGCATGCAATTCACCCATGGACCTAACAGCTATAAACAACCACTGTTAACGATATCCTTCCAAATTTTCTCTTACAATTTTTATTTTTAAACATTTTAATTTTAAAGGCTTTTAAAATGCTCATATAATTACATAAGTAATGGGGCAGTACAATCTTCTGAAGAATTCAAACAATATAGAAGTACACATAGTGAAAAGCAAAAGCCCTCTGTTCATCTAAAGTTAGCAAATTTTATGTCAGTTGCCAATCAGATGAAATTGAGGAAAGTGGAACTGTAATATCTTTGATCTGTAAATAAGACTAAGATTGCCTTCAGGGTATTTAGACTGATGTATACAGTATGCACAAAATACTTGTTAAACAGTTAAAATATGTAATTATTCATCTTTTTTCCTTGGTTTCCACAATGTCAATGAACTGGTTTAATTAATTTCTGACTGGATTCATGAGGAAATATGTATCTCATCTTAGACAAGACATTAAGATTAAAAATAACCTCAGAAAAGTTGTTTCTGACTATGTACAGAGGGCTGTAAAAGAGTACAGAGCTTATGTTCTGCAGGGACAGAGGGAAACCTTTTGTCACCTTTGCCAGTGCAAAGCAAGTTATGGGATAAGTGTGAAGATGTGGTGACTTTCACAGCATTGAATCTGCTGCCAAATGCTTTATGTTCTTCCGTTATCCTATAGGCACCAGCACATCAGCTGGTGGAAAGCCTAATGACAGTGTTACCTTTTAGGCAATGGAACCTCATCCAGTGAGATCATTTTTAGAGAGTTCACTGCAGACAATTATGAGCCCATGTTGTGAGAAGCTCTCCTGGAAATGAATTTTCCCTGTGGGTTCCTTGAAGGTGGGCTCACTTCAAGTAGGTGCAGAGTTTCTTTTATGAGCTCTCTTTGTGCTCAGTCACTAGTGAGGGATAAATGGGCAGAATCTTTTCATCAGTTCTAATTTACTCATCGCCTCCCCCATTTTTCTTTTATTTTTATATTATTTCTTTTCATTAATACAGTATAAAATCCTAATTCAAAAAAGTCAGATGTGTTTAAAAGTTCCTTTTGTGTGTATATGTTACAGCAAATTGGCTTTATTCCTAGAGAATCTGACAGTTGAGTAATCATGGATGATTCCAAGGGGACACAGAGAATAGATACTGTATAATTACTATTTTTAGGAGAGATGCAAGACTTACATTTTCAACAACGCCTCTTCCTAACTATTTTCTCACCCTGCACCCAAATATGGCTGCAGAGGAGTTAAAGCTGAAAGTTCTTTTGTTCTTTACAATGATTCTTTTCACCCCTGATAGGCAAAGTGCCTTAGTATTTACAGAAACAGATTAGAATGAGAGAAAGAAGGCAGAGAGCTGTAAGAGATCAGTGAGCATGAGCTTTCTTTCCCTTTGACCTTCCTTAATTGATCCATACCTGGGCTCATCCTCATTCAGCTGCTAGTGTTCATGATTGTGGCTATTTCCACCTGGCAATTTTGAGTTACCCCAAGTAGTCATTGTAAGAATAAATGAAAAATGCAGTCCAGCAAACGTTTTTGTTAAGGTTTTCCCCAAAATGTGGGAAATGGAATTGTTTTGGCAATATAGTTTATAGCATACTGTACACAACCTATATTTAAAAACAACAAGAATAAAACAGTCAAGGATTCGCAGTTGTGATTCTTTACTTCAGTAAGTTAGGCTATTCCTTACTTCGGGAATCACAACTCCTGATAAAGTCAGCTACTTTCAGATTATGTACCATTGAGGTTTGGTAAGTTAAGTGCGTTTATCACAAATCCCTTGTTAGCTCATTTGAAAAGTCAATACAGGAAGAAGCAGATATTGAGGGTACAGTTTAACTAAAACCTAAGTTATGACTAAGTAAGAGTCAAGATTAACAATTAACCTTAGAATTCACAAAGAAAGTGGTGTCAGGGGTTATGTTGGAGTAGGAAACCTTTTTTCCTCCCCTTTGTGACTATGTGTTTTTTTAGAGAACCAGAGGACAACTTAAGAGAATCATTTTACTTAAGAGTCTGTCTTTGAAAGGGCAGATCAAATGAATGGGAAAAGAGAAATGTGTTACTTTTACTTTTTAAAATGAAATGGCTCAACACCATTTCTGCAAACTCCATATATCCCTCACAAGTTTAATGGTCTCAGATGATCCTAGTAATTTTCTTTCATGCATTAAGCAGTGTAGGAAGTTGTTTCTCCTGCCTGTTTATGCAAGCTTACTTTGAAAATGAAGTTTTTCATTTTTATTCTGATCTCTTTGCTGAGGTCCGTCTTTTATGTGGAAGAATGTAAGGAATTACAGTTTTAAGTTCACGAGGATACCCCTTGACCCTAGCCAGCAACAGTCATACATGCCTCAAAGCACTGAATCTAACCACTGATTCGGTACTGAACTGTTGGGAAGCAAGAATAACTGGCGCCCCTGGCTGGTTAAACAGCTTAGTTCTGTGTTTCTGCAGCAGAAATACTGCCTGGTAAGTGAGTATTCTGTATGGGGAAACTAGAGGAGGCTAAAGAGCATCAAAAAGATGAAAGGCACTTCCTTGAGCTTACTTTTACCATTTTTCTGGCAAGTCTGAAGAAATAAAAATCAAGTGAAGTTCACTGCTACTTTTGTTGCCTTTGCTTGAAATAGTTTAATTCAAGTTAATTAGGAGTAGTCAAATTTATCTTTAAGATTTGTTTAGTGTTCTAAAATCAGGATAGCATTTAATTTGTATTTGGAAAATATTTGTTGAGCTTCTACAATATGCCACAATATGTCACTTTGTTCAGTGCCAGGGAAAGCAAAATGGTAGAGATGATGGTAATGGTGATGATGATGATGATAGTAGTAGCTACCATTTATTGAGCTCGGCATTTGATTAAGGGCTCAACACAGATTTTTAAAATTTAGTCCTTCAATGAATGACACCTACAAAAAATTGTCTCTCTTTTACACATAAGAAAATTTATTAATGACTTACCAGGTTACAAAGTTCGTAAATAATAGAGTCAAAATGTGAATTCAGGCAGTTCTGACATGAAAGCCAATCTCATAACCCTCAGGGTTTACAACCATTTAAAACAAAACATAGTACTTGCTCTCAAAGAACTCATTCACTTTCATTTTCCATGAGATGATCTTCTCCAGCTTCTTTGATCCAACTTCCAGTCCTTTCATGTGCAGATAAATACAGCATTTTCACAAACTCCTCATCATACCTCATTCCAGTTTCTTCAATGACTAGGAACCAGATTGCAAGTCAGTACTTCCTTATCAGCTTAGATTTTCAAGATTTAAGGGAATTAGGATATTATTTGAATAACATGTTTCTGAATATAGTTGTTACTGCTGAAAGGGCAATATAGTAGAACTTAAATAAGACCAGGGCTTTGAATCTGACCTTTGCAGCCATTCTTCTGGTCTGTACTCCTGCCATTTTCCACCCTGACCACTGAGGACCAAGGAGAGTTCTGCTGGGCAATTGCAGCAGGCTTCTTGACTTGCCAGTCAGGTCTTCATGATAATTATGACATTAATACCTCATTTATCATTTATTATCTATTCAGAATGAGGCCCTGGACTAGATATTTTATGTGATATACTCTTTATCATACCCTCTTTTAAATGAGAATACTGAGGATAAGAAAAGTTAGTAATTTCTCAATGTTACATAAGTAGTAGGGCCAGAATTTGAAACTAGGCCTGTCTGACTTTTGTGCCCATGCTCTTAATCAGGATCTCGTTCTGGATTGTACATTCACATGTACACACACACACACATACACACACACATACACACACACACATACAGTGACGATTATTCTGCTAGAAGGTCTCACTGCTGTACTGAATTCTGGTTGGACAACTACACTCTACCCTTATTTTTAAATTTACCCTTTTCTCGTTTACTCTTCTGGGAATATTCAAATACTATCAGCACATCAAAGGGAGGTATAAGTGAAAAAGAGTAGAACTGCATTCACCAGAATTTGAAAAATTTGGTGACATGGTCTGAGTATGTTAACTCCTATTTTGATTTTATCTCAATTATTCCATCTGCTTGTAGGGTCAATACTTGATTTCATGTATGGTAATCTTATTTATAATTATACTTTTGTGCTTTCTGGGTATGATTGGTTATCCATAAAATTTCCTTTACATAATTTTATCATTTGGCAATTCTTGATATGCCTGTATGGTATACTTTGTGCTGTTTATGTTTTAATTACTCCTGTCTTGCTTTGTAAAAATATCTACCTACTATTACTATGTAAATTATACTGGTTTAACTTAAGATGGAGTTCCATCTTCTTAAAATGCATCTTCTCTTTCCTCCTTTGAGAAATTTCTATTGCAAGAAATGATTATTTTGTGATGAATTTTTAAGGATTGACCTCCTGTGACCCATGAACTAAATCCAATAAAAAGTATCCTCTAACCCAATAATTCTGTCAAGTTTCATCAAGTTTTCCATATTGGAAGATTTTTATTGAGATGTTGCATTATCATAAGGAAAATGGCAAATTTCAAAAGACATATTTTTATCACATTGAAGTTGGCCCAAAGTCAACTTAATAGCCTTCTTTATATGTATTATTTCCTTTTCAACAAAGAATAACTGTTTAAAAAACATCTTCATATCTAAAGCTATTTTTCTACCCACAACCCATGCCATTCTATGTTACTGATACCTTCTGATTTTATTTTGTGGTAGATTTGGTGATATCTGTAATAATAAATTCACAGAGAATGGAACTAAGCACCAAGGCAAAAGTGTCCTTCACTTTGACATTAGAACCACATTAGAAAAAACATTTAGCTAAGCCTAGCTGAGGGATGAGGATGAGGCCAGGGATGGTCCCTTTGTGGTGGCTTTCTTTCAAGCAAGAAAAATGCTTTACCCAGATTAAAAAGGAACTACTGCAGGAATTCTAACTAGTTTTCCATGGTTGAACTATACTTCTCTTTTCCCTTCTTACTTTTCTTTCCTTCCAGCTGCCCCACCCCCACCACCCACCAAATTGAAAATGAAATGACAAGAAAGAAATATGGGAGATGTTTAAAAAATGAATCAAAGCTATGCAATGATCCTTCTCTTAGTTTTTTTACTTTATGGTACATTTATACACAAGAATCACAAGGAATAGAAACATGCACATTGCAAAATAAATGAAGGCATGTGTCAGAAATAAAGAGGCTTGAGTGTGATGTGTTCACCTCTTTGTGGTGACTGTTAGGTATTACAGCTTCCCCAGCAGGAACATCATCCCTCCTACCCCCGTCAACATTCTATGTCACTTTTAGTTTTTTCTGACATCAAGAGCAAAATTAGCTACATTAAAATTGTTAGTCTTTTTTTGAAGAAGCATTTGATGTTTTGTATATATAAATAAGGATATTTATTTCATATAAATTTAAGCATCCCTATGGCTAGCCAATAAAAATTGGAAATATTTGTTACACATTTTAGAATTTACTCATTCTCTAATAGTGGCCAAAGAGTCTCAGATATGGAACTACTTTAGGCAATCACAAGGAGAGGCTGATAGAAATTGTGCTTCACTTAGTACGTGCAGTATTTTTAAAATTACTCTAAAGCCATACTATGTTTTCTGGTTACAATAGCCTCCTTTATGTGGATTTGGTAAGATTGGCCTTAATTGACTTGCGGTTTTAGTATTTTAGCTTTGAAAAATCCTGAAATTACTTGAACTTCTTTTCAAATTCTAAGGTTGAGAACCTTTTGTTTTTCAAACAGAAGACTTCCCAGAAACAGAATCATCCTTGATTTGCTTAGTTTCCTCAGTACTAGGGACATTTCAAAGGTCTAGGAATAGATACAGTTTACAGACATCACTTCTCCTTGTTAAAACACTTTGTATTAATATAAAATATTTTTTGCTAATGCATGAAAAGGTATTAATTCAGTTTTAAAAGATGTGTATTAATCCATGTGTGTAATTAATTGCTTCCAAGTGCTCCAAGGTCCTTTCAAGCAGTTCTCTTTAGTTAGTTCTCATAATATTTGCAAGAAGCGAGGGGATAGTCTTTTGATGTTTATTTTATTGAAAGAGGCATCTATATACCAAGCTGATAGACTATTTGGCAAAAATTATTAAGGACAAAAATGAACAGACTATATTGAAAGGAACTTGATCTCAAGAGTGAGGCAACCATCTATTAATACCTCTGTTTCTGTCTACCTCACAGTCCATAGAAGCATCTTGTTTACATAGTTATTCCTTTTCAGGGTGAAGGGAAACATAACTTTTCCTCCATTAATTAAAAAAAAGTTATTAGTAAGGTCATGCATGCTCACTAAAAAAACAAGCATCCAATGAAAATTGAAAGTCCATTATACCCTTCTTCATTTATTTCTATTACAAAGAGTTTAGAAGTTCATCAATTGACTAGTAAAGCATACTAGTTAGAGGTCACTAAGTTATTATATCCTATATTTTAGTTTTAGATTTAGCCTTTATTTAAATGATTCCTCTTCATTCCTCTTTTTTCTTGTTATCATTTTTAAGTTGTATCCATTTTTTTCCTTCTAGTTTATACCCATGCCTGTACTCTATGGTGTGTTCCTGTATATGGGAGTAGCATCCCTTAATGGTGTGCAGGTAAGTTTTTGAATAGCAATGTAAGTACAGTAGTGTTTTTCTAGTAGTAAGAATAGTCCAGTAACAGATCTTTGAAGAAAAGTGCTAATCATTATTAACTGCTGAGTTTTTAAAATGCATTTATTTTCTACTTCACCATTCACCTGCTTTTCATTTCTGGTTTAATCAACAAGTTAGCCAGTATTAAGAAAAGTTGCCATACATACCCATTGTTTAAATAGGCTGTTAAAAGTCATTTAACCAAGAAAGCAAGAGGCTATAATCTTTCTTTTCCTTCCCCTTACCCATCTTTATCTCCTTTTTACTGTCTCAGGAAGGATACCTAACTCTTTCTGTGTGTTCTTAAAGATAGTGTTTATCCATTTGCCTTAACTCTATACTAAAAACAGGCTATTGATTTGCTTTTCACATGGCTATGATCAATAATCAAAAGTTTTTTTACCAATAAAAGAATAAAGTCAATGTGGTTGATGTATTGCTTTTGTTGAAAACTTCAGCTATTCATAACTTTGGGAAAACTGACACACTTTTAATAAAATCATTATCAACTGGGCATGGTGGTGCACACTTTTAATCTCAGCTACTTGGGAGGCTGAGGTGAAAGGTTCACTTGAACCTGAGTTTTAGTCCAGCCTCAACAACATAGTGAGACCCTGTCTCTTTAAAAAAACCAAATCATTAGGGAGAACTTTGTAAGGGACTTTGTCTTTCAATTGGGTTTTAATTAAATTGGCACCAGGAAACTGGAAGTACTTATGCTGTTTTCTGGCACCTTGTTAACTGTAGCCTTATTTAGCACTTAGTAATATTTTAATGGGAAAAGACTGCATGTCCTGTGAACATCATAAGAATTTATTTGAACCCCTTCAAAATAGTCCTTGCTTTTGCTTATTGAATTCAGATTAATTTGGTTTTAAAGTCAGATAGAACTGGGCAAGTGGCCAGACTACCAAAAAGAGAAAAGGCTACTTTACTTTTCTCTGTTTAGGTCTGCTGAGTAGAGTTCGTCATCTTTTGGATATTTGTTACAAAATACAAGGTGGTTCTTCATAGAGTGGACTAGATGAATGTGAGTTTATTTGTGCTCATGAAACTTTTGGGAAGCATAAATCTGTAAAAATATTTTATTTTTACCTGCCATTGTAAATATTCTTTATTTCCCAAAATGGAAAAATGTGAAACAGAAATGGCCCACAGACAAATAGTTCTTATTTTTATTTGCTCTTAATTACCTGGTCTAGATCAGAAGTTTAATTCTATGTGTTTTAGGGGCTTTATTGGTTGAAACTCAGTGCATGTTTATTTAATTAAAAAGAAGAAAAAATCAACCACATAATAATGATGGGGAAAAACAACCAGGGTCCAGCTAGTAGATTTCTTAAATTCTGCAATGCTATTGCCCCTAATGGCTTTTCTCTTTCTTTCTTTCTCGATTCTCCCTTGTTTAGACCTTTTTGGTAAGATTTCATTTAGAAAATTTTGTAATTTGTAAAGAAATTTTGTAACCCAAACTTTATAAATGAGAAGGTCCTCACCAGTCAAAAATAGTTCTAGAGGGAAAAAGAAAACCCTTTAAGTAGGAAATCACTAGAGAAGATTGTGATGGTCTAATTTACTTTTGCACTTCTTTCCCTCCAGAAAGAAAATAGAGATATTATTTCAGAGTTCATATTGCATGATTATTCAATTCAATAGCTATTTACTGAGCATCTTTCATTGAAAGATCCTGTGATAGGTTCTTGAATATCTTCCCATTCGTCACTGGCAAGGTCAATTCGGCAGTTATTCTTTGAAGCACAGCACCTGACACACAGATGCTCAGTAGTTATTTCAATAGCTGTTTATACATCACCATACGATAGCATCCCTTAGATTCAGATGTTGACCCTGAAACTCACTGTAGTATTCATATGGCTTTTCTCTGAAAAGAAATGGTGATAGATTGCTGAGTGTATTAGTCAAAGTATGCCACTCAGATAAGTAATATGGAATTTATGAAAACATAATGTATTCCCATTTTTAAGTTGGATACTTCCTTTATATCCTTAAAACATTCTGGAAATGTATTAATATATGATGCATAGTGTCATCTCCTCTTTGTTCAGATAAGACAACTGAGGCAGAGTAAGATACATGAGCTAGACATCTTCCTTCAGCATATTAGTACTAAAATAGGCAAAAGATCCACTTTCCTGAGACTCAGAGAGTAAAAATAGAAATTAGGAGATGAGCTCCTAGAATTTTTTTTCTTTGTGACCTTATTCTTTAGTGGCCACTTTTTCTTATACATCTACATAACATTCCCGCAATATAATAATAAAGATTTGAAGACTTGTGCTTTAGTGTGCTTGACTAAATTTCTGCATTCCTTGACCATTCCTTTGTCCTCTGAAAAGGACACTGCTTGCCTAAATTATAGAATATAAATCAGTAGTGATTAGTTAGGCATAGTGGAAATGTAATGCAGTAATGCAGTTGGACTCCTTTCCTCTTTCCTCCCCAGTTCATGGATCGTCTGAAGCTGCTTCTGATGCCTCTGAAGCATCAGCCTGACTTCATCTACCTGCGTCATGTTCCTCTGCGCAGAGTCCACCTGTTCACTTTCCTGCAGGTGTTGTGTCTGGCCCTGCTTTGGATCCTCAAGTCAACGGTGGCTGCTATCATTTTTCCAGTAATGGTAGGGATTCCTTTAATTGAACGTACCTGTGAGATTATATGAGTATCATGTGGTTATTGTTATATGGAAGACACACATGTCTTTTATGTGTTGTTCCAAATTTTTCCAGCTTTGACCTCATCACTTTGATCAGTTGTAATTTACATTTCCCATGTTTATGGTTGTCTAGGATGGACCTTAGAATCAGGCTCACCTAAGTTCAGATACTGGCCCTCGTTCATGCTCAGCAGTAAACTTCTTTGAACTACTATTACCTCATCAGTAAAATGGGAGTTGCATTGTTGTTTTTCTGAGCATCAAAAATTAATATCAAGCATGTAGCACAATGCCTGACACATAGTAGACACCAGTGCATGTTAATTACTTTTTAAATGTTGTATAATAGAATTAATCTAAGTAAGAGTGTAGGACATTTCAGTTCAAGTAATAAAGAAGTGCTTGGCAACTTGTGAGAACTCATCCAGTACATTAGAGGAAATGGAGTGAGAAGTTCACTTTTTACATTTCTTGTGGTTTGCATAATGGTAAGTTTAAAGATAAGGTGGGACTCTCTATCCTTGTCATAGTATGATGAGAAACAAGGTAAAGCAACTAACGTTTCACTCTGAGTCACAAGTGAAAGAAGAGAAAAAGGAGTTCTGTATTTGGCATCACTACTGAATTTTATACTTTACCATAACTCTTTACTTCTTGCAAGAAAATGCATATATGTACACTTAAAACAAGTCACAAAGGGAGCCTCAAATCTGTTTTATCTCCCCCACAGCTTTGAAAACAGAATTTTCCTACACTTACCACATTTTATTTTTATAAGAATCCTCTTACTCTTAGCCAGTATTATTATTTTATTTTTCATATTTGTTGTTTGAAATTTTTTTCGTCCAAGGATGCAAGAAAAAATGGATATTAAATACTAGTGATATTTGTTAGGTCAGATTTTTTTCTTAATGGTGGCTTATGTCTTTCTTTCCTTTTTTTAAAAAAAAACTATATTAACTTACTGAAAAGCACACTGAGTATGAGAAACACTCAAATATACCTATTAGTGTTATCTGCCTACCTACAAATTTTGCTGAAACCAAGAAAATTGAAGCTAGACCAGGATACATTTGAATTATATCCAATAAATCACTTTTTGCTTGTGCTAAATAATAATTTTAAAATGGTTTACTTTTCCAAAGTGTTTTTGTCTTTTCAGAACTTTTATTTGGTCACAAAATAATTCTGTAATAGAAGTTAGGACAGATGTTATTTATTTCTCTAGGTGATGAGGAAACTGTCATATAGAGAGCACGATGCTGATAAAGACAACTGCTTAATTTGAAGCAAGTCAGGATGCCTATAACTTGCTGCATATTAATTTTAATATAGAATAAAGATATCTTTAATGTACCTTCAGAAGTTATTCTTCAAGAGCAATTCATAGAACCAAAAATACACAGGTCAAGAATATTTGTTTTGGAAGCAGACAACTGGGACCCTTTGTATTATTCAGTTATCTGGGTTCATCTCCCTCACAGACATTAAGGACCTTGGACAACATACTTAATGTCTCTAACCTTCAATTTCCTCAGCTGTATGATAAAAATAATAATACCTATTTTGGGGGTTTGTTCTGAAGAATAAATGAGATAATATTGCCTGAGAGTTTAACATAATGTCTGGGACATGTTAAATATTCAGTTAACGGTGGTGATTGAAGTAGCCCAGTGAATGAAATGGTCTATGCATATTCAAATACTACCTCATTGTGAATACTTTGAAGATGTCTTAGTGTTATATGTGTCGTACAGATTTTCTTGATTGCTAAAAACCTTTATGATGTTTTAATTTTTAATACTTAGAAATCATATGCCAGCTATTTTTTTACTTTAAACTTTTAATTATTTTATTTAAAATCTCACATGGAAGGCAATGGTTTTGAAAAACAATCTTTTCACATTAAAATTCTAATTGAATGTGATCATGCATTTTGGTGAACAAAACAAAGTGAGTTTCAACTAAGACTTTTATAAAACAACTTTCCCCATGTAGAAAATTATGAGAGTTCACTCGGTATAAGTCCATACCGTCAAGATCAGGTCTGTCATACTCTATCTAGCCTTACACAAAGTAGGTTTCTGTGGTCTTTGATAGGAGAGTATCTATGCTTGCTGTGACTTCATCTGACATGGTTTCTTTCATACTTTTAATATTTGCTCTTTCAGATCTTGGCACTTGTAGCTGTCAGAAAAGGCATGGACTACCTCTTCTCCCAGCACGACCTCAGCTTCCTGGATGATGTCATTCCAGAAAAGGACAAGAAAAAGAAGGAGGATGAGAAGAAAAAGAAAAAGAAGAAGGGAAGTCTGGACAGTGACAATGATGATGTAAGGAACTTTCCAAATTCCAAAGGAAAGCTAGTTAAAGAAACAAATGTGAAAATTGTCCCTTTTTATACCTGATGTGAAATGGAGGGCTGAGTTCTAAGAATGTTTATCTGGACATGTGGTGTATTACTCATTTCACCTCCCTTTGCCCTTTATATTCTCTGGTTTTTTATGTTTTCTGAATTCTTTCTGTAACCATTAATACACTAATAATGACATAATGACTAATAATGACTTCTAAAAAATTTAAAAACCCACCACATTAAAAAAATTCTGATCTCATAGATATAAAGGAAGTTTGCTTAGTAATGCTATAAAATGTATTTGGTTTCTATTAATAACCCAGGGCTTATATTTGAGATAATAACTCAATTTTATGTAATTTTAAGCCTAATGTGGATAGATGTCAATGATCTCACTTCACGTGATCTGTGAATCTATTTGAGTAGGCTCTCCACCAAAGTTCTATGCTGTTATATTAATATTAGCATTATATTTATACTGATATGATTCAGCATTATTTTTCTGTAGTTCTTCAATAAAAAGAAAAGGGAATGGGAGTTTGGGGTCTTTTTACATAATTATAGTGGTTAGTGTCATAGTCCAGAGGGTCCTCCTCCAATTAGGTGATTAAGTTGAGAAGTAAAATTGTTGCCCAGTTTTTTCTTTAGGAGACCAGCTCACAGAAATACAGATTCTCCAGCAGGGATCTGTAATCAGTACTAGGAGGAAAACTGGGATTTGTTTACTTTAACACATGCGGACACCTTATTCCAGTAGCCTTTTGAAAAGATTGCCAAAATAATGTTTTCCATTTGAAAATTTGCTCTGGATTTTACACAGTGCAGTATCACAAATGATTTTTTGTGCCTCATTACCCATTCTAAAGTAGGAATATTGTTAATTGTTAGTTTCTACTTAGTACTTGATAACTTTGATTGATCATTGCATACTTTATCCTTAATTGTCTCAATAGCTTGTTATCACATTATTTATTTTTGTTCCCATTTTACAGATGAGGAGATTTAGACTGAGAAATGTTAAATATGTTTTAGAAATTTTAAAGCTTTATTGAGGTACGATTGACAAATAAAATTGTATATATGTAAGGTGATGCTTTGACATATATAAGTCATTTTTCTAATTGTACACAGCCATAGTGGCAAGGCCAAAACTCAAATCCAGGCCTCTCTGGTTATTTCTAACTGGTCAGGCTATCTGATTGTATTCTTTTTGTAGAACTTGGAAATAGTACAGTGAAAGAAGGCAAGAGACAGAATTGGATTTCACATAAATTGATTCAATAAGAAAAAGGCTTAATGCATGAGGCACATTTAGCTAAAGAGAAAAAGAGGTGAAAAGAGCTTTATGTCTGTCATCATCCATCTGCAATGAGAACAGGTATATAGATTTTGTTTCCAATGATGACAGAAAAAGAATGTGTTTAAACTACAGAAGAGACTAAGACGTAATAGTCCGAAGAACGATGTGTTTACACATTTAATAGAAATTAAAATTTGAAATGAATTTCTGGACCACTCAAGACCAAAAAAATAAAAGGCTGCCTGAAATATTAAAATAATTAAAGCAGTATTTTGTCCAAAATAAATATGTCAACTTATGTACCTGGACATCAAATTTAAAGTTCATTACACATTATGAGTGTGTGAAGTCGGGGATTATGGAATCCCCCTCTGTAATGATTTTTGAGAAAAAATAGTAAAATATCAGCTTTGGAGAATGTTTTAAATGTACTGCTCTCTAGTGACAAAAGTTGGATCAAAAGAACTCCTTAGAAGTTCTTCCAATTCTTAGATATGATTTCCAACAAATCCTATTTCATTTAAAGTGTTTTTTTGTATTAATATTTACCATGTTCAACTCTGTGTTTCCAACAGATTTCTTGAAGCCAAAGTGTCGTACTTGTTTTTTACCTCTTCCTCTTCATCCTACCCTTTCCAAAACAAACAAACAAATAAACATATACATTGGTTCCTAGGCAGTGAATCCAGCTAGGCAATTTAGAGTACGTCTGTGCAGTATGTTCTGTGTGTTGAACTCATTATTTAGGGGCTCCACATTACAAATGTGGTTCTCCTAAGTTTACTTTTTAGTCATAGGGTTTGGGGCCCATGGATATAGGGAGTCATGCGGGGACATGAGGGTTACAGCTATAATATAATATTTATGAGCACAATTAGTGAAAATTATAGCTCTTCTTGTTACATTGATCCCTTTACCATTATGTAATGCCCTTCTTTGTCTTTTTTGATCTTTGTTGGTTTAAAATTTGTTTTATCAGAGAGTAGGATTGCAACCACTGCTTTTTTTTTTCTTTCCATTTGCTTGGTAAATATTTCTCCATCCCTTTATTTTGAGCCTATGTGTGTCTTTGCATGTGAGATGGGTCTCCTGAATACAGCACACCGATGGGTCTTGATTCTATCCAATTTGCCAGTCTGTGTCTTTTAATTGGGGCATTTAGCCCCTTTACATTTAAGATTAATATTGTTTATGTGTGGCATCTTTATTTTTTTTTCTTTTTTGCTCGTTGAATGCATTATCTTAGTTCTCTAAAAGGATACTGTTGTTCATTAACCTCTTTAGAGTCATAAATAAAGGAATTTTCCATGTAGGTAATAGGCTTTATGTTAAGATTTTATTAACATTAATTCTCATTTTATTTTCAACTAAAAACCATCTTTTTGGTACTTTTAATTAAGAGATATATTGGGTCTTTCAGCCCAAACATAGACTTGGAATCAATATAATGCATTTAAAAAAAACAAAGTGGTAATCTTTGGGAAATCTATTATAATTTGGGCTAGGTGGCTTGTTCTTTAAGCAGTCCCATGATTAGCTGCCTGGTTTTGTCATTTCCATTATGATTCTCTGCTTATCTGACCATCATAGACACCTTTTTAAACATTTTATTTTCTTATGTTTTGCTTACATTTTCAGATATCTTTGGCACAAGCTAATTGAAATGAACCTTTATCCATAAAATAGTACTTAAAGTAAGAGAGGAAAGTTTATTTTCTAGTGTACATAGAAGGCTTCTTGATAGTGGATATATAAAAAGTCTGTCACTTGTTCTAGAAGGAAAGATCGGTCATGATTTTATCTAGAGACGGAATCAGCATAAACAAAACAAGAATTTCAAGACCGTATTATAACCTGGGAAGTTTCCTATGTTTAATCTGTTTTTGCATTGAGATCATTTGCTTCACACATACAACTCATAAACATTGCTGATTGGGAGTCTGATAGAAAGCTTTACAATTCAGTTGTAGATCGATCTCTATTTTGTGCAGTTATAGTTTTAATTGACTCAATACCATTAACTTAGAAGAGTGGAAAACAAATGTGAGGGGGAAAGAAGGAATGCAGTTAAAAGATGGCAAACTGGAAGTAATTATAAGGCTTTTCTCCTTAGTAGTATGTAAATGATTATAGAAAACGGTTTGATCGATGCTAGGAGATAGGAAGGGCTGTATAATAAAAACATTCTAAAACCTCTTGTACATTTTTTTCACAGTCTGACTGCCCATACTCAGAAAAAGTTCCAAGTATTAAAATTCCAATGGACATCATGGAACAGCAACCTTTCCTAAGCGATAGCAAACCTTCTGACAGTGAGTAGAACTAACCTCTTGCATGCTTGCTTGAATATGATTTGCACTTACAGAGAAAACACTTTAGAATGGCCATCTGCATTAACTTTCCCTCAATTTTGTTTTTCCTTTTTCTATGAGAAGATTTACACTTAATTATAATAAAACTTTGTTTTTACATACCCTAAGCTTCATTCTTCCTTTTATCCATAAACTTTTAAATTTTTATTTGGTAGTCTTTTCTCTTACCCAAATCATCCCCAGTTTTTCCAATGGCTAAATTAATAACCATGTTTTTAATTGATTTTTCTTTTTTTTTCTGTTGGTATTGAGAATTGCAGCTTATAATACTACATCACTGTCACTGTTTGTCTTCCTTAGGTTTTAACTAGTGATCAAATCAGCTCAAAAGAGAAATTGCATCATTGGTCTCTCAGTGATCAATAAATCAATTGTTAATATTGAGAATTTGGAAAAATTTAATTTTGATTAAATTAGCAATCATGAAGTATTAGTACAACTTTCTAGATATAACTTATATGCATTTGCTTTCTAATCTCTTCATTCTCCCTTTTGCTATTTCAAAATTATTATTATAACTGCACTGATCTTTCTAGGGTGATAGCCTGGTGACTACGGTGCAATGGTTTGTGACATTTTTCTCTTCTGTAATTGAATTAACAGGCCACTTAGTAATATTAGTGACCATTTCAGACTTTCCCAATAGCAGGTAGCAATTGCCATCAAGCTACTTTCTACTTTGCGTTCTCATTGAAGAAAATGCATCCTTTTAGATTCAGATGCACTTCAGAGTACACTGATCTGTTACAGAAAAAGACAGTTAAGACACTTTTATTTCTATTTTACCATGCCACCTCAACTACAATAAGAGGTTACTGCTATCAAGAAAAGTTTGGAATGAATATCTATTGATAAAAAATAATGGGTATATTAGTTATCAATCATTGAGTAACAAATTACAATAAAACTCAGCAGCTTAAAAGAACAAACATGTTTTCTTACACAATTCCTCACATTCAGGAATGCAGGGGCAGCTGATTTTGGTTCTGGCTCAGAGTCTCTCATGAGATTGCCGTCAGAGCTGTCAAGCTGTCAGCTGGGGCTGAGTCTCTGAAGACTATTTTTTTTTTTTCCAGGAAGAAATGAAAGGATGATTTGAAAATTATAGTATACTCCACAGTGTGGGAGTGGGCCCAAGAATAGGGACTCAAGGGCCCCATTACAAAATTTTTGGGAGTTTAAATACCCTCTACTTGGGGTACGCCCTATGTAAATGGAGAGGATGAAGTAAAGTTACAAACTCATTTATTTGGCCCACGCCCCATGGAGAGGATATTTCCTGTCATAGCCGAAGTGTGAATTGGCCTTATGTTCCCTGCCTCCAGACACTGTTTTCCTGCCACATCTCCTCACTGAGAGATGTGATCTCCATACATCTTCATGGGAGGCAGAGGGACCGATGGTCTTTTTTCTGTAACTGCTTCATGCTGGCTTGGGGCATACTCCTACCTATTGGGGATCCCTGAACTCTCACCCTGCTCTGTCTAGTGGAGGCAGGGTAGCTTCTTGATGGCCAGGGTGTTGTCTTCACCTGGAACTGGCTGGAACCTTTGTTGTGTGATCATCTGAAGCTGATGGTCTCTAGGCAAGAGGAAATGAATTTGGTTAAAAAGGGGAAATTTTTTTAAACAAAAGTCTGGGAAGCCATTGTTTTGAACTAAGCTCATGCACTGGGCCCCAACAGACCAAACCAAAGCAAAATGAAGTCATTTGTGCTAAGACTGTAAGGAAACACGTGAATTCTAGAACAGAGCAGGTTTTGTTTCTTCTTCTGCAAATCTCTGTAACAAACATTCTTGACAGCATAGGTATCCACCCCCTGAGGTTCCCATTAAATATTTTAGTGTCTGAAGCTGGGTGTCTGCTTCCAAAAGCATACTCATGGGGCCCTTGGGATGACCTTTGTTTTTTACCTGTGGGTATCTCCGTAGGGCTCCCCATGATATGGCCTCCCTCAGAGCCAGTGATAAAAGAGAAAGAAACCAAGACAGAAGCTGCAGTCTTTTATAACTAAATCTCAGAAGTAACGGACCATTACTTCTGTCATATTCTGGTGGTTATGCAGCCCCACACTGTTAACACTGGGAAGGAATTACACAAAGTCATAAATACCAGGAGACAGGATCACTGAGAGCCATCTTGGAGGCTGGCTACCAGCCTGGATTTGAAGAACAAAGAACTAAAGCAGTCTTACCTTTGGTGTCCAGTTTGTAACCTATAACTTGTAACCGAGGCTAATTTCTGCTAACCCCTATTAATGGGGTTTGGTTATGAATTTCTTTTTGAGTTTAAACTCCTCAAACCATGTTCTGACTTCATTTTTCTCCATGGAGCATTAATAGCAAAAGCACAGTCTAACAGACATGTGCCTAGCATGTATGTCTTCTGTTGGCATCATAACCTGGTATAGCCCCTTATAAAGAAATGTAAAAGCTATTTTTTAAAAAAATTACTAGCCAGAATTTGAGGCTCATGGAAAAAGTTTATGTGCCATTTGCCCTTCATCCTCTCAAAACCCCTTTTAAAGGATAAATTGCAAGTTGATATGATATTAGAAGTTTACTTAAACAAAATACACTTGAGCATTTTGCCTGAAATGTTTCCTAATGTCATGTTTATCTTTATAATCCATGATGAAAGAACAAAACTGATAGAAGTAGTGTTGCAGTATGAGTAAGTGCCTCAAAAAAAAAAATCTTTTTTTCCTTATGAACAACAGCAGGCAAACCTAGGAATACTGAAGATGGAAGGAAATCCAAAAGCAAGCCTTAGGCATTAAGAGAATGCTATCACCCTCTAAAAATGATTTGCTTCTTATCCTTCTCACTGACAAGACAACAGTGATCCATCCCAGAAAACCTAAAGTAAAAGAGATGAAGTGATTTTGTCTTCATCACACTAGAGTCTTAGCTTAATACCTTGTTTATTGAAATGCCTAAACTTGTCTTTTTTACTCTTACCAGTTATGGAAGATGCATCAATTTTGTGAAGATTTTTGTTTTATACTTCACCAAAGATCTACCATTTATGTTTTTAAAAAATTTTATTTTCCAGGAGAAAGATCACCAACATTCCTTGAACGCCACACATCATGCTGATAAAATTCCTTTCCTTCAGTCACTCGGTATGCCAAGGTAAAGGAGAGCCCAGTATTTTATGTTTTTCTGTGGGATAATTGCCCCACAGAAATGTAGTTAATGGTGGGTTATTGACAGAACTTCTTGTTCTCCTTCGTCTCTATTATTTATCTTAAATAAATTACCCAGTGACCAAAACTTGTTCCAGCTTTTACTAGTAGAAAGCATTCTAAGAGACCTAGTTACTATTACAAATAATGGAATCTTTCAGTATCATTAAGTTACAACCCAGGATCAACATTAGCTCTTTTAATTTCAGTATCGTCCCTGATTTAAAGAGGTAACTGGCACTTTCTGACAGTTCTTCTCCAGTGGTTTCTTTCCCTCTTAATGAAGTTCTAGGGATTTCAGATTCTACTTGATTTTCTGAAATCTCTGAATGTTTTTATTATGTCAGTCTTTTTGTCCTTTAATTTCTGACAGCATTACCCACCTGGTAGTACCTCTTTTCCTTTTGTGTTTGTTGTTTTTATTAATTTAATCTAGGTATGAGATCTTATGAATTTTTTTACTTGAATTTCTTGACTCTGCTGGTAACCTTCATCCCATTTAAAATGTTTGTTTTTAATACACAAAGAGAATATAAATATTAAAAGAGAACAAAGAAGGACACATTTGACTTCTATACAATGCATAAACATTTGACAGATGATGAAGGAAATCTGATTTACTTACTACTTTTTTTTTTCCTTTTTCTCTAGTCCTCCTAGAACTCCAGTAAAAGTTGTGCCTCAAATTAGAATAGAACTTGAACCTGAAGACAATGATTATTTCTGGAGGAGCAAGGGAACAGAAACTACATTGTAACCTGTTTGTCTTTCTTAAAACTGACATTTGTTGTTAATGTCATTTGTTTTTGTTTGGCTGTTTGTTTATTTTTTAACTTTTATTTCGTCTCAGTTTTTGGTCACAGGCCAAATAATACAGCGCTCTCTCTGCTTCTCTCTTGCATAGACACAATCAAGACAATAGTGCACCGTTCCTTAAAAACAGCATCTGAGGAATCCCCCTTTTGTTCTTAAACTTTCAGATGTGTCCTTTGATAACCAAATTCTGTCACTCAAGACACAGACACGCACAGACCCTGTCCTTTGCCTCTATTAAGCAGAGGATGGAAGTATTAAGGATTTTGTAACACCTTTTATGAAAATGTTGAAGGAACTTAAAACTTTAGCTTTGGAGCTGTGCTTACTGGCTTGTCTTTGTCTGGTAGAACAAACCTTGACCTCCAGACAGAGTCCCTTCTCACTTATAGAGCTCTCCAGGACTGGAAAAAGTGCTGCTATTTTAACTTGCTCTTGCTTGTAAATCCTAATCTTAGAGTTATCAAAAGAAGAAAAAACTGAAGGTACTTTACTCCCTATAGAGAAACCATTGCCATCATTGTAGCAAGTGCTGGAATGTCCCTTTTTTCCTATGCAACTTTTTTTAACCCTTTAATGAACTTATCTGTTGAGTACATTGAAGAATATTTTTCTTCCTAGATTTTGTTGTTTAAATTATGGGGCCTAACCTGCCACTTATTTTTTGTCAATTTTTAAAACTTTTTTTTAATTACTGTAAAGAAAATGAATTTTTTCCTGCAGCAGGAAACATAGTTTTGAGTAGTTCTACCTCTTATTTGTAGCTGCCAGGCTTTCTGTAAAAATTGTATTGTATATAATGTGATTTTTACACATACATACACACACAAATACACAATCTCTAGGGTAAGCCAGAAGGCAAGATCAGATTAAAAACACCATGTTTCTAAGCATCCATTTTTCCCTTTCTTTAAAAGAAACTTAACTGTTCTATGAAGGAGATTGAGGGAGAAGAGACAAACTCCTATGTCATGAGAATAACCGATGTTCTGATAATAGTAGCATCTAGGTACAGATGCTGGTTGTATTACCACGTCAATGTCCTATGCAGTATTGTTAGACATTTTCTCATTTTGAAATATTTGTGTGTTTGTGTATGTGCTCTGTGCCATGGCTGGTGTATATATGTGCAATGTTAGAAGGCAAAAGAGTGATGGTAGGCAGAGGGCAAAGTCATTGAATCTCTTATGCCAGTTTTCATAAAACCCAAACCACATATGAAAAAATCCATTAAGGGTCCAAGAAGTCTGTCCATATGAAAATGAGGGTAAATATAGTTTATTTCCCAGGTATCAGTCATTATAATTGATATAATAGCTCTAACATGCAATATAAAATTCATAGGAGTATTAATAGCCCATTTACACATCTATAAAATGTAATGGGATTGCAGAGCTGCAGAGTACAGTGTAACAGTACTCTCATGCAATTTTTTTCAGGATGCAAAGGCAATTATTCTTTGTAAGCGGGACATTTAGAATATATTTGTGTACATATTATATGTATGTATATTTCAAAGTACCACACTGAAAATTAGACATTTATTAACCAAATTTAACGTGGTATTTAAAGGTAATATTTTTAATATGATACATTACATATTGTGAATGTATACTAAAAAAACATTTTAAATGTTAAAATTATAATTTCAGATTCATATAACCACAACTGTGATATATCCTAACTATAACCAGTTGTTGAGGGGTATACTAGAAGCAGAATGAAACCACATTTTTTGGTTTGATAATATGCACTTATTGACTCCCACTCATTGTTATGTTAATTAAGTTATTATTCTGTCTCCTTGTAATTTTGATTACAAAAATTTTATTATCCTGAGTTAGCTGTTACTTTTACAGTACCTGATACTCCTAAAACTTTTAACTTATACAAATTAGTCAATAATGACCCCAATTTTTTCATTAAAATAATAGTGGTGAATTATATGTTATTGTGTTAAAACCTCACTTGCCAAATTCTGGCTTCACATTTGTATTTAGGGCTATCCTTAAAATGATGAGTCTATATTATCTAGCTTTCTATTACCCTAATATAAACTGGTATAAGAAGACTTTCCTTTTTTCTTTATGCATGGAAGCATCAATAAATTGTTTAAAAACCATGTATAGTAAATTCAGCTTAACCCGTGATCTTCTTAAGTTAAAGGTACTTTTGTTTTATAAAAGCTCTAGATAAAACTTTCTTTTCTGATCATGAATCAAGTATCTGTGGTTTCATGCCCCTCTCTATACCTTTCAAAGAACTCCTGAAGCAACTTAACTCATCATTTCAGCCTCTGAGTAGAGGTAAAACCTATGTGTACTTCTGTTTATGATCCATATTGATATTTATGACATGAACACAGAATAGTACCTTACATTTGCTAAACAGACAGTTAATATCAAATCCTTTCAATATTCTGGGAACCCAGGGAAGTTTTTAAAAATGTCATTACTTTCAAAGGAACAGAAGTAGTTAACCAAACTAACAAGCAAAACCTGAGGTTTACCTAGTGACACCAAATTATCGGTATTTTAACTGAATTTACCCATTGACTAAGAATGAACCAGATTTGGTGGTGGTTTTGTTTCTATGCAAACTGGACACAAATTACAACAGTAAATTTTTTTATAAGTGCTTCTCCCTTCTCCATGATGTGACTTCCGGAGATAAAGGATTCAAAAGATAAAGACAAAGTACGCTCAGAGTTGTTAACCAGAAAGTCCTGGCTGTGGTTGCAGAAACACTGTTGGAAGAAAAGAGATGACTAAGTCAAGTGTCTGCCTTATCAAAAGAGCAAAAATGCCTCTGGTTTTGTGTTTGGGAGAAAAGTATCTTGGACGCACTGTTTTCCTTGATAAAAGTCATCTTCTCTACTGTGTGAAATGAATACTTGGAATTCTAATTGTTTTGTGTGCCAGGGGCAGTAATGTCCCTGCCTCTTCTCCCAATCAAGGTTGAGGAGTGGGGCTGGGGAGAGGACTTAACTGACTTAAGAAGTAGGAAAACAAAAACCTCTCTCCTCAGCCTTCCACCTCCAAGAGAGGAGGAAAAACAGTTGTCTGCTGTCTGTAATTCAGTTTGCGTGTATTTTATGCTCATGCACCAACCCATACAGAGTAAATCTTTTATCAACTGTATACTGGTGTTTAATAGAGAATGATTGTCTTCCGAGTTTTTTGGTTCCTTTTTTAACTGTGTTAAAGTACTTGAAATGTATTGACTGCTGACTATATTTTAAAAACAAAATGAAATAATTTGAGTTGTATTACAGAGGTTGACATTGTTCAGGGATGGGACAAAGCCTTCTTCAATCCTTTTCATACTACTTAATGATTTTGGTGCAGGAACCTGAGATTTTCTGATTTATATTTCATGATATTTCACATTTGCTCTTCACAGCATGAGCATGAAGCCCAGTGGCACCAAATGGCTGGGTACAATCAAGTGATATTTTGTAGCACCTCACTATCTGAAAGGCCATGAGTTTTCAGATGATTTCATTGAGCTTCATTGCAGCCTGAAATTTTAAAAAAGTTGTGTAATACGCCAACCAGTCAAGTTGTGTTTTGGCCAGAGATTTAGATATGTCCAATTTCCTGGCTCATTTCATTGTGCTCTATGGGTACGTATAAAAAGCAAGAATTCTGTTTCCTAGGCAAACATTGCAACTCAGGGCTAAAGTCATCCAGTGAAACTTTTAGAGCCAGAAGTAACTTTGTCCCAGTCCTACAATGTGAAAAGAGTGAATAGTTGCCTCTTTTTAGCCATTTTCATGGCTGGTACATATTCGTACGCATTACTTTTCAGAATCAATACGCACTTTCAGATATTCTTATTTTTATTCTCTTAAGTCTTTATTAACTTTGGAGAGAGAAATGATGCATCTTTTTATTTTAAATGAAGTAGATCAACATGGTGGAACAAAATGATAAAGAACAGAAAACATTTCAATATATTACTAATAACTTTTTCCAATATAAATCCTAAAATTCCTATAACATAGTATTTTACAGTTTTATGAAGCTTTCTATTGTGACTTTTATGGAATTAAGAGATGAAGAAGATGAGATATTTTAGCATTTATATTTTTCAAAATTATATGTATACTTAAAAATAAAGTAACTTTATGCATTTATGACTGTCAAGTGTTTCTGTTCAACTCCTCAAATAATTGTTAAATGCCCATTATTTTACTTCTTTGGGTGCTGCAGGGAATACAAAGATGATCAAGTCAGAGTCTCTGTCCCCAGATTGCTTTAGTTACCCCAGGCAGGAGGATAAAATTAGTGTCCAAATTATATTTTTAAAAAGATTATAAGAATTATCTAAGTATTAATGAAATGCTATTATGCAAAGATTCTAAGCAAGAAAAAATAGGTCCAACTAAGAGCAATAGGAATTTTTTCTTGAGAAGATAGTATTGTCTTCTTTTATAAAGTTAGTGAAATATAAAATACCACTTTCTTGAATCCAGGATGAGGTATACAGTAAATTAATTCTCAAAACAAAACAAAAAAAACAAAAAACAAACTGCTAAGCACAAAAAGTACTTATTAAAAAATAATTGTTCAATTGAATGAAATCTTAGAATGATTTTTCACAGAAGATACATTATATACACTTTTGCTGGGCCTATCCAAGGTTTTGTGTACTATTTAAAATTCTCTAGGTAGTTTCAGTCCAAAATTATAATCAGAGAGTGGTGGTGTTGGGTGGGGGGAGGGGGAACAAATAATAGAAGTGATGAAAGAGAACTTCTGGTTGCAGTAAAAGGTGACGTAAAAACAAAATTAATGAGGCAGTGACATTGGCTCAATCTTTCAATCTGAAAACATAACAGAATCGCTCTGAGCATGAGGGGACTGATAGTGGTGGTGATAATGGGGGCTAGGGAATGGGATTTGGAGTTTATCTTTGAGCTGAAAGAAGCAGCAGAAGCCACACACAGAATAAATTCTAATATGGGAGAATCTGAATTTTCAGCATACACACAGAAGATTCATTAAATAATATTGCCACGCATAACAATAAAAGTTGAGAAATTAGATCAAATTTAGTATATTATGGAAAAGAGTATACTTTTGCATGTGTTTTTGCATTTTTACCAACCCTTCATTATGCTATATATCCTACCTGATGCCCCTGAAAACTAGGAGGTAGAACACAAAACCCTATGAGATACCAAATCATCTTTCTCAAGGTCTAGGCATGACAGCCTGAGCACCTTAGATCTCAAATCCTTATTCAGAATATATGCTCATTTAATTCAAAATGTTAACAAGCTCGGTCATCTATAGATTTCTTAAAATGGAGGAAATTAGAAACAACAGAGAAAACTATTGATAAGAGAATTGATGTAGCAAGAATAGCTTAGTCTTGACAGGAAGAAAGAAGATATTTAAAAGCTGTATAAAATTTATTCTAATTTTTTTTTATTATTATACTTTAAGTTTTAGGGTACATGTGCACAACGTGCAGGTTTGTTACATATGTATACATGTGCCATGTTGGTGTGCTGCACCCATTAACTCATCATTTAGCATTAGGTGTATCTCCTAATGCTATCCCTCCCCCTCCCCCGACCCCACAACAGTCCCCAGTGTGTGATGTTTCCCTTCCTGTGTCCATGTGATCTCATTGTTCAATTCCCAGCTATAAGTGAGAAGATGCGGTGTTTGGTTTTTTGTTCTTGCGTTAGTTTGCTGAGAATGATGGTTTCCAGCTTCATCCATGTCCCTGCAAAGGACACGAACTCATCCTTTTTTATGGCTGCATAGTATTCCATGGTGTATATGTGCCACATTTTCTTAATCCAGTCTATCATTGTTGGACATTTGGGTTGGTTCCAAGTCTTTGCTATTGTGAATAGTGCTGCAATAAACATGTGTGCATGTGTCTTTATAGCAGCATGATTTATAATCTTTTGGGTATATACCCAGTAATGGGATTACTGGGTCAAATGGTATTTCTAGTTCTAGATCCCTGAGGAATTGCCACACCGACTTCCACAATGGTTGAACTAGTTTACAGTCCCACCAACAGTGGAAAAGTATTCCCATTTCTCCACATCCTCTCCAGCACCTGTTGTTTCCTGACTTTTTAATGATCGCCATTCTAACTGGCGTGAGATGGTATCTCATTGTGGTTTTGATTTGCATTTCTCTGACGGCCAGTGATGATGAGCATTTTTTCATGTGTCTGTTGGCTGCATAAATGTCTTTTTTTGAGAAGGATCTGTTCATATCCTTTGCCCACTTTTTGATGGGGTTGTTTGTTTTTTTCTTGTAAATTTGTTTGTGTTCTTCATAGATTCTGGATATTAGCCTTTTCTCAGATGAGTAGGTTGCAAAAATTTTCTCCCGTTCTGTAGGTTGCCTGTTCACTCCGATGGTAGTTTCTTTTGCTGTGCAGAAGTTCTTTAGTTTAATTACATCCCATTTGTCAATTTTGGTTTTTGTTGCCATTGCTTTTGGTGTTTTAGTCATGAAGTCCTTGCCCATGCCTATGTCCTGAATGGTATTGCCTAGGTTTTCTTCTAGGATTTTTATGGTTTTAGGTCTAACATGTAAGTCTTTAATCCATCTTGAATTAATTTTTGTATAAGGAAGGGATCCAGTTTCAGCTTTCTACCTATGGCTAGCCAGTTTTCCCAGCACCATTTATTAAATAGGGAATCGTTTCCCCATTTCTTGTTTTTGCCAGGTTTGTCAAATATCAGATGGTTGTAGATGTATGGCATTATTTCTGAGGCCTCTGTTCTGTTCCATTGGTCTGTATATCTGTTTTGGAACCAGTAGCATGCTGTTTGGGTTACTGTAGCCTTGTAGTATAGTTTGAAGTCAGGTAGGTGATGCCTCCAGCTTTATTCTTTTGGCTTAAGATTGTCTTGGCAACGAGAGCTCTTTTTTGGTTCCATATGAACTTTAAAGTAGTTTTTTCCAATTCTGTGAAGAAAGACATTGGTAGCTTGATGGGGATGGCATTGGATCTATAAATTACCTTGGGCAGTATGGCCATTTTCATGATATTGATTCTTCCTATCCACGAGCATGGAATGTTCTTCCATTTTCTTGTGTTGTCTTCACATCCCTTGTAAGTTGGATTACTAGGTATTTTATTCTCATAGCAATTGTGAATGGGAGTTCACTCTGTGTGTTATAGGTGTATAGGAATGCTTGTGATTTTTGCACATTGATTTTGTATCCTGAGACTTTGCTGAAATTGCTTATCAGCTTGAGGAGATTTTGGGCTGAGACGATGGGGTTTTCTAAATATACAATCATGTCATCTTTCAAACAGGGACAATTTGACTTCCTCTTTTCCTAATTGCATACACTTTATTTCTTTCTCTTGCCTGATTGCCCTGGCCAGAACTTCCAACACTATGTTGAATAGGAGTGGTGCAAGAGGGCATCCCTGTCTTGTGCCAGTTTTCCAAGGGAATGCTTCCAGTTTTTGCCCATTTGGTATAATATTGGCTGTGGGTTTGTCATCAATAGCTCTTATTACTTTGAGATGCATTCCATCAATACCTAGTTTATTGAGAATTTTTAGCATGAAGGGGTGTTGAATTTTGTCAAAGACCTTTTCTGCATCTATTGAGATAATCATGTGGTTTTTTGTCTTTGGCTCTGTTTATGTGATGGATTACGTTTATTGATTTGCATATGTTAAACCAGCCTTGCATCCCAGGGTTGAAGCCAACTTGATCGTGGTGGATAAGCTTTTTGATGTGCTGCTGGATTTGGTTTGCCAGTATTTCACTGAGGATTTTTGAATTGATGTTCCTCAGGATATTGGTCTAAAATTATCTGTTTTTGTTGTGTCTCTGCCAGGCTTTGGTATCAGGATGATGCTGGCCTCATAAAATGAGTTAGGGAGGATTCCCTCTTTTTCTATTGATTGGAATAGTTTCAGAAGGAATTGTACCTTCTTCTCTTTGTACCTCTGGTAGAATTCGGCTGTGAATCCATCTGGTCCTGGACTTTTTTTGGTTGGTAGGCTATTAATTAGTGCCTCAATTTCAGAGCCTGTTATTGGTCTATTCAGAGGTTCACCTTCTTCCTGGTTTAGTCTTGGGAGGGTGTATGTGTCCAAGAATTTAAGAATGGAATGATATATTAAATATGCTGAAAGAAAAAATATTCCAACCAAGAAGACTTACCTTGCAGATCTAAGTTGCATACAAAAACTAGTTGTATCCTTCCCTCCAACAATTTATGTTGTTGATATCCTGATTTACAGATTTTTATGTCGTGCATTATTTAACAACATATTGTAGTTCTAGGTTTTTTTTAATCATTTGGACTTTTAACCTTCATGCTAGACATATGTATGATTTACACACCACCATTACAATATTGAAGTATTCTGGGTTTGGCTATAAGTTTTATATATTCATGAAGTTGGTTTTTTGAAAAAATAAACAAAATTGAAAGACCCTTAGTTAGTCTGGTTAATAGAAAAGAGAGAAGACAAACAAAATTAAAAATGAAAGTGAAGAAATGATAAGAAATGCCTCAGAAATAAAAAGGATGAATAGGGCTATTGTAAAAAATTATATTCCAACCAATTAGATAACCTAGAGAAAATAGATAAATTCATAGAGAAATTCAATCCACCAAGAGTGAGTCAGGAAGAAACAGAAAGCCTGAACAGATGAATAATAAGTAATGAGATTGAATAAGAAATTAAAAAGACTCCCAAAAATAACAACAACAAAACTCAGGTCCGGATGACTTCACAGCTGAATGTTATCAAATACTCAAAAAGAATTAATACTGGTACTTCTTAAACTCTTTCAAAAAATTGAGCTAGCACATTTTATGAAGCCAGCCTCACTTTGATACCTAACCAAGACAAAAACATCACAAGAAAAGGAAACTGTAAGCCAGTTACTCTGATGAACATTCACACAAAATTTCTTGATAAAATATTAGCAAACTGTATCTAACAGCACATCAAAAAGATTATATATCATGACAAAGTGGGATTTATACTTAGCATGCTAGGCTGGTTGAACATATGCAAATTAATTAATATGATACATCACATTAATAGAATGATAATAACAAACCATATGATTATCTCATTGACACAAAAAAAGTATTTGACAAAGTCCAACATCCTTTCTTGATTTAAAAACTCTCTCAACAGTGTGGGCATAGAAAGAGTTTTTCTACATAATAAAGGCCATTTATGAAAAAAACTGCAGGTAACATTATAATCAATAGGAGACAACAAAGTTTTCCACTAAGATTTGGTACAAGGCAAGGATACCCACTCTTGCCACTTCTATTTAACATAGCGCTGGAAGTACCAGCAAGAGCAATTAGACTAGAAAGAGAAACAAAATATATACAAACACAAAAGAAAGAAGTAAAATTATTTCTATTTGCAGATGACATGATTCTATGTGTTAAAAAAAAAAAACCCACAGATTGCACAACAAATGCCTGTTAGAACTAATAAATGAATTCATTGAAGTTTCAGGATACAAAATTAACATATAAAAATCAGTAGTTATGGATTAAACTAGAAAAATCAGTAGTATTTTTACACACAAATAGTGACCTAACTGATACACAAATCAAGAAATCATTCCTGGCCGGGCGTGGTGGCTCATGCCTATAATCCCAGCACTTTGGGAGGCCAAAGTGGGTGGATCACTTGAGGTCAGGAGTTCAAGACTAGCCTGGCCAACATGGTGAAACCCCATCTATACTAAAATACAAAAAAAAATTTAGCTGGGCATGGTGGTGTGTGCCTGTAGTCCCAGCTAATCAGGAGGCTGAGAGAGGAGAATCCCTTGAACCCGAGAAACGGAGGTTGCAGTGAGCTGAGATCATGCCACTGCAGTCCAGCATGGGCTACAGAGGAAGACTCCATCTCAAAAAAAAAAAAAAAAGAAAAAGAAAAAAGAAAAAAAAGAAGAAAAAGAAAACATTCCCATTTATAATCACATAAAAATATGTAGAAACAAATTTATCCAAGGAGGTGAAAGATCTGTATATTAAAAGCTATAAAAGATTGATAAAGTAAATTGAAGGAGGCACAAATAAATGGAAAGATATCTTATGTTCACAGATTAGAAGAATTAATATTGTTAAAAATGTTCATACCAGCCAGAATAATCTACAAATTCAATGTAATTCCCACCAAAACTGCAATGATATTTTTCAAGGAAATAGGGAAAAAATCCCAAAATTCGTGTGGAACTACAAAAAACCCTGAATAGCCAAAGCAATTTTGAGAAAGAAAAATAAAAGTCAGAGGCATTACACTTACTGATTTATAATTATATTACAAAGCTATATTAACCAAAACAGTATGGCTCTGGCATAAAAGCAGATACATAGACCAGTGAAACATAGTAGAGAGCTCAGAAATCAATCCAACCATTGATGGTCAACCACTTTTTATCAAGGGCATGAAAGAGGACATGATGGAGAAAGGAGAGTCTTCGATAAATGGTGATAGGAAAACTAAATTTCCACACACAAAAGAATGAAATTAGACTTTTATCTTACACCATACATAAAAATCAACTCAAAATGGACAAAAGCCTCAAATATAAGGTCAGAAACTACAGAATTCCTCAAAGAGAACATAGGGAAAAAGCTCCTGGACATCAGCCTTGGCAATAATGTTTTAAATATCACACCAAAGACTTAGGCCATAAAAGCAAAAATAAATAAATGGGACTACATAAAACCAAAAAGCTTTTGCACAACAAAGGAAACAACCAACAAAATGAAATGGAAGTCTATAGCTTGAGACAAATTATTTGACAACTATAAGTGTGATATGGGGTTAAAATCCAAAATTTATGAAGGGCTCATACAACTCAAGAGTGGAAAAACAAATAACTTTATTTAAAAATGAGCAAAAGATCTTAATAGGTATTTCCCCAAAGGAGACATACTAATGGAACAACAGGTATATGAAAATGTGTTCAACATCATTAATAATCAGGGAAACACAAATCGAAACCACCATAAGATACCATCTCGCAACCATACAATGGCTATTATCGAAAAGTCAGAAGTTAAATGTTGGTGAGGGTGTGGAGGCAGAGAAATCTGCTATATTGTTGATGGGAATAGATATTGGTACAGGCATTATGGAAAACAGTATGGAAGCTTCTATATAAATAAAAAGTAGAACTGCCATGTGATCCAACAATTTTTCTTCCAAGTATATACCAAAATGAAGATATCTGCAGTCCTATGTTCATTTCAGCATTATTCATAACGGCCAAGATATGGAAACAACCAAACTGTCTGTTGATAGATGAACAAATAAAGAAACTGTGGTGCAAATACATACTGAAATATTACTCAACCTTAAAAAAGAATGAAATTTCCCATTTTCTACAACATGGATGAGCTTGGAGGAAATTATGCCAAGCAAAATAAGCCAGGCACAGAAAAAGAATATTGCATAATTTCACTTATATTTGGAATCTAAAAAAAAAGTCAAATATATAGAGACAGAGAACAAAACAGTAGTTACCAGGGGCTGGGAAGCAGAAGGAGGAAATGAGACAAAGATCAGAAGATACAAAGCAGCAAATATGTAGTATAAACAAGTTTAGATATCTAATGTACAATATGGGAACTATATGTAATAAAATTGTACTGTATATGAGATTTATGCTAATTGAGTAGATTTTTAGCTGCTCTTGTCACAGAAACAAAAAAAATTGGTAACTATGTGAGATGATGGATATGTTAATTTTCATCACTATAGTAACCATTTTACTATCTATATGTGTCCCATATATCATGTTATATACCTTAAATATACACAATAAAATTTATTTTTTAAAAAGCAAAATAACAACAACAAAAAGAAATCTATACCAAATACCAGGCCACTAAGATTTTAGAAGTTTTGTAATTTTAGTTCTTATAGTTAGTTCCATGCTCTATTTCAAGAAACATGTGTATGGTATGAGGAAAGAATCAAGCTTCATTATTTTACATATAACTAGTAAATTGTTCTAGCACTATACATAAAAAAGACTATTCTTCCTCCATGAAATTGCTTTGTACCTTTGCTGGAAATCAGTTGACAATTATATGTGTGAATATTTTACTGTGTTCTTTATTCTGTTTCACTGATCTATTTGTCTATTTTGACCCAAATAGCACACTATCTTAATTACTGTACTTTTAGAATGTCTTAAAATCAGATAGTGCAAGTTTTTCAACTCTTATTATTTTCCAAACTGTTTAGGCTGCACTCATGACTTTGAATTTCCATGCATATTTTAGAATAAGCATGTCAATTTCTTAAAACGTTGCTGAAATTTTGAAATTGTAGTTGTGCCAAATCTATAAATCAGACAGCAATCCTACTCCTAGCTATACATCCAAAAAAAGAGGTATGCTTATGTGTACAGGGACACATCCGCAGGAATGTTCATATCAGTATTATCTATGATAATCCCCAATTGGAAAGAAAGCAAATTTCTAACAATATTAAAATAGATAGATATATGATATAGAGAAATGGAAATGAACAAACTACAAGTACATGCATTAACATGAATTAATCTCTCAAATTATGTTAAAGGAAAAAAGCAAGTTAAAGTAATACCTCCAGTATAAATCTGTGTATAAAAATTTAAAAACAGGCAAAATAAACTATCATTTTAAGGATGCATATATATCCTGTATAATGGTAAAAATAAAGCCTACAAATCAGGATTATGGCTATCCCTAGAAGGAACGGAATATGAATCATTGTTTTCCTTCTATGATACTGGCAATTAGCTACAGAATATTTTACAGTTATTTTTAAGATATATATTATATATCTCATATATATATACACATACATACAATACATGTATATGTGTGTTCATGCGCATTATATATATTATGTATGATACCTTTAACCAAAAAAATGAAAATAGTTGTTACTGCAAATTTGTGTGCAAGGATTGGTGTTTTTGACCTGTGGGCTTCATTGTAAGGTAGATTGATTGGGCTATGTATTTTGAAACTCCAACTCTCACCACCTGGGAGACTTTCTCTTGGTTTCGTCAATTTATTGAGAGAGGAATCCTTAACCTGGTTGACAGTGCTCTCAGAAATAAATTAAAGAAGTGAGCTAAGTTGTTTCACTATTTCATATAGAATGTTTCATTTAATTCTCCTCATAAAGCATAAAGCCTCAGTCTTGTGCTTGTCTGGGGAGGAATACTGCCTGGGTATTATATTAGTCCATTTTCACACTGCTAATAAACATACCTGAGACTGGGAAATTTACAAAAGAAAGAGCGTTAATGGACTTACAGTTCCATGTGGCTGGGAAGGCCTCACAATCATGGTGGAAGGTGAAAGACATGTCTCACATGGTGGCAGACAAGAGAGAGCTAGTATGGGGAAACTCCCATTTTTAAAACCATCAGATCTCATGAGACTTATTCACTATCAGAACAGCACAGGAAAGACTCACCCCCATGATTCAATCACCTCCCATCATGTTCCTCCCATGACACGTGGGAATTGTGGGAGTTACAATTCAAGATGAGATTTGGGTGGGAACACAGCCAAACCATATTGGGTATACATGGTGTGGGAAGGAAATATGATATTTCCTTGCATAGACTTTTACCCAATCTCTTTTCAGCCCACTCATATCTCCACTCCCAGAGGTAGCTCATTCCCTCAATTCCAAGACTTTCTGGAGTTCTGTGGAACCAGTTGGCTTGCTTCTGTATTTTCACCACTGCTGGTTTAACTTTTATTTTTCTCAATCTGTTGAATCAATTTCTAGTTGGCTCATTGCTTTCCAGCTTCCATTATTTTATTTGCTACCATCTGTTCTCTTTTCTTCATCTTTGTGTTTTATCTCAACATGTAAATACACAAAAACACATACTAAGTAGTCATATCTTGGTTTCTAATCCTCTTCTCCAATAAAATGAACCAGGAAATAGCTGGTTCTAGAGCTAGTTATGGATGATACAAGATGATCCTTGAGCATCTTGTAGTGTCAAAATGCAAAAAACTGTTAAAAGGATAAAAATACAGAAGATAGTAAAAGAACACAGGCAGTAAGCTAAAGAGCTCCTGTTGGCCAAAGGTGGAAAAATTTGAGCAGCAAAATAAATAATAAAGTTGTTGTCCAATACAAAAAGTATTAGATAAATATACATAAGAACAAATTGATATAAATATGTGACTGAATGAATAAATAGGGGAGGAGGGATAAATCTCCCTTACAAAATAATTCTAAAGAATATATGTAGATACTCCCTGACCTAGGAAGTGGAGCTTAATTCTTCTCCCCTTGAGTGTGGGCTGGACTTATTGACTTCTTTTCAAATGATAGAGTTTGGAAAGGAAATAATAACTTTACTGTACATTTCAGACATTATCTTAACCAAGTGATCAAAGTTAACATCAACAGTGATATGTCATGTTGATATCATGTAACCCTGTGATATGGTTTGGCTCTGTGTCCCTACCCAAATCTCATCCTGTAGCTCCCACAATTCCCACATGTGTGGGAGGGACCTGGTGGAAGATGACTGAATCATGAGGGTGGATCTTTCCTGTGCTGTTCTTGTGATAGTGAATGGGTCTCACAAGATCTGATAGTTTTAAAAATGGGAGTTTCCCTGCACAAGTTCTCTCTTCGCCTGCTGCCATCCACATAAGATGTGACTTCCTCCTTCTTGCCTTCTGCCATGATGGTGATGCCTCCCCACCCATGTGGAACTGTAAGTCCAATAAATCTCTTTATTTTGTAAATTATCTTGTCTTTATCAGCAGCATGAAAACAGACTAATACACCCTGATTTGATACAATGTGAAGGATACTTCTGTGATGTTGTTTCCCAAATCTCATAATTTCAATTTAATTATGAGAAAACCTCAGACAAATCTAAATTGAAGGATGTTTTACAAACTGCCTGCTATGGTCTGAATGTTTGCATCCCCCCAAAATTCATATTATTGAAACATAATCTCTACCTCTTAATAATATTAAGAGGTAGGGCCTTTGGGAGGTGGCTAGGTCTTGAGGGAAGAGCCCTCATGAATGAGATTAGTGTTCTTGTAAAAGAGGCTCAAGGGAACTTGTTCACTCCTTCTACCAAGTGTGATGCCATCTGTGAGAAAGTAGACTCTCACCAGGCACCAAATCTGCTGGTGCCTTGATCCTGGACTTCCTAGCCTCAAGAACTTTATTGTTTATAAATTACACAGTCTAAGGCATTTTGTTACAGCAGCCCAAATTGACTCAGACACTGCCTCACCAGTATTCTCCAAAATTGTCAGGGTCATGAAAAAAAGAAAATACTGAGAAATTGTCAAAGATTAGAAGAGACTAAGGAGAACTGACCACTAAATTCAATGTAGTATCCTGAATTAAATCTTGCAACATTAGTGAGAAAATTGGTGAAATACAAAGAGTTTCTTTTATCTTAATAATAAATGTTAATGTCTGTTTTGACAAATGTACTGAGGTCATGTAAGATGTTAACTTTAAGGGAAACTGGAATCTCTCTGTATTGTTTGTAACTTCTTTTTTGTAAATTTAAAATTAAGAAGTTTATTGAAAAAATCCCTGTTGTGAAGTTCCAAGAAGAAACTATGTTCTTCCAGGTTTTACCAGAAGTTCATAATCCTGGAAAAGTCCTACTTCTGCTTCAAGGCTCAGTTGGACAGTGATGTCCTTGGGAAGCCTCCTGTAACTTCTCCAGACACAGGGTTTCCATAGAACCTGGTACTTACCTGCTGGTACGGTTTGGCTGTGTCCCCATCCAAATCTCATCTTGAATTATAGCTCCCATAATTCCCAAGTTTTGTTGGAGGGACCCAGTGGGAGACAACTGAATCATGGGGAAGGTCCCCCCATACTGTTCTTGTGGTAGTGAATAAGTCTCATGGGATCTGATGGTTTTATAAGGGGAAACTCCTTTCACTTGGTTCTCTTCTCTCTCTTGCCTGCTGCCATGTAAGATGTGCCTTTCACCTTCCACCATAACTGTGAGGCCTCCCCAGCCACGTTGAACTGTGAGTCCATTAAACCTCTTTTTCTTTATAATTTACCCAGTCTTAGGTATGTCTTTATCAGCAGTGTGAAGACAAACTAATACATCTCCTTTTAATTGCACCTCTCACAGTGTCTACCCAGTGGACTGGGCAATCTCAAAGGCAAGAGCCAGAATCTATTTTTATTTTTTGCCCAGTATCTGGCAAAATGCCGCTGGCAAAATGCTTACCTACATTCAAAAAATACGTGTGTGTTTGAGCCAAGTTGGTTATGGAGTAGAGCACAGCCATTTCAATGTAAAAAATAAAGTGAATAAAAGCCACCAATTGCTACTTTAAATAAATCTAGTTTTCATTGGAAATTATTCCTTTCTGATAACTGTTTGCTTCAAAGAACCTGGATTTTTTGGAAGTAAAATATAGTCCAAGACCATTGCTTCAAATCGCAGGGAAGTATGGCAACCATATACTGTGATGAAAAGCAAAGGTTTAATTAGCCTTGTGCTGGTGATGTTTTTCTAAATAGTAAACTAAGCACTTTGAGAACCTTCCCATTCTTAATTATTAGGGAAATTATGCCTTGTAAAAGTAAAGCCTACCCAGATGATGTTTAATGGGCCAGACAGGCAGGAAATATTTGACATTTGTAGCCTCCTGGTGTCATGTTTTTCTTTTATCTTTGTTGGTTTCTTTCCCATTAAATGATTGGAAAATTACTGTGACTTTATTCCCATAGGCTGAAAATTAGCCTGCTAAGCTTCAGCCTTAATCAGATTCTGATGACTAAGAATTAATCTATTTTAGCAGAAGCATGTCTAACGGAAATCAGTATAGCTCTTCTCTGCCACAGCAGAGCAGTGGCTGCTGTCTCCAGTGATTGATATGCAGTAGCCAAATGTAGAAATCATTCAGGTCTAAATCCCTTTGTTCTCTGGTCAATATTGATTAAATTTTGTTTTTCCAGAGTACATCTGTTCACATGCACAGCTTTCACAAGGTTACAAAAAACCTTCATTTTGAAGGCTAAAACAGAAGTGTTTTAAGAGAGTATTTAAATCTCTCTGGCATAACTGCATGTGGCTGTGATTTCCCACCCCTGACGTGATTCAGGGTTATTCCAACTATTTCAAGAGATGGCAGAAAGTTGTTACAATGTTCGAATTCAAAGTTAAAAAATATAAACAAATTAGTTTATATTTTAGTATGTCACAAGAGAAGGTTGCAAGGATAAAACAGTGTGATATAGAATTGGAACTCCAAAGAAACTATTCATAGAGAATTTATTCAAAATGAACTCAGCATTTATTTATTGACCACTTACTATTTTCAAGTATTATGGCATATGCTTAATAAAAATTGGTGAATAAAATAGCTGTTGTGCCTGCCTTCATGGAGTTTTCAGTCTGGAGGGAAAGATGTCTTAAAAGACATTCATGTTAGATTTGGAATTGCTTACTGGGTTTAGTGGTGCTTCCCCTGCTTCAGTAAGAGACTAACTTAAATACAGTCATGCCCACATAATGGTGTTTCAGTGACCATAGACCTGTATATGGTGGTGGTCCCATAGAATTATAATGGAGCTGAAAAATTCCTATTTCCTAGTGATATTGTAGCTGTAGTAAAGTCATAGCACTGCACATTACTTATGTGTTGTGGTGATGCTGGTGTACTGTGCTGCCAGCCGTATAAAAGTAGAGAACGCATAATTATGTACAGTACATATTTGATATAGTAATAAATGGCTATGTTATTGGTTTATGTATTTACTATACTATACTTTTTGTCATTATTTTAGAGTGTATTCATTTTTTTAAAAAAAAGTTAACTGTAAACAGTCTTAGGCAGGTCCTTCAGGAGGTATTCCAGAAGAAGGCATTTTCACAGATGACAGCTCCATGTATGTAATTGCCCCTGAAGATCTTCTAGTGGGACAAGATGTGGAGGTGGAAGACAGTGACAGTGATGATCCTACCCTGTGTATGTCAAAGCTGATGTGTGCCTTTGTGTTATTGTTTTTAACAAAAAAAGTTTAAAAAGTAAAAGAATTTAAAAATAGAAAAAAGCTTATAGAATAGGGAAATAAAAACCGAAAATATTTTTGTACGGCTGTGTTTTTGTTTTAAGCTAAATATTAATACAAGAGTTAAAAAGTTAAAAAAGTAAAAGTTTATAAGGTAAAAAAAGTTACAGTAATCTAAGATTAATTTATTATTAAGGAAAGAAAATTTTACAAATAAATTTAGTGTAGCCCAAATGTATTGTGTTTATAAAGTCCAAGGTAGTGTCCAGTTATGTCCTGGGCCTTCACATTCACTCACCACTCAGTCACGGACTCACCCAGAGCAACTTCCAGTCCTGCAAACTCCATTCATGGTAAATGTTCTGTATAAGTGTACCATTTTTTTCTTTTATATTATATTTTTACTGTGCCTTTTTATGTTTAGATGTGTTTAAATATACAAATACTTACCATTGTGTTAGAATTAACGATAGTATTCAGTACAGTACATGCAGTACAGATTTTTAGCCTCGGAGCAGTCTAGTCATACAGGCTAGATTGTAGTAGGCTTTATTGTCTAGCTTTGTGTAAGTACAATCTATGATGTTTACATAACAATGAAATCTCCTAATGCATTTCTCAGAACCTATACCTGTCGTTAAGTGACACATGTCTGTGTAAGTCAAGGGTAAACAGACATTGTAGAGTTGGTCAAAGTAGAAATTGATCTAGATGGTAGGATTTGAGGATTCTGCTGCTTTAAAATATCTTTTCAATCTAGGTTTGTCATTGTCTAATTTCCCAGGGTTAGTAATCTTTATAAATACAAATACTCCAGAGAGCTTTATAAACTGCTTCTTTCAATAACTTCTCCCTCTAGTCACCTGCCTCACCTGCATGCATCTTTTGCTCAGCCAAACTAGCCTCATAATTCCAGTCTGTGCTCTGGAGTCATTTTTTTCTGTCTCTAAATCCTTCCCTTTTATCCTACCTTTTAATCAAGGTCCATATCAAATACTACCTCCTCTGTAAAGCTTGCCCTGGTATCATTCTTGATATCACTCTTATTGTTTGTATCATTTATTTGATAACTGATGTTTTGCCTATATCATGGCAAGTAAGCAATTAATATTAATTGCTGTGGTGTGTGTGTGTGTGTCTGTGTGTGTGGAAAACCCTAATATAGTATGTTTCTAGGAATTTCTCCACTTTTCTTTAGGTTGTCTAATCTGGTGGTGTACAATTATTCATTATAGCCCCTTAAGATCATTTGTATTTATATGGGCTCGATTATAATACCTCCTCTGTCGTTTATGATTTTATTTATTTGAATCGTCTCTCTTTTTCTTCTTAGTCTACCTAAGGGTTTGCTGAGTTTGCTGTCTTTTCAAAAAACCAACTCAATTTTTTTTCAATTTTTAGAATTTTTCTCTATTTTCTATTTCATTTATTTCTGATCTGATCTTATTTCTTTCCTTTTGTTAATTTTAGGTTTAGCTTCTTGTTCTTTTTCTAGTTCCCTGAGGTCAAAGTTAGGTCATTTATTCAACATCTATTTTCTTTTTCAATGTAGGTATTTATCATTATAAATTTCCTTCATAGTACTACTTTGGCTGTATTCTGTAAATTTTGGTATGTTGTGTCATTTTTGTTTGTCTTGAGTTATTTTATAATTTTCTTTTTGAGTTCTTTTTTGACCCAAGAGTTGTTTAAGAGTGTATTTATTAATTTCCATATATTTGTGAATTTTCCCATTTTTAAATTATTGATTTTGGTTTCACTCCATTGTTATTGCAAATATACTTGGAATAATTTTGATCTTCTTAAAGTTGTTGAGATTTGTTTGTGACCTAGCATGTAACTGAGCCTGGAGAATGTGCGTTTAAGAAAAGTGAGTGTTCTGCTGCTGTTTAGTGGAATGTACTGTATATGCTTGTTGGGTCCATTTGGTCTATAGTATAGTTCAGTTCTTTCAGTTCTGCTATTTCCTTATTAATTTCCAGTCTGAATGGTTTATCCATTATAAATAGTTGGGTATTGAAGCCTCCTACTATTATTGTATTGCTATCTATTTCTCCCTTCATATATGCCAATGTTTGCTTTATATATTAGGTGTTTTGATGTTGGATGCGTACATATTTATAACTGTTCTATCTTCCTTTTGAATTGACTTTTATTATTAAGTAATGCTGTACTTTGTCTCTTGTGACATTGTTTAACCAACAGTCCATTTTGTCTGATAGAAGTGTAGCCACTCCCACTTTCTTTTAGCTACCAATTGCTTGGAATACTGGGGAGTTTAGTTTATTTACATTTAAAGTAATTATTGATTTGTAAGCCATTTTGTTAAATTTTTTCTGTGTTTTTTTGTACTTCTCTTGTTCCTCTCTTCTCTTAGTTCCTTTCTTTGTGTTTTGATTAATGTTTTTAAATAGTAATGTGCTTTGGTTCTTTTCTCTTTATCTTTGATGTATCTACTATATTTTTTTGTGGTTACCATGGACTTCTATCAAACATTTTATAGTTGTAACTGTCGATTTTAAGCTGATAACTTAATATCAATCTCATACAGGAACTCTGTACTTCCTCCTCCCTGTTATATAATTCATGTTAGATTTTACTTCTTTTTATATGGTGTTCTATTAAAAATTTTCTGTGGTTATAGTTATTATACCTACTTTTGTTTTTGTAATTTAAATACTAGTGTTAAACATGACTTACATGCCACCATTACAGCATTACAGTATTCTGTGTTTGTCTTTATATTTACCTTTAAGAGTAAGATTTGTACTTTCATATGTTTCTGTGTTGCTGTTTAGCATATTTTTATTCTAACTTGAAGTGTTTCCTCTAGCACTTGTTATAAGGCCTGTCTAGTCATGATGGATTCCTATAGTTTTTGTTTGAGAATGTCTTTATCTCTCCCTCATTTCTAAAGGATATATGTGGTGGGTAAAGTATTGTTAATTAGCAGTTTATTCTTTTAGTATTTTGAGTATCAGCTTACCCTCTCCTAGCTTGCAAGGTTTCTGTTGTGTAATTCACTTATAGCCTTAGGACACTTCCCTCATGTGTGATAAGCTGATTTTCTCTTTCTACTTTAAAAATTATCTCTCTCTCTCTCTTATTTTTTACTTTTGACAATTTAATTACAGTATGTCTCACTGTAAACCTTTTTGGGTTCCACCTATCTAGGTGTCTTTAGGCTTCATGAATTTGAATGTCCATTTTCTCTCTTTAGATTTGGGCCATTTTAAAAGCATTATTTCCTTAAATACACATTCTGTCACAGTCTTTCTCTCTTCTCCTTTTTGGATTTTTGTAATGTATACATTAGTTTGGTTGATAGTGTCCCATGAGACTTGTAGGCTTACTTCACTCTTTCTTCTTTGGATTTCTCTAACTGGATAATTTCAAATAACCTGTCTTCGATTTTGCTGATCCTTTCTTCTGCTTGACTGAGTCTGCTATTGAGATTCTCTATTGAGTTTTTCAATTCAGTCATTGTAATCTTTATCCTCAAGATTTCAGTTTCTTTCTTTTTTATGGTTTGTATTTCTTTCTTTTTTTTTTTTTTTTTTTTTTTTGAGACGGAGTCTCGCTCTGTCACCCAAGCTGGAGTGCAGTGGCGTGATCTCTGCTCACTGCAAGCTCTGCCTCCCGGGTTCACGCCATTCTCCTGCCTCAGCCTCCCGAGTAGCTGGACAGGCGCCCGCCACCATGCCCAGCTAATTTTTTTTTTTTTGTATTTTTAGTAGAAACAGGGTTTCTCCATGTTAGCCAGGATGGTCTTGATCTCCTGACCTCGTGATCTGTCCGCCTCAGCCTCCCAAAGTGCTGGGATTACAGGCGTGAGCCACCGCACCCCACCTGGTTTGTATCTCTTAATGAACTTCTCATTTTGTTCATGTCTTGCTTTCCTGATTTCATTGAATTGTCTGCCTATGTAATCTTGTGGTTCATTGAGCTTCTTTGAAATGATTATTTTGAATTCTCTGCCAAGCAGTTTATAGATCTACATTGATTTACGGTTGGTTACTGGAGCTTTATTAATTTCCTTTGGTGGTATTATGGTAGCCTGATTCTTTGTGATCCTTGTAGCCTCATGTTTGTGTTTGTGCATCTGAAGGAGCAGTCACTTCTTCCAGAATTTATTGACTTGTTCAGATCTTTTACTGAAGGGTCCCCAGATAGACAGGACTACCTCTGAACTGTGGTCAAGTGGGGATAAAGTTAGGTCATGGGGTTGTTTCTGTATCTGCAGCTGGGTCTACTGTCAGCAAGCCAGTTACTAGGGGCATAGGTGAATATGGTTCTTGCCAGGCCCCTTCCCAGAAAGAGCCTTCCTCTGTGGCCACAAATAAGCAGAGCTGAAGCCACTTTCACAGGAGAATGAATTTGAATGTCCATTTTTTCTCTTTAGATTTGGGCCATTTTAAACCATTATTTATTTAAATACACTTTCTGTCACAGTCTTTCTCTTTTCTCCTTTTTGGATTTTCATAATACATACATTAGTTTGATTGACAGTGTCCTATAAGACTTGTAGATTTACTTCACTCTTTTATCTTTTGATTCCTCTTACTAGATCTGTTTTCAGATCTGTAGTAGGGTCTGTAATGATAGACCCACTACTGGAGTACAGGCCTGCTTTCTCAAAGCACCTCTTCTCAGTGTTGGGTTCATTGGGGTGTTACAAGCTCCTACCTGCGTCTACAAACTCCCGCATAGGTACTTTTGTCTGTGGATAGTTGCTAAATTGTTATTTGTATGGAGGACAAGGGCTGGGATGCTTTATTCTGCCATCTTGCTAACATCACTGCTCAGGAAATTTCCTCATGTTTTTAAACTATAGCAATCAAGTTCTAGATGTTATTTATAGTCTACAGTGAATTTTGGTCTGTGTTACATTAATAGAAGTCCACGATTATTTGTAATGGAAACTGCCTCAGAATGTGTTTCTTTTAATGTTTTAGAAATAATGTATTTGTTTGGGGGTCTGTAATACTTTCATGCTCAGTGAAAATAATATGGTAAATTAACCACTCTTTAATTTTACAAATATTATGCCAACATGATCTGAGATACCACATCAAACCACAGAGAAAGGCCTGCAAAGGCATGATTCACATATAGAATATCTAAACTGAGAGAAAATTCCCTTTCCACACTGTTGACCCACTTCTCTTCATATCTGTAGAAAACATGGAGAAACATTATCGCAATCCCAGGAGAAGAAGAGTCCTGCTTATCTCCCTGTCTCACATCTGCTTGTGATCTCTTAGTTGAGTGCATTTTTTCCATCTTTATAACTTACATGTAGAACAAATTAAGGCAAAATTAGAGAAGTATCCAAATCCATTAATTTTACTAATTGGAACTATTAACATTGTAGGTTGCTAATGTTTTTCTCCTTCTGACTATAGAATCCAGGTTATTCAGGAATAAAGATTGTGGATGTGTGTGTGTGTGTGTGTGTGTGCGCACACATGTGCATTCAGGAAGTAGACAGCTTATTAAGAAAGAAAAAATCAAGATGATCAGCAAGGCACTATTCCTATTTTTAGAGTTAGGAAAGTTCTGTGATTAGATAGAGGCTTTAAACCTTAACTCAGAAGTTAGAACTTCACAGTCCCCTTCTACTTCTTCCCACAAGAGTGGCTGAGAGAAGTCTGCATCCCTTCTTGAACAACTTTCAAGGAGCCCAGGGATGTCTTGCACATGGTAGACACTTGATAAATATTTGCTAAATAAGTGAATTGTTAAATGTATATATAGCCAGTTCACTCTTCCCATGTCTCTTCTTACTCATAGGAGGTTTTAAGAATGGGCTGTGTTTCAGAATTATACAGTCAGACTAATTACACATATTTATGATTGGATGCTAAGATTAATTATTATAAATTCCAATCTTACTGCTTCCTAGAATAGCTTGTCATAAGATCAGAGTGATCATCAGAGTGATCATCATGAAGCTGTGATTCAATCCAAACAGCGTGGAGTCAGAGTCTGGCCCTTATTCAATAATCCATGTGAGATATCTACAAAAAACAGGGTAAGGAACCTGAGATTGGCAAGGGGAGGTGTATTGTTTTAGTAACATGGTCAGAGAAGGCTTCTTTGTTGGGGAGCATATGAGCAGAGACTCAGATGAAGTGTGACCTCTGCTGCCTTCTCACACAGAATGCACTATAAGGTCATTAACCTATTATCAGTTTCCATTTTATCTGTTATCTTTCAATTAGATGGCTCTCCTATCTCCCTCAAGATCCTATTCTGGCAAAAAAACATAGCTTCAGGCATGGGTACCTGTGCTGTAACCTACTTTCATGTTCTCTCTTCTTATTTATATGAGTCCGTTGCTCCCTCCCTCATTCATGGAGGTAGTCATGCTGACCTGTAGACTAGTCTCACAGCACCCTCAACAGGGATATTAGGAAATAGATAAATGAATTTAAAGTATGATCCCAACAGACTCACATGAGTGTCATGATAACAAGAAAATGTACAAAATGTTTTCTTGATCAGGACCACAGATAGATGACATAGGAAGAAGGCAAAGTCACAATTCAATGACTTCATGTTTCTGTCCAAGGGCACGTTGGACCATGCCGATCCCATATATCTTGTGTGGAATGGTGTCCACACTATAGGACTCTGACCACCCATCCAGAGTTAGAGGCAAGAAAAATGCGACAGAAACAAACTGGGTATCTCAAACAGGCAACAATTTCCCAAGAAAAAAAAATATTTAAAAACTAAGATGATCAGATTTTAAACTAGTTTGGGTCTAAAGCGGAAGGGAATGTCTGCGTAGAGCTCTATAGAGGCATGTCATTTCTTTTCTGAAGTGGGCAATTTTAAGATTAGTTAGGGCAAGACAAGTAAACTAGTATATTTCAATAGTTCCTACCAATAAATATTTGTTTAGCTCCTGCTGTGTTAGGAGACCTTTTATTAGTGAGGGGCTCGCAATCTAGTGGGAGAAGATAAATTTGACTGCAAAAATGCAGGAAGAGCTATTACCTTATCTCTCTTCTAGCTTAGGAGTCTGGGAAAGCTTCCCAGCTTTGCTTATTATTCCAAAAAGCAAGCACAAGTTCCAGGTTTCTTAGCCCACAAGTCTGCTAGTATACATGACATCTAAATGTAGATCTTGAAATTTTCATGGTCTATTTCTAAGCCTGTTGCCATTATTAGAGGCTCCCTCTTTGCCCACCTCCTCAAACACTTTCCCAACAACAACCTCCTCCCCCAGCTGAAGCCAAACTACCATACCCTCTCTTTGATTGTAAAATTTCTAGTGAGAAATGAGATTTACTGTTAGTTAAGCTTCTTCCCAACCTATGTTCAGGGACTCTACTGATCAATTACCTTTGTTCTGCTAGAGAATTTTCTTTAAGTTTCCTCTGTAATTTCCAGAACTAGAGGTGCTTAAAAGTGACCAAGTTGTTGGCTCTCTTTGTATCTCCAAACTTAAAGGAGAGTGCTGTATTTGCTTTTCAAAGCAAGTTGAGAATTGACATCTTTGTGATGTTGATTCTGCTAAGAGGAAGATGGTATACCTTTCCAAGTATTCATCCCAGCCCATTGTTTCTGACTTGTAGGGTTTCCTTCCAAGCATCAATGATTATGTGTGGCAAGACAATAAGGACATCTACATGATTTATTACTCATATTTTCCACCATTGAAGTCAGCTTGGGAAGCAACAACTTGGCAGGACTCAGAAGGTCTGTTTCCCTCCCTTTGATGCAGAGGTTTTAGGTAACTCTTATACTTGTCATATCCTTTATCTTTATGATATCATTCTTGTTCTCCATGGCAAACCACCCCCTAAATCCGGCTTAGATCTCACTTACCTCAAAGTGGAAGGAATAGATATTTCTGACTCTGTCTCTAATAAATGTTTATTTCATTTGCATGTGGTTTTCTCACTATGGGGCTGTTACAATAAGGAGTTGGTACTAGGGCTGGGGTGACTATGGGTTGAGATTGTTTAGTGTGACTTTGACAGATCCTTAACTCAGCTTGGTCTGTTCTTAACTATTGTGATTAAAGTATATGAATGATTCTAGATCCTGCCTGCCTTGTTTTATCTATTTTCCCTAAGTTCTGACTGGTTGGCACACTGCCACCTGGATTTGTTTATTCAACTCTTTCTATTTATACTGTCTGGTGTTAAATTACAACTTCTATCATATAGATGTCTCCCCTGACATCTTCCCACAAATTGCTGGCCATCTGTGATTAACTGTAGTGCATACTCTCTATTGTTACACCCAAATGTAATTGAATTAACAATCTGAGCAAATGCCATATTTTAATATAGCCAAACACAATTATATTAATAATTTAAGGCTAGTCCCTTGAAATTTTTAAATAACTAAACTTATAACACATTTGAATAATTTGACTCTGTTAACAGGTGCATAGTGTAGTAGAAAAAGCCCTGCTCAAGGAGTCAGTCAGGCTTGCATTTGACTTTCATCTCTGGCAGTTATTATCTGTTGCTTTGGAAATTTAGACATATTTCTTAAATTTTTTGAGCCTTGGTAATATCTTCTGTAATGGAGAAGAATAACAGAGACTTTATGCATTGGAATTGAATGGGAAACATATGTGAGAGCACCTTAGTGCCTGACATTGCAGCTAGTACATATAGGCAGTTGGGTGTATGGATATTGGTGTCACCCTAGGCTTTGAATCCTGGAAATGCTATCCAATTGTTATGTGACCTTGATAAAGCTATTTATCTTCTTTATTTCTCAATGCCCTCCTATATTAAATGGGGATAAGTTTTCCTGTCTTAAAGGGCTGTTCTATGGATTAAGTAATATGATGAAAGTAAAGTGCTTAGCACAATACCTAGCAAGTTAGTAAATGTTCAATACCTGTTTGCTCTGTTAATATAAGCTATTTCATAACTATTAATAGTTGTGCAAGAAGTGAAATTACATATAAATTTGACAAAGGGAAGCTTCTCTCTGTAAAATAAAAGTCCTTTGAAACAAAAACAGTAGACACTGTGCATTATATGACTATTAAAAAAATAGGCTCAATTAAACAGCCTAATCCATGATCACAAGCCATTGTATGAAGAACTATCAACAAATCTTAGAAAAATCAGCACTGAAAGAGAATCTTTGGAGTTTGTTTACTTTCAGTCTTGCATTAAGATGAAACTGGGACTTGTATATAGATGATGTTCAAATAATATTTGTAAAAGGAATTCTTTTGTATAGCATGTGGATATTTGAAAGAGTTTTAAAGGAATTTTTCAAAATATATCCTTATTCACCATGGGTTGCATGTATCAGGACATGATGCTTTTCTTGGCAAAAAAAAAAAAAAAAATCCAAAAATGTTATCATTCCATAAATGACCCATGGAAAGACTAATAATGACTATTTTCAAGTGAGATACCATGGTATACAGGTAATGTTTTTACAAAATTATCTGAATATATATAACTTTTTTCCTTTTTGAGAGCATATTATTTTCTGGGAACATTATTTTTCTGTGTTTGAACACTAATGAGGTGAATAGATGCTATGTAAAAAACAATCTCAAAACTCTGCTTTGTGTAGTCTGAAAACAGGAAAAACCTTTAAAAGACCTCATTATCTCAGCATTCTGTTCATGAAAAACCACTGTAAACATTGATAAATCTCCTAGTTTTAGAAATATTACTTGTTAGTTGCACTTATAGAGAACAAATGGGTCTTGTAGTAGCATACTGATATCTCTATTCAACACCCTTTTGTCTTCCCGACTCTAGCCCTAGGGAGAAATGCTCCTATCCAGTAGCTTCTGGTAAGTATTGAACAACCTACTCTCAGGAAAATAAAACATCCCTGGTCTGTAGCATATGCTTTTTTTCTGTTGTGTAAATATTTCCACCATCTGGAGTTGGACAAAAGATACAGTCAACTCCAGCAAGCTGGAACTGGCCCATCACTACTCATATTCCCTAGCAAACATGTGACTCTTGTGGGGTTGACATTTGCAGTACTTGAGACAGAATGCCAGACACAGGAAAGAGACACGAACAATCCTGTGCCCAATCCCTTTGCCTCAGGTATTGGTCCAAAAGTGGACATGTGACCCAGTTTGGATTAAAGGCTTTATAACAAATTTAATATTTGAAAGCTGAAAGAATTTCCTTCTTTGTGCTTGAATAATGAGCCGTGATATCACAACTTCAGAGCTTGTTGGGCCTTTTTATCCATGCATGGTGTAGAAGAGAAGGAGGCCCTGCAGACAGTGGAAGACATGAGAGATGGTTGGAGAGAGAGAAAGGGAAGGGCGAGGGGAGAGAGCAAGCAAGTGAGCACATTTTAAATATCTTTTACAGCTACATGAGCCAAAATTTCCATTAGTTGCTTAAGTTAACTTGAATTCAGTTTCTCTGACTTGCACTTAGTACATATATGCCATAGTCAAACAAGAGATTAATATTAGAATGATGACTTAGAAGAATCATGATTTATATTTGAAGATTTTTATAGCAATTACCATGAATTTTATTTAATATTTTAAAAGTTTTTTTTTTTGGACTGGAGTCTTGCTCTGTCACCAGGCTGGAGTGTAGTGGTGCAATCTTGGCTAACTGCAACCTCCACCTCCCGGGTTCAAGTGGTTCTCCCGCCTCAGCCTCCTGAGTAGCTGGGACCACAGGCGCGTACCACCACACCTGGCTAATTTTTTGTATTTTTAGTAGAGACAGGGTTTCACTGTGTTAGCCAGGATGGTCTCGATCTCCTGACCTCGTGATCCGCCTGCCTCAGCCTCCCAAAGTGCTCGGCCACTGCGGCAGGCCAAAAGTTTTTTTTTTAATGTGTATGGATTGACTAAGATCACATGCTTTGTATGACTTTTGAAGCCCCATTGTCCTATTGTCCCTTAAAAGTTGGTGATTTAGTGGGCCAAATGGCTCTCTCTCTCTGTCTTTATCTCTCTCTATATATAAATAGATTTTTCATCAAAATAAAGACATGCATGTATAAAATCTTTACAAAACATAATCTCAGGTGCCCCAATCTGAGTTTGAGACATACTGATCTAGAGCAATGATGGATAGCGATAATAACTACATTTTATTTCAAAAGGCAAAGACGAAAACAGCCCTTCCACCTTCCACCATGAGATGATAAAGCACTAAGCCCTCACCAGATGGGGGCCGCTGGATCCTGGACTCCTCAGCCTCCAGAATAATAATAAATAAGTCTCTGTGTTTTATAAATTACCCAGTCTCAGGTATTCTGTTATAGTAGCCCAAAATAGATTTACTGCCAGAATCAGTTAGATTTGCTACACAATTAGTTAGATTTATCATTCTAAAAATTTTCATGAATGCCTCATGTACATTTTTGTTTATGAAAGAAGCTGCCACAAGGATCTAGTTATTGAGCTGCTGTCACCTCATGGTTCAGAGCATTGGCTGGGTTTACATCTGCATTTTGGCTCAGCTTTTCCTGACTGTGTGATCTTGGGAAAGTATTTAACTTTATAAAAATTAATTGTTGCATGTCAAATGACAATATTTGCATTTTAGAGTGTTCCTATTTTTTTGCGTCTGCCCTACAAGCCATGACAGCAATTTTTCCTGGAATCTTCCTTCCTCTAACCTGTCATCCACATGGCTACCCTGGAAATTGCCAAGGTGGTAAAAAAAAAAAAAAAAAAAAAAGAGTGAGTTTTCCACTCTCCAGTCTACCCATTTACCTGTACTGGGGCTTTCCCTTTCCTACCACTGCTGTCTGTGGAGGGTCAAATGTCCTATGCTCTATTTGGGGGCACTTATGAGTGTCCTGCCTAATGATAATGACAGTTCCCATGGAGGTTCTGCAAAGTCTTGAGGCATAGACAGATACTAATATGCTGGACAGTTCACTATCATCAGTGGAGGCCACTGATGGTGGCAGCTGTTATCCGCCCAACGATGACGACAGCCACTGAATGGTTTATTCTGCCAAAGTAAGGACGGTTTATTATCCTAGCTTCCACTCTGCTCCCTAGTGCTGGCCACTTAGTGATGATTGGCCATATTTTCATGGTAACTCTTCCCTTTTGTCCCTAACTCCCCTGTGATGCTTTAGGTCTGAGGATTCCGCCCTCTTCTGAGGTTTTGGCCCCTTCATTTCCTTTCTTCTCTCTCAGTGCAGATAACCTTCAACAATTTTCCTTCCAGGTATAGGAGTTGAGGTTATTGCCTTCCCTTTTTCAATTTTAAATTTTTGTTATGTGATCTCTTTGTCCCACTCCCTTCAGGGATTTTCTTTTGAGTCTCAAGAGACTGGTTAGAAAACATTAGAAACAACAACAACAACAACAACAAACCCAACCAACCAACCAACCAAATAACCAACAACTAAACCAAACCAATAATGTAAATGTATTTTTTCTTTTCACTTCTCTTGTAGAAAAATGGTAATGCTTCTGTGTTCCTCTGACTTACTGGAGAAAAGGTAAGAGCGTATGAAAGAAAGTAAAATCAGAAAGACTGGCACTTCAAGATCTTATTTCCTTGATGTAACAGAATCCACCCATGAACACTGTTGGTCTGATGCTGGATGTCTGAGTTAACTTTGGCCAATTGTGGTTCTTTTCCAGGAATATTAGAATTGCAACTCAGAAAGCATAGCCTTTTGATAGGTGTTAAAAATTTAAGATGTAAAACTTGAGAGTTATTAATGGTCTTGTTTCCTGTCATATACACAGAGAACTGGAGGAAATTCACCTACAGACAAAAAAAGAAAAATAAGGGAGACTTGAAAAGAAGAAGAGAGGCGACAGACACAGTAAGGAACTTGACAGCATTTCCTCTAGAACTCGATGCTAGTGGTTTCTGGATTTCAACTACATTCTTATTACTGGGTTTTGTGAGTTGCATTTCTGTCACTTGTGACCCAGTGTCTTACAACAAATATACCCACTTCACAGGGTTTCTACAAAGTTTAGGGACAATAAGACCTTTCAGTCTCTTAGTATAATGTCTCGCACTTAATAAGCATACAGAATGTTGCTGTTATTATCACAGTTTGCTTTATGATATCTGACTTATAGTTACTAAGATTTCCTATCACTATTCATGTTTTTCCAAGATAAAATGATTTCCTCATTTACCATCTGTTTTGTCCACGTTACAGTTAAGGAATCATGCCTGTTCTTTATCACCACTACATGCTCTTAGGCACCATTACTTACTTAGTGCAGTGTCTCACACATAGTAGGCATTATGATGATTTGTTCAATGAATGCATTTGGGATATAATGGTGTAATAATTGTTTAATTTCAGTGACTTAAGAATAAACAAACAAAAATATCACTCCTGTTGCCATATATATTGAAGTTAAAACTGAAAAGTAGTGAAAAAATTTGATTTTTTCTTGAAAATGTTTGATAAAACTTCTATTGAATAAAGGGTTCTTTGGTTTTGTATTAATTCTGAAAACTGAGCTACTCTTGCAGGTTTGAAATTTCTTTAATAAAATGCCACATATAAGGCGATCACATTCTAAACTTACATTAACTAATGGAGAAAGAGCAGCTGTACTTGGGATTAGTGTGTTTGGGGCGAAGGTGCAGAATATCATCATTTTACAAAATTTGCTACATGCCTTTTACTATGCATTCTGTCTTTTTTTTTAATATAGAGATTTTAAAAGATAGTTCAAAATGCCTGCTTTGTTGTATGATTTATGATAGGGAAATGAGCATTTTTCTAGGAAAGCATGTTAATATTAACTTTTACTATTTGAGGGAAACGTTGACTTAACAAAGGTGCTTTCCTAATGACTTACCTGACTTGACATTCTTTTGTGATTTAGTACTGTGAAAGTTACACATTATTAATCGATAAGTTTTGTAGCTTTCTCTGCGACTCCAGTGTGGACACAAAATATCTCTGAAGTGACTTCAAACTTGGCCTTTTTCACTTCCTTTAACACAATTCCATTCAACTATTACTCTTTTCACTAAAGTTTTGTTTGTCTCTCTTTTGGAAAAAAGAATATCAGGCTGTTTCCTAATAAAAGTCTTAAATAATAAATTGTACAACTGTAAGGAAAAAATCATGTTTGACCTTATCTGAAAACAGATGGAGAAGATCCATAGTTTAAATCATGGAATGGAAGAAAAAGAACTGGCTTTGAAGAAATCAAAGTTTGTTTTGTGCTGTTTTTGCTTGTCATGGATGCTTTAAGAAGCTACTGAAAGTTAAGAGTCCTCTCCCTAGAGGAAACTATAAATCAATACACACAAATTCTTTATGACATTTCAGAGAGTTCACAACATGCTGAAAATCTTCTATGAATTCTGTTAAGAACACTTACTCTCAAGAAAAATGTGCAAATAGTAAAGATTATTTAATACTTAACTAAGTTGCTTTCCATGAAAATCTGTTTAAATGGCCTTTGTTGTTTTACTTCTGAACTAACTTAATATCAGTTTGCTGAAATACTGAGATACTGAGGGCACTTTCTGGTTTAAGTGTTTAGAAGATATGTTTGCTGCGAAATGCATGTGCATTCATATTACAAATCCTGCAACTGAGGGAAGCGTCTGCTCTGTCTGAAATAGTTATCGCTATAATAGAACATGTTTCATAATTTGGGGTGGGGAGAATTGAATTACAAAGAGTTGGCTATATAGGATTAGATGAAAAATTCAGTTTAAGTTCATTAATCATAAGTAAATACACTGAAATGCTCTAAGCATTGTCCTCTAACATCATAAAATTGAGATGACTTACTCTTTATGTAAAATAGTAACTTAAGAACAAAAAAAATGGCCTGGGGAAATGTGTTACAATTTCTGTCTTAAACATCTCAAAAGTCAAAAGTCTTCTGCTGGTGGCAATTGGTTCATACATAGTTTGCCAGAGTGTTTAATCCACAGGATCATCTCAGCCCATCTAACACTATTTGTTTTTAAAAATATGAGTGGATACCATAATAGATAATGGCTTTTTGATGCTTTCCTTCACTAGAGTAAGGTTAGAGCAAAAATGTATTTTTTATATATTTCCATAAGATGCCTCTAGCATGGATACTGGTAATAACTAGTACTCTCTGGTGTTACAATGTATCATTTCTGCTGAAGTCACTTCCCTATCTCTATGTATTATAGAATTTCAAAGTACTCTGTTCTTGTGGACTTTACAGAGGTAGAAACAGTTTTTTTTTTTAAATTAAAACAGTTTTAGGCAATATACTGAAACTTGCCTGAAGGATTCCTTTGAAATATTATTTCTTATTTTCTTAGAAGGTAGATATTGTGATTTTCTGGAGAATTTAAGACTGGCATCCTGAAAAATGTGACCAATGAGTGCTATGTTGATGTCAAGCCACAGTAACTCAGTTGCTTGTGAATGTTTGTATGTCCATCCCGGCCTCCCATGGGTTTTGGATAAAATTTCTGCATATGCTGTTAATGGTGACTGGCTCTTCAGTATATTTCAATGGTCACTCTATGCTGAAATTTAACTGTGGGTTACAGGAAAATAATTAAAATATTTTTTCGCAGTACAGTTTCTCTTATCACTCTTACGGACAACTGGGGCTCAGTCTTACTGGAACCCTCTGAAAAGCCATGTGAATTGCCACTCAGAATTGTCTCTTGGAAAGACCAAGGAGGAGAAGAATTGAAGAATTACCTACTGACTTCTATTCCCCATTAATGAAGGCTTGTCCCATGGCTGTTAAATCTTTTGAGGTCCAGATTATATATGCATGTGTGAACCATGCCAAGATGTCAGGAATGTACCAGGGAATATGGCACAGCTGAAGTAAGGAGTTACCAGTTTATACCTCTGTAAAGTCCATTGCAACATCAACTACTAAAGTAAAAAGTAGGCAGAGAGGATATAAAGTAGGCACAAGAAATATTCAATCCCATGGCAAACATCGCCTCCCACCTACCCAATCCCACCATTATTATTATTGTTATTAAGATCACCAATATCTTAATATATAGAAATGGCTTATTGAGAACTTTTCACAAATGTTTATAATGTTCTATGCAGAAACAGTGTACTATCACATTTATTCCTAACTTCTGGAACTGAGCACATAATTTTATTATTTTAAGTATGTTAGGGGCTTGTATATGACCTATATAATCAGAAATGTTATTTTAACTATAAAATCTGTTCATACATTCATGTTAGCAAACATTTATTGAGTTCTCACCTAGTACTAGAACTATGTAAAGTGCATAGAAACACTTTAGAGTTTAAAAACAGTCTTAGAAACAAGAAAATTATCTGGTATTTCTCCTGAGGAGCTCAGATAAAACCTATGAGATTTATTGATTGTGAGCAATAGAAATCTGCTGTAACCTAAGGAAAATGTAATTTATGGGAAAAACATAAGAGAATCATAGGCTTGAGAACTAGTATAGAAAGAGGCAGCAATCAAGGAATCTCCAGACAGTAGAAAGGGAAACATGGCCTAGTCTCATAGCAAGAGCTATCAGGTCAGCAACTGCCAGTGTGATGGATGATTCATCTCCAACTGTTTCTTTTCTCCTTTTATAACTCAGTCAAGATTCAAAGTCCCAGAAGACAGCGCACGACTTCCCAAGCTTGGGTTTGTTCCTGACTGGCCACAGGGGAGAGGAGGCTAGCTTACTTTGATTTTTTTTTATAGAAGATCCTCTCTCCCACCCAAGACTATCCACAGCAAAGAAGAAGCAGTTGTGTATTAGTCAGCGTTCTCTAGGACAGAAGTAACAGGATAGAGGAATGTATGAAAAGGAGTTTATATAAGGAGAGTTGACTCACACAATCACAAGGCGAAGTCCAACGATAGACAATCTGCAAGCTGAGGAGCAAGGAAGTCAGTAGTGGCTCAGTGTGAGTCTCAAAACCTCAAAAGTAGGGAAGCTGACAGTGCAGCCTTTAGTCTGTGGCCGAAGCCCCAAGAGCCCCTGACAAACCACTGGTGTAAGTCCAAGAGTCTAAAGGCTGAAGAACCTGGAGTCTGATGTTCAAGGGCAGGAAGCATTCAGCACGGGAAAAAGATGAAGGCTGGAAGACTCAGAAAGTCAGCTCATTCCACCTTCTTCTACCTAGCAGCTGATTGAATGGTGCCCACCCAGACTGAGGGTGAATCTGCGTCTCCCAGTCCACTGACTCAAATGTTAACCTCCTCTGGCAGCAACCTCACAGACACATCCAGAAACAATACTTTGCATCCTTCAATCCAATCAAGTTGACACTTAATATTAACCATCACAAGTGGTAAGTTAGATATGTCTTCTATCTGCTCCTGAGGGCCAACGGTTAAAATTTTAGAAGTCCTATAAGCTGGTTGTTATATATAGATATTATTTAAAATTTATATTAATTTGCAATTAAATAAATTATATTAATAATAAAGGTAATAAATACTCAAAGCTTTTCACTTCCCAAGTTATGTTAGGATTACTTATGTTCTTGAGGTTATTTGCATTTTCATGGCTGAATAGTGGAAATGCGACACATCGATGTGTTACTGCACATCTCTTCCCTGCTCTGTGTTAGTGTTCAGTGATATCATGTTGGCACTTTGAAATCAGCCAAGGTGCATGCTTTATACTATAGAAATTCACAAGCACTACAAAGTACAACTTGGTTTATTGCTTTGTTGATGGTCTAGACTTAAGAAAATGATGGAGAAATGTAAATCATGCAAGTTAAACTTGAAAGTGTATTATATTTGTAGTCATTACATTGTGACTAGTACAAAAAGTGAGGAAATATTCTTCCAGTGTTAAAATACTATTATCAGATTCAGCAAGGAATCTGTTTGTGTGATGAACAAAAAAGTTCTGATACAGGTCTTAGTTGTTTCACTTTGCCTTACTCACTAACATAAATGAAAATATCAACCAGCCTTTCAGTCAGAACTACACCCCTTCATCACCTACAACTCTAGTTTGCAGAAATTTAGCAAAATCAACAAAAACACTCTGTGAGAATTAATTGGTTGTGTAGAATTTAAAATGAAATTAGATATTTTATTATTATTTATAAATTATCTGTTATATGTTCTTGATATGAGTACATGTATAATATAATAAAATAATACACACACACACACACACACACACACACACACGGAGAACCAGTTGTTGAACATATATCAGCATGAATATGAGTAATTCCCACCCTAAAAACTTAGGATGCTGAGCAGCCAAAAACAAAAATAAATTATGTCTTCTAAGATAGGTATATAAACAGGCAATTGCAAGATAACACATGTAGTATTTACGGGGCAATAGAGTTCAACAAACAAAAAAGAAAACAATGCAGCATAGAGAAAAGAATGAAAGGAGAGAAATGGCTAAATTTAGGGTAAGTCAAAGTTAGAGGGAGGTACATTGTTGATCCTTGGTTCAACTATTAAATAGAAGGCTAGATTACATACTTTAAAAATTGGGAGTGAGGCAAGGAAAGGGGATTGTTGAAAGTGGCCAATGTTTGGAAGAGATATTAAGGGATATTTTAGAAGGTGCTATGCCTTATTCCCTATAATGTCCAGCTAATACTTTATATAGCGTGATTTCAGTAAATGTTTAGTCATTGAATGTGGAAATCCACCATTATGTTATATAGTGATTCTGGGTCCGCTATTTACCAGCAGAGTGACACTGGGGAAATTAATCTCTCTGTCCCTCGGTGTTCCCATGTGCAAAATGGAGATAATAATATGAGATAATTTATTATATATCTTTGAGAATTAAAAATGTTTTATGTACAGCCCTTAGAACATGTACAGCCCTTAGAACAGTCCTAGGAACTGGCAGCAGTTAGCAGATTATTATTATAATTATCTTGGGTCCATGTTTTTTCTTTAATTTTTTGGTTGCTTTCTTAATAGCAGGTTGTTGGTGATTACTTCCTGTGTTTGCATTGTGTCTGCATCTTACAGTACTACTCATCTCTGTCTATTTTTCTGGTGAGGAACTGAAACATGGCCCTGATGAAAACCAGACCGCAATATTCTCTCCCATCACAACGTTGTGTTCTTAACATTCGCATAAACAATGCTAAGAACAAGGCATAGACAAGACTGCTACGTGACCAGAGAAATGACTAAATACCCACCTCTTTTGACTAACATGAATGATTGCTGCTTTTTTACCAGTGGCAACTCTAGATTCGCTTTATTCTTCTTATCTCTTAGACAAAAAATGTTAAGATTCCCAATCACTGACTTTTTCCTTCTTCTTGAAAGCTCCCAATTCAGAACTGGTTCTTGTTTCCTTATTTAACTCCTTAGAATCATCCAACATAAGCTCAACTCCCATAAGAAGCCTTTTCTTAACCCCCTCCCCATTACTGACATGCTCCTATGTTCCTATGGAGTGCTGTCTCCCTTCCTGCAGCAAGCTAAATAACCTTCACCTTTTACATTTATTTACTTATTTATTTTACAAGCGCGCCCGTTAGTCTTTGGTCTGCTTCAATAGTGGTCATGTAATCAGTCATTGGCCAGAAAGATTGAAAACCAAGAATGATGTGTTAAGAATTGTGTGTTAAAGTAAGAACGAATATGATTTTTAGTAAGTTGCTAAGGGAAGCAGTACATTGCCTGGGGTTTGAAGAATGAAGGTCCTCCTGCATTATGTTTGAGCTCAAACTGAGTTCTGGAGAACTCAGCTGACACACACATGGGATTTTATTGTTGGTTTCTTTTTTTAGAAGAAGAATCTCAATCTTCAGAAACTGTGGATATAAAGTACAAAGAACCTTTTTTTCTGAATCTATTCTTAAGTTGCTGATATTATGCTTCATCATCCCTGAATACTTGAATGTGCATTTCCTATAAAAAAGGACATAACCACAATACAACACTCACAATCAGGAAATTAACATTGATACCTTACTACCATCTCGTCCTCAGCCCATGTGTAAATAACATCCTTTGTATCTAAAGAATGCAGTTCAAAATCGCAGCTTGCATTTAGTTGTCATGTGTGTAGTCTCCTTCAATAGGGAACAGTTACTTCTTCAGTCTCTTCTTAACTAACACTCTGACACTTGAAGATTACAGGTCAATTATTTTAGAGACTATCTCTTTGGGTTTGTCTAACATTTCCTTATCTTTAGTTTCAGGTAATGCATCTTTGGCATAAATATTTTTAAAATGATACTGTGTTCTGTTCTTTGTATTTTATCAGGTGGACCTGATAAAATACATCTTGTCTTATCACTGGTGTTTAATCCTTGAATGAGGTGGCATCTGCCAAGGTTGTTCACTGTGAGGTGACTCTTTTTCCCTTTGCAGTTAATAAGCATTTTTTGCAGGGGCAAGTATATGAGACTATGTAAAATCCTCTTTCTCAGCATAGTTTCAATCTGTTTGCTTGTTTGCTTATATTAATATAGACTCATGATTTCCTGTTTTATTTAATGCGTTATTGTCTGCCACTTTGTATTCATTTTGACCTCCAAATTATCCCTGATTTGCCTAGTGGAAGCCCCTTCAACCTGACTTTTTTTTTTTTTCTACAAGTCTCTATGATTCTTTGAGCACTTCCTCACTTTTAGACACCACAAGTTGTTCTAGGCTCACACTGTAGTTTTCTCCCCCAGCCTGGAATCAGCTACTTCTTCACAAAATCCCTAGCTCTCAATGGATAAAGGTCTTTAGAAGTCAAGATCAAGGTGCTAGCTGTGCTTCCTGCCTTTCATTTTATCTCATGCCCTCTCATTATATACACACAGGCACACACCTCTATTTATTTCTATATCTAACATATATTTTGAAAGACCTGAGTTTACACTAATGCCTCCAATGCCAGACAAAACCATAAAGTTCCATATTTGCAGTTCATTCATGAGCAATCTGCACACATTACCCTTAAGGTACTTATTTGTTGATCAATCTACGAGTAAGGAACTCATTCCCATTGTGTCCGGAGTTGGTTCCTTCCAGTGGGTTCATGGTCTTGCTGACTTCAAGAATGAAGCTGCAGACCTTCACAGTGAGTGTTACAGCTCTTAAGGATGGCACAGACCCAAAGAGTGAGCAGTAGCAAGGTTTATTGTGAAGAGTGGAAGAACAAAGCTTCCACAGCTTGGAAGAGGACCCCAGCGGGTTGCTGCTGCTGGCTGGGGTGGCCAGCTTTTATTCCCTTATTTGTCCCCTCCCATGTTCTGTTTTTGTCCTATCAGAGTGCCCTTTTTTCAATACTCCCTGTGATTGGCTACTTTTAGGATCCTGCTGATTGATGCGTTTTACAGAGTGCTGATTGGTCCATTTTACAGAGCACTGATTGGTGCATTTTACAGAGTGCTGATTGGTGCATCTTACAATACTCTTCCTAGCTACAGAGTGCTGATTGGTGCGTTTTTACAACACGCTGATTGGTACATTTTACAACACGCTGATTGGTGCATTTTATGATCCCCTTGCTAGCTACAGAGTGCTGATTGCTGTGTTTTACAATCCTCTTGTAATACAGAAAAGTTCTCCAAGTCCCCATTCGATGCATGAAGTCCACTGGCTTCACCTCTCACCATTGCTGATCCTATTTCTTTCCTCATGGGGACATCCTCGTCACTCCATTCAGGTTTTACATCCTCATTCCTGGCTACTGCCACATCACGGCACCCATGCAGGCACTCTCTTTACTCCCATTAGGCTCTTACACCCCACATTTGGCCACTATCCCAGAAAGAAACCCTCCTCACCACAACTGGTCTTGACACTCTACACTGGATCACCCCCCATACCCAGACATCCTCCTTACCTGACCTGGACACCCAGTTCTTTTTATCATGCCATCCCTCCTACACAGACACCCTCCTCATGCTGCTTGGGCTTTGACTCCCTGTGTTGGGCTCACCCCTTCAGGGGTGTCTTCCTTACCCTGCTTGGCTTTGAGATCCTGCACCTGGGCTATGCCTCTATAGATGTGCTCAGGTTCCAACACCTGCTGCCAGGCTGCCTGCTCACATGGATGTTTTCCTTATCCTACTGAAGCACTGTCAGGCCACCTTGGGCTGCCTCCTTTGGTGGACGCTCTCATTACCCTTAGCTTGCTCTCAATTCTCACTCTTGACCACTGTGGCTCTCCCAGGCTGAGATGGACACATGCTCAACTACACCTGGTTGGCTAGGACTGAAGTGTCCAGGAAAGGAAGTGAAGAAAAGAGGAAGAGAGCTGTTGGTTTATTTTAAATGAGGAACTCCTAACTTTTGTCTTTTATCATCTGTGTGTTTCAATAAGTCTGACACTTTTGTTTCTCTTTGGCAGAATTGTATATACCTAGCATTTTAAGTCATAGAAAGCTACCTGGATTTTTTTTTTTAGACCAAATCCACCATTGGTTTTCCCTTGTCCAGATTAGATTTAATGCAAGCCTTTCCCAATTTGGTCCAAACCTAATTTTGTTGCCTCTTTTCTGTGTACTTTCTGCCAAGTAACTTAGGAATTCAGCTCCTGTGAACTCTTTGCCTTAAACAAATATGTCATGCCCTTTCCCACATTTATGCATACCTTTTTCTTCCTGGAATGCCCTCATACCATTTTTCTGTTTGGAAACCTCTGACTCATTATTTAAAATTCAGATCAAGTGTCACTTCTCAGTGAAACCTTTTTCAACTCCCTCAGGGTGAGTAAGTTCTTTCTGTCTCTTAAGAGAGTGTTCAGAGCACTTGCTATTTAACTTCTATCATCGACCGTGTAAAATTAGGCAAATTGCTTACCTTTCCTGAGTTTCAGTTTCCTCAACTGTTAAGTGGAGATAATAATAGATAATAATCAATAAAGTTGTCCTTAAGGTGAATTGCAAATAATCAACATGCTAATAATTGCTATTTTTATGTTTATCTGATTATGTTAAAATTGTGTGTTCTAGGCTGATGTGGTGGCTTATGCTTGTAACCCTAGCACTTGGAAGGCTGAGGCTGGCAGATTGCTTGAGACCAGGTGTTGGAGACCAGCCTGGGTAACATACTGAGACCTCATTTCTAAAAAAAAAAAAAAAAATTGCTGGGCACACAGTGGCTCACGCCTGCAATCACAGCACTTTGGGAGGCCAAGGTGGGTACATCACCTGAGGTCAGGAGTTCGAGACCAGGCTGGTCAGCATGGTGAAACCCTGTCTCTACTAAAAATACAAAAATTAGTCAGGCCTGGTCGTGGGTGCCTGTGATCCCAGTTACTTGGGAGGCTAAGGCAAGAGAATCTCTTGAACCCGGGAGGCGGAGTTTGCAGTGAGCTGAGATCATGCCACTGCACGCCAGCCTGGGAGACAGAGTGAGACTGTCTCAAAAAAAAAAAACAAAAAAAAACCCTTTTCTTAGATATGGTTCCAGAAGTTAATTCAAAATCCACAATATGTGATGAACATTTTCTGAAGGAAATTATTCATTCTGTAAATATTTTTAAGCGCATACCATGTACCAGGCATATGTTATGCAATAATGTGACCAAAATAGAGATGCTCTTTGATTTCATGGAATTCACAGTCTAGTGAGAAATAATGAATTTAGCAAAGAATTATTCAAGTGAATAAATAAATATATGCAAACTGTGATAAATCTTAAGAAGGATAATAATTACAAGATCAGTGTGGTATCATAGAAAGAAATTTGGATTTTGTTCCTGGCACAGAGTTTCCAAAACTCTTGGAGTTTCGTGATTGATAACAATCATAGAAGCACCTTTTTTTCCAATGAAGCAACTCTCTTGCTGGGCCCCTAATATAGTTTCAGGATAGAGACTGGGGGCCAGAAAGACCAAACTTTGTCTAGAAGCTTGGAAATTTCAGCCCCACTCCCCAACCTTCAGGGAGTGCAGAAAGGTTGGACTCTGTCCTAATCAACAATGGCTGATGATTTAATCAATTATGTGTATGTAATAAAACCTCCTTAAATAAAACATAAACAATGGGGTTTGGAGAGCTTCCAGGCTGGTGAACATGCAGAGGTTCCTGGAGGGTGGTGTGCCCAGATGGGGCATGGAAGCTCTATTTTCTCTCCCATACCTTGCCCTGTGTATCTCTCCCATTGGTCTGTTCCTGAGTTTTACCCTTCATAATAAACCAGAAATAGTAAGTTAAGTGCTTTCCTGAGTTCTATGAGTTGTAGTCAATGATCAGTTCTAAAAAGAGGGTTGTAGGAATCCCTAACTTTGTAGCTATGTTGGACAGAAGGGCGGGTGGCCTGGGGATTTCATACTTGGGATTGGCCTGTGAAGTAAGGGCAGTCTTGTGGGATTGAGCTCTTAAACCTGTGGAGTCTGATGTTAACTCTGGGGGTGTCAGAATTCAATTGAATTGAATTGTAGGAGACTCAGTTTGTTTCAGGAGGAAAAACAACCCCTCATTTTGGTGTCAGAAGTGTTATGAGTAAACATATGTTTATCACATCATTATTTGCAATAACAAAGTCTTGGAATCAGCCTAAGTGTCTATCAACAGATGATTTGATAAAGAAAATGGAATATATATACTCCATGGGATACTGCTCAGCCATGAAGAAGAATGAAATAATGTCTTTCGCAGCAACATGGATGGAACTAAAGGCCATTATTAAGTGAAATGATGCAGAAACAAAAAGTCAAAGACCACATGTTGCCACTTAAAAGTGGAACTAAACAATGGGTACACATGTACACACCAAGTGGAATAATAGACATTGGAGGTGCCCATAAATTGGAGAGTGGGAGGGGTGTGAGAGATGAAATCCTACACTATTTGGGTATTGGGTAAACTAAAAGTCCAGACTTCACCACTACACAATATATCCGTGTGACACAACTGCACTTGTGCCCTAAATTTATTTTAAAAAATCAAAACAAAACAAAAACAACAAAAATGTAAAAAAAGAATTGTTTGCCAAAATTTTTTAAAAAGTGTTGTGAATGAAAACACCTCCATCAGTAAGCAAATGAAGGAGTTGCTAATTTAGAAAAGAAGTAGAAAAAGTCTTTCTGAAAAATTGATATTTGCCTGAGACCTTAAAGGCTGAGTAGAAATTAAACAAGTGAGATGTGCATGGAAGAGGAACAGTATGTGTGAATGTATGGGGCAAGAAAGAACGTGGCTCCAGTAAGCCAGGTTTTGGATACAATTAATGATAATGTGAGGGATGTGTTGTCAAATGAGATTTAAGTGGCAGTCTGGGGCCATGTCCTGCCCACCTTGAGGGATTCTGTGGATTATAAAACCTGCAATGGAAAGCAATTAGATGCTTTAGTCAGAGCTGTGATCTGACTTTAGTTTTTCCTACAAAACACTCAGGCTACTCTGGGAAGAACATGTAGCAGGGGTACAACTGAGTGACTATGATGGTCCCAGGGAGATGTAAACCAAGTGTTGTCATTGGAGTAGAGAGAAGTTACAAAGACTGAAAGTGCATTTGGGAGACTGACAGACAGGTCTGGTGATGATTGGGATGCAACTGGCAGGTGTGGGGGAGTTGTTCAGGATTAGCAAGGCTTGGGCATGAATAGGAGAAAGGGCAAAAGCAGAGGGGAAGTTTACTAAGACAGTAGTAACTGGAGGAGGAGAAGTTTTCCAAGAGAAGATAAAGAGTTCCATTTTGGACATGTTAAGTGCATTTGAGATGACTGGAGGAAGGCCAAGTGGAAATGTCAAGTATGTGCTTGATTATATGAGTTTGGAGTCCAGAAGAAGAATCTGAGCTCAACATATACATTTGGGAGTTGTCAACATAGAGATAAAAACCCCAGTTCCCTCTCTCTCTGTGCTACCGTTATTGACAAAACTATTCATCTTATTGACTGTAATCTTTCTGGATAATTGTCATCCTAACTATAATATGTAGATGACTTGCATTTGCAGAAAGGTAGTGGCCATCTCTGAAGAGTAACACTGTTAGTTCTGCTATAACATGATATATGTGTTCCTCAGAATGAAAGTGCTATGCAAAGCTGCACAATAAAAACCATGAGGCTTATGGGAAAAATTAGGCAAAACCTCAAAAACTTCTTTGTGACATATTAAAAAAAAGACAGAAACCTAATAAAAACAGTAGCACAGTCTTACACAGGTTAAATGGTCAAGACATACAAAAGTACTACAATAAATATGATACCTTATCTTGAAAAGGACATAAAGTTTGTTTGTGGAAGTGGGCATTGAAGGGTTGTGACTCGTGAGTTATTGTTAAATGGCAGAAGAACCATTTTCTGAAGAATGGAAAGTTGTAATACCAGATACGGATAACTGTAGATCCTTGTGCTTGAGCCAGCCAGCATCAGTTGTATACAATTCACAGCTGTGAATCCTGGGGTATGTTTTCCTGCCTTTGAAAGGTAGGTTTTTTTCAGGCGTACAATGATAATAGTACTCCATTCTTCAAAATAGAGAATTTGATCTAAAGGACAGCTGTTTTCTTTAATTGCCTTCTGTATCACTGCTGGGAATTTTTTTTGTGGCTATCTAATTTGTTCTTACAGCTCCATCCAACAGCTGAAGCCTTTGGAAGTTCTTGCCATGTTTGAAGACACTGTTATCACTAAAACAAAACAAAACAAAAACCACTTCTGCAAGATTTGGTAATTTCTATTTAGGGTCTTTGAATATAGATAGTGCTGTCTCTTTGATTAGGGAAAAGATTGTTTCCAATTTTCTTAACATTTGGTCTTCAGTCCATATACTTTACAATCTTTCTATATTTTTATTCTTCTTTAGGCCTTGCTCTTATTGACTTCCAGCACCCAAATTTTCCTGACCATAGAATTTTCTTTTATTTCCCAGTGTTGTCTCTGATGGTTGGCAGTATGGATTCTTTTACATTTGTTGCTCAGAATGTATCACATGTTCTCTCATTTCATTCAGAGTGCTTTACTCTTTCAAGCTTCTTCTCAGTTCTTAAAGCTTTCCTTTTGCATGCATAATTTGGCATTTCTGAGCCAAGACATTTAGACATATATAAGATGATGAAAGAGTTTTTTTTAATAAACAAGTTTACAAATGCAAAGAAAAAAACAACAGCAAACAAAACAAAACAAAAACAAACCTTGACGTTTAACTCTTGCATTAAGTGAGGTAGATATTTAAGATGTGTGTGGATATGCATTCTGTGCATTCCTACTTGGCTCAGTTCAGCTGGATAAAGGTTTTTACCTTCATGTAGTGTTTTCTGCAGAGAAAATCATGCATATGAAATACAAATTCACATTATACTAAATATTTTTTCTAATTTATCAATTGCTTTGGGACAAATTTGCATTTTCAAAACAAACATTATTGAAAAACTGACTATATTTACTTTACTCTTATTTTCAAATTTTTCTAGTAGAACACCCAAGTTTTGGAAAATAAAAATACTTATAATTGGTTAAGAAACAAATTTTACTCCTGAAAATTTGTAGTAAACCAATTCTTGGAGACATAAAAACTGTTGGCTAAATGAGCATTAAATAGATTTTCCGATTTATACTCTAGATCTTAAGTAACTTTTTAAACTTCAACTTTGTAATAATTTAATTGGATTCCAATAAATGACGTTTTTATCAGACTAACACAAAAATTATTTGTTCTCTTCTTTTCCTCTTTTGTTATCTATCTATCATCTATCTATCTATCTTCTATCTGTCTCTCTATCCATTCATCCATTTGCCTTATGCCAATTCGGTGTGAGAGGTGCATATATGGCAAATACAAGAAACACAGAAAAAATAGATTATATTAAAATTTAAAAACTCTAATTTTAAGTATAATAAGAATAACATGTACATGGAATTTTTAGGAAACATAATTTCCTAAAAATAGGAAATTTCCTTTACACCAAATATATGTTTGTATTATACATATTTCTATAAAGGGTCTGGTGTTTTAAATTTGGATCCTGTCACAAATAAAAATTGGTTGCAGTTGACAAGCTTTATTCTGTTTAACAACTACCAAAATTAGAATTCTTAACAACTGATGGTGAAAAATTTACAACTGATTTTTAGAAAAATTATAGATTATTTATTTCTACCATAAAACAATTTAGTGAAACTAAAAGTTTAATTCAAATGGCTGCCCCACATTACACACACACACACACACACACACACATACACACACAAACACAGCAAAGGGGATTATTATTTATTATGCATTTTTCTTGGGCCAGAAACTCTGTCAGGTGCTTTTAGATATGTCCTCTCTAATCTTCACTCCAAATCCTCATGTGATAGGAACAAGCTCAAAAACAGAAAGAAGTTCAATTTGACCAATAATTACTTTTAAGAAACTAAATTCCAAATTTTTCCCAGGATTTCAGAAATGTTGAATTATGGTATGATACTGGTGTAGAGAAAACTCCTTCTTTCCCGTAGCTGAATTTTGTCTCACTCTTCACTTTACAGGATGTGTTTTTACCTGAGTTAAAAACAAGTTTTTAAAAAAAATTAAAAGTTGGGAGACAGATTAAGATGGTGGACAGGAGGCAGGACTAGCTTGCAGCTCCCACTTGGATGGTCAGAGCAGTGTGTGGAGACTCACATCGTTAACTTTTGCTCCAAGAACTACTGCAGGAACATACCAGGAAAGCTGAGAGAATCCACAAACGCTTTGAAGGAACTGGATCACTGCTGCAGGCTCCCTGAGACACCAAAAAATGGTGAGTCTGCTTCCTTTCTCAATGGGGAAGCTCATGGTCTGGGGCAAGTTCTCAGCCCTGGTCATTTGCTGCCTGGAAATACACTCAGAGTTGTTGTGGGGGCATGGTGGGAGTGAGACTGGCCTTTAGGACTGCAGGCTATGTGGAAGCAGGGTGAGGCCTGTGACTGCTGGCTTTCCCCCACTTTCCTTGTGACCTGTATGACTCAGCAGAAGCAGCCATAATCCCGATAGGAATATAACTCCATTGGACTGGGAACCACACCCCATGTCCCACAGCAGCTGCAGTAAGCCCCACCCAAGGAAAGGCTGAGCTCAGACACACCTATCCCTGCCCCTACCTGGTGGTATTTCTCTAACTGCCCTGGTAGCCGAAGGCAAAGGTCATAATCTCATGGGAGCTCTATGGCCCTGCCCACCACCTGAGAATACTGAATACTTAGCTAGGTGTCCTAGGGCAAGTTTTCATCCTCCCTACAGGACTGCAGTTGATGCAGTCTTGAAAGTGCCACCTCCTGGCTGGAGGTCAACCAATCAAAACCAGTACACTAAACAACAGCACAAACAAGGAACCTCACTAAGTCCACTTCACTTCCTTGCTAACTCCATTGGAGCAGGTGCTGGTGTCCACAGCTGCAGACGTGTAGATGGATCACATTGCAGGACTCTTTGCAGACACTTACTACTACCAGCCCAGAGCCCAGTAGCTCCACTGGGTGGCTAGACCCAGAAGAGCAAAAACAATCACTACAGTTCATCTCTCAGGAAGCTCCATTCCTAGGGGAAGGGAGAGAGCACCACATCAAGGGAGCACTCCATGCAACAAAAGAATCTGAACAGCAGCCCTTGAATCCCAGATCTTCCCTCTGACGTAGTCTACTCAAATGAGAAGGAACCAGAAAACAACTCTGGTAATAAGATAAAACAAGGTTCTTTAACACCCTCAAAGGATCATATGAGCTCACGAACAATGGATCCAAACCAAGAAATAATCTCTGAATTGCCAGAAAAAGAATTCAGAAGGTTGATTATTAAGCAAATCAAGTAGGCATCAGAGAAAGGTGAAATCCAACTAAAGAAATAAAAAATAAGATACAGGATATGAAAAAAAAAGCTCTTCAGTGAAACAGCATAAATAAAAAACAATCACAACTTCTGGAAATCAAAGACACACTTAGAGAAATGCAAAATGCACTGGAAAGTCTCAGCAATAGAATTGAACAAGTAGAAGAAAGAACCTCAGGATCTATATTTCCAAGATGGCCAAATAGGAACAGCTCCAGTCTGCAGCTCCCAGCGTGATCAACGCAAAAGACAGGTGATTTCTGCATTTCCAACTAAGGTACCTGGTTCATCTCACTGGGACTCATTGGACAGTGGGTGCAGCCCATGGAGGGCAAGCCAAAGCAGAGCAGGCTGTCACTTCACCCAGGAAGCACAAGGGGATGGGTGATTTCCCTTTCCTAGCTAAGGGAAGACTTAACAGACTGTACTGGACAAAACAGGACACTCCCTGCACAAATACTGCACTTTTCCCATGGTCTTAGCTACTGGCAGACCAGGAGATTCTCTCCCATGCCTGGCTCAGCGTCTCCCACAACCATGGAGCCTTATTCACTGCTAGCGCAGCAGTCTGAGATTGACCTGCAAGGTTGCAGCCTGGTGGGGGGAGGGGGTCTGCCATTGCTGAAGCTTGAGTAGGTAAACAAAGCAGCCAGGAAGCTCAAACTGTCAAACTGGGTGGAACCTACCACAACTCAGCAAGGCCTGCTGCCTCTATAGACTTTACATCTCTAGGCAGGGCCTAGCTGAAGAAAAGCCAGCAGAAATGTGTGCAGACTTATATGTCCCTGGCTGAGAACTCTGAAGGGCATACTGGTTCTCCCGGCATGGTGTTTGAGATCTGAGAATGGACAGACTGCCTCCTCAAGTGGGTCCCTGACCCCCATGTAGCCTAACTGGGAGACACCTCAAAGTAGGGGCCAACAGACACCTCATAAAGGCAGGTGCCCCTCTGGGACAAAGCTTCCGCTGGAAGGATCAGGCAGCAATATTTGCTGTTATGCAATATTTGCAGTTCTGCAGCCTCTGCTGGTGATACCCAGGCAAACGGGCTGCAGTTGACCTCCAGGAAACTCCAACAGACCTGAAGTTGAGGGACCTGATTGTTAGAAGGAAAACTAACAAACAGAAAGGAATAGCATCAACATCAACAAAAGGGATATCCACAATAAAACCCTATCTGTAGGTCACCAACATCAAAGACCAAAGGTAGATAAAACCACAAAGATGGGGAGAAACCAGAGCAGAAAAGCTGAAAATTCTAAAAACCAGAGTGCCTCTTCTGCTCCAAAGGATTGCAGCTCCTTGCCAGGCCAGTGATGGAACAAAGTTGGATGAAGAATGACATTGATCAGTTGACAGAAATAGGCTTCAGAAGGTGAGTAAAAACAAACTTCTCTGAGCTAAAGGAGCATGTTCTAACCCATCTCAAAGAAGCTAAAAGCCTTGAAAAAAGATTAGACGAATGGCTAACTAGAATAAACAGTGTAGAGAAGAACTTAAAGGACCTGATGGAGCTCAAAACCATGGAACGAGAACTTTGTAACACATGCACAAGCTTCAATAGCTGATTCAATCAAGTGGAAGAAAGGATATCAGTGATTGAAGATCAAATGAATGAAATAAACCAAGAAGACAAGTGTGGAGAAAAAAGAGTAAAAAGAACTGAACAAGGCCTCCAAGAAATATGAGACTATGTGAAAAGACCAAATCTATGTTTGATTGGTGTACCTGAAAGTGACAGGGAGAATGGAACCAAATTGGAAAACACTCTTCAGGATATTATCCAGGAGAACTTCCCCAACCTAGCAAGGCAGGCCAACATTCAAATTCAGAAAATATAGAAAACACCGCAAAGATACTCCTTGAGAAGAGCAACCCCAAGACACATAATTATCAGATGTACCAAGGTTGAAATGAAGGAAAAAATGTTAAGGGCAGCCAGAGAGAAAGATCAGGTTACCCATAAAGGGAAGCCCATCAGACTAACAGCAGATCTCTTGGCAGAAACCCTACAAGCAGGAAGAGAGTGAGGACTAACATTCAACATTCTTAAAGAAAAGAATTTTCAACCCAGAATCTCATATACAGCCAAGTTAAGCTTCATAAGTGAAGGAGAAATAAAATCCTTTACAGACAACAAAATGCTGAGAGATTTTGTCACCACCAGGCCTGCCCTACAAGAGCTCCTGAAGGAAGTACTGAACATGGAAAGGAACAACCGGTACCAGCCACTGCAAAAACATGCCAAATTGTAAAGACCATCGATGCTATGAAGAAACTGAATCGCTTAATGTGCAAAATAACCAGCTAACATCATAATGAAGGGATCAAATTCACACATAACAATATTAACCTTAAATGTAAATGGGCTAAATGCCCCAAGTAAAAGATACAGACTGGCAAATTGGATAAAGAGTCAAGACCCATCAGTGTGCTGTACTCAGGAGCCCTATCTCACATGCATAGGCACACATAAGATCAAAAGAAAGGGATGGAGGAAGATCTACCAAGCAAAAAAAAAAAAAAAAAAAAAAAAAAAAAAGCAGGGGTTGCAATCCTAGTCTCTGATAAAACAGACTTTAAACCAACAAAGATCAAAAGAGACAAAGAAGGCCATTACATAATGGTAAAGGGATCAATTCAACAAGAAGAACTAACTATACTAAATATATATGCACCCAATACAAGAGAACCCAGATTCATAAAGCAAGTCCTTAGAGACCTAAAAAGAGACTTAGACTCCCACACAATAATAATGGGAAACTTTAACACTCCACTGTCAATATTAGACAATCATCGAGAGAGAAGGTTAACAAGGATATCCAGGACTTGAACTCAGCTCTGCACCAAGCAGACCTAATAGACATCTACAGAACTCTCCACCCCAAATCAACAGAATATACATTCTTCTCAGCACCACATTGCACTAATTCTAAAATTGACCACATAATTGGAAGTAAAGCACTCCTCAGCAAATGTAAAAGAACAGAAATTATAACAAACTATCTCTCAGACCACAGTGCAATCAAAGTAGAACTCAGGATTAAGAAACTGACTCAAAACTGCACAACTACATGGAAACTGAACAACCTGCTTCTGAATGACTACTGGGTAAATAGCGAAATGAAGGCAGAAATAAAGATGTTATTTGAAACCAGTGAGAACAAAGAGACAATGTGCAAGAATCTCTGTGAACAACTAAATCAGTGTGCACTAAATGCCCCAAGAGAAAGCAGGAAAGATCTAAAATTGACACTCTAACATCACAATTAAAAGAACTAGAGAAGCAGGAGCAAACAAATTCAAAAGCTAGCAGGGGGCAAGAAATAACTAAGATCAGAACAGAACTGAAGGAGATACAGACACAAAAACCCTTCAAAAAATCCATGAATCCAGGAGCTGGTTTTTTGAAAAGATCAACAATCTTGATAGACCACTAGCAAGACTAATAAAAAAGAAATGAGAGAAGAATCAAATAGATGCAATAAAAAATGATAAAGGTGATATCACCACCAAACCCACAGAAATACAAACTACCATCAGAGAATAATATAAATACCTCTATGCAAATAAACTAGAAAACCTAGAAGAAATGGATAAATTTCTGGACACATACACCCTCCCAAGACTAAACCAGGAAGAAGGTGAATTTCTGAATGGACCAGTAACAGGCTCTGAATTTGAGGCAATAATTAATACCCTAACAACCAAGAAAAGTCCAGGACCAGATGGATTCATAGCTGAATTCTACCAAAGGTACAAAGAGGAGCTGGTACCATTCCTTCTGAAACTATTCCAACCAATAGAAAAAGAGGGAATCCTCCCTAACTCATTTTATGAGGCCAGCGTCATCCTGATACCAAAGCCTGACAGAGACACACACAAAAAAGAGAATTTTAGACCAATAACGATGCTGAACATGGATGCCAAAATCCTCAATAAAATACTGGCAAACCAAATCTAGCAGCACATCTAAAAGCTTATCCACCATGATCAGGTGGGCTTCATCCCTGTGATCCAAGGCTTCTTCAACATATGCAAATCAATAAATGTAATCCATCAATTAAACAGACCAACGACAAAAACCACATGATTACAATAGATGCAGAAAAGGCCTTCAAAAGAATTCAACAGCACTTCATGCTAAAAACGCTCAATAAACTAGGTATTGATGGAATGTATCTTATAATAATAAGAACTATTTATGACAAACCCACAGACAATATCATACTGAATGGGCAAAAACTGGAAGCATTCCCTTTGAAAACTGGCACAAGACAAGAATGCCCTCTCTCATCACTCCTATTCAACATAGTGTTGGAAGTTCCGGCCAGGGCAATCTGGCAAGAGAAAGCAATAAAAGGTATTCAATTAGGAAAAGAGGAAGCCACATTGTCCCTGTTTGCAGATGACATGATTGTATATTTAGAAAACCCCATCGTCTCAGCCCAAAATCACCATAAGCTGATAAGCAACTTCAGCAAATCTCAGGATACAAAATCAATGTGCAAAAATCACAAGCATTCCTATACACCAATAACAGACAAACGGAGAGCCAAATCATGAGTGAACTCCCATTCACAATTGCTACAAAGACAATAAAATACCTAGGAATCCAACTTATAAAGATGTGAAGGACTTCTTCAAGGAGAATTACAAACCACTGCTCAACAAAATAAAAGAGGACACAAACAAATGGAAGAACATTCTATGCTCATGGATAGGAAGAATCAATATCATGAAAATGGCCATACTGCCCAAGGTAATTTATAGATTCAATGCCATCCCCATCAAGCTACCAATGACTTTCTTCACAGAATTGGAGAAAACTACTTTAAAGTTCATATGGAACCAAAAAAGAGCCCACATTGCCAAGACAATCCTAAGCAAAAAGAGCAAACCTGGAGACATCATGCTACCTGACTTCAAACTATACTACAAGGCTACAGTAATCAAAACAGCATGGTATGGATACCAAAACAGAGATATAGACCATTGGAACAGAACAGACGCCTCAGAAATAACACCACACATCTACAACCATCTGATCTACAAACCTGACAAAAACAAGAAATGGGGAAAGGATTTCATATTGAATAAATGGTGCTGGGAAAACTGGCTAGCCATTTGTAGAAAGCTGAAACTGGATCCCTTCCTTACAATGTATACAGAAATTAATTCAAGATGCATTAAAGACTTAAATGTTAGACCTAAAACCATAAAAACCCTAGAAGAAAACCTAGGCAATACCATTCAGGACACAGGAATGGGTATGGATTTCATGACTAAAACACCAAAAACAATGCCAGCAAAAGCCAAAATATACAAATGTAATCTAATTAAACTAAAGAGCTTTTGCACAGCAAAAGAAACTACCATCAGAGTGAACAGACAACCTCCAGAATGGGAGAAAATTTTTGCAATCTACCCACCTGACAAGGGGCTAATATCCAGAATCTACAAGGAACTTAAACAAATTTACAAGAGAAAAAACAAACAACCCCATCAAAAAGTGGGCAAAGACACTTCTCAAAAGAAGACATTTATGCAGCCAACAGACACATGAAAAAATGCTCCTCATCACTGGTCATCTGAGAAATGCAAATCAAAACCACAGTGAGATATAATCTCATGCCAGTTAGAGTGGCAATTGTTAAAAATTCAGGAAACAACAGATGTTGGAGAGGATGTGGAGAAATAGGAACACTTTTACACGGTTGGTGGGAGTGTAAATTAGTTCAACCATTATGGAAGACAGTGTCGTGATTCTTCAAGTATCTAGAACTAGAAATACCATTTGACCCAGCGATTCCATTACTGGATATATACCCAAAGGATTATAAATCATGCTACTATAAAGACGCATGCACGCTTATGTTTATTGCGGCACTATTCACAATAGCAAAGACTTGTAGCCAACCTGAATGTCCATCAATGATAGACATGATTAAGAAAATGTGGCACATATACATCATGGAATACTATGCAGCCATAAAAAAGGATGAGTTCATGTCCTTTGAGGGACATGGATGAAGCTGGAAACCATCATTCTGAGCAAAATATCACAAGGACAGAAAGCCAAACACCACATGTTCTCACTCATAAGTAGGAATTAAACAATGAGTACACTTGGACACAGGGCAGGGAACATCACACACTGTGGCCTGTCAGGAGGAGGGGGTGGCTGCAGAAGGGATAGCATTAGGAGAAATACCTAATGTAAATGACCAGTTGATGGGTGTAGCAAACCAACAAGGCACATGTATACCTATGTAACAAACCTGCACATTGTGCACATGTACCCTAGAACTTAAAGTATAATTAAAAAAAAAAAAAGAATGCATTAGTACTTGCTATTTGTGCATGTGCAACTTAGGACATGTGTATTTTCTTTTCTTTTCTTTTTTTTTTTTTTTTTTGTTGTTGTTGAGATGAAGTCTTGCTCTGTTGCCCAGGCTGGAATGCAGTGGCATAATCTCAGCTCACTGCAACTTCTGCCTCTCGGGTTCAAGTGATTTTTCTGCCTCAGCCTCCCAAGTAGCTGGGACTACAGGTACACACCACCATGTCCAGCTAATTTTTTTATTTTTAGTAGAGACAGGGTTTCACCATATTAGCCAGGCTGGTCTCAAATTCCTGACCTCATGATCCGCCTGCCTCAGTCTCCCAAAGTGCTTGGATTACAGGCATGAGCCACCGTGCCCGGCCTTTCTCTGCTTTTGTAAGGTTAGACTTTGGAATTAAAAGAGGGTGTCTGAGATGACCATGTCAGAATTTGCTCCTTTACAGAGAATATTGAAGATCCCTCTTTCCCTCTCTCTTTCTAATGCTTTGCATTTCTTGACACCTGATGTAGGATTGATAATAAGTTAAAAGCATCTTTTCCATTTCTTTAACTAGAGCAAAATGAAGCCATAAAAATATCTACCAACCCTGGGAAGCTCTTGCATAAATGACTGGTGTTTATTGCTAAGGTAAAATGTTTTTGATTATGAACATGCTGCTATGTGATCTTCTGAATAAAGATAATTTTGTACTGTTAAAAAAAAAAAACCTCAGAGCTCAAAGACAAGGATTTTGAATTAACCCAATCTGTTAATATTGTATTTGTTAATTTTCATGCTGCTGATAAAAACATACCCAAGATTGGATAATTTATAAAGAAAAAGAGGTTTAATGGACTCACAGTTCTACATGGTTGGGGAGGCCTCACAATCATGGCAGAAAGTGAAAGTCACATCTTACATCATGGCAGACAAGAGAGAATGAGAGCCACGTGAAAGGGGAAACCCCTTATATAATCATCAGATCTCATGAGACTTATTCACTACCAGAACAGTATGAGGGAAACTGCCCCCATAATTCAATTATCTTCCACCGGGTCCCTCCCACAACAATAGGGGATTAAGGGAACTACAATTCAAGATGAGATTTGGGTGGGGACACAGCCTAACTATAATATTCCACCCTTCGCCTTCATGAATCTCATGTCCTCACATTTCAAAACCAATCATGTGTTCCCAACATTCCCCCAAGGTATTAACTCATTTAAGCATTAACTCAAAGTCCACAGTCTAAAGTCTCATCTGAGACAAGGCAAGTCACTTCTGTCTGTGAGCCTGTAAAATCAAAAGCACATTAGTTACTTCCTATATACAATAAGTGTACAGGTATTGGGTAAATACACCCACTCCAAATGGGAGAAATTGACCAAAACAAAGGGGCTACAGATCCCATGCAAGTTTGAAATCCGGCAGGGCACTCAAATCTTTTTTTTTTTTTTGATGGATTCTCACTCTGCAGCCCAGGCTGGAGTGCTGTAGTGCAATCTCAGCTCACTGCAACCTACGCCTCTTGGGTCCCAGTTCAAGCAATTCTCCTGCCTCAGGCACCAGAGTAGCTGGGATTACAGGTGTGCCACCACGCCCAGCTAATTTTTGTATTTTTAGTAGAGACGGGGTTTCACCATGTTGGCCGGGCTGGTCTTGAACTCCTGACCTTGTGATCCACTCGCCTTGACCTCCCAAAGTGCTAGGATTACAGGTGTGAGCCACCATGGTCAGCCAAGGGCAGTCAAATCTTAAAGCTCCAAAATGATCTTCTTTGACTCCATGTCTCACATCTGGTTCATGCTGATGCAAGAGGTGGGTTCCTGTGGTCTTGGACAGCTCTGGCCCTGTGGCTTTGCAGGGTACAGCCTCCCTCCTGGCTGGTTTCATAGGTTGGCATTGAGTGTCTGTGGCTTTTCCAGTCACACAATGCAAGATGTCAGTGGATGTACTATTCTGGGGTCTAGAAGACAGTGGTGCTCTTCTTAAAGCTCCACTAGGCAGTGTCCCAGTGGGTACTCTGTGTGGAGTCATCAACCCCACATTTCCCTTCCACACTGCCCTAGCAGCGGTTGTCCATGAGGGCCCTGCCCCTTCAACAAACATCTGCCTGGACATCCAGGCATTTCCATACATCCTCTAAATTTTAGGCCAAGGTTCCCAAACCTCAATTATTGACTTCTGTGCACTTGCAGGCTCAACACCACATAGAAGCTGCCAAGGCTAAGGGCTTCCATCCTCCAACGCCACAGCCTGCTCCTTTTAGCCACAGCTGGAGTTGCTAGGACAAAGGGCACCAAGTCCCTGGGCTGCACACAGTAGGGGGTCCTGGGCCTGGCCCATGAAACCATTTTTCCCCCCAAGGCCTCTGGGCCTGAGATGCGAGGGGCTGCCACAAAGCTCTCTGATACACCCTGGAGACATTTTCTCCATTGCCTTGGTGATTAACATTTGGCTGCTGTTACTTATACAAATATATGCAGTAGGCTTGAATTTCTCCCCAGAAAATGGGTTTTTCTTTTCTATTGCATCATTAGGCTGACAAACCTTTATGCTCTGCTTCCTTTTGAACACTTTGTCACTTAGAAATTTCTTCTACGAGATACCCTAAATCATCTCCTTCAAGTTCAAAGTTCCACAAATCCCTAGGGCAGGGGCAAAATGCCACCAGTCTTTGCTAAAACATAGCAAGAGTCACCTTTACTTCAGTTCCCAACAAGGTCCTCATCTTCATCCGAGTCCACCTCAGCCTGGATTTTATTGTCAATATCATTATCAGCATTTTGGTCAAAGCCATTCAACAAGTCTCTAGGAAGTTCCAAACTTTCCCACATCTTTCTGTCTTCTGAGCCCTCCAAGTCTCTAGGAAGTTCCAAACTTTCCCGTATTTTCCTATCTTCTTTTGAGCCCTCAAAACTGTTTCAACTTCTGCCTGTTACCTAGTTCCAAAGTCGCTTCCAGATTTTTAAGTATCTTTACAAAAGCACCCTACTCTACTGGTATCAATTTAACATATTAGTCCATTTTCCTGCTGCTGATGAAGACATCCCCAAGACTGGGTAATTTACCAAGAAAAAGAGTTTTAATGGAGTCACAGTTCTACGTGGCTGGGGAGGCCTCACGATCATGGTGGAATGCAAAAGTCACATCTTACATACCAACAGACAAAACAGAATGAGAGCCAAGTGAAACGGGAAACCCATTATAAAATCATCAGATCTCATGAGCATTATTCACTGCCACGAGAACAGTATGGGATAAACTGCTCCATAATTCAATTACCTCTCATTGGGTTCCTCCCACAACATGTGGGGATTAATGGAACTACAGTTCAAGATGAGATTTGGGTGGAGACACAGCCAAACTATACCAGTCAAAGACAAAGAAAGAAAGAAGAAAAAAATGAACAAAGCCTCTAAGAAGTTTGGGACTATGATAAACATCTAAACCTAGGAATAATTGGTGTTCCCAAGGAATAAGAGAAATCTAAAACTGTGGAAAACATATTTGAGGGAATAATCAAGGAAAACTTCCCTGGCCTTTCTAGAGATCTAGACATCCCAATACAAGAAGCTCAAGGAACACTTGGGAAAATTATTGCAAAAAGATCATCACCTATGCACATAGTCATCAGATTATCTAATGTCAAGATGAAGGAAAGAATCTTAAGAGCTGTGAGGCAAAAGCATCAGGTAACCTAGAAAGGAAAACCTATCAGATTAATAGCGGATTTCTCAGCTGAAACCCTACAAACTAGAAAACATTGGGGTTCTATTTTTAGCTTCCTTAAACAAAACAATTATCAGCCAAGAATTTTTTATTCAGTGAAACTTAGCTTCATAAATGAAGGAAAGATAGTCTTTCCCAGATAAAGAAATGCTGAAAGAATTCACCACTACCAAGCCAGCATTACAAGAACTGCTAAAAGGACCTCTAAATCTCAAAACAAATCCTAAAAGTACACCAAAATAGAACCTCCTTAAAGCATCTCACAAGACCTATATAACAATAACACAATGAAAAAAACCCAAGGTATTCAGGCAATAAATAGCACAATGAATAGAGTAGTACCTCACATCTCAATACCAACATTGAATGTAAATGGCCTAAATGCTCCACTTAAAACATACAGGATGGCAGAATGGATAAGAATTTACTAACCAAGTTTCTGCTGTCTTCAGGAGACTCACCTAACACATAAAGAATCACATAAACTTAAGGGGGTAGAAAAAGATATTCCATACAAATGGACACCAAAAGCAAGCAGGAGTAGTGATTTTTATATGAGACAAAACAATAAATAAAGTAATAAATAAATAAAGTAATAGCAGTTAAAAAAGACAAACAGGGACATTATATAATGATAAAAGGACTAGTCTAATAGGAAAATATCACAATTGTAAATGTATATGCACCTAACACTAGAACTCCCAAATTTATAAAACAATTACTACTAGACCTAAGAAACAAGATAGATGGCAATACAATAATAGGGGGTCACCTTAACACTCCAGTGACATCATTAGATAGGTCATCAAGACAGAAAGTCAAAAAAGAACATACTTAAATTATATTGTACAACAAATGGACTTAACAGATATTTACTGAACATTCTACCCAACAACTGCAGAATATACATTCATCAGCACATGGAACAGTCTCCAAGATAGATCATATGATAGGTCACAAAACAAATCTCAGTAAATTTAAGAAAGTGGAAATTATATCAAGCTCTCTCAGAACACAGTAGAATAAAATTTGAAATCAACTCCAAAAAGGAGCCCTCAAAACCGTGCAAATTCATAAAAATTAAATAACCTTCTCCTGAATGATTGTTGGGTCAATAATAAAATCAAGATGGAAATTAAAAAATTCTTTGAACTGAACAATAATAGTGGCACAACTTATCAAAACCTCAGGGATACAGCTGATGCGGTGCTAAGAGTAAAGTTCATAGCATCAAATGCCTACCTCGAAATGTCTGAAAGTGCACAAATAGACAATGTAAAGTCACAACTCATGGAACTGGAGAAACAAGAACAATACAACAATCTAAATCCAAACCCAGCAGAAGAAAATAACAAGGATCAAGGCAGAACTAAATGAAATTGAAACAAGCAAACAAAAACAATACAAAAGATAAATGAAACAAAAAGCTGGTTATTTGAAAAAATAAATAAAATTAATAAACAATTAGTGAATTTAACCAAAAAAGAAAAGAGGAGATCCAAATAAGCTCAATTAGAAACAAAATGGGAGATACTACAACTAATACCACAGAAATACAAAAGATTATTCAAGGCTACTATGAATACCTTTACATGCATAAACTAGAAAATCTAGAGGAGATGGATAAATTCCTGGAAATATACAACCTTCCTAGATTAAACCAGGTAGATATAGACTATGAACAGACCAATAACAAGCCACAAGATTGAAACAGTGATAAAAACACAGCCAAGAGGCTGAGCATGGTAGTTCACGCCTGTAATCCCAGCACTTTGGGAGGCTAAGGTGGGTAGATCACTTAAGGTCAGGAGTTTGAGACCTTGCTGGCCAACTTGGCAAAACCTCATTTCTACTAAAAACACAAAAATTAGCCAGGTGTGGTGGCATGTACGTGTAGTCCCATCTACTTCGGAGGCTGAGGCAGGAGAATCACTTGAACCCAAGAAGCAAAGGTTACAATGAGCTGAGATCTTGCCACTGCACTCCAGCCTGGGTGACAGAGTGAGACTCCACCTAAAAATAAATAAATAAATAAATAAAGCCAACAACAAAAAAAAGTCTAGGACCAGACGGGTTCACAGCTGAATTATATCAGACATTCAAATAAGAATTGGTACCAATCCTATTGACACTATTCCAAAAGATAGAGAGAGAGGGCATCTTCCCTAAATCATTCTATGAGGCCAGTATCACCCTAATACCAAAACCAGGAAAGGACATTAACCAAAAAAGAAAACTATAGACCAATATCCCTGATGAACATAGATGCCAAAATCCTTAACAAAATACAGCAAACTGAATTCAACCACATGTCAAAAAGAGAATCCACCATGATCAAGTGGATTTTATACCAGGAATGCAGGGATGGTTTAACATACACAAGTCAATAAATGTGATACACCACAAAAACAGAATTAAAAACAATAATTACAGTATCATCTTAATAGACACAGAAAAAGCATTAGACAAAATCCAGCATCCCTTTATGTTTAAAACCCTCAGCAAAATAGGTATAGAAGGAAAAACATTAAGGTAATAAAAGCCATTTATGACAAACCCACAGCCAACATTATACTGAATGGGGAAAAGTTGAAAGCATTGCCCCTAAGTACTGGAACAAGACAAGGATGCCCACTCTCAACACTCCTTGTCAACATTGTGCTAGAAGTGCTAGCCAGAGCAATCAGAGAAGAGAAAGAAATAAAGGGCAGCTAAATCAGTAAAGAGGAAGTCAAACTGTCACTGTTTGTTGATGACATGATCTTTTACCTAGAAAACCCTAAAGACTCATCTAAAAATCTCCTAGAACTGGTAAATGGATTCAGCAAAGTTTCAGGCTACAAAGTTAGTGTACACAAATCAGTAGCCCTGCTAAACACCAACAGTGACTAAGCTGAGAATCAAATAAAAAACTCAGCCTTTTTCACAATAGCTGAAAAAAAAACCCCAAAAACTTAGGAACATACATAACCAAGGATGTGAAAGACCTCTACAAGGAAAACTACAAAACACTGCTGAAAGAAATCATAAATGACACAAACAAATGGAAACACATCCCATGCTCATGGATGGGTAGAATCTATATTGTGAAAATGAACATACTGCCAAAAACAATCTACAAATTCAATGCAATTCCAACATCATACTGAATGGGGAAAAGTTGAAAGCATTGCCCCTAAGAACTGGAACAAGACAAGGACGCCCACTCTCACCATTTCTCTTCAACATGGTGCTAGAAGTGCTACCCAGAGCAATCAGAGCAACAAAATACCACCATGATTCTTCACAAAACTAGAGAAAACAGTCCTAAAATTCATATGGAACCAAAAAAGAGCCTGCATAGCCAAAGCAAGACAAAGCAAAAAGAACAAATCTGGAAGCATAATATTACCTGACTTCAAACTTATACTATAAGGTCATAGTCACCAAAACAGCATGGTACTGGTATGAAAATAGGGACATAGACCAGTGGAACAGAATAGAGAACCCAGAAATGAAGCCAAATACTTACAGCCAACTGATCTTTGACAAAGCAAACAAAAACATAAAGTGGGGAAAGGACACTCTATTCAACAAATGGTGCTGGGATATTTGGCAAGCCACATGTAGAAGAATAAAACCGGATCCTCATCTCTCACTTCATACAAAAATCAACTCAAGATGGATCAAAGACTTTAATCTAAGACCTGAAACCATGAAGATTCTAGAAGATAACAGTGGAAAAGCCCTTCTAGATGTTGGCTTAGGCAAAGAGTTCATGACCAAGAACCCAAAAACAAATGCAATAAAAACAAAGATAATAGGTGTGACTTAATTAAATTAAAAAGCTTCTGCACAGCAAAAGGAATAATCAACAGAGTTAACAGACAACCCACAGAATGGAAGAAGGTCTTCACAATCTATATATCCAGCGAAGGACTAGTATCCAGAATCTACAAAGAACTCAAACAAATCAGCAAGAAAAAACAAACAATATCACCAAAAAGTGGGCTAAGGACAAGAATGGACAATTATCAAAAGAAGATACACAAATGGCCAACAAGCATATGGAAAAATGCTCAACATCACTAATGATCAGGGAAATGCAATTCAAAACAACAGTATGATACCACCTCACTCCTGCAAGAATAGCCATGATCAAAAAATTAAAAAAAAAAAAAGAGATATTGGCATGGAGGCAGTGAAAAGGGAACACTTTTAAACTGTTGATGGGAATATAAACTAGTACAACCACTATGGAAAACAGTGTGGAGTTTCCTTAAAGAACTAAAAGTTGATCTACCATTTGATCCAGCAATCCCACTACTAGGTATCTAACCAGAGGAAAAGAAGTCATTATATGAAAAAGCTACTTGCATATGCATGTTTAGAGCAGCACAATTTGCAGTTGCAAAAATATGGAACCAGCCCAAATGCCCATAAATCAATGAGTGGATAAAGAAAATCTGTTATATATATACCATGGGATACTGCTAAGCCATAAAAAGGAACAAAATAATGGCATTTGCAGCAAACTGGATGGAATTGGAGACTATTATTCTAAGTGAAGCAACTCAGGAATGGAAAACCAAACATCATATGTTCACACTCATACGTGGGAGCTAAGTTATGAGGATGCAAAGGCATAAGAATGATACACTGAACTTTGGGGACTCAGGGGAAAACGTTGTGGGTGGGAAGGGATAGAAGACTACACATTGGCTACAGTGTACACTGCTCAGGTGTTGGGTGTAGTAAAATCTCAGAAATCACCACTAAAGAACTTATTCATGTAACCAAACACCATCTGCTCCCCCAAAACCTATTGAAATTAAAAATAAATAAATAAAAGTTAATGTTTGTCTCTCTTTTTAAAACTATATAGTTTTAAATTTTAAATATTTACTAAGGCAATAAATTAAAAAAATTTAATTGTTTTGAATTCAGTAAATGTGTTAAGCAATATATTTTTTAGAGCTTAGAATCAAGAAACATTTTATCTGCCAATTTCTTGATTATTTTGCTGCCTGTTTTTTCTGTGACTAAAGCATTGTAGTCACCTGAAGAGGTCTTTTGGCCCACTGTACAGACAAAACCAATCCACTGAGACCACACTATTGCAGTAAAGAAAGAGCTTAATTAACAGGAGACTGGTGACATGGGAGAACTAAAGTTATCACTCAAATCAGTATCCCTGAAGGCTTGGAGGCTAGGGATTTTCAAGGATAGTTTTGTTGGCAGGCAGGTAGGAAATTGGGAATATTGATTTGTTGGGAATGAAATCATAGAGGTGTGGAAAGTAGCCCTTGTGCACTGAGTCAGCCCAGGGGCAGGCTACAGGACTGGCTGAGTCACGAGTCTCAGGTCCCGGTAGAGTCAGTCAGTTGCCAGAAATGCAGAAGTCTGAAAAACATCTCAAAAGGCCAATCTTAAGTTCTACAATAGTCATGTTATCTACAGGAGTAATTGCAGAAGTTACAAATCTTGTGACCTCTGGAACGTTGGTTATCATTCAACTATGCCTATATCTTAGTAGAATTCAGGCCCCTCTCATAATCTTAACCTTGTGGGCTTTCATTAGTTTTACAAAGGTGGTTTAGCTTTGGGAAGGGCTATCATCATCCTTGCTTTAAATTTAAACTATAAACTAAATTCCTCCCAAAGAGAGTGTGGCCTATGCTCAGGAGTGACCAAATACAGCTTGGAAATTAGAAGCAAGATGGAGTCAACTACAGCAGTTTTTTCTTACTCTCATAATTTACAAAGTCAGTTTCAGTTTTTCACAGAGGGATATAGAATGAATTTCAGAGTTTTCCTTTAAGGAGAATGACTAGTATCCAGAATCTACAAAGTCCTGGTCCTTTTAAAACCGTGATTACATTATCTTACAAAACTTGTTGTTTCCAGTGCCTAAGAATGGCAAGTACTCATGATGAATATGCTGGATAGGTCTGCATGAAAAATCTTTTGTTCCAGGGCTCAACAAATATGTTTTACCATTAAAAGTATTTTAGAAGTTCTCAGCCAGGCACGGTGGCTCATGCCTGTGATCCCAGCATTTTGAGAGGCTGAGGAGGGAGGATCACTTGAGCCAAGGAGTTCAAGATCAGCCTGGTCAACACAGCAAACTCTGTCTCTACAAAAAAATACAAAAATTAGCCAGGCATGGTGGTGCACGCCTGTAGTCCCAGCTACTCTGGGAGGCTAAAGTGGGAGAATTGCTTGAGCTGGGGAGGTCCAGGCTTCAGTAAGCTATGACTTCACTCCAGCCTGCATTCCAGCTTGGGTGACAGAGCAAGGCCCTGTCTCAAAAAAATTAAGGAGAATTCAAAAAGAATAACAACTGAAAGACTGTTTTATAGTCACATCAATAATGGTAGAAAGCATAATGAAAACCAAGATTATATACAGAGCAACAGCAACAGAAATAATTAACTCTTAATAATATCAAATAGAAATTGCATTTTATACAGAAAACTACAAAAGTGAGAAAAATATTTAAATAAATGAAGAAATATGTTTCTCCATGTGAAAACCAAATATTATAGAGATGTGAACTATTTACCAATTTGTTGATAGGTTTAATAAAAATGTCACTTCTTTTTAGGTTTTGATGAAGGGATTCTGTAATTCATATGGAAAAGTAAATGGGGAAGAATTGCTTTAAAAGTTAGAAAAAATATGTTATATAAAATGTATTAAATATCTAAAAAAAATTATAAGTCTTACATAATCATTAAAGTGATAGTGACAAAGAAAATAGTCCAGAAGGAGCTCCAGGAGAATAAAAATTTAATGTATGTGAAGTTAGAAACTGTGATGGGACTGTTTCTCTATCAGCACGATTATATATTTAGATATGTAGATAATTTAGATAGGAAGATGGATAGTAGAATACTTAACAGAAACACCTGCAGACAATCAGAGATCAGAGGTTTTTTTTTACTCAAAGCTAAAACAGCCCTTAGAGATGATGAGAGGTGTATGGATAAATACTAAAATATGCTGTGGGATTGCACTGTAGGCTAGGGACCCAGAGCTTTACATTTCTCCTTTTATCTAGAAGAGGAGAAGATCTGTCCCTCTTTCTGTTAGGAGATAGGAGAAGAAAAATCCTGGGTTCTTAAGTTTGTAGTGCAAATGAATATCTTCAGGGGCAAGATAAGTCTAGTTCTCCAAGTTTGCAACCCAGAATTGTCTCTTTTGAAATATAAATACAAGGAAAGATAACACTCTAAACCCTTCCAGGAGTCTAAGCATTATTCAATCACCCTTTCCTTTAACTCAGGTTCCCATTCTGGAATGCAACCATTTGGCTCCTAGGGGATAAGAGGTTTGTTATCTTTTGAATGGAAGCAATTAGTTCCACAATTAAGGAGGCAAATGGCTGAAGATGTAATATTTGGGCATATGAAAAGGAATTTTTTTCTGGAGAAAGTAAAACCAAATATTTTCTAATTCACAATGTACGGCTCAGGAGGCCGACATTTTGCAGGAAAACCTAGAAATCCAGGGAAGATTTATTTTTCCATAATATACATGAACCATATATTAACATATAGTAAAGATTTTCAATAAATAGTACTAGAAGAAATGAAGTTATAATTTGGGGAACTTCATCTAAAGTGCTTAAAGAGTTAAATGTAAAAAAATCAGTTTATAAAGAGCCTATAAGAAAATAAAAATGAATATACTGTCAAATGTTTGCATAAGGAAAGAGTTTCCAGACTTAAAAGTAATATAAGAGGTCAGAAGGGAAAAGATAATAGATTTAATTGTATTAAGACATAAATTGTCTATAAGCCAAATACATAAATTAAAAGTCAAACAAAAATTATCTCAATAACTATGACAGACAAGAGATAAATGTTTCTAAAAGACATGACTGCTCTATTAAAGTATTCCTATAGTTTTTGTGAGTATAAATATATATATTACCTTTTAGAAATTAATTAGTAAAATTATATCTTTAGCCTTAAAAATGTTTGTATTCTATGGCATGGTCAATTTCATTTTAGAAATCTATCCTAAGGATATGGATGAAATATGATAAACAGCCTTATGCAAAACACAGTTTCATAACTGCTTATTTTTAAAGAAGAAAAATAAAAATAAATGGAATTTTCAACAATACAAATCTTTTCTGTAATAATGGGATATCCATTGATGAAACAGTATATAGTCAAGAAAATGATATTTACTAAGAGTAATGCTAATGTTATTAAGGTCACCAGAGGAAAAGCAAATTACAAAACACTTATGACACATGATCTCAAGAAAACAGAGAGGCAGTCTATGGGAAAAATTAAGAATGATTATTTCTTGATTTTAAGATTGTTAGTAACTTTAATTTATTTAATAATATTTAAATTATTTAATTTAACTAAATTTATTAATTTAGTTCCTTAGAAATTTTGTGTAGTCTCCAAGCTTTTTGATAAGCACATAATAATTTATAATCATAAAAAGGTGATTATTTTTAAAGGTGATTATTAAAAGGGGAGTTTGTATAGCTTTTGCATGAACAATGGCAATCAAAAAGGGTTTAATTGCTAAAGAGCATTCTCAGTACCCAAAGTGGAAGTATTTTCAAATCTAGTTTTACAAGAAAAGGATACAATATAGCAACAGCATTAAAGTAAGAATATACATCACAGCCCAAAGCAATATTCTTGGTGTGAAACCAAAACCAAAACCAATAGCAGAGACCTTCTGGGATCTTACCAAGATTGGGTATGTTATATATAAAGTTTAGGTGCCGCAAAAGAAACGGAACTTGATTATGAAATTTTCTTTTAATTCTGAGCAAGGCAAGTTACTTCTATAAAAGGGTGCACTCTTACAGATGGAGCAGTGGTGAGTGTACACTTGGACAACGGAGGGGAAACGGTTCTTATCCCTGACGCACGTGGCCCCTGCTTCTGTGTCCTTCCCCTATTGGCTAGGGTTAGACTGCACAGGATAAACTAATTCTGTTTGGCTAATTTAAAGAGAGTGACCGGGTGAGTGCTTTGGCGGGAAAAAAAGATGGTTATGCAGGGTGGAGAATGAGTCAGGGCGGAGCAGGTAGCAGGTAATCTGAATGAGCCAGGGTGGAGTAGGTAATTGAAAAAGGTTGCTTTACAAGGAAGATGAGTTTAAAAGCAGAGGGCAAATAACTGAACATACTGATATATTGATTCTTTGAAGAGAAATTTAGAACTTATATCTAACAGGCACAAATCATCAGTCTCACTGTTATCAATAAACAATGCTAACAAGCTGGTACAAACTTCCCTGAAACTCCTTGGACTCTCGGTTACAAAACAACCTTATTAATTATAATAATTATTTCATGACTTGACCAGAGATCACAGATTTTTGGTAGATCTTTTATTCAGTAATATAACACAGGCCCATTCTAGGCTTGCTAAAATTAATCCTTGAGCAGCTTGAAATATTAGGAGATGGCCTGACATGAAGATCAGACATTAGATTTGGGATAATAATTTTTTCCAGAGGGTGATGAGTGCATCAGCAGCCCTTTATAATGTGACTGATCCTTAATATGCAGATTTTAGATTGTATTGTTGCCTGTATATCCCTCTTGCAGCTACTACTGCATATGTACATAGAGCATATATTCAGAGCATCCTGGGACTTGAAGGACATTATTGTGAATTGTCTATTTAAATGCAAATTAGATTCACCAGCTGTTGTTGCTACTAGTCTTGGCAACCTTAAGGAGACATTTTATCCTAGCAACCAGAGAGGATACAGATAACAAATTTCACTTTCATGAGAAAAAACAAAAGGTCAGAAAGCATAGGAGCAATATTTCATGCAAATTCATCTGTTTTACAACAGAATCCCTTTAAATAGAGCTTCAGAAGGCCACAATCAATTGCTTCAAAAGACTTTAGCAGAATAACTATCATCATCAAGATGCATGAGGTCAGCAGTTTACAACAACATTTGGTAAGTTCTATTCTAGGCAGTGATTTTGTTCCATAAGCTAATAGAAATTGTATGAGTGGAGTCAATAACTTAACCCTCCCATTTAAACTCATCAGTGTCGAGTAAGCCAAATTTGCATGAATTTTGTCTAATTCAACCAGAATTATTTTTAGATTATTAACTTTATCTTCAATTTTACATGGCAAATATTTACTTCACAGTCTACGCTTCTTTGGAAAATTAACAGCAGAAAATTTTCAAATATTTAAGCCTCTGACAGACTTGAACCCTGGACATGTAAGATTCTTTTCTCACTTGGCAAGCACAAGGCCTCTCTTGAAGCATGTTTTTAGTGGAAACTTAGTGAATTAAATTAAAATATTTAGTTTAGCATCAAGTTTTGGCATTTATGCAGGTTGTTCTTGAAAACTCTTTCTGGAGTGCAAGGTTTAATAATTACAATTTCTATAAATAATATTTCTGTCAATTTTCTAAAGAGACCAAATATACGAAAAAAACCCTTTTCATAAAATGTCTAGAAATATTTTTATGTGTATGTAGATAAATTATAGATATCCTGTGACATAAGAATAGAGGAAAAACTTTCAGAACTCAGGGAGAGCTAAAATATTCATGAGTGTCAAGCAGAACAGGAATTAACTGCATGGACTAAGCTAATCTTTTTGACTTTTTGTTTAAAATGTTTGCTGATCCTTTTGTTTTGTTTTTCAGAGTTTTTTTTTTTTTCAGATGGAGTCTTACTCTGTCAACCCAGGCTGGAGTTCAGTGGTGAGATCTTGGCTCATCGCAACCTTCGCCTCCTTGATTCAAGCGATTCTCCTGCCTCAGCCTCCCCAGTACCTGGGATTACATGCATGTGCCACCATGCCTGGCTAATTTTTGTGTTTTTAGTAGAGATGGGGTTTTGCCATGTTGGCCAGGCTGGTTTCAAACCCCTGACCTCAGGTGATCTGCCTGCCTCAGCCTCCAAAAGTGCTAGGATTACAGTCATGTGCCGCTATGCCCGGCTAATTTTTGTGTTATGGTAATACAATTATTTGCATAAGTGTAATAGAAATCTGTTTTCATTTGTAATAGGATGCAATTGGAGGACCTGGTTATTTTACCAAGTCTTGGACTGGAATGGTGTGCTTTCCTTTAAGGAATCAAACTTGACTTACAGAGCCAATAAATCCCCTTGGGGAAACTGGCCTTATATCTTTGTCCATTCACCCCAGTACAGGGTTCCTGACCTGTGGTAAGTAAAGAATGTCACTTTCTGACAGGTCTAGGTCCCCAAGTTTATCTTGGAACCTCGAGAGAATCACCCAACTCACAGGTATTTGATGGCACACATCCATGGCTTGGCTCAGCTTTAAAAAAGTGTTACCCAAGATTCCTTCTATGAAACAAAGTCCCAGCAAAGCCAATTTAAAAGCCTATGTAAAAAATAATTACTCTTGCTGCACTGTATACAAACAATTAGGCCAAGTGGAATAAAGCAAGACAATTCTACCATGATTTGTCTTTAGCAAAAATAGGAAACTGGAGAGATAAAAATTATGTTTCCAAAATTATAGTACACCTATTGTTAGATTCTCATCTTGCCTAATGTTTTTCAATTTTTACTATTTTCTACAATTTGGGCTAAATTGTAATTTTTTCTTGGCTACAAGTCTTCAAAATATGTTTTCACTTTTTTTCCTTTTTTCCATTTTTCCTAATTGGGAGTCACTGAAAACTAAGAAGTGCTTTCTTAAAGCCCTGCAAACTGAAACTAGACAACTTAAACTTCAGAACAAAATAACAGTAACCTATTTACGTACATAAGCCACTTTTTTTTTTTTTGAGACGGAGTCTCACTCTGTCCCCCAGGCTGGAGTGCAGTGTCACAATCTCAGCTCACTGCAAGCTGCACCTCCTGGGTTCATGCTATTCTCCTGCCTCAGCCTCCTGAGTAGCTGGGACTACAGGCACCTGCTACCACGTCCAGCTGATTTTTTGTATTTTTTTTAGTAGAGACGGGGTTTCACCATGTTAGCCAGGATGGTCTCAATCTCCTGACCTTGTGATCCACCCACCTCGGCCTCCCAAAGGGCTGGGATTACAGGCGTGAGCCACCATGCCCAGCCATAAACCACTTTCATAACTGCCTTCTGATGCATAGACTTCAGAGTAATGTGGCCTGCATTGATTTTCCAGGATTGGTCTTTTGTGTGCTGTTGTTTTTCTCCTTTTCTCCTAAGAGGACATTTTCTCTTAAGAGGACATGAGACTCCACAACCCTATAAAAATGAGCATTCTAGACCTACACATCTAGGAATAAACAGTCCTAGCCATGAGTGATCAGATGAATCCTGGGACCAGAGACTCATTTTCTTCTAAAATGCTTTCTCCAAAATATTTTAAAAAAGAAAAGGGGGGAAAAGTGAAAGGAAATATCTTGGACTTCTTCAAGCTGGGAACTGCTCAGGGCAAATCTGCCTCCCATTCTATTCAAATTCAGTGAGCAGAGGCTCACTGAGATAGATGCATATCTGATTGCCTCCTTTGGAAAGGCTGATCAGAAACTCTAAAGAATGCAACTCTTTGTCTCTCACCTATCTGTGACCTGGAAGCACCCTTCCCACTTCAGGTCTTCCTGACTTTGTTTCAAGTTGTCCAATTTTTCCAGACCAAACCAATGTACTTCTTCCATCTATCAATTCATGTCTCATTAAGGGAGGAGACCACCCCTCATATTATCTTATGCCCAATTTCTGCCTCCAAAGAAAGAAGAAATAAAAACTAAAAGGCAGAAATGAAATCCATAGGCAGACAGCCCAGTGCCATGCCCTGGACCTGGTAGTTAAAGATTGACCCCTGACCTAATCAGTTATGTTATCTATAGATTACAGACATTGTGTGGAAAAGCACTGTGAAAATCCCTGTCCTGTTCTGTTTTGTTCTGTTCTAATTACCAGTGCATGCAGCCCCCAGTCACATACTCCCTGCTTGCTCAATCGATCATGACCCTCTCACGCGGACCCCCTTAGAGTTGTAAGCCCTTCAGAGGGACAGGAATTGCTCACTTGGGGAGCTCAGTTTTTGAGATGTGAATCTTCCTGATGTTCCCGGCTGAAGAAAGCCCTTCCTTCTTTAACTCGGTGTCTGAGGGGTTTTGTCTGCAGCTCATCCTGCTATATTTCCTGATTCCCTGACTGGGAAGCGAGGTGATTAATGGACAGTCGAGGCAGCCCCTTAGGTGGCTTAGGCCTGCCCTGTGGAGCATCCCTGCAGGAGATGCCAGCTAGCTTGAGTGACATGGATCCTGAGAGCACTCCTGGGTAGGCAATTGCCCCAGTGGAATGCCTCGCCAGAGCAGCATGTGGCAGGCCCCCACAGAGGATTAATACAGTGGTTGAACACCGGGAAGGAACTGGCACTTGGAGTCCGGACATCTGAAACTTGGTAAGATTAGTCTTTGGAACTTGCCCACTCCATTTGAGTGGAAGCGTGGACTGGTCACCCATGGCATGCCTGTACCGGCACTTTGGTTTTTGTTTTTGATTTGACTTGGATTGCTTGATACTTTGGTTTTGGTCTTGACCTGGCTTGGGTTTCTTGATACTCTGATTTTGGTTTTGATTCTGGTTTGGTGTTAACTGTAAAAGTGTGTGTGTGCCCTTTTCACCTGTTCTTTGTTTTGTGGTGTGCATGTGGTGTGAGCTTGGTGTTTTGTCTCGAGGAAGCATGGGTCAGGCACAAAGTAAGCCCACCCCACTAGGAGCTATGTGGAAAAATTTCAAGAATGGATTTAAGGGAGATTACAGTGTTACTATGACAGCAGGAAAACTTAGAACTTTGTGTGAAGTAGACTGGCCAGCATTAGAGATGGGTTGGCCATCAGAAGGAAGCCTGGACAGGTCCCTTGTTTCAGAGGTATGGCACAAGGTAACCTGTAAGCCAGGGCACCCAGACCAGTTCCCCTACATAGACGCTTGGTTACAGCTGGTTTTAGACGCCCCCCTACAGTGGTTGAGAGAACAGCAGCATAAGTGGCTGACAGAGGCAAGGAAAGACCAATAGAGAGAGAGAAAAAAAAGACACAGAGAGGAAAAGAGGTAAAGAGACAGAGTAAGAGACAGAGAGGAAGAGACAGAGAGACAAAGAGGGAGTCAAGAAGAGAGAAGGAGAGAGATATACAAGTAGTTTAAAAAAAAAATTGTACCCTATTCCTTTAAAAGCCAGGGTAAATTTAAAACCTATAATTGATAATTGAAGTTATTCTCCATAACCCTATAACACTCCAATACCACTTTGTTGTCAGTGTAAACAAGGGCGTATCCTGAAAGCACTGAGACCACTGATAACCCGTAGCCTTCCTATAAAAAATCCTTAACTCAGTAACCTGCAGTTGGCCCAGATGCATTCAATCTGTAGCGACAACTGCTTTGCTAACACAAGAAAGTAAAAAAAATAACTTTTAGAGGAAACCTCATTGTGAGCACACCTCACTAGTTCAGAATTATCCTAAAGAAAAAAAAAAAAAAGATGATTTAACATTAACCACTATTCCCTTAACCCAGCAGGTTTCCTAACAGGGGATGTAAATCTTAATTACCATACAAAGGTCTGACCAGACCTAGGAGGATGTTCCTCCCAGGTATTTGAAGGAAAAAAAGAAAAAAAACCCATCTATACCAATTCTAAGCTAATTTGGACTAAACAAGGTCTTATTAACAGCAAAGGATAATTGAAATCCCAAACTTCCAAGGTTTTCAACAAAAGTAAAGTTTGCTAAAACTTAACAGTGTAACATATATTATAGTAACTTCTAATCTTGTGGCCTTGGACAGTCTAGTCCACAGACATAAAAGAAGTTCGCTTTGGAAAAGAATGGTTATCATCTTCAAAAAACAGGGAAAAAATGGGGGGCAGAATTTATGTAAAAAGCATGTGATGTGGTAGATTCTTGTGCTGATATAAATTAACTGGTTGTTTAAAGAAAGAAATGTTTGTAATAAGTCAGAAAGTTGAGGCATGTCAAAGAATTTTCTGCAAAAGTCATGAAAGAGAAAAAAAAGTTATAAAAAAAGAATTTATGCAAGAAATGTTGTATAGTTTAAAAGTAACTAGGCTTCCTGAATGTAAAACTATTGAAAAAATAGTTTATGGGCAAGGTGTATAAGGAAAGTAAAATATACCTTTGGTAAAAGGAGGCATAAGAATGTAAATTTTTACCTACATTAAAAGGTAAAAAAAATTATTGTTTTGAAGGTTTAAGCAAGTTTTAAAACATTAATTGTAAAGAAAATTCTGTGTGTAAACATATTAGCTGAAGTTAAAGGGGTATCATCCAGTTTTTCTGTGAACTGGACATTAAAGTAAAAACACAATGGGTTTTTCTTAAAGCACTAACCTGCTTTTTAACAAAGGTTATAAAAGGTTAAAAAGAGTCTATAAAAATCTTACCTTATGGTCTGACATTAAAAATTGAATAAATATGTCTACAAAGTTTTATTAAAACTAAGTTTAACATTAATAGCACACTAATATAAAGGTGAAATTTAGCTTATCTGGTATTCATACAGGAAGCATTGTCAAATACAATATGGTGTTTGGCTTCTTTGGTCTAAAAACTAATAAAAAATAGATGCTAAAGGAAATTTCTCAGTAGAAAGGCACCAAGGACTACAAAGTCCACTGCTGATGTACCCACATTTAAAACAAAAGGTCAACTTCTTAGAAATTATATATTTGGTTTATCTTCCACTTTCCTTTCCCTCAAAACTAAAAGTCTTTTAGCACATGTACCACCTCTAGAATTTCTGGTAAACCAGCACCAGTCTGAAGATCACATTCTCATCAAAGGGTGAAAAGAAAGGAAATCTGAACCAGCCTAGGAAGGACCCTACCTGGTGCTGCTAACCACCAAGACTGCTGTTCATACAGCAAAAAAAAAAAGGATGAACTCATCACCACTGAGTCAAGAAAACACCAACCCCTCCAGAGTTATGGGCCGTAGTCCCAGGGGAAAACCCTACCAAACTAAAGCTAAGAAAAATTTGATTCTTTCATCTATTCTATTACTCTTTCTTCTTTCCTCACTCTATTGCTGACCATCTAGTTATTAATATAACCAAGTCAATTTTGCCTCAAAATATTGCATTTAATATTTTATACCCTGTGGGGACTTGCCAAGTCAAAGACAGCTCTCTACTTCAGAAAAGTACCTCTTTCCCTCTTGACTCTCCTCAGACTGGGCATTAGTATATTAGAACCATTTAATCCTGGGAAATTTTGATAAAGACTCCAGTGTCAACAAGGAGTCTTGCTCCCCAATGTAGAGCTTTCATGCTGTAGTTGGTCCAACATTCTGTGGACCACTAAAGAGCAAGGATGGACTGCCCCAGCCAGTTTTTGTAATTTCCTAAAATCATACATTCATTTTACTGGAGGATCATAGTAGTTAAAGACTTAAACTTTGGCAGTTAAGACAGGATACCAAGATACAAATGCCTGGTTGGAATGGATCAAATATTCCATCCACACGTTAAACAAAAGCAATTGTTATGCTTGTGCACATGGCAGGCCAGAGGCCCAGATTGTCCCCTTTCCACTAAGGTGGTCTTCCAGTTGACCAGACATGGGCTACATGGTAGCTGCTTTCCAGGATTCTACAGCCTGGAGTAATAAGTCATGCCAAGCTCCCTCTGCTATATCCCAAAGTCCGGCACCCTGTGGGTCAGGCCCTGAGGGCCATCCAGCCTCCGTCTCCCAACACTAAGTTCACTTTGTGTCTCTCATGACAGGGAGAAAACTTAGCATTCCTTGGAGACCTGAAGGGATGCAGTAAGCTTAAGAATTTTCAAGAGTTTATCAATCAGTCAGCCCTTGTTCATCCTCTAGTGGATGTGTGGTGGTATTGTGGTGGACCTTTACTGGGCACTCTGCTGAATAACTTAAGTGGCATTTGTACTTTAGTCCAGTTGGCTATCCCTTTTACCCTGGCATTTCATCAACCAGAGGGAGGAAAAATAAGACATCATAAAGCAAGAGAAGCCTCTTATGGGTCTTTCAACTCTCACGTCTATTTAGACACAACTGGAGTCCCATGGGGAATACAAGATCAATTTAAAGCTTGAAATCAAATAGCTGCAGGATTTGAGTCAATATTTTGGTGGGTGACACTTAATAAAAATATAATTTGGATAAACTACATCTATTACAACCAATAGCAATAAGCTTTTCATGAGTTAAAAACTCATGGCCCCAGCCCTGGGGCTACCTGACCTGACAAAACCCTTTACACTCTAGGTGTCAGAAAGAGAAAAAATGGCAGTTGGAGTTTTAACCCAGACTGTGGGGCCCTGGCCAAGGCCAGTGGCCTATCTCTCCAAACAACTAGATGGGGTTTCCAAAGCCTGGCCCCTATGTCTAAGGGCCCTGGCAGCAACAGCCCTGTTAGCACAAGAAGCAGATAAACTAACCCTTGGGCAAAATCTGAATATAAAGGCCTCCCATGCTATGGTAACTTTGACGAATACCAAAGGACATCATTGGCTGACAAATGCTAGATTAACCAAGTACCAAAGCTTGCTATGTGAAAATCCACGCATAACCACTGAAGTTTGCAACACCCTAAACCCCACCACCTAGCTCCTCATATCAGAGAACCCAGTTGAACATAACTGTATAGAGGTATTGGACTCAGTTTATTCTAGTGGGCCCAACCTCCGATACCATCCTTGAACATCAGTAGCCTGTGAGCTGTATGTGGGCAGAAGCATCTTTGCCAACCCCTGCAAAGGGACTCTGAAGAAGATGACTAGCCCTGCTCCAGTCACATCTGGAAGCTGACTGGTCCATGCATGGCCGAAACATGGGAAAACTCATCGCGGGACTCATTTTCCTTAAAATTTGGACTTGTACAGTAAGGACTTCAACTGACCTTCCTCAGACTGAGGACTGTTCCCAGTGTATACATCAAGTCACTAAGGTAGGACAAAAAGTTGCTACAGTCCTATTATTTTATGATTATTGTAAGTGTACTGGGAATCTAAAAAGAACTTGTTTGTATAATGCTATTCTATGCAAGGTATGTAGCCCAGGAAATGACCAACCTGTTGTGTGTTATGACCCATCTGAGCCTCCAATGACCACAGTTTTTGAAATAAGGTTAAGGACTAAGGACTGGTGGTGGCTCATAAATGATACAAGTAAAGTGTTAGACAAAACAAAAGAAAAACGGGTGCCCAAACAAGTCACCTTGAAGTGTGATGCCTGTGCTGTCATTAATAGTAATAAGTTAGGAATAGGATGTGGTTCTCTTAATTAGGAAAGAGGCTATATGGCAGAAAATAAGTACATTTCTCATGAATTAGGACTGTGTGGAAATGAATGTGGATACTGGTCTTGTGTCATTTAGGCTACTTGGAGAAAAAATGAAAAGGATACTGTCCACCTTCAGAAAGGGAAAAGTGGCCCTTCCTGTACCATTGGTCAGTGTAACCCCTTAGAACTAGTAATAACCAACCCCCTTGATCCTCGCTGGAAAAAAGGGGAGAATGTAACCCTAGGAATTGATGGGTCTGGACTGGATCCTTGAGCGAATATCGTGGTTTGAGGAGAAGTTTATAAACGCTCTCCTGAGCCAGTATTTCAAACCTTCTATGATGAACTGAATGTGCCAGTAACAGAAATTCCAGGAAAAACAAGAAATTTGTTTTTGCAATTAGCCAAGCGTGTAGCCCAGTCTCTCAATGTCACTTCATGTTATGTATGTGGAGGAACTGTAATGGGAGATCAATGGCCATGGGAAGCCCGAGAATTAGTACCTACAGACCCATTTCCTGATGAATTCCCAGTTCAAAAGAATCACCCTGATAACTTCTGGGTCCTAAAAGCCTCAATCATTAGACAATACTGTATAGCAAGAGTGGGGAAGAATTTCACCCTTCCTGTGGGGAGACTCAGCTGCCTTGGGCAAAAACTGTATAATACTACTACAAAAGCAGCCACCTAGTGGAGTTCATACCACACTAAGAAAAATCCATTTAGTAAATTCGTGAAGTTGCAAACCGTGTGGACCCACCCAGAGTCCCACCGGGACTAGACAGCCCCCACTGGATTATACTGGATATGTGGGCATAGAGCTTACACCAAATAACCCGGCCAGTGGGCAGGTAGTTGTGTTATTGGCACTATTCAACCATCTTTCTTCCTACTGCCCATAAAGACAGGTGAACTCCTGGGCTTCCCTGTCTATGCTTCCTGCGAAAAGAGAAACATAGCTATAGGCAATTGGAAAGATGATGAATGGCCCCTGAGAGAATCATACAACATTATGGGCCTGGTACTTGGGCACAGGATGGCTCGTGGGGATACCAGACCCCCATTTACATGCTCAACTGAATCATACAGTTAAAAGTTGTCTTAGAAATAGTCACTAATAAGACCAGCAGAGCCTTGACTATTCTGGCCCAGCAAGAAACTCAGATGAGAAATGCTATCTATCAAAATAGATTGGCTCTCGACTACTTGCTGGCAGCTGAAGGAGGGGTCTGTATGAAATTTAACCTTACTGATTGCTGTCTACACATAGTTGATCAAGGGCAAGTAGTTGAAGACATAGTTAGATATATGACAAAACTGGCACTTGTGGCTGTGCAAGTGTGGCATGGATTTGGTCCTGGGTCCATGTTTGGAAAATGATTTCCAGCACTAGGAGGATTTAAAACTCTTATAATAGGAGTCATAGTAGTAATAGGAACCTGCTTACTGCTCACTTGTTTGCCACCTCTACTTCTTCAAATGATAAAAAGCTTCATCGCTACCTTGTTCACCATAATGCTTTAGCACAAGTGTACTATATGAATCACTATCAATCTGTCTTCCAAGAAGACATGGGTAGTGAGAATGAAAGTGAGGACTCCCACTAATGAATGAAGTTCTCAAAGAGGGGGAATAAGGGAGGAGACCACCCCTCATGTTGACTTATGCCCAATTTCTGCCTCCAAAGAAAGAAGAAGTAAAAACTAAAAGGCAGAAATGAAATCCACAGGCAGACAGCCCAGCGCTGCACCATGGGCCTGGCAGTTAAAGATCGACCCCTGACCTAATCAGTTATGTTATCTATAGATTACACACATTGTATGGAAAAGCATTGTGAAAATCGCTGTCCTGTTCTGTTCCATTCTAATTACTGGTGCATTCAGCCCCCAGTCACTGCTTGCTCAATTGATCACAATCCTCTAATGTGGACCCCCTTAGAGTTGTAAGCCCTTAAGAGGGACAGGAATGGCTCACTCGGGGAGCTTGGTTTTTGAGACATGAGTATTGCCAATGCTCCCGGCTGAATAAAGCCCTTCCTTCTTTAACTCGGTGTCTGAAGGGTTTTGTCTGTGGCTCATCCTGCTACATCATGTCTCACTAAAATGTATAAAACTAAGCCGTGCCCCCACTACCTCAACCTTGGTAAAATAAACTTTCTAAATTAACTGAGACACATCTCAAATTTGGGGGGTTCACAATATATACCTTTTAGAGTCTTGATTCCAAAGCAAAACTCAGGGATACACACAGACAGACAGACAAAAACTCAAACACACATATTTGTTAATACAAAAATAAAACCGTAAAATATTTAGAGAGATTTACTCTGAGCCAGTATGAGTGACCATGGCCCAGGAACAGTCTCAAAAGGTCCTGAGAAAGTATGCGTGAGTACAGGCAAAGACATAAATCAATACATGGAAGGTTTACATTGGTTCAACCTTATGAGGTGAATTATCTTGAAGCAGGGAAGTGAGGGTGGTTACAGGTCATAGGTGGATTCAAAGGTTTTTCTGATTGGCAATTGGTTGTAAAAGTAAAACTTTGTCTGAAGACTTTAAGTCGGCAGGAAGAAATGCTTGAGTTAAGAGGCATTGCGGATGCCAAAGCTCTTATGTAGATGAAGCCTCATAGGTAATAGCCGTCAGAGAGAATAGATGATAAATGTCTCTTTTCAAACCTTAAATGTGTCACACCCTCATTTTATCTTTCCTAGATCTGGGAAAAGGCCAGAAAGGGAGGCCTGGCTGCTTTAATGGAGATTCTCTACAGATGCAAATCTCCCCATGCAAAGATGGCTTTGCAGGGCCATTTCAAAACATGTCCAATAAATATATTTTGGGGTAAAATATTTTTATTTCTTTCAGAGTTTACTATCTGTCATGTGATGCTATAGCAGAGTCAGGCTGGAATTCAGTATCTTATTGCCACAAGGAGTCTTTTTTGTCAGTCTTATAATCTGCATTTTAATGTTAATGCTGGCCAGTTTTGCCTAAACTCCAAAAGGGAGGGAACATAAAAGGTGTATCTGACCTCCTGTTCCTTTATGACTGGGAATTCAGTTTTTCAGATTTCTCTGGGTTCCCCTTGTCCAAAAGGGGATCCGTTCAGTCAGTTGGGGGCTTAGCATTTTATTTGTAGTTTACATAGTTTATATATGAATATTTATATATAATAAATGTTATTTATAATAGATGTTATTTATAATATATAAATATTTTTATATAACAAATAAAAACATAATATATATTATATATAACATGTATAATATAGTTCCACCACTTTGGACTTTTCCTAAAACCTCAAGAGAAAACTTCATTATTTGTTAGATCATGGTTTTTCTGAATCACATACATTCTAAACCTGCAATTGAAATCATTACTGGATATTTTCTAATTTAGTTCATTGTTTTGAATCTAACTATCAAGTAAGAAAATTAATTTTCAAGTATCTTCACAATTTTGTCTGTTATAAAGGTGTAAGTCATTTATCACAATTTCTCAGTTGTCTGTGCTGGTCTGAAAAAAAAGGCTAGATTATTGATCCAATCATAATTTAAACCAACATTTCCAAAGCCTTTCTAAGTTGTTGTTTTGGTCAAGTTGTTATTATATAAAATAGCTGGTTTAGTTTTGTTATTGGAAAGGGGTCCCAATCCAGGCCCCAAGAGAGGGTTCTTGGATCTCATGCAAGAAAGAATTCAGGGCAAGTCCTTAAAGTGAAAGTGAGTTTACTAGGAAAGTAAAGGAATAAAAGAATGGCTCTCCGTAGAACAGCCCCAAGAGCTGCTGGTTGTCCATTTTTATAGTTATTTCTTGATTATATGCTAAACAAGGGGTGGATTATTCATGCCTCCCCTTTTTAGACCATATAGGGTAACTTCCTGATGTTGCCATGGCATTTGTAAACTGTCATGGTGCTGGTGGGAGTGTAGCTGTGAGGATAACGAGAGGTCACTCTCTTCACCATCTTGGTTTTGGTGAGTTGTAGCCAGCTTCTTTACTACAACCTGTTTTATCAGCAAGGTCTTTATGATCTGTATCTTGTGCCAACCTCTTGTATCATCCTGTGACTAAGAATGCATTAACCTGCTGGAAACCCAGCCCAGTAGGTCTCAGCCTTATTTTACCCGCCCCTATAAGATGGAGTTACTCTGGTTCCAACTTCTGACAGTTTTACTCCCCGCCCCCATCAATCAGCCTTACCTGGATGAACAAGGAAGAATTCAGAAAAACAAAATAAAGGATTTATGTAGTTCACAAAACAAAATAAAATCTGGCCATTTCCTAAATGTCTTAGAAATAGATAAGGTATACCTGGTTTTCCAGTCATACAAATTCTGAGATCATTCCATTTAAGTTCTTCACAGTCAGACGCACCAACTTTCCAACTCTCCAGGAGCTGATTACGAGTTTAAGGATTATGCAGGCTGGCAAGCTGGTCTGTGGCCAAATCTCCTGGAGAAACACTAGGTAAATAATTTTAGGTTTTTAGCCATATGACTCCTTGTTGAACTAAAGTGTTTAAAAAACCTCTAAGAGAATGATGCAGTATACAATAAAGGGATATAGCGTTTCTCAAAACTTATATTTCTACATAATTCAACCACCCTCTTTTTCTGAAAGCCTCACTGTACCAGTGTTCCAGAGGAGTGCTGAAGTTGGTTCCTACCAGCTCATGAAGGCCAACTGTGTTGCATCATTTCCCAGCTTCCCAGTGATGCCATGTCAGTGACTTGAAATTGGCCACAGTGGGAGTATTTAAAGTACGGAAACCAGCGAACTCTAGAAACCAGAAAAACTGGTTATTACATAATTACTACTGTGGTGTTCATAGAATTCACTTTGCTTGTCTTATTCATTGCTATATCACCCACATTCAGCGAAAGTACCTGTTACATATAAAATAGGCATTTCATAAATACTTGATGAATGAATAAAGTCCGGACTAAATCACTCAGTGTTTTTACTTTTCTTGAAGATCTTCTGGGATTTATATTTTACCATTACCCCTAAAAGGTCAATAAGTCCTCTCATACTAAATCTACCTCCTTTTCCTTTTGCTTAAATTTAAGGATATCTTTAAACTTCTCAGTCATTAGGAAGCTGGAAAAAAGGAACATCTTTTTGTTAAAAATTATTTGTTACAAGAAATCTGCATGCGAACTTGGGAGAGATACAGTCTTCTGTTGACTGTGGCATTCAATCAATCCCTCAGGTGGAAAGAATGTGTTACAGCTGGTTTGTTTTAGCAGCATGGCAACCAGGTGGTAACATATTGTGAGCTTAATATGGGGCAATTAATAAGTTTGAATGGCCAATTATGAATTCATCTTGCATCATTCTGGAGCTGCCTCAATTGATATTCATTCAGTGCTTACTGGAAACAGAATAGGAGATATTTATATTTTGGTACTTGGATTAGAGTTATGCAATTCTTCTCTCAGTTTACCTTCTTTTCCTGGAAAGTTTTTCTTGCTAAGAATGGTGTCTGACAATGATTAAAATATCACTTGACTTTTTGCCAAGGCAGTAACTGGAAGTCTGACAGCTGTGTAGTTAAACTTCTTGGTTCCTGCTAATATGATATTACAAATTTCCATAAAAAACTTTGAACACCTAAAATAGATGATATTCTGGGAATTGTTACCTATGGGCCAATTAATGACACTCAAATCTTTTGAGAAGGGATTCCAGTAGTATCATATAAAACAGAGGTTCTTAAACTTTGGAAAGTATCTAAATCACCTGTGGCATTAGTTTGAACTTCAGTGTGAAGGATTTCTACTAGATATTTCTGACATCGATAATTTCTCTCCACTTGATTGCTGTTAAGTACTTAACTTGCATATCTAAAAGAAGGGAAATATATTAATTATATTTTAATTCCTTCACTCCTCTAATCCTCATTTTCTATCAATTAGTCCTATAAATTTCATTCATTAATGTCTTTCAAAACTATCACTCTCCATTCCACTCACAGTTACTGCCTTAGTTAATGCTATGGATATTATAGTAGTCTCCCATATGGTTTCCCTACATATGATCTTTCTTCCTTTAAATTCATCATCTTATTCGCACAGTTATTATGTATATATTACCGATACATAATAGTTCTTTAGTGTTTGCTCATCACATCTTTTACCAATCTGTAGAATCCATAGAACTGGTAGAACAAAATATTTTTAGGTGGGACTTGGATAATTGTATAAAAAAGAAACACTTATAGGTTTATTTTTATGTGGACTTAAAAATATAACTGATGCCTTCTATTTGAGACAGGAGAGTTAGGTTCTTGGTAAATGGTAGAGTAGCAGATGCTGTTAGTACCCTGTCCACATTTTCTTGGCCCACCTGGATTTGCCTTAGCATTTCCATGGACCGTAGAAACCAATTATTTTTGATTAACTAGCTGAGGGAGGATGCTTGGTCTGTGCCTGGGTTAGGCCTGACTGGGGGAAGAGTGTTAACTGCTCTCAGAGCAACCAACAATGAAGGTCAGGAGTTTGTTGATAAATTATCTCAACTTCCTTGCCCCTTGATGGGACAATTCCATGCTGAGTTCTACAGTTTCTTAGAGGATATCTGTTGCCTGCTGTGATAACTTGTTCTTTAACATTCTGTTTATTGGCTTTCCTCCATTTCCTTTCACTATTTCCCAATCCCTTAACATGCTTCCTGGAGTTGCTTTCTAAGGAAATTAGTTGCATCCAAATCCTTGATTCAGAAAACCTAGTCTAAAGCAGTTGGTACCAGAGGTGGTCATAGAAAGCAAGCCCTTAGTATGAGAGTCTGAAATCTGATCATTCTCTGGCCAGACAAAATAAAGATCCCATTGCTGATGTTAACTGGGGTGGTAACAATACCAGCATGTTGTAGCATTGCTATTACCAGGTTTCTGGAAACCCTCAAGGTTTGCAGAAACAACCTTCTCTCTCTGGCTAGCAGCTTCCATTGCCTGGAAGCTTCTTCACTTGAGGCCCTTCAAGATGATGCTTGCCCTCCTTAAGATCTGCCTACACATTTTCTCATTATTTCTAGGCTAATAACTAGGGTCAAGTTTTAGCATGAAAAAAAACAGGGATGTATAGTCTCTGCTATTGGTGGGAGTGTATTACTAATTAAAGAGTTGTAACACATGGTTAATACCAACAGGAATGGAAAGAGCATGTGTGGGAATAGTGTAGAATAGGGGCAGGGGTAAAACACATGATTAGATAGGGAAGAGTTTATTGCTATAGAGGTATTTTCTCATAACTCAGGGTTTAACATACTGGCAATAATGCTGGGATCTGGTCTTAATATACCACCAGTGTAACTCCTTGAAATGATGGTGATAACAATGACATAGTAAATGAGGTAGAGATGCTTGAACTGCCATAGTAGATAATGAAGCAAAAGATCAGAAGTCCCAGAGGAATCATCATGCTAGAATAAACATATTACAGAAAACAGCTGACTATGTTCTCTTGTAGGGCATAGAGGACACTTCCTACACTAAAGCAATGAACAGCACACTAGTGAGAGGGCCACTGGCATCCCTGAGAAGCTCAGCGATAGCTGTGTTTGTAAGCAAGTTGATGATAAAAGTTGCTACTGTGGTACTAACTGCCTAATGTCAGTGATGATAATAGGATTTTAATAGAAGAGGCCCAGTGGTGACACTTAACCACTCGAAGCAGGGTGATTATAATTAATTGCCAACACAGTTGGATAGGCACCAGGGAGCCTATACTTATAGGGATCTGTAGCAATGGCTTATAAACCATGATTTCTTAGGGACAAGAGAGATGGGCAGCCAATTAAAGTATTGCTTGAATTACATAACTAAATAATATTAAGAGCTTGCAAGTAGAGGGTTGAAATCAAGTTTTTTCTTGCAACAAAAAAATTCACTCTTACTCATTTTGCAGACATGAAGCCTATTGACTGAAGAGGAGGCTGATCCCCTTGAAGAAGGGCTATACAATACTACAACATGCATTTCCAGAAGGCGTTTACCATTTCATCACTCAGGGGCTCTATAGCCATTTACCAATACTCTGTACCCTGGGGCTGGGTATGCTCAGATCTTGTGAGGATTACTTTATAAGAGGGTAAGCCAATAGTGATACTAGAGGCTGTAAAATTCTCTCATGGCATCCTTGTTAGAATTGCTAAATATAAAGGCCATGAAACACATGGAGTCCTGGTCCAAGTTCAACTCATAGCAGGTCTAGAGTAGATCCAACCCACAACCCATTCTTGGTCATGTTTTCAGTTCCTGAGTACAGAATCATGGCAGCAACATCAGCAACTAGCAGAATCATCATTTTGGTTCCACATTTGTGGAGTAAGAGCCACCTTGTTAGAAAAAGCCAAATGGAAACCTCTGAAATTGCCTTCCCCTACCTCTCCCTTATATTTTGGTTAATATGGTAAATAAGAAGTAGTAATAGAGTACTCTATCCCAGGAGGAATTGCAGGAACTGTATCAAAGACTAAAAAGATGCAGGGGTAGTAGTCTTCATGATATCAAAGTTGAATTGAACTATATAGCCTTTATGAAAAACCTGGTTGATGAATCATGGTAGATGCAGGTGAACTTCAAAATGAAACTGTACTAGTTTGTATTGGTCATTATTATTTTTATTATTACAATTATCCTGGAAGTCAATGGAAGAAACTGTTTCCATGAAGAGGAAGTGATCATCTATGTAACTTGCTGTTGAGATATCAACTAAAATCAGGACTAAGACTTGACTGTTGGATTTAGCAGCATTGTTGACCTTGACAAGAGCTATTTAGGTAAAATAGTGGTGGCAAAAGCTTGATTGGGTAGAGTTAAAGACAAAATGGAAGAGAATAATTGTATATAGAATATATAAGCAACTCTTTTAAAAAATGTTTCTGTTAAGTAAAAGAGAAGCAGTAGCTAAAGGGGATTAGAGTTCAAGAGGAATTTATTTATTTTTCCATGGGAGAAACTAGAGCATTTTAAAAATGTAGATGGGACATATTCAAACAAGAGGAAGTATTTATGTGGACTAGGGAAGAATTGCTATAGCAATTTCCTTGAGTAGGTAAAAAGGGTTGGAAACCAGTGTACAATTTTAAAAAATTGCTTTTAAATAGATGAGGCAGTATATACATAAATGAAATCAGTAGTGAGTGTTCCCTTCAGATAACTGTAGTTGGATTAGTAGCAGGCAAATATGGCTTCAGAGAATACTATGCTCAGGGGATGAAAAGTATTTAGGATATCTCAAATATCTTATCATTTATTATGTTCATTTTTTGAAAGTTGAAGGTGTAGTGCTGTAATTTTGTCTACTATCAGCCCTGATGATTGGCTTAGCATTTTCTATTCACCACATGCAAAAAGTAATTACTCTTACCTTTCATATTGCTTTTACTTCTCTCTGACACATTTTGAGGGAAAATGCTATGATATTCTAACAATTCAGATGAGATAAGAGGCTAGTATAACTCCACATATGAGGAAACTTCAAAAAGTTTGTGGAAAAAAAGGAATAAAAAGATAAAAATAAAAAATATAAACTTTATTTCTTAACATAAGCTTCATCAAGTTCAAGACACTTTTAAAAGTGATGACACCAGCCATTTAGTCTATTCCTAAAGAACTGAGACCATGAGAATTTAACCATGTCGGTGTTTTGTTTTATTTTTTATTTTTTTACTGAAGAAAAATGGGAGTCTTTTACAGATATTTTAAGATCAGAAAACAAAAAGAACTTCAGAAGAAGCCAAATCAGGACTGTAAGGTGGATGCTCAGCAATTTCGCATCAAAACTCTTGCAAAATTGTCCTTGCTTGATGAGAGAAATGAAAAGGAGAATTGCCACGGTGGAGAAGGACTCACTGGTGAGGCTTTCCTGGGTATTTTTCTGCTAAAGCTTCAGCTAACTTTCTGAAAACACTCTCATAATAAGCAGATGTTATCATTTTTTAGCCCTCCAGAGAGTAAACAAGCAAAATGCCTTGAGCATACCAAAAAACTGTTGCCATGACCTTGCTCTTGACCAGTCCACTTTTGCTTTGACTAAACCACTTCCACCTCTTTGTAGCCATTGCTTTGATCGTGCTTTGTTTTCAGGATCATATTGATAAAACCATGTTCCATTTCCTGCTACAATTCTTTGAATAAATGCTTCAGAATCTTGATCCTACTTACTTAAAATTTCATTGAAAACTCTGCTCTTGCCTGCAATTGATCTGGGTGCAATGGTTTTGTCACCGATCAAGTGTGAAAAGTTTGCTCCTTTAAATTTTCAGTCACAATTGTGTGAGCTGAAACAATCGAGATGTCTACAGTGTTGGATATTGTTTCTGCTGCTAATCATTGGTTCTGTTTAATTAGGAGGCAAACAAGATGATTTTTTCCCTCAAAATTGATGTGGATAGTCTGCCTCTGCAGGCTTCATCTTCAACATCATCTCCTTTCTTCCTAAAACAAGATACCCATTTGTAATCTGCTGATTTCTTTGGGGCCTTGTCCTCATAAACTTTTTGTAAAGGATCAGTGATATCACCATTCTTCCACCCAAGCTTCACCATAAATTTGGTGTTTGTTCTGGTTTCAATATTAGCAGAATTCCTGTTGTTCTGATAGGGTCTGTTTTCAAACTGAGGTCTTATCCTTCTTATTGCTTCAGACTAGATCCTGTTCAAACATGTTACAACAAGTTAGTACAAGTTTATTTTGGTGCAGAAAAATTGAAATTTCTGCATAGTTTTTTCATAATATGCATTTTCCATGAACTTTTTTTTTTTTTTTTTTTTGAGACGGAGTCTCGCTCTGTCTCCCAGGCTGGAGTGCAGTGGCACGATCTTGGCTCACTGCAAGCTCCGCCTCCCATGTTCATGCTGTTCTCCTGCCTCAGCCTCCCGAGTAGCTGGGACTACAGGCATCCACCACCTCGCCTGGCTAATTTTTTGTATTTTTAGTAGAGGCGGGGTTTCACCATGTTAGCCAGGATGGTCTCGATCTCCTGACCTCGTGATCCACCCACCTCAGCCTCCCAAAGTGCTGGGATTATAGGCCTGAGCCACCGTGCGCGGCCTCCATGAACTTTTTGAAGATCACTCTTATATCTGAGCATTTGTGTAACCCTAAATCAAATCCTTTCATACTCTTTGATGATTTATTTTTAGGCTATGTCTCCCATTTCCAAGAGCAAATATCTGCAAAGTGGTAAGATCCTTGGTGGCTTTGAGTAAATTAAAAGTATGTGAGATAGGAGAAAACCTTAGGAAGGCTGAGCATCTGTAAAAGCATCAAAAAAAGCCTTTCCTGGGCTGAAGGATCAGAAATCACCTGCTTCTGCCCCTTGAGTTTACACATGAGGAAAACGAAAGTCAGGGAGATTACGTGATTTATCCTAAAAGATATGATTGAATAATGGCAGAGCCAGAGTTAGAAGCAAGGTTTCCTGACTTCTACTCTAGTGTTCTCTATATAATACCTTCCTTTTTGATTATAATGCATTTGTAAAAAAATCAATGTGTCAAATTTTAGGATACATATAAATAATTATTTTTCAGTATGATATACATCATAAAGTATGGATTTACGTAAATGACCCACCCAATATTTATTTTATATAGTCAAACATAATTTTCATTTTATAAAAATATTTATATTTATAAAATATTTACGTTTTTTATATTATGTATAATTTATTTTTGTATATTTAAAATATTTATAATTACAAAATAACTTCAAAAGCTTTTTTAAAGATGGTGCAAATTAGTTTTGCCAAAGAATAAGCTAGGTTGAGTATTGGGATTCACTCAGGATAGTGGCAGAAATATTAGGGAAAAATATTAGTTATGACAGCCACAAAATCGTTTTGGAAGGCTGTTTTCACATGACTTCGGTAATGGACCCATTACCTTTAGTTAAATAGATTAGAGTAGTAAACAATGGGAGGTGAGGAAGTTACATAGTTAAGCTTGTTTACTCATATGGTCTTAAGATGAGCCTTTGATGTGTGCTTTTTACTCGGGAAGTCCACAATGTCAATTACACTCAAGCTTTTGTTAACTAATCTTAATGAATAAATGCAAGCCTCCCGACCTGATGGGGCAGGCAGCAGTGACAAGCCTCTCTTGGTGTGTAGGCAGTCGGACACTCAGCAAAACTGGCAAAACAGAATATCTGTGTGTCAGTGTACGTTTTATTCATCTGTCGTTTGGGTCAGGGTCTTGAAATTTTTTGCTTCTTTGATGTAACAGGTTATTACAGACTAGGAAACCATATTGTCTTAAGAAAGCAAGGAAGAAAAAATGTTTTTCATCAGCTATGGTTTGGCCACTAGACAAAGACTCACATCCACAGCTTTATGAATAGGCATTATCTCCAATACACAGTATAACAAGCTCTCAGAGGTTAAGTAATGGTCCCAAGGTAACGGATCCAAAAAGTGGGGAACTGATATTTCACTGAAGAGAAATTTGTGAAAGAAAGGAAAATATTACTGACCTCATAGTTTTGTGCAGGTCTGACTCTTCCATATGACTCTGTTCAAATTTATCCTACCATAAATAATTGTATAAATGATAAGAACAAAAGGTATGTGCAGTTAATAAATAACTGATTGATTGATTGAGTCTGGTGTCTTTTCTTTCACCAACTTCCTTGTGACAGTAAGAAAGTCACTTAAACTTCCTCTGTCCTCATAAGACCGATTTTGGGTTCTTATATTTGATTAGTGTATGAGCTCATATATGTCCTGAGAATTTCAGATTTTCATAGAATAGATACCATCTTCATATCACTTAATAATTTTGGTGAATATCCTGATTCTATTTCTGTTAAGGAGATATTTGGACTTTGCACAAACTAGTAATTTGTCAGATGCATTGCCTGTGTCAAACACTACTTAAACAGACACTGATAAGTAATTTAGAAACAAAATAAAGGTGTGTGATTTTTTGTGTGTGTGAAAAGGAGGAGGAATAGAAATGTATACAATTTTTTAAATGATACATTTCTCAAAAGCTGATACATTTCTCAAAAGCTTGTATTACAAGAAAATAGCTGGTGTATGAGAATACAAATGTAAACTGGATTAGAAATTAATGTGAAACAGTGAAATAATTCTTTTAAAATTCAGTGATATGTGTTCTACATATGCCAAATATTTATTAGTGTTTTAACCAGCTTAAGGTATAATTGATTATAACATTAAAAATTATAGAAAAAGAAAAGAAATTGAGAAGCTCTTCAAAATCGATAAGTCACTTTATTCATCTATTTTAAGAATAAGAACTCTTCCTTGGACAAATTCATGGAAAATGAAAAATATAACTTCAAAATCTCTTTCCTTCTTTCTTCAATATGTATTTCTTTAAGCATCTATCATAAAAGGCATTGTGTTAGGTGTTCTGAGGAATTTAAAAAATGGAAAAGAGATTGCTATCTTCCTAATGATGAATAAGTAATCATTAGGAGGATAGGAATGGGAGGTTTAGGAGGGGGAATAAGGACACATACAATTGTGATGCAAAAGGAAGAATTTGAACAATCTCAGAAGAGTGGCAAAAATTTCGATTGGAGTTTCAGTTGAGATGACATTAAAATTATAGATGCTAAATTATCTAACAATGAACATGAAATACCTGCTTCATAAGGTTCTTGGGCATTCCATATAAGGTTAGTTCCAGTTCATATTGATATTGTGAATGGATCTTTATTTTGTAGTTGATTTTGCCAGTGTAGAGGAATGTTTTAGATTTTTCAAACTGATTCGATAACACTGTCTGATTTGTTTTAATAGCACCAACAGATAGTTGTTTATGTTGGTATAGAATTTTGGTATACAAACCTTATAGAATTTCAAGTTTTCTATTCCTAGGCTCAGGAAATGCTTCACTTTGTTTTAGCTTTTAAATAACAAATAGGCATTAAACTTTGTCAAATATTTTTCTGTATCATTGGAGAAATCGCATGATTATTCAGTTTGCATCCATTGATTTTCTGTTGTTTAATTATTTTTGCAATACTGGAAAAAACCTTAATCAATCATTTTCAAATGCTCTTACTGGATTTGGTAGGCTAATATTCTACTTAGAATGTTGGCATCTATGTTTATAAGTGAAATGGCCCTGTAATTTTCTTTTCTTGGACAAGCCTTAACAAATTTTGGGCTCAAGGCTATCTTAGCATCCTAAAATCTGTTAGGCAACCTCCTCCCCAACCATGTTCAAAATTATGGAACAGCTAGTAAAATATAGAGTTATGTGTTCCTTGAGAGTTTTGTAAACCTTACCTGAAACTCTCTGGGTCTAAGATTTCCAATTCTATATTACTTGTCTATTAAAGATATTTATATTTTCTTGTACCAATTTTGGCATTTTATATTTTGTCAATAAATATATCCCTTTAATCTAGGTTATTATTATTTTTAGCATAGAGTTGTTCAGATTATATGTTTATTTTAAAATTTTTAAAAATCTTGCTGTTTCTATAGCTATTTGCCTCTGTATTTCACTATTTTGGTATTGCTTCTTTCTGCTCAAGAGAGAGAAAGACAGGGGTCAAGGAGACTAATAGAGGCTTCCAAGGATTAGTCGACTTATGTGGAAGGCAAGGTTGCAGGAACAATGAAGTATAATTGGAGAGAAGTATATGAACAAAGTTATTGAAGTCAGAAAGATTTTTTTTTGAAAGGAGTAGATAAAAAGCTATTAATTCGCTTGGAGCATAGAATACATATATTATAAGGAAGGGGCCTAGAAGATAATGCCTTAAAGCATAAGTTTGGCACTCGAGCTGGAGCAAATAAACAAGTCTAAGGCAAGTTTAAGAGGTGATGACCAAGGAACATTTTTGAGAAAGTAACATGATTAGGAGCAGAGATTTAGCTGACGTAGATTGTGAAATAACTAAACAGGGACCAACCAAAGAATAATATTAGTCAGTCGTACATAATTATGAGTTACTTTAATTCAGTAATTAAGAATCTCCAGAATTACTGTATTGTTTTTTCTTTTCCAATTTCTGTCACCCTTTTTAAAAAGTTTATACTGCATTCATTGCTTTTGCTCCTACAGCGCCTCCAGTTTTCTTAAGTTCTTGCTATATGGTTTCTGCCCCGACTGTTTAACTCCTAAAAAGCATCATAGACCTGATGTTGCCAAATCAAATTACTTGTTTGTATTTTCATCCTATTTGAAATTCGGATACACTTTACCTCTATGTCATTAGGGAAATTTTCTCTTACCTTGGTTTCTATGAAATTTGGTTACTTTGTTTTCTTTCTTTTCTATAATTATTTATTCTATGGCTCCCCTTTTTCTTCTCCCCCCAACCCCATTTGTTCTTTTTTTTTTTTTTTTTTTTTTTTTTTTTGAGATGGAGTCTTGCTCTGTCATCTGGGCGGGAGTTCAGTGACGCTATCTCAGCTCACTGCAACCTCTGCCTCCCGGGTTAAAGCGATTCTCCTGCCTCAGCCTCCTGAGTAGCTGGGACTAAAGGCACCTGCCACCACACCTGGCTAATTTTTATATTTCTTGTAGAAATGGGGTTTCACCATATTGGCCAGGCTGGTCTCAAACTCCTGACCTTGTGATCTGCCCGCCTGGGACTCCCAAAGTGCTGGGATTACTGGTGTGAGCCACCACACCTAGCCCATTTGTTCTTATTTACTATGATTTTGTTTTGTTTTGGGGGAAAAGTTAGTGGCTGGGCAAAGAAATCTAGGCAATTGTGTTTTTTCTTATAGCTTCAGTCATAACTTCTACCATGATAACTCTCAAATCTAGACTGAACTTACCGAAAGCATGGTCTGTATCTCCTTCACCATTGTAAGCCCACTGCCTAGCATTCATTCAATAAGTCTGTATCAAGAGGCTGCTGTAAATCAGGAATCTGCTAGATGCTAGACATACAATGGCGACAAGATGACCATGATTCCTGAAGAGGTTAGTAATAAATCGTTCTTGAGTAGATGAGTCAATATCTGTCCTCAGCCTTGGTCCCACTTGCAAGCTCCCTACTTGTCAGATATGTTCATGCTGAGGTATATTAAAAAAAAATCTAAAACTAGCTAATCTTTTTCTCTAAGTTTTTTCTTCTTCCCATGTTGTGGTTTCTGCTGATCATACTACTCTTTTCCAAATTTATTAAGCTAAAAAAAATCCCAAACATCTTTGTTGCTTTTCTCAATTTAACTCTCCACAGCCAACTAATTGCCAAGTTCAAGCAATTGTCATGTCTTTACAAACATTCTAAGAATTTTCTCATGGTTTTCCCTCCATGCGAGAGCTCTTTCCCTCCAATGCATACCATGCATTGCTGCCAAATTGGTAGAGCCGAAGCCCAACCTTAATCATGTTACATGCAAACCAGCTAGCCACTGCCAAATAAACTCATTATGAGTTTTCTCTCTGTCTATTGCATTGTAGGTGCTATGTGTTCTAAACATGCAATTATTTAATTATGTTACATGCATTCCTATCTCAAGGCCTTTGCTTTTGCACTTTCATGCACTTGAGGTATCGAGGTACCTCTGTCACTGCATGTTTACTCCTTTCATTCTTCAAAGCCTACTTTAATGCCTACTTTACTTTCATAAAAATCCTTTCTGATGCCCCAGCATCCTTTATCTCCACTGAATTACACTGGCTTTTATTAATATACCATCTTAATTTCTAACACTTTCTAAATGCATAAAATGGGGGTTCATTCAGTTGGTTGCAGGGCTTAGGATTTTATTTTTAGTTTACAGAGCTAAGGCAAGGAAATAGAAGGCATCGCCATTAAAAATGGAGAGGGTGGTGGGAAATTTTCTGGCTGTGGAGCAAAAGTTCTAGAAGACAGAAGATTCTGCCTCTACTAAAATTTCAGCCAACTGAGGCAAGGGAGTGGGTAATTAGAAGATTTCTGTAAAGATAAATTAGAAAGAAAATCATCAAAGTTACATTAGGACACATTATTTTCATCTTGTTTACCAAAGTACCTCATGAGATAATTAAAAGAAAGTTTGGACAGAGTTTGACTACAGCTTTCAATGCCTTTGGAAAGAATAGGCAGCATATTGTCAACTTCGCTGTACAACAACAGCAACAAAAAGTCAGAATTAAGAGAGTATTTTGTATTTTCCCTAAATCTGAACTTCAAGACATTTAATTATACTCTAGTTACTTAAAAGAGAAGTCAGAATACAATTTGGGAGTAAAGTTAGTTTATATTTATGGAAAAATTTCCCTCCGGAAATGGCAGCAAACACTTACCTGATGTTTTTAGAAAATTCCTGGGGACTCATTTGGTATTTAGATACATTTCCTTTTCAGACAAAGGCCAATACAAAATTTTGTGACTAATTTATTGAAGGTCTTTCCCACTGGGCAGGTCAATATTATATGAATCCTGCTTCTAGAAAAAAAAAGAAAAAGAAAAAAAGATAATCAACGATTAAACTTAATTTTAAAAACAGAAGAGTCAATTACAGGACTGAAGGGCGCTTCTTCACTCTGTGAATGTTTGGTGCTTCTTTTGACTAGGATTTGACTGTGCTGCGTCCACATTCCTAGAGATGTTAGAGAGCAAGCTAATTATAAAAGGGAGCTTGATTTTTCTCCCTTTTTCCCCTTCCCAGATTCATGATTTATTCTCTTGCCTTCTCTGCTCTGCTTTTTGTGAGTACTTTTGGTGGAGTGACCTTATTACTTACAATTCCTGGGTCCACTATCCCTCTGGCTTCTGAGTGGGTTCAGAGAGTCAGAGGACCTAAGGAAAAAGGGGCTGGGGTTTTTCTTCACCTGCTCCTTTCCTGTCTTTGTGCCTTAAAACTATAGATCCTACTTGGCTACTGTCACTGGACTCAAACACCATCAGTTCCTCTCCTTATCCCTTCAGGCTGGGGTGGTAACGGCTCCCTCCTTTTTCTAAACCCTGAGTGCATCCACATTTTCTATAGGTTCCCTTAACCTACCGACCCCTTCAGAAATAGTCCCTTCCCTAAATTCTTTTAAGCCTTTGGGCTGTCAACTGAAGAATGATGAGTTTCTTAAATTTGGACAGGAGAGCTTTATTTCTCATAAAGGGCTGCAGCTTGCTGGGTGGCCAATCTCACAGGCTAGAAAGCACAGCCTCTGGCCAGAAGCTGGAAACATACACTTCAACGGAGGGGCAAAGGGAACAGGAATTTATGCTGAGCAAGGTGGCCAAAGATACATATTTAATACGCTATAGGAAGAGTCGTAAATATTTATGAGCGGAGAAATGTGCGTGTGTGCAATTGAGATTCATGCCTCTCCGTAGGACCCATGTTCAAAAAAAGGCAGCGTGTTAGCATGATGTGAGGTTAGAGTTTTCAGTCCTCTGTCATCAAAAGGTGAAGCAGAGGACATGAAAACCCTCACTATGCATCCACTGTGGACTTGCCAGAAAACACTCCATGGCCAGTAATCTCTTATGAGGAAGAAACGCTGGTAGTTTTTTTTTTTTTTTTTTTTTTGAGATGGAGTCTCACTCTGTTGCCCAGCCTGGAGTGAAGGGCTCACTGCAACCTCTGCCTCCAGGTTCAAGCAATTCTCCTGCCTCAGCCTCCCAAGTAGCTGGGACTAAAGGAGCGTGCCACCACACCCTGCTAAGTTTTTAAATTTTTAATAGAGATGGGGTTTTGCCATGTTGGCCTGGCTGGTCTCAAACTCCTGACCTCAGGTGATCCCCCTGCCTCGGCCTCTGAAAGTGCTGGAATTACAGGTGTGAGCCCCACCGTGCCCAGCTTTTTTTTTTTTTAATTAGACAGAGTCTTGCTCTGTTGCCCAGACTGGAGTGAGGTGGTGTGATCTCTGCTCACTGCAACCTCCGCCTCCCAGGTTCAAGCGATTTTCCTACCTCAGCCTCCTGAGTAGCTGGGACTACAGATGCGCACCATCACGCCCGGCTAAATTTTAGTATTTTTAGGAGGCGGGGTTTCGCCATGTTGGCCAGGGTGCTCTGGAACTCCTAATCTCAGGTGATCCACCCTTCTTGGCCTCCCAAAGTGCTGAGATTACAGGCATGAGCCACCATGCCCGGCCGCTGGTAGTTGCTTTGTTGAAACTGCAAAATGGAGGGGCATCATCAGGCAATTGTTGATATCAGTGTGTAGTCTTTTCAAAGAGCTGGTTTTGATTTAGCCCTTAGTGAAGAAAGTGTCTTGGCAATTAGCGAGGGAGGGGGTTATAAGGAGACGTGTCTGATGCCCCATCTCTTCTTGGTCGAGAACTCAGTTTTCAAGCTTACTCTGGGGTCCTCTTGGCCAAGAGGGGCTCTGTTCAGTCAATTGTGAGGCTTAAAATTTCACTTTTATTTCTCAGGGCTGAGTGTGCCTTCCTTTTGCTTTCCACTGGGGCTCAGACTGATCCAGAGAACTGAACTGTTATCTTTATTTACAGAAAAATATATAACTGAAAGATGGGCCACGGAAGCTTCAAGATGTGGTGTTGGAAATTATGACTGTGCTGTTTTATGGCTTGACGGTGAATTCTGTATATGGTTAGGAAGTAACTTTGCTCTTTCTCACTTCTGAGTGCCCCTCCACACTTAGACCTAGGCAAGAGGCTCCTGCTCTGAGCCCTGTGCTTTAGCAGACCTCACTCTGGCCCTCCTCTAGCTGTGGTCCTTTCCTAGGATTGAGGAGTCTGTGTGGCCAACAGGATGTGCTGAGTAAAACCCCTGTCTCTATCCATTATACTTCACCCCAACCTCTCATCCCTTTGCCTTCCAGCACCTGACATCTAAACTGCGTTTTGGATATATTGGCTCTAGAATTCTCCACCCAAACACAGCTGAGCCCACGAGCCCACTTCTAGGCCCTGATTGTACATTTTTTTTTTTTTTTTTTTTTTTTTTTGGAAAAGAACCAGGTTGCTGCCCTGGTGATTTGGATGGAGCTAAGGATGGGAAGAGAGAGGCAGTATTCAGACCAGGAATTGGAGCTGGAGGTTGAATTTCACCACCATCTTCAGGTGCAAAACCTCAAGAAATCCACTCAGTCTAAATTTAAACCTGCCTTTCTAGTTTCAGTTTCCTTTGAGTAAACTAAAAGGATGATGCCAATCAGGGAGGGGTCTGGAACACTGTGTGGTCAAAAATTACTTAGTCTGGACTGGATGGCGTGAGGGGAAGCCTCTGGGCATGGAGTAGGAGGGGCTGTGTGCTGGGCTGGACCTCCATCTCGATCATTTCCTTTGTGTTTTCTCTTTTCAATAAAACAACATATTTGATCCCTCTAATGTGTTCACTATTAAGCACTAAAATGACACAAATACAAGTTTTTTGATAATTTCCTGAAGCAAATAATTTATCCTAAAGACCATTTTTTGCCTACTGTAGGGGCAGAAAAGTGGGATATGTTTTTTTCATGCATCACAAGGAACACTTTTGTAAAAAAACAACAAGAGAAAAGCACAGCCAATTTATTTAATCCAAGTTTCACATGACATGGAAGCCTTCATAAATGAAGACTCAAAGACGCAAGGAAAACTGTGTGTTTTTATGCTTAGGTTCAATGAAGAATGAACAGCCATGTAGAAATGTGATTGGACAAAAGGGTATCGTCTAATGGTAAGAGACTGAGTGGGGAAACCCAGGAGGGACTGTCTGTTCAGATTCTTCTTGGCCTCTGTGTGTGGCATTCCTTTCCTCTGTGTTTAGACAGGGCACTTGTCACATAAGGGTTAGTAAGGAGAAGGGAGAAGGTCAGACAGTGACCTTTCTAGGTTTTACGGCCTGCCTTGGGGAAGAGGAGTTCTACTTTCTATGACCTACATTAGGGGAGAGGAATTCTGGTTTCTGTGAATCACTTCAGGGGGAAAAAAGCGGCAAGAGACAGGAGGGTGGGAGAAGGTCAGAAAGACATTGCTACTAAGGTCCTTCAGTTCAAAATGCTCAGCATGCGGGGGTGTTGTACTCTAGGTTATTGTGTTCTGAGCCCCAATATTACCTACTTTAATCAAAGAGCTCATCATACTTTATGAACTCCTTTTGATGTTCTAGGAATACACTATGAAGTAAAAAAAATGTCATGGTCAAGTAAGTTAGATTAACATGACTGTATCACATACTGCAAGCATTAGAGGTTGACACATCAAGCCCATGTCCCTGTTCAAGACTTCCAGATAACCTGTCTTTATTTGAATGCTAATTTCCAAATTGCTCTGCATCTCTCTCAACCTGATCCATCAAGCAGCCCATCTGATCTTTCAGAACTTCCCCTTGTGCCCTCCAGAACTCATAGGCTATCACCAACAAACTACCTTACATCTTCACTGCCTTGTATGAACATTCCTTCCACCTTACTCCAACTGAAAACTGCTCTGAGATTAGTACTTTCCTGGTGATTTTTCTCCCCATACACTGAACATCTCAGAGCTGGAAGCTGGAGGAGGTATCCTTGGTAACCCTTAGTTGTGAAGATCTTGTTCCTCACTATCTCTTAAATTCTTCCCCTCCTGCTTGTTTTCACAGCAACCACCCTAATTTGAACTCATTAAAGGCTCTAGATTCCTGCAATCGCCCCCTAACTATATCTCCTCCTCCTAGTATGGGCCCATTCCAATCTGTTCTCCACGCTGCTGTGATATTGATTTTTTAAATCACGCCATTTTCTTGTTTAAAGTCCTTAAATAGCTCCCCACAGCTTTCAAGGATAAAGTTCAAACTCTTTCATTTAGTACATACAGCCTTTCATGACCCCATTTCTTCCTGTAATTTCAGCTTTATTGTCTGCTACTCCTTCACATTCGCCCTTTGCTCCAGCCATACTGAGCTATTTGTAGTTCTTTGCAGTTTCCAAGAGAACCAGACCACTTTTCAGGATAATCCCCTCCTGGGATGACTTAATGCACTTTATGTGTGCTCCTAACACTCTCTGACCACTCTGTCCATCTATCACTGCACTTGTACTGTGCCACATGCTCTTTGATTTGCACCTTCTTGAGAGCAAACACCATGTTTCAGTCAGATTTGCATCCCTAGCACCTGGTAGGTGTTTGCTCAATAAATGAATAAAGAAAGGGGTAACCAAAGCTATTCTACCGATAGATAATGGGGTACAATTTTGAGTTGTTTGGAAAGTTGGTTGGTGTTGACTAGTTAATTTTCCTTCTATTGCTTCCTATGAAGTTAATGTTGCATGTGTATGTTGGGTGATATTGGTAATGGGGAGAGGGTATGGCTGTGTGTGTTGTGTGTGTTTGGGAAGGGACAGGCTGCATAAAACAAATTACCTTCCTTAGGAAGCCCCCCAAAATCTTGCTCTCAGGACCTGTGGAGAATAAATTGCCATAATTAGCTGTTGAATAAATTCTTATGACTACCTGTCTTGGAATGCCGTTATGGGCTAGGATTAAAGTATTCTAGGGTTCTTTACCCTAGTTTCTCTGTGCACATTCTTTTGGTAAGCCGTCAAATTAGCACAAGGTTCTCATTAACATCAAAATCTAATCAACCAAATTTACTGTTAACAGAAATAACTCTCAGAGATTTGACATGGACTAACCAGTTAATGAGGATAATGTGCTTTAAAATCAGGCTGGCTGAAAAATTAGACAGTGAAGGTGTTTTTCATGCTCTTTCTTCTCTTTGTCTGGAATGTCCAGTCCTTGCCTTTCTGCTCAAATTTGTTCCTCAGGACTTCCCTAAGTTACCCAAACTGACATAGGCATTGTCCCTGAGTTTCCATAGCACGCCATGGTACCTCACTAATAGCACAGGCTGAACAGGAATGTTTTAATGAATATCTGTCTCTCCTAGACCATAAGTTCTTTAAGAACAGGAGCTATGTTATTTTTGTTTGTTTGTTTATTTCATCCTAGTTCCTAGGATTGTATCTAAAACACAGTAAAAACCAATTAATATTGCTTAACTTTCCGGGTCATGGGAAGCAACAAAATCTATGATGGCTGTAGGCTTGGCCAGAGAAATTACTTGTATATAAAATAACCATATACTTGTTTATATGAAAATAACATATACTACTTACAGAGAATTTGAATGCATAGAAGTACACAAAAAAGAAAATTTAAATTTTCTGTAATCTTTACAACTACCCAAGATGAATTACTTTTAATAGGTTGAACATTTTACTTTTGTGTACATACAATATTTGAGGGTCGAACTTAAATATTTATGTCAAGTTTAAATATTTAGTTTAAGTTCATATCAAATCAAGAATCAAAATGTGGAGCACTCCTAAGGAATCAAATACTCCCTTGAGTCAAAACAGTTTCAAGGACAGGAGGGACATGTAAGATTTTCAAAAGTTAGTTCAATTTAGGGAACCATTTAACCTTGAAGGAGCTATTCACCTAGGATGAGTAAGCGTCTTATTCTGAAACCAGATTTTATTTGTATAGAATTAGTCTTTTGACTGTTTTCCACTTTTTAAAAACCTATTTTATAAAGATTGAAGGATCAGTTATTCAAATCTACAGATTTTGTTTATCCAGATTCATAGCTGAAGAGTAGCTAGCAGTTGGAATGTGCAGAAATGGCTCTGAAACTTTGAGTAGGTGTTCTGAAATGTCGTTTTCTCTGGGTAATGTCATTAATATTCCTGGATCTGTGATCTCCTCCCTGGGGGCTATGGTGACAAGGAACAGCCTCTTTACATCCCTCCCTCCTTCCCTCACCATTCTAGCCCCGGTATTATAGTAATAAGGGTAAAGGGACAATCACTCCTCTTAAGGAAAATAAAACCCTAGTCTTTCAAGGTTGCTCTTGGAGGGAAATCTTGCACGTCTCAGAAAAACCCTCAGTCATTATTTCCCCTGTTCTGAAGTGAGCTTAGGGCACCATTTTCCTTTTAACATTCTAGGACCAAAGTAAACCCAAGGTCTTTGCCTTTAACTTTCGGTAACATAGCTGAGATGAGGCTACAACTTTTTTTTAAAAGCCTTTGTAGAGAAGAAAAAAAATGACTTCTCTTTACCCTCCCAAGTTCTTGCTAGTCTATGAATTAAATTGACATGAAAAAGATTAACAGGAGAAAAACCATATGTAATTATATACATTTATACAGGAGACCCACAAAAATATGAGACTTGAAGAAGGGTCAGATAATTGAAGCTTCTATGGCATCTTGAGCTATCAAAAGGAATAAGGGCTTGGAGCTTTTGGCAGGTGGTAAAGACAAGTTATAGGAGGGTGAGGGGAGGAAATATATGGTATAAAAATATGGAAATAAAAGTCTCTTGGGTGATAAAAGGAGAAGGTCTCTTTCTGATACAGATATCTTTACTAAAAAAAATTTATTTTTCAAAGATGTAAATTGATTTTACAAAGGGCAGCTTTTCAGAGCTATTTCTATTTCTGCAGTTTCTCAGAATAACCAGCTTTAAATAATCAATATGCCAAAGAGAAATATTTTGAGGTGGTATTTCCTGAGCCCAAACAGGAAATACCACCCCAAAATATTTCTTTTTGAGATAGAGTCTTGTTAGCAGTATTACAGCTCACTGCAGCCTTGATCTCCCCAGCCTCAGGTGATCTTCCCACCTCAGCCTCCCAACTAGCTGGGACTACAGGCACATGCCACCACACCTGGCTACTTTTTATATTTTTGTGGAGATGGTGTCTTGCTATGATGCCCAGGCTGGGCTTGAACTCTGGGGCTCTAGTGATCCGCCCACCCAAACTGCAGGGATTACATGTATGAGCCACCGTGCCCAGCCTTATGATTCTGCATTTCTAACAAGTGCCCAGATGATGTTTCTGCTACTGGTCTGCACATCAAACTTTGAGGAACCAGGGCATATGCCTGGTAATATTAGAAATGATTGGGGCATCACAGCAGGGACTGGAAACCATGAGCTGCCTGGGAAAAAGGAGGAGACGACAGTTTGTGAAACACTCCAGGAAACTCTCCTCTAACCAAATTTCAGGACCTTTCTCAAATCATGTGACCCTGAGAATGTACACCTCCTTAAATCTTGCATCCCAGGTGCTTCACTTTACTCACTCTAGATCCTCTCTGTCTGGAATCAAGATACAATCATAAAATTGATGGAAAAGTATATATGTCAAATTTTAGAAAAATCCCAAATCTTAAAATCGTAAAAATTAAAAGAAGCTTACTACACAAGAGAAACCAGTATTTAGTGAATGTCTACCATATGCCACATTCTTTGGAGAGTATTGCGCTAAAATCTTTTGGGTGTAAGTCATTACGAAGTTCATTTTGGAGATGAGAAAATTAAGGTTTAGAAGTTTTTAAATGTCTTTTAAAATTCCCACTAGGAATTAGGGAGAGAGTTTGATTCCAAAGTTGTACTGCTCTACTCCACCACCACTCCTGACTATCCTTGGAGGGTTAGGTGTCTAGCTCTATGAAAACTAACTCCGTGAAAGGTAACATTTCATTACAGTGAATATTTAATGAGAAGATCTATGGGGAAAGGAAATAGTATAGGTAATCAAAAACAAAAATGTATACTTGATTTTGGGACAAACCATTTTTTTTGGTAGTCCTAGATTCTTAACTTTATTTTCCTTCTGATGATATTAAAATTTAATATTTATTCTATCTATTAAGTGACAGGAGCTGTTAATAAAAAATATGTTGTTGCATAGGTAGAGAAAAACCTGACTTGGCAATAAATATTGTTTCAAATAAATGCTGGCATAAACAAGCGATGAATGAGTAATTTTAAGCTATCTTTACACATTCTTTTAAGACTCCTAAGTTTGAAATAGTTTATCTGAAACATTGAATAAATTTAAAAAATCACAGTGTTAATTGGGATTAAATTAATTTTGAGCCATGCTGTTGAGAGGTGAAGCCTGCTTGGCTTCTGGGTTGGGTGGAGACTTGGAGAACTTTTCTGTCTAGCTAAAGGTTTGTAAACGCACCAATCAGCACTCTGTAAAAATGCACCAATCAGTGCTCTGTGTCTAGTTAAAGGTTTTTAAACGCACCAATCAGCACTCTGTAAAAACGGACCAATCAGCAGGACGTGGGTGGGGCCAAATAAGGGACTAAAAGCTGGCCACCCGCAGCAGTGGCAACCCACTCAGGTCCCCTTCCATGCTGTGGAAGCTTTGTTCTTTCGTTCTTCACAATACATCTTGCTGCTGCTCACTCTTTGGGTCTGCATTACCTTTAAGAGCTGTAACACTCACTGTGAAGGTCTGTGGCTTCACTCCTGAAGTCAAGCAAGACCACGAATCCACTGGAAGAAACTCCGGACACATCTGAACATCTGAAGGAACAAACTCTGGACAAACTGTCTTTAAGAACTGTAACACTCACTGCGAGGGTCCGCAGCTTCATTCTTGAAGTCAGTAAGACCAAGAACCCACCAGAAGAAACCAATTCCGGACACACTGTGACCAAATTAGATAATTAATGAGAATGTGCTACCATATAATTCTTTTTAAATAATCAGCTTTATCAATAGAACTTGTACCTAGACATGCAAATTAAATTTAAAGAACAGTTGATCTCTAACCAGTAATATATAGACCATCGAGTCACTGAATTTCTTTTTGTTCTTTGTTTGCTGGAGATGGAGTCTCGCTCTGTCGCCCAGGCTGGAATGCAGTGGCGTGATCTTGGCTCACTGCAACCTCCGCCTCCCAGGCTCAATTGTTCTCCTGCCTCAGCCTCTCGAGTAGCAGGAACTACAGGTGTGTGCCACCACGCCCATCTAATTTTTGTATTTTTAGTAGAATAGAGGTGAGGTTTCACTATGTTGGCCAGTCTGGTCTCGAACTCCTGACCTCAAGTGATCCACCGGCCTCGGCCTCCCAAAGTGTTGGGATTATAGGCTTGAGTCACTGCACCTGCCGAGTCACTGAATTTCACTTGTAACCATCACAGGAGTAAACATTTAATCTTAGCATTTTAAAATCACTTCACACATTACTTGTATTTTTTGACACTACATCCTAGTTAGTAGCCAAAATGAATTTCTTCCCTTAAAAGAACAATTGGGCTAACTTTGATCCTTTGAACTAAAATTGCTTTAAAATTCAGTTTGTTGGCTGGGCACAGTGGCTCACGCCTGTAATCCCAACACTTTGGGAGGCCAAGGCGGGCGGATCATGAGGTCAGGAGATCGAGACCATCCTGGCTAACACGATGAAACCCTGTCTCTACTAAAAAAATACAAAAAAATTAGCCGGGCGTGGTGGCGGGCATCTGTAGTCCCAGCTACTCGGGAAGCTGAGGCAGGAGAATGGTGTGAACCCGGGAGGTGGAGCTTGCAGTGAGCCGACATTGCGCCACTGCACTCCAGCCTGGGTGATAGAGCGAGACTCCATCCCCCCCAAAAAAATAAAAATAAAAATAAAAATAAAATTCAGTTTGTTCTGAGGCAGAATAGGTTATAAATGGAGATATTGAAATTTTAGGCATAGGGTGAAAAAATTATATTACCTTTTAGATTACTAGAAATGCTAGATCTCTTGATTTTAAAAGGGAGTTTAACTATCAAATAAACGGGAGGAATAATGAAAAATGTTTTTTGGTTAAGTAGACACACCAAGTAAACTTATTGGACAATTAACAATATATTATTTTTATTATTAGTTTCTGTTTCACGTAATATTGTTGTCTCCCAGCAAGAAAAGGACTATTTCTTTTATTTGCCATAGTTACAACACATTATTAAATATAAAACATAATAAATAGCCTTAGTGATCACTACAGAAAAAAATCCATGAAACCTGTAAATGGGTATCAAACTATGCTGGATGCTGTACATGGCAAATTGACTAATGATGCAATTCCGTATTTTCTGTCCTGAGAAACAGCATTAAAAACAGGATAATCTAATTACTGTTTGGTCATAAGATAATTCTGGAAATTTTCTAAGTAAAATATGCATATTTTTCTTCTTCTGTTTCTCATTGATGTTTGAGGTGATTACATTCACAAGGGAGAGGATGCCTGATCCAAGAATAGTTTTAACGGGAGGTAAAGTACCACATGAGACAAGATTAAAAGCAGAGATAACTAGAAAGATTGTTTTAACCAAGAAACAACTTCTTTTCTAATTCTCAATTTCCTTTCAAGGCCTTCTTTTGCTCAGAAAATGTAATATCCCTCATCCCACAGTTAAGACAAAAATCAATAGAAACCTTAGGCAGTTATTTGTCATCTTATAAAGTTTAATGCCATTAAGTTTTCACCCAGAGCCTTCTGTAGCCAATTCTGGTATATGGAGTCATTTAAGGGTAAGATAAGTATTCCAGAAGTTTGTAGGAAGATAGCAATACATGAAATAATACCAGTATTCATTCATTCATTTATTTATTCCACACACATTTATTGCTACATATGTTAAGAACATAGTAGTGAACAAAACAGACCTTCACTCCATCCATTAAATTCATGTCCTCATTGAGCTTACATTCTATAGAGGGGAGAAATATAATAAATGATTAAAATGCAAAGGACGTCAAATATTGACATGAAGAAAAATAAAGTAGAGAGAGGGGATAAGGAGTGTCAGGTGGTGGGAGGCTTAGTCATTTGCTATTTTAAGTAGAGTGGTCAGGATGGCCTCAGTAAGATGCTGTTATTGAGTGGAGATCTGAAGAAAGGGAGAAGGGAGACATGTGAATGAACATGGGAAGAAGGGTCCAACCAAAAGAAACTGCAAGGGCAAAGACTCGGGAGAAGCATGGAGGCCCAGGTTGCTACAGTGCAGGTAGTGAAGGGGAGAGAAATTCAGATACACGTTGGGTATCTGCATAAATGCAAGGAAATGAAGTCAGACAAATGAGCAGGGCCAGGACTTGGGAGTCCATTTTGAGTACTATGGTTTTCCCTAACAGAGAGATGGGTTTTGAGCAGAAGAAAAGCAAAATCTACTTTATGTTTTAGCGTAGTCACTTTGATTGATGTTTTGACAAGAGAGTACAGGGGTCATGGAAGAAGTAGAAAGACCATTAAAGAGACGATTGCAAAATCTAGGTGAGAGATAATGAATGGTGGTTTTGACTAGGGTGGTAGCATGGAGTGTATTCAGATTCTGAATACACTTTGCAGGTATCTCTAAAAGGATTTGCTGTGGAATTGGACATGAGGTGTGGTAGAAGAAGTCAAAGGTAATTTCTCGCTTATCATTGACATTGAGTGACAGTTGGGCCCACAACTCTTTTGCCCCCTGCTCAATCTTGTCCTTCACTTCTTCTATTTCTGGCCCAGGTGGGTAAGTACAGCTCTGGCAAAGGGTACCAGCTTTTTCTGCAGGTCACCTGTGTCATGAAGTTAGATGCAATGAGAGACAGATGAGTGTTTCTGTTGATCCGTGTACTTCCTAGCCTGTCCTTGATCATCCCTGCTTTCTTTCAGAGTCATTCAGTCTTTCTTTCAGATTCCAGTCCTGCTGACCTACAACAGTGCAGTCAGGTCCATCAACAGACGCAGAGGCAAAAGCCTTCCATTAATGCCTTTACCAGCAACAAGAAATGTGTAATGTTTAAGCCCTATAATAAAGAGCTTCTTCTGTGTAATTCATGATTCTGGATGCAATGATCTCCTGCATTTGTCATTCTTTTTTGTCCAGATTCTTGATCCTGCTTAGCTGAACTACAGGCCTTGGTCTTCCTGTTGATATAATATTTCATCATTTTGGACATTCATGATACTTTCTATAAATGTTATATTTTATTATAGAATCAATCATCATATTTTATTAATGTTAAGAGTATCTGTATGAATGTTTAGCCATTCTGGCTTGGATTGTAGAATTCTGACATTAAAACTTGATAAAAACTTTGTCAATTAGTTGAGTGTAGAAGATTTTTGTGAAGCAGTTAAAATTTTATTGAGCTGAAAATTGACATCATGAACTACCATATGATCCAGCAATCTCACTTCTGGATATATATCTAAAAGAATTCAAAGTAGAGTCTCAAAGATATATTTGCACACCCATATTCATTGTAGCATTATTCTCAACAGCCAAGAGGTGGAAGCAAACCAATTATTCATCAATGGAAGAATGGAGAAAAATGTGGTATATTCATGTAATGGAATGTTATTCAGCCTTAAAAAGGAAGGAAAGCCCGTCACATGCTATAACATGGATTAATCTTGAAAATATGCTAAGTGAAATTAGTCAGTTACAAAAAGGCCAGTATAATGTGACTCCATTTATATGAGGTATCTAAAGTAATCAAATTTCAGCCTGGCCAACATGGTGAAACCCTGTCTCTACTAAAAATACAAAAAAATAGCCAGGCATGGTGGTGTACACCTGTAATCCCAGCTACTCAGGAGCCTGAGGCAGGAGAATCGCTTGAACCCGGGAGGCAGATGTTGCAGTGAGCCGAGATGGCGCCATTGCACTCCAGCCTGGGCAATAGAGTGAGACTCCACCTCAAAATAAATAAATAAAATAAAATAAAATAAAGTAATCAAATTTATAGAAACAAAAAATAGATTTGTGGTTACTAGGGTCTGTGGGGAGGAGGGAAAGGGAAATGGTTGTTTAATGAGAATAGAGTTTTAGTTCTACAAGATGAATAATTCTGGAGATATGTTTCACAACAATGTGAATTTACTTAACACTACTGAACAGTACGCTTAAACAAGGTTAAAATGTAAATTTTATGCTGTGGGTTCTTTGTTACAATGAAAAATAAAATAAAGTTAAAATAAAAAATTTAAAAAGGGAAGAAAATTCTGACACATGCTACAACATAGATGAACCTTGAATCCATTATGCTAAGTACAATAAGTCAGTCACAAAAGAACAAACACGGTCATGTGTTAATAATGGGGGATACATTTTGCAAAATGCAGCATTAGGCGATTGCATCATTATGCAAATTTCATCACGTGTATTTACACAAACCTAGATGGTATAGCCTACTATACACCTAGGCTATATGGTATAGCCTATTGCTTCTAGGCCACAAAACTGCACAGCCTGTTAATACTGAATACAGTAAGGAATTGTAACACGATGGTAATTATTTGTATATTTGTACATATCTAAACATAGAAAAGATACAATAGAAATATGGTATTATAATCTTATGGGACCACTGTAGTATATACCGTCAGTCACTGGCTGAAATGTCATTATGTGGCATATGACTGTATTCCATGATTCCACTTATATGAAGTACCTAGAGTAGTCAAATTCATAAAGACCGAAAGTAGAGTGGTACTTGTTAGGGAGTGGGGGAAAAGTGGTATGGGAGTTATTGTTTAATGAGTATAGAGTTTCAGTGTGGGATAGTGAAAAGTTCTGGAGATGGATGGTGGTGATGGTTGCATAACAATGTGAATGTACTTAATGTCACTAATTGTACACATGAAAATGGTTAAAATGGGACAAAACATTAATGCAGAACATCCAAGAGTCAGCCCTAGACCATAGTGTCCAGAGGGGAACCTTAGTGCAGGAAATGCTATGAGAGATGAAGGAACCAGTACAGAAATCGTAACACCTACTGCTATAGCTTGGGCCTGATGACATGAAAAAAAATGTACAAGACTAAGGTTGATCTGTTGAGACATCATCATAAAATATTAATAATGTAGAAAATGGGCCAGAAGTATAGTATAGCCTATTCTTACATAATTTCTATAGTTTAGTCTGTAAAAATCTGGAATCTTATTTAAATATTAATGCGTCAATGTTACTTAGAAAGGTTAGAGCCATAGACTACTCTTTTTAGATGACTTTTTATAGATCCTTCAGTCAAAGTTTCACAGTTGAAGAAGTCAAGGTTTAGAAGAAGTAAAATAAGTGGCCCAGGACCACATTTCTAGTTAATACCAAAGCAACCTACACCTAGGGTTCTGATTTCTTGGCTGGTGTTTTTTCTACTATAGCCACTGCTACTCTCTTTTATTTTTAATACATAAATTTATCACTGCTAGTCTTATGCTTCTACCTACAGTTAGACTGACTCTAGAGCTATAATTGTTTCCAAATGGTCATTGTCCCTTTACTCCATAGTTAAAGAGTTCTGGCTATACCAATGGCCATCCGGTTGGAGGGTACAATTCCTAACTTTCCTTCATCTAGGCATGGCCATATGATTAAGCTTTGGCCAATGGGACATGCATATATGACTCTTGTGTCACACCTGGGACTAGCTCTACCAAGGATTGAGCATCTGCTTCCTTCATCCCAGTTACTCCTTCCTGGCTGTCTGGATCATGGACTTGGTGGCGGTGGATCTGCTTGCCCCCATAGAGGACTCTACCGAGTGCTGGAGCAATAAGATAAAAGAAACCAGAGTTTCCTAGGCAACTTGGTTGAGTAGAGTTTCCTGCCCTTTATCAATTTGAATGTTTATACAAAATAAAAATCAATTTTTCATCACATTTAGGCCAGTGTTGTTTTGGTCTTTGGTAAAGTAGCCAAGACAATATCCTACTTAATGTAGTGGATTTAATTTTCAAGGGCAGTTGCAACTTCAAAAATAGTATTCTCTTCTTCCCACAAACTTTGATATGTTCAAAACATTTCATCTAGATCAACTATTTAAGTTTCATCTCTTTGATGCCACTTTTACCCTGAGTTGATTAAGAAACAACACAAAACAGGACATTCTATTGGATAACATTTTCTTAATATTTGCAGAAAATATGCTCAGATAGTCACAAATTCATGGCCAAATTCATATTTAATTATAAGGCTAGACTCAGGAAACAACAAACCAACCAAAAATACACAAACAAAACAAACAATAAGCTAATCACAAATATTATCTTGGCAAGTTGTGTGTCCCTCTAGGGTGATCATTTTCTCCTTTTTATTTCCTCTTGACCTCCAGGACATATCCTACATCCCTCATGGAGATGCATACATAATCAAAGACCACCTTGTATGAGCACTGCCAGGGAGAATCAAGTGAATCCAAGTTTAATCTAAAGGGTTTAAGGATCAGCAATGGAATTTTTGGAATTTGTAAAGTAGGAAGGGATATTATGAATTGCCTACAAAATCCACTACTTGAACTTGCCTCTTTTGCCAGTATTGTATGTTTTCCTCACCACACCAGCCTCGTGGCAAGGCTAGAGTTATAATAAGTAAAAGTCACACAAAATTTCTCTGGCTCTTGGCACTTACCTGAGATTGTGGAACTTGTAACTTGTGGCTCCTTTCACTGTCTCCTGTGGTTATTTCTTTTTCTTTTTTACTTTTTTTTATTGTTTTGAGACTGAGTCTCACTCTGTTGCCCAGGCTGAAGTGCAATGGCACCAACTCAGCTCACTGCAACCTTCACCTCCCGGGTTCAAGCAATTGTCCTGCCTCAGCCTCCTAAGTAGCTGGGACTACAGGCACACGCCAACATGCCTGGCTAATTTTTGTATTTTTAGTAGAGATGGGGTTTCACCATGTTGGCCAGGATGATCTTTATCTCCTGATCTTGTGATCCACCCACCTTGGCCTCCCAAAGTGCTGAGATTACAGGTGTGAGCCACCACTCCCAGCATCCTGTGGTTATTTTTAATGGAACTGTTCATGCCTGAATCCAGTTGTGACATGAGAGAGTTTTCTCATCCTGTGACAATTAAGATAAGTATGTGACTGCCATTTGTGCTGGTAGCAACTCCAGAGGGTGACTTGTGTTTGAATTTTGGCTCTTTCCTTTATCCACTGGGTGAAGTTTGCAAGTTTTTTCATCTCACTGAGTCTTAGTTTCCTTGTCTATAAAACAGAGCTTGGGAAAGTGTCAAATGAGATAATTTCGTCAAGTTGTTAGTGTAAAGACTTGCCACATACTAGGCACTCATTAAACGATCTTATGATTGTTGTCACCCTTGTGACCTGTTACACTGAGTCCTCGATGCACCCTGAAGCTCTAGTCTTGCTTCCCACTTCTTATCAAGGTGTTGCAGCCTGTAATACTATAGTGTTTGCTATGGAGTACAGTGCTGCCTCTGGTGGTTCCAGGTGCTGAATGAGCACTGCTCTCTCCTGACCCCTCACAAAGTCAGACAGTGATGGCACGGCACTGTGCTGAAACCCCAGCCCAAGAAAAAAGGAGCAACTTTGCGCTGTGCATCTCAGTTTCTTTTTTAATCTACAGTCTCTTACTAGGTGGACTAAGGAAAAAGAAAAGACGTTACTTTGCTACATTTTCTATCCATCCCCTCTAACTAACTATACTAGCTAAACTAAATGAAAAGGAAATTGTCAAGACCAATGCTTCATAAATTTTCACATCATGACAGATAGAAAACAATGATATTTGTATAGGCCATTTGGGTAAATGGATGTGGCCCCCTATGGCTAGAAATGATCCAGGAACTTCAGCTATCACAAGTTCTGTTCTTCAGCCATCCCCAGAGCTGAAGGTATCAGTATCTTGACCCATTCATGGTATAGCAGTAGGGTTTACCCAGAACTGAAGGGTTCTCTGAGATGTGAAATTTTCGTTGCTAAAACTAGGGAAATCCTAGGTGAACCAGGACAAGTTGGTCACCCTATGTGCCAGCTGGAAAGCTCTGGACTAGACTATAGCCTGTACTTTGCTGAGTCAATGGAGGAAATGAGTGGATAAAGAAACATGGAGAATCTAGACAGGGTGGCTGAGTTCACACTGGAAAGGGAAGAGAGTTGCTGGTGGAAGCAATCTGGAAGGAGAGAGAAAATGGGCCAAGAAGTTTCAGATGCCTTTGGGAATGCATTTTAGAGAGACTGCCTTTTGTGGGGAGATTAGAATGGAGCAAAAAGAGACCTTGAGAACAGATGTTTTCTACTTATTTTGGGGTCCTAGCCCCTGTTAACATGACTGGGCCTCATGGTGACTTAGTTTTGTACAGGTAACTCTGGGAATTAGACATCAGGCCCCGAGAACTAGGTCAGGGGTTATCTGAGGATAGGCTGTTCGATACTGCTTTTCTTTCTGACATTGAAACGTTTTCTTTCTTTTCTTTTCCTTTTCTTCTTCTTTTTTTTTTTTGCCCCTAGATACCTCCCTGAGAAAGAACCATTTTCTTTAAATCAAGTTTATGTCATTGATTCTCACTTTCCTGGCAACAGCGCATTCTTTCTCAAGATAGTCCTCAGTCCGATAGGCAAATGAATTCCTGTAACATCTGCTTTACTCATCTGGTGTCTGAGTCCTGGCTGTGTTACGGCTTAGGTGCCTGGTGGGCACTTTGGGTTCAACTGGTCAGCCACTTTTCCCACACTTATTACTCTGCCAAAGCTCAGTCTTTGCTTCACAAATTAAAATGCGGCATTGAGACGTTAAAAGGTCTTATTAACTTCCTTTAAGTTTAAAGTATTTCAGTATTCTTTATAGTTTTTTCCTTTTCCTAACTATAATATTCCTCACTTCATCAAAGAAAGGAATTATTGAACAATCAATCAATAATTGTGATTCAAATTGTGTTGTGATTAAAAATACATTCTGCCTTGTTTCCCTTTACTTATAATTTTAGTTATGCTAGTCAGGGGTACTGCAGGAAGGGTGAGCTAACAAGCTTTCAGTAGGCCTAATATTCTGCCAGGCCGTTTCTTCCCAGCAGTTCACTCCTGGATTATTCAAGAAAAAGTTGCACATGGTTAACACTAAATAGTAAACTTGGCAGTGGCAGCTGTCAAAATGATTTGTAAAATCTTAGGTCCTGGAAATTAGGTTGTTCTTGCTGTGGTTTTCTTTGTGGCACTGTAAGATTTATTGAATGTAGTTAATACACTCAAATTTTTCTTCCTTTAGGAGTTGGTTGTTGGCATTAAGTTGAATGGAGAGGTAATAATTTAGGAGACAACAATAGAATTTAAGCATCCTTGACAAAGACCTATGTCATTGTCAAGCTGAGGTGAAAAGACAAAGGGGAAAATTGAAAACAGGGAGCAAAGGAATGTGAACACACTTAAGAAGGAAGGAGCAACATATCTCACATTCAAGGAGAAGGGGTAGAAAGCAGCTCTTTGAGAGTGTGACAGAAAAGATCTTGGAGCGTTAATTGACAGTAAGGGGAAGGGAAGTCAACACCTATACTGCCTCTGTTCCTTAATGTGTTAGTTTCTCTCTCAATGTGTGAGCTTAAGTTAACAAGGCCAGTGCTGAATCTCCAGTAGAACATTGAAGATGGTGCCTTAGCCTCTGCTGAAACGGCCCTGAGTACTTCTTTCGTGTTGGCTGGGAATGTTTCCCCATCAGCTTTGCGTTCTCCAATTCTTCCATAAAGGAAGTAATAAGTAATAACTCCCTCTCCCACTGAGCTTCTTATTCCAGAAAAATATTTTTTGGGGGGTGTAATTTGACAAAGTGGGGTTGGAAGACCTTTGTCCTCGATAAAAGGCAAATCCCCAGGAAAGGAAATTCATTCATTCTTATTACACATTTAGGTAGACTTTTAATGTGAAGAAAGAGTAGATCATTTCCTGGAAGCCGGCTGAGAGGGTGTGGAGGGAGACGGCAGCATGAGGAGAGGGCATCAGGATAAGAAAGGAGAAGACAAGCTCTTCCAGGAGGCAAGCTCTGCCTGATGTTCACTTTTGCCAGCCTCCTCTGCCTGAGTTAAAACAAGAACTTTGGGAATTCTCCCAACTGTTTTCCTGCCTTCATTTTAGCTTTGTCATATCTTTTGCATAGCTCTCTATAGATTAGACTTCGTTTCAAAATGGTATTTTAAAATGATTAAATGTTTAAAATAATGTAGCACAAATGTATTTGTCCCCAGATACCACAAGGAAATTAGTTTTTGTGGGGTTCCCAAACTTTTCTATGTAGAATAGTTAGGCCAGTGTGTTCTCAGGAATCCCTCAAATGTTAGCAAAGGAACATGCACTCACCCAAACTTGCAGGTCAAGGAAAATGCAGGAGAATCAGGTTCTAGAAAGGGCAGAACTGATTCTTGAGGGTGGGGAGGTAGGTATGCTATTAATACTTCGTGTGAATGATGGAAAAGAAGCAGGCAAATTTCCCTGGGTCAGGCAGAGTTTCTGGCACTGGGTTCTTTATTCAACTGTTATAAATATTTTCATTTGTCTAGTATGGAAGAGAGAGTAAAAGAGGAAGGGAAATTTGAAGATGGAGTTAGGGTGAGGCTATAGATGACATATGACTTAAAAATTCTCTTTTGGACTTACTATGGGAAACTAGAAATAGTTTGTGGGGCTTGTGGTCAAATATAATTTCCTCAGAGATGCTTTAGATTAGAAACAATGCCAGAATGAAAAGGGAGCCAAAATAAAAATGTTTAATAATTCTTCCTGTTATGAAAAGTCCTTTTTCATATTTATCTTCACTAACTTTAGAGAAGGTATCCTATTCTTCTGTAAAATTCATTCTGTTTGTGTGTTTCATTTTTGGAGGATTCCAATTCTCTTTCATCCAGTCAGTCGATCATACGATAATTCATTCAAAAAATATTTGAGTGCCTACTGTGTGGCCAGATATGGTGCTAACACTGGAGAAACCAAAATGAATGAATGAAACACAGTCATTGCCCTCAAGGTAGAGCCTAAAAAAAAGCCCACAGTCTTTCCTGGGGAGATATTCAATATCAAATAAATTATGACAATATTGGTTGAAAACAGGTAACATGGATCATTGTAGGCTTAAAAGAGGCAGTGATGAAATCTTTGGTACATCAGAAATGTCTTCTTGGAGCAGAGTCAAAACTGAATCTTGGTGAAAAAGGAGTTCACCAGGGGGATAAAGGTGGACATTTCAGTCAGAGAGCATTGTAGAAAGCAGCAGTCCATAGCCAGGCATGGTGGTGGGCGCCTGCAGTTTCAGCTACTTGGGAGGCTGAGGCAGAAGAATATCTTGAGCCTGGGAGGCGGAGTTTGCAGTGAGCTGAGACTGACCATGGCACTCCAGCCTGGGTGACAGAGTGAGACTTCGTCTCAAAAAAAAAAAAAAAAGAAAAAAGAAAAAAGCAAGCAGCGGTCTGGCTCAGATCTCACATCATGGAGGGCTTTGTATGCTATTCTCAGGAGTTTAGACTTTATCCTATAAGCTCTGGGGAACCGTAAAAGAGTTTTTAGTAGATGAATTACATGATCAAATTTGCAATTTAGAAAGGTCACTCTGGTGACTTTTAAGAGGACAGAACAATTACAACATTCTAGATTAATTTGGGCAGAATTATTTGTTATCTAAATACTATTGAGTTTTCTAATTTACAAACATGGTGTGTGTCACAGTTTCTTTTGGTCTTCTTTAATTTCTTTTAATAATGTTTTGTTATTTTCATTAAGCAGGTCTTGCACATATTTGTTAAATTTATTCCTCAGTTTTTCATGTTTCTGGTGCTACTATAAGTGGAATTGTTCTTAAATTACAATTTCCAATTGCTGTTGCTAGTATATAGAAATGCAATTGATTTCTGTGTATTAACCTTGCTAAACTAGACTATTAGTTCCATATTCGCTTTTTAAAAAAAGATTTCTAAGGAATCTAGAAAATTGACATGATTATGTTGTCCTAAAAAAGAGTTTTACCTTTCTTCAAATTGTAAGCCTTTTTTTCTTCTTGCCTTTTGCACTGGTTAAAACTTCCATTACAAGTTTACAAGTTTCAGTAGAAGTAGCAGTGAACATTCATTCCCATCTTCCTCCTGATCTTAGTGGCAAAGCATTTGGTCATTTATCATTAAGTGCAATGTAGGATGTTGCTTTTTCACAGATATTTTCAGGCTGAAAAATGTTCCCTTCTATTCCTAGTTTGCTGAGAGTTAAAAAAACAAGAATATTAAAATTTATCAGTGACTTCTCTGTATCTATTGAAATGATTATATTGGTTTTTAAAAATTCTGTTAATATGGATTACATCTAATGATTTTTAATGTTAAATCAACCTTGCTTTCTTGGAATAAACCCTACTTGGTCCTGATATCTTATTGTCATTGTGTATTTCCAGATTTTGGTTGTTAAAAGTTTCTGCTTGTAGGTTTCTGAGGGATATTGACATGTATTTTCCTTTTTTGGGAATGTGTTAGTCTGGTTTTGGTGTTGAGGTTATTCTGGCCTATTATGGTGATTTGGGAGTTCATCTTTACCCTTCTCTTTTCTGAAAAAATATGTGTGAGAGTGGTATTATCTTTTTCTGTAAATGATTAAAAAATTTACCAGTAATGCCATTAGTCCTAGAGTTTTCTTTGTGGGAAGATTTTGAACGATGTACTCAATTTCTTTAATAGAATTAGGGCTATTGAGTTTTTAAAAATTGCTTCACAGTTAGTTTTTGGTAGTTTATGAATTTTAAGAAATTTGCCCATTTCATTTAAGTTGTCATTTTTGGCGATTTTTTTTTTGGCAATATTTTTTTTCTATCTATTTAATATCTGGAGAATTTGTAGTAATGTATTCTATTTAATTCTTGGTCATTTGTTTCTCTCTTCCTTTCTTCCTCTCTTCCTCTCTTTCTCTCTTCCTCTCTCTCTTTCTTTCTCTCTCTCTCTGTCTTCCTCTTTCTTTCGCTCTCTCTTTCTTTCCTTCTTTCTTTCTTCGTTTCTCTTTAAGATCTTGTGCTGTTGCCCAGGCTGGAGTGCAGTGGTACAATCATGGCTCGCTGAAGCCCCTAACTCTCAGGCTCAAGTGATTCTTCTACTTCAGTCTTCTGAGTAGCTGGGAATACAGGCGTGCACCACCATGCCCAGCTAATTTTTGTATTTTTTGTAGAGACAGGGTTTTGTCATGTTGCCCAGGCTGTCTGGAACTCCTGGGCTCAAGTAATCCTCCCACGTCAGACTCCCAAAGTGCTGAGATTATAGTTGTGAGCCACTGCGCCTGGCCTCTTTTTTTTTCTTGTTAAGTCTAGCCAGAAGTTTATCAATTTCATTTTTGTTTTCCAACAATTACCTTTGGGTTTTTTCTAAATTTTCTATATTGGTTTTGTAATTTTCTAATTTCTTGATTTCCATTCTTTACTGTTTTCTTTCTTCTACTTGGTTTGGGTTTAATTTGTTCTTATTTTTTTCAGCTTGTTAAAGGGTAATGTTAGGTCATTTATTTAAGATCTTTCTAATATAACCATTTAAAGCTGTATATTCCTCTATAAGCACTGCTTTAACTGCTTCCCATGGGTTTCAGTATGTTATGTTTTTAATCTTCATTTAAAATATTTTCTAATCTTTCTGTGATTTCTTCCTTGACCAAACTTAAAAGTTTAACTTCCAAATATTTGGAGATTTTGTAGACGTTTTTCTATTGTCGATTTCTAATTTAATTTGATTGTGATAAGGTAATATATGTGGTATGATTTTAATTCTTTTAAATTTGTTGAAGCTAGTTTTTAATGGCATGGCATTTGGCCTATTTTGATGTAAATTCCATATGTACTTGGAGAAAATGCATTTCTTGATGTTACTATGTGGAAGGATCTGTGAAGATCAGTTAGCTCAAGTATTCCATATCCCAATTGATTTTCTGTTAAATTATTTGAATAACTATTGAGAGTATTGTTGTCTCCCGCTACAATTTTGGATTTGTCTTGCTTCAGTGTGTCAAGTGTTCCCTTTTTTAAAATTTTGAAACTCTAGGTTTTAGCTTCATTGTATCTTTCTTGTGAATTGACCTCTTTATCATTATAAAATGTCCAACTTCAACCTGAAAATATTCCTTTTTATAATGTTTACTTTGTTTGATGATAATATAGCCACTCCAGCTTTCTTATGATTAATATCGTCCTGCTTTATCATTCTTCTATCCTTTAAGTTTTAAAATACTTGAGTCTTTATCTTGAAAATAGGTTTCTTGTAAACAATATACAGTTGAGTCTTAGTTAGGTCTTGTTATAATCCAGTCTGATGATCTCTGCCTTTTAATTAAACTATTTAGACTATTGACATGTAATATGATATGGTCGAGTTTAAATCTATCATTTTACTATTTGTTTTCTCTGTTTTCATTTTTCCTGCTTTATTTAATATTTACAAATATTTAATATTAATAATGATTAATAATGTTATGGTTCTATTTTACTTCCAGGAATAATTTATTTAATGGGTTTATTTAATGGATTATGTCTGCTTTTTACCTTCCTGATAAAATTCTTATTTTTCTTTTTTATCCCTCAAGAATATTATCACTGGATACAGACTCTGTGTCAATAGCATATGTCCTCTGGCTTGCATAGTTTCTGACAGGAAGTCTATGGACATTCTGCTTTATTCTTTTGTGTATATATAATATATATATTATATATTATATATAATATTAATATTATATTATATTATATATTATATAATATAATATTAATATTACATATTATATTATATTATATTATATATAATATATACTATATTATATATTGTATATTATATTATATATACATTATATAATATATATTATATGTAATATATACAATATAATATACATTATATATATTGTATATTATATTATATATACATTATATAATATATATATTATATAATATACATTATATATAATGTATATTATATAATATATATTATACACATATATGTATATATGTGTATATATATACATGTATGTCTTGTTTCATCTAATTGTTTTAAAATTTTTCCCTTTAATGCTTGTGTTCAGTAATTTGATCATACTATATCTTCATGTGATTTTCTTTATATTTATCTTGTTTGTCATTACATTTCTTGGATCTGTTTGGTGAAAGATCTCAGAAAATTCAGAATACATCTGACCACTATTTTTTCTTCAAATAATTTTTCTGCCCCTTCTCTGCTTCCTGCAGACTCCTATTATGTCTGTGTTAAACTATTCACTGTTATTCTACAGGCCATTGAGTTTCTGTCAACTTTTAAATCTTTTTATATTTATGCTTAATTTGGATAAGTCTATGGCCCCAAGTTCACTGATTTTTCTTTCTACAGTGTTTAAACTAATCTTACTTGCTTCTAGTCACTTTTTCATTTTCATGATTATAATTTTCATTTCTAGATATTGCATTTGGTTTTTTGTATGCTTTCATTTCTTTTATTATTATATTCATTTTCCTCCCCTTTGCATCCTTGAGTATGTGGAGGAAATGTATATCATCTTAAGCTTTCAATCCCTAATTAAATCTCTATTATTTTGGGGTATCTTTTTGATTAACTGGTTCTTCTTCTGGCCATTTGTCATATTTTTCTGCTTCTCTGTATTTCTAAAAAAATTTAACTGTTTGCTAGGCTTCTGAATTTTATATTGTTGAGTGGTGGATGTTTTTGTGTTAATTTAATAATTTTTGAATTTTGCCTGAAGACAGTTAAGTCACTTGTGGGTTAGTTTGATCATCTCAAAGCTTGTTTTTAAGGTCTTTTATCTTAGATGGGTATAGAGTATATTTTAGTCTCAAGATAAATTTTTCCCACTTTCAAGGTCTGAGCCTTCTACAGTCTACTGAATACCTTGTGTATTCAGAGAAATCTCTCCATTCTGGCTGGAAGGAATTCAAACTGTTCTTGGCCGTCTTAGCTCCAGAAACTGTTGATCTTTCAGTTTCATGGTAATTGCTTTTTCTGCAGAAATTATTCTTGTCTGTCCTCCTGGGATTTTACCTTATAAATGGGCAGATATCTCCTTAGCCAAAACTCAAGGTGACCCTTACACAGATTTCTAAAGTTCTTTCTCTATGTAGTTTTGTACTGTCAGAATCATTGCCTTAAAAATTCTAGCAACTCTGATCTTCCTGAACTTTAACTGTGTCTGTTCAACACAGTGAGATTGCTGGACACTCTTTAGGCTCTTCCTTCCCTCATCACTTGGGCATTGGTAAGGTTCATCTAGTTCCTTCCTCCCCTTCCCCAATTATCCAGGAACATTATGATTTTACTGCCTGTTGTCCAATACCTGAAAATAGTTGTTTCTTGTATTTTGTTGAGTTTTATAGTGGTTTGGAGGGTAATTCAGACTGCCTTACTGTCTCATGGACAGAAACAGATACCTCTTTTGTCTCTTAATTTTCAGTTCTGTCCCCATTGCCTTGCTTTTCTCCCCCCGCTACCCAGCACCCCAGCATTTGTTTTAATCTTTCGTTTTGGATGGTAAGGTGGAAAGAGCTCAAACCTTATGCAAAGGTGAAGGGGGATAATAAAAAGAAAACAAAGAACAGGCAAGCAAATCTTTCTACTTCTAAGATGGGCTCCTTCATTAACAAGATTCCTAATCATCGTTGTGCTAAAGGATTCCCTGTCCCCTTTTTCAGCCTTACCTAACATTGCTAAGATTGTTCCAATCACACAGTCTGATTATTACAATGCTAAAGGAATTTCTAACTTTTCTTCTGTTTTAATAAAATCTTCCTGTTATATTGTTAGTTTTCCATGGTTCACTGTCCCAGAAGGTAAAGAATGGAGAAAAGATGAAGATGTTATAAAAGTGGAAGAAAAACTGGGTTTCAGGCACTATGGTTATGAGAACATTCTTCTTGAAGTTAATGTTTGCTTCTCATGGAAACATAGTTTAAATGTTTGCCCACAATCATTTATCATTCATATTTCTACCTGGGAGAGTATTTATTTAAGAGCTAGGGAGGCCAGCACAAATACTGTGGGGGAACAAACTCAGAAGATAAAGTAGGTTTTTGCCATATGACCTGCTTTTTGTTTTTTTTAATTTTATGATTTTTACATAACTGGTTCTTCCTTTATTCATCTCAAAAGATACTGAGGTTATTTTTCATAAGCACTATCTTCTTTAAGTGGAATGAGGTCACCTTAATACAGTAGGTAAACACAATATTTATAAACTTCTCTTCACCTCTGAATTTTAAGAAAATGATGGTTAATGTTGGAAAATCTTTTTTTTTTTTTTGGGATGGAGTCTCGCTCTGTCACCAGGCTGGGGTGCAGTGGTGCAATCTTGGCTCACTGCAGCCTCTGCCTCCTGGGTTCAAGTGGTTCCCCTGCTTCAGCCTCCCGAGTAGCTGGGACTACAGGCGCATGCCACCACACCCAGCTATTTTTTTTTTTTTTTGTATTTTAGTAGAGATGGAGTTTCACCATGTTGGCCTGGATGGTCTCTATCTCCTGACCTTGTGCTCCACCTGCCTTGGCCTCCCAAAGTGTGGGATTATAGGCATGAGCCACCGAGCCCAGCCTGGAAAATCTTTTTTATATTACACTGTAAGTTTATTTTCCACAGCACTTATTATCATGCTATGTTCTCAATTGTTTCTCACAGATTTACTCTTGCTCCTCTAAATCTCACAGATTTCCTCTGTTCTGTTTTAATCTGATTTAATCTGTTCTCTTTGCTTCCTTCTTCACCCTCCATATTCATTCCCTATCTTTTTTTGCCCTGTTGTGACCATTTGGTAGCTGACCATTATGAAAGGAGTTATCTGGGTCCACTTGCCTGACTCTCTTGCCTTGATGGTTGAGAGTCCCAGTAGAAGGTTGAAGGTCCAGAAAGTTGAGTCCCAGTAGAAGGTTGGAGGGAGAAAGAAGGGAAAGGGATACATATATATATATATTTTTCGAGATGGAGCCTTGCTCTGTCGCCCAGGCTGGAGTACAGTGGCACAGTCTTGGCTCACTGCAAGCTCCGTCTCCCGGCTTCACGCCATTCTCCTGCCTCAGCCTCCCGAGTAGCTGGGACTGACTACAGGCGCCCGCCACCTCGCCCGGCTAATTTTTTTTTGTATTTTTAGTAGAGACGGGGTTTCACTGTATTAGCCAGGATGGTCTCGATCTCCTGACCTCGTGATCCGCCCGCCTCGGCCTCCCTAAGAGCTGGAATTACAGGCGTGAGCCACCGCGCCCAGCCGGAAAGGGGTATTTCTTTTGCCCCATCTTCCCTTCCACAGTCTGGCAGTGGTTGTGTATCTCCATAGATAACAGCTCTTGTCGGGTAGTCTTCTCTTGCTTCAGCTCTCCCAAGGCTTATATACTCCTTTTTCTTCCATTTGTCCCTTCAGGCTTTGAGGTAACAGCTCTTCTCTGTTGCTCTGGGTACTTCACTAACCCTTGTTGGGTTCCTTAATCCTACCCATGCCTCCACATGTAGTCCCTTCATTGATCTCTCTTTAGTTAAGCCCTTTTTGAGTGTGCCTCTTCTTCTTGCTGGGACCATGACTGATGTAAATTCTATATATTGCCTAGAGAACTCTTTATAACACTGAAGTTAAATAACATTACCACCCTATTCCAAACCCTTCAGTGATCTTCCAATTAGAATCAAATTCAAACTGTTTGATAGAACCTCATAATGTTAACTCTCCACTTTTTTTTTTCTCCTTTCAGTCTCTCCTCATTCTGTTCCAGCCACACTTATCCTTTTCCCTTGAACATGGTAAGCTCACTCACACCTTTGGGCCTGTATACTTGCTGTTCTCTCAGCCTGGGCAGGTCTTCTCCTGGACCTTTACGTGATGGACTTTTTTTCAACATTCATGTTCCTGCTCAATTTTTCACCTACTCTAAGAGAACATAATTGATCAATGTGTTTAAATTGATCACTTCCCCCAGTATTATGTATCTCATTACTCCACCTTATTTTCAAATAACAATTGCTACTATTGGAAATAATTCAATTTACTTTTCCCTTTGTGTATGATCTGTCTTTCCCCACTACAACGTAAACAGCTATATTCAGGACATTTCTCTGTCTTGTTCACCACTGTATCTCCAGTGCTAAACCAGTGTCTGGGTGCATCATGTACCCTCAATAAATGTTTACTGAATGATTGAATGAATAAATGCCTGGTTAATTTAATGAAAGATTGAAATAACAAATGAAGCTGAGAAAGCCAAAGAATTCTTAATCAGTCCTCTGGAAGGTAAACTGTATATATTGATCTATTCTTAGAAAATGTATCCTGTCCCATCCATAAATCTGGATTGAGAGGCAGAACTTATTGGTACCAGCGTGAGCAAGTCTGACTTGGTAGAAAAAAGGGAGTAGATCAGCCTGGAGCTGAGAATATGGAGAAGAGTGTGAGTAGGAGAATGACAATCACAGGCCAAGGCGTTAGTGGGCAGAGATGCCCCTTTTAAAGGGAAAAAATGTAGCAGGAAATAAACCTAAGCCAAATCAGGAATGAACTGTCTTAGTAAAGGCCAAGAAATGCATAAGGAACCATGGAATCAAACTGATCTGAAGTCCACGGAATCATCGAAGTCATGGGAGTATGAAGAATGTACCAATATAAGACCTATGGAAACACGATCTTAGATATTCTAAGTGCAGCTCTGTGGCTCTCTGTTCTCCCATCCAGCATCTCTTCCTATGTGGTGTGCTCTCTCAGTCATCTGGCCACCCACAGCTCTCCCTGATCACCTAGATATCAGCAGGAAATGCTTGGAGTTTCTTAGTTGGGTTTGTCAGTGACTGCATTTTTTTCCCCAGCAGAATCAACAATTCTGGCAGAAATATTCCCTGTTCTTGAGATGCTAATTTTCTGTTGTAAGCTCAACAGCATCTGCACACCTAAACGCTTTCAGACCAGGGTGTCTCTAAAGAGTAGGCTAGGCCTCCTTTCCACTCCTCACTTGAAGCTCAGTTTCTTCCTCTAGCTACAGGAGTCTTCCAAGCCGTGGTTCTTCTAAGACAGACTAAACATTATGCTGATTCCCATGTCCATGTGGTTTTCCAAATAGGGTTGGTTCATCCCTTTGCCAGCCCATTGCTTACTTACCTGGAGTTTCCGTTGTCCTAAAACTTTATCTCATTAACCAATGCATGGGGGAAAAAATCAAATAAACTAAAGATTTCAGTGAAATTTATTGGTTACTAATCATTATCCCAGAAGAAACTGAGCCTTCCTCAGTGGCTCCTAAAAACAATGGCAGACTCTTTATGCCTCTTTAGTAGATGTGAGAAGGAACTGTGCTGGTACAGTGACCTTACACTCTCTCCCCACACCAGAGGTGACAGAATCACTTTAAGAAGTCAGATTACTATTCTGTCCCAAGAGAATTCCTCCAGAACAGGACTGTTTAAATTTTTTTTTTGTTTGAGCCAGGCGCAGTGGCTCACACCTGTAATCCCAACACTTTGGGAGGCCAAGGAGGGGGGATCACAAAGTCAGGAGTTCGAGACCAGCCTGACCAACATGGTGAAACTTCGTCTGTACTAAAAATACAAAAATTAGCCTGGTGTGGTTGCACGTGCCTGTAATCCCAGCTACTCAGGAGGCTGAGGCTGGAGAATCACTTGAACGCGGGAGGCAGAAGTTGCAGTTGCAGTGAGCTGAGATTGCGTCACTGCACTCCAGCCTGGGTGACAGAATGAGACTCTGTCTCCAAAAAAAAAATCTTTTTTGATGATGAAAATATTCTATATTTGTGCTGTCTTATGCAGAAACCACTAGTCATATATAGCTGCTTAGCATTTGAAATGTGGACAGTGCAGTGAGGAACTGAATTTTAAATTTTGCTCAAATTTAAATAATTTAAATTTCTTTTCTTTTTTTTTTTATTATTTGTTTATTGATTTATTTTTTTTGAGACAAAGTCTCACTCTGTTACCCAGGCTGTAGTGCAGTGGTGTAATCTCAGTTCACTGCAACCTCTGCCTCCTGGGTTCAAGCGATTCTCCTGCCTCAGCCTCCCGAGTAGGTGGGATTACAGCCATCCACCACCAAACCTGGCTAATTTTTGTACTTTTAGTAGAGACAGGGTTTCACCATGTTGGCCAGGCTGGTCTTGAACTCCTGGCCCCAAGTGATCTGCCCACATCAGCCTCCTGAAGTGCTGGGATTACAGACCTAAGCCCCTGCACCCGGCCTATAATTAAAATTTAAATAGCTACATGTAGCTAGTGGCTACGGCATTGGACATCACAGCTCTAGAGTCTGCTTACCAATGCACCACAAAGCAGGTGCAAAATTCTGTACTTCCACTTGTCTCTTAGGTATGATGTAATGGAGGGAATTGGCAAGGCTCAGATTTATTTTGGAAGAGTACCACGTAAACAAGATATATCTTGTTGAGGCACCAATCTGTAAGGGGTGCTATTTCTTGTTCTACTACACTCTACTCTACACTCTGGAAACCCACTGAATAAAGCCAAATAATGCATTTCTAGTGCTAATCACCAATCACTTCTTTAAGTGGTGCTGATAAAACTCATGGTCAGTGCGAATAGGAAAGTCGCTGTGTTCTTTCTTTGTTTTGGGTCTATGCCTACGTTTCATTCTCAGCTAAACCCCATGCCAATCCTTCTCCCATACTCATGCTTACTAGACAGAGTCAGTAACAGTTCTGACAAATCCAAGTGCTATTATTTCTTTCTGACATTACACAACATCTTTCCTTTAAAGTACAGGACCACCTTGCATTGGCTATTGAGCTGTATTAACTATCTTCTAAACCTTTAGCTAACTGTTCTTTTATTATTTTATAAAGTTGTATAAATGCTGGTCACTCTGGCTCTTTTCCAGTATAAATGAATTCTATTTGTGCTATCTGTAAAACTTTCCCTCAGGGTCCTCCAAGAAGCAGATACCAGGATGAGATTAAACATATAAACTCTATTAGGGGAACATGCCTGTGTGAAGGAAATAGGAGAACCACCTGACCACTATGCACGTCTAACCCAGAATGAAAGAGAGAGAGACAGAGAGAGAGAGAGAGACAGACAGACAGAGAGAGTGTGAGTGAATGTTGGGTGGAGTGCCACACAGTTTTGGCAAAGCCACCAGGAAATCCTCAATACAAAGTTGGTCAAAAAAAAGTCCAGTGTTTCTCTGGAATGGGATCTGCCTTAGTATCAGTGCTACAGTCAGTCACTGGCTGGAGCAGCCTGTGAGAGGAGTAGCCTTGAAGCAAACCCTGGTACAGATTTCCAAGCTGGAGCCCTTGGTCCATTATGCTCTCTGGAATAAGACGTGAGCAAAACACATGCCTTGTACAATTCCTGCTTAAGTTATCATGGTTAGAAAAGAAAATGAAAGATAAAAGATGGGATGGCTAGAAAATAAAATATCTGAACAATACCTGGAAGACTTTCTTCTATTAGTCAGAATTGTCCCCACTTACTGCCTCAATGCTAATTCGAATTCTCTTCTATCAAATGTTTCCATGGCTGCAGATTTAGGGCTAGAAACTTTCTTCTTGTCACCTCTCTGGGCTTTTGTAAGTCCCCTCTATCTGCTTCTAGTTGTTTACTTCCAGAATATGCCAAGGAGAAACATTTTCTTTTGCATTCCATTTGCCAGCTTGTTATGTATTTATGTATAGTTTTGGATTCTTTGAAAAGGTCTGATAAATAATACACTGCATCCACATTCAGTTTCAGAATAAGTGAAGAACAGAAAGAAAAGGGTCAGTATATACAGGCCTCAAAAATGACCTTAATTACTAATAAAACTAGATAATTTGACTTTGTCTCTGTATAAGTTGGCCCCTGACGCTGTATCTAGAATTTGAAGGGCATCTATTCAGCTTCATTTGCACTAGAATAGGGCAGGAGTTTCCTGCTCCAAGTGTAGATTCTTCCCAAGCTGCAGAGGGTAGCATGTTTCCTGGAAGCTTCCATTCACAGTTACTCTCCCAAATTCACTGATCAGATTAAGTCTTTCTATGTATCTGGAACTAAATGAGAGGGGGAGGCAGAGAGAGGCCAGGAGTATTAAATTCACAGAAGGAAAGATCAATGGTGGGGAAGAGGCCTGACAGATAAAATACCAAAATGACACGTGTCAGGGATACACAGGCTTGGAAGCCAATTATTCTGTACTTTACAGTTGTTCTCCGATGATTTCCAGAATTCTGAGTTCAACTAATAGTTACATTTGTACACTACCTTCTCTTTGGATTCTTGAAAAATGTTTTTTCCCCACTTTTAGCTGAGAATTTTGGGTGAAAATCTTTTTGGAGAACTCAGGAAAGCTTTGGATTCTCCCTTACCAAAAAATGTATGCAGACTCAATTTTTTTTTTTTTTTTTTTTGCTTTAGTGACTAAAAACCAGAATGGATTTATTTATTGATTCAAAACTCCAGCTCTCTTTTCTATACTATTTTCATTTTGCATGCACACACACACTCACACACACACACTGGACTTGAGCTTCTGAAAGCCCTTTCTTTCAATTCTGTTTTTCTTTAGTCACTTGAGTCAAGCCAAAATTACTATAATCCTGACTTTTGAACTTGGAGAGCTTATGTGAAATGGTCCATAAACTCATTCTAAGAAAAGATTACTTAATGCCATTTCTGTATTACCGTGGAATTAAATCCCCTTTCTCAAACCCACTTCTACATTATCTTTCTTAGGTCAAAATCTCAAATTGAATTTTATGGATTTGGGGAAAGAATTTTAGTGATTGAGCCATGCTATACTGTGAAGTAGTACAATTAAAGTAGTATTGGGTGAGAACTTTGGCAATGGAGTAAAACAGAGCTGTACTTAAATCCTAGCTCTATGACCTTATAAAAATTACAAGGTCAATTTTACAAAAAACCTCAGATCTGTCTGAGATTTACATTCCCCATAAAATAAGGACAATAATAGTACTTTCGTCACAGGGCTATGGTGAGGATGAAAGGAGATGATGTATTTAAAGCATTTAGTATAGTGCCTGGCACATAATGAACTGGTGATAAAAATCAGTGATTCTTGCTGTTACTATTATTTTTACTCAACTTGCATTAACAGCATTTACTGCAATAGCTGACATGGAATTAATGCCTAAGAAATATTTACTAAATGAAGACTAGGGCAAATTTAGTCACCTTGGTCTTCTCATACCCAAGAGTAGTAGACCTTATCATATTGTATGCCACTGTATGATGGAAATCAAAATGGACTTAGCACCCTTTAGTTCTTCTGTGACCAGCAGAACCTGTCTGAAAACATAATAAGTAATGTAGTATCTCCAGCTATTATCCTCTTAGGAAAATATTTGTCAAATTTATATTTATTCAGAATTTTTTCTCTAGGATAATCAAAATGTTTCTACTTAGCGAACATACTCACCAAGAGCTCCATGACAGAGATGTTTCTCAGTCTGTCTATTTAAACAGACTCTTTTCAAAAATTGGTGCAATTCTTTAGAATAAAAAATCAGACTAAGTTAAAATTATAGACAGGTACAAATAACCTATCCCAAACCATTTGTTCTTTTTGTCTTTTTACAAATATACATAGATAGGCAGGCATATGGATAGATACAGATATTGATGTTTTGAGATTAACTTTTGCTATTCCATAGATTCTAGATAGTTTTCACCAAACCCCTCACTTCAGTGCCTCACCAGAAGTTTTCATATCAGGAAATACGGGTTATACAAGTGATTGTTTTATAAAAAGAGCTTCATTGCTTTAGTGTCCTCTCTCACACGATTTCTCTCATCTGTCTTGCTGGGCAGATAGAATCTTACGAGGATGTCAGCTTGCCAAATAATTAAGATTCTTTTCAGTAATATAGGACTCAAATCAAAAACATTCCTGGAGACCAGTACATTTACAAATATTATTGCTTATACAGATGTGTGGTGGAATGGAATAAAATGTTAGGTATGACAACAACGAATTATAGAAATATGAGGCTGCCTTCAGGCACATGAATATATACATGAGGGCAGAAATATTTTGGTGGGAATTATTACTAAGGATGTGAGATCTTTGAAACAATATTTGGAATCAGAGGCGTCCAAGTTAAAATGAAGGAAGCTAGTCAATGAATGTTTCTTGAGCACAAATTATGTACCAGCTGCTGGTCTAGGCACAGAGAACATAGACATGAATGATCCAGACACAGTCCCAGCCTAGGTTTACAGTCAAATGCAGAAGATAGACATTAAGCCAATAATGAAAGAGTTCAGAAGAAACTAGGGCTTTGAAGAAGTGCGAGGTCCTGTAAAATCTGGGGTAAATGTAGTGTGGAGGAGAAGATAGATCTTACCTAGCATGGGAGGTTAAAGAAGGTCTCACTCTAGAGAAAATGTTGTTTAAAGCAACACTTAAGGCTGTCTTAACTAGGAGAAGAGGAGGGAAGTTGCTCTGTTAGAAAAAGGGAACATCATGGACAAAGGTCCATACAAAGAGTTGAGAGAATCCCATTGCATTATTTTCCTGTGGCTGCTGTAACAAACTACAGCAAACTGGGTGGTTTAAAACAACAGAAATTTATTGCCTCACAGTTTTGAAGGCTAGAGGTCCGAGATCAAGGTGTCAGCTGGGTTTGCTCCTCCTGAGGGCTATGAGGAAGAATGTTTCATGCCTCTCCCCTAGCTTCTGGTGATTTGCTGGCAATCCTTGGTCCCTTTGGCTTGTAGAAACATCATCCCCATCTCTGCCTGCATCCTCACATGGCATCCTCCTTGTATGAGCCTAGGTCTAAGTTCCCCTTTTCATAAGGACACTAGTGAATTAAGGGCTCACTCTACTCTAGAAGGACCTCATCTTAGCAAATGACATCTGACATAGCTCTATTTCCAAATAAGGTCACATTCTGAGGAGTCAGAACTTCAACATGTGACATTTTGGGCAGACATGCCTAGCCTGGAGAGAGGAGTGGGGATAATGGTTTGACGTGATCTCAGAAAGGCAATTAGGGTTCAAGCACATAATACACTTTAGGTGAACTTAGCATTTTGTACATTTTTTCTAAGGGCCATGGCAAACCATTTATGAATTTTAAGCAGGGGAGTGGAAATGATCATATTTGTGATTTTAAATGATTGCCCTGGCTTCAATGTGGGAGATGGATTAGTAGGTGGTACAACATATTGGATCTCTCCACTTTCATTTTTGGCATCTCTTTAGTTCTTCCTGTAGATATCAGCTCTCCCTACCCCATGTTCATAGAGGCCATTTAGCTGGCCTTTGAGAGCTCCAGATCTCTTTCTTGTACAAAATTCTGTCTTGGGAAATTTTCTATGCTTCTGAATCCATTTGTCATCCATAATGTATTTTTCTCCTTTAGACATCGAAGTTTAAATTTGCACAAAGAATTCATTTTAGTCAAATAACTCTTGATGTTTTCAGATTACTGAGACTTTACATTAGGCTTCAACTGAAAAAATTGCTAATAAAATGTTGAATAATTAGTAACGAGACAACTTGTGCATGACTGTAAAATTTCTGTAAACTCAAGTATTTAAGTTTGGGCTTTTACAAAATGATGAGAACGACTTTTGTTATTGTTGTTAGGTTTTTTTGTTGGTTTGTTTGTTTGTTTTTTGAGACAGGGTCTCACTCTGTCACCCAGGCTGGAGTGCAGAGGTGTGATCTTGGCTTACTGCAGCCTGGACCTCCCTGGCTCATACAATCCTCCAGCTTCAGCCTCTCGAGAGACTGGGACTACAGGTGCACACCACCACACTTGGCCAATTTTTTTTTTGTAGAGATGGGATTTCACCATGTTGCCCAGGCTGGCCTCTTAGGCTCAAGCAATCTGCCCAACTCAGCTTCCCAAAGTGCTGGGATTGCAGGCGTGAGCCACTGTGCTTGGCCGATGACAGCATTTTTTACGTTCATGTTGAGAAATGACTTACATAAGCAAGAGCAATGTTGAGTCAACTTAAGTTGATTCTCCCAGAGCTCCTTCTGGCTGTCCCATGTGAGCTGCAGGATTTCAGGTTTCAAACCTCACTCAACTGCAAGCCCTCCCTGGCTGCTTTATGCTGATCGGCAGAAAACTACTTTAAGTGATCTAATCTTCTCATAGGATTATGTCTGAGGATAATGAAACTTTACTAAATGCCTGTGGGAATTTGAAGATAGCCTTTATAATGAAGGTAATCTATTGTCATACTGCATGATAGTGAAGTAGAGGTATATTGAAAGTGATTAACAGAACAATTAAAAGATATAATGATGGGGCCTGTAAGTCTGAGATGCTGAGAAAAAGAAGAAAAGGTTATCATTTAAAAATTGATCTTAAGCCTTAACATGGGCTTCTGTGATCATCACTGGCAGAATAGCAAGGTTTAATCTCTTTGTTTCAGTCGTAAGGCAAAACTTCTGTTTCTTCCATTTATGAACAGTCAGAACTGGCACATACTTCAGAGGTAGTTTGTGTAGGACCTTCTGTATAGGGTTCATGCTGAGCTAATGTAACTAAAGCCGTTTGAATAAGAAAGAAGTATTTTTTCTTCTCTTCATGTAAAAGTCCAGAATTAAGTAGTGGAGGGCTGATGGGCATCTCTGTTCAGCGATGTCTGTCAGGATCCTGTGCTCGTGGGGGGCTCTGATATCCTCAACACCAGGCTCTCATTCCTGGGTATAGGTGGTGGCTCCAGTTATGGCCATTTCCCAGCCAGTGGGACAGGGGAGAGTCCAAGTCAAGTGGCTTTGTCTTTAAGGAAATGAAATAAAAATTACAATATCATTCTTGCTAGCCCATGGCCACTCTTAGCTATGAGGAAGGCTGGAAAGATAGTCTCTAGCTGGGCATTCTTATGCCTAAGTAACATTTGAAGGTTTTGTTACTAAAAGAAATACTGGGGCAATTAACTGTTTGTATCACACTCTTATTCTCTGAGGAAGAAATTCAGACCCAGAGAGGGTAAATGAGTAGTCAAAAGTCCCACCGCTGTAGAAACTCTGATCTCCAGACTCCCAGAAGGAGACAAACTTTTCTAAGTAGCTGTGGGAACTACCCCTTGTCCTGTTACTTCCACACCACTGGTATTAAGAAGAACTGTGCCAAAGGTCAAGAGTTTGTCTTTGAAATGGCAAGTTTGTCAGTTGGTTTCCAGGGATTTTCAGGAGTTAATTAATTGTAAGCATTTGTCCAATACCGCCCCAAAATCTAAGTTGCTTGTCAGATTAGCAGGCCATTGGTAGGCTTCCCATTACTTGTTCTAGAATAGTTTTCTCCATTTTAATATGTTGCTTTCAACTCCAAATTCATATCAACCCATGTTTGCTTCTTTTATTTTTTTATTTTTATTTTTTTTTGAGACAGAGTCTCACTCTGTCGCCCAGGCTGGAGTGCAGTGGCGCCATCTCTGCTCACTGCAAGCTCCGCCTCCCGGGTTCACACCGTTCTCCTGCCTCAGCCTCCCGAGTAGCTGGGACTACAGGCGCCCGCCACTATGCCCGGCTAATTTTTTGTATTTTTAGTAGAGACGGGGTTTCACTGTGTTAGCCAGGATGGTCTTGACTTCCTGACCTCGTGATCCACCCGCCTCAGCCTCCCAAAGTGCTGGGATTACAGGCGTGAGCCACGCACCCGGCCATGTTTGCTTCTTTTACAAATTTTCAAATTGAAAATCCAGCTTCCTGAGTAAACCTGTCACTGTTTCCCCTTGTTAGCATTTTCACATGTTGTCTTCCATTCTGAGATTATCATAGTTTGCTGAGATACACAAAGTAGCACATAAGATGACATAGAATGTAACCATTCTATTTCTATTTTTAAAAAAGCCTTAATTTCTACTTGTATAAGTACCTTCCTCACCATTTTATTGAGAGAAAAATGGATCAAACAAGCTGAAAAGGCAAGTATATTTTGTTTCAGTGTGGAAACAAAGAATTAGATTTCATTCTTTTTTTTTTACATGTTTTAAAAGTAATAGTTTTCAGAAGACCTAATTGATCGTTGTTTTATTTTTAGAATCATGTTGCCTTTGAGGAGTTCTTGACCAAACTTAAAAAATCTGTGGGCAGTGGCACTTCAAGCTTTCTGGGGCCTTTTCAGGTAATAGGATCTCAGTGTTCTGTTTCCTCTTGATCATTCCAGGGCAAGATTGCTGCTTCTTTTCAGCATAGCAACGTTTTAGTTCCAAAGAGTATATCTGTCTCACTTAGGTACTGGTGAACCCCTGGGGTTGTATTTTTCTGAGATGAAGATAGTTTAATACAATCTCCTTATACAACTATTCTAGATGTGTTTGTGGCTAAACATTAAGTCTTTTAAAAAGCCTTCAGGAAAATATGTGTTTGTCAGTAGAGCATTTGTTTTCTTGTAGGAAAGGTAGTTTTTCTTACCTTTCTCTTAAGTTTCTTAAAAATACTTAAATACACTCATAGTCTGTTAAGTCTAAGAATAATGTACAACGGGGAAATGGGGACGGTGGGACTCACAATAATACTCAGATTATTCCATCCACAAATTCAAACACTGGACATTTTAGTTTTTTATCTTGGTCCTTTTTGACTTAAGAGAACTTTATCTTGTATATCTGCCACTCTTCCAAAACTTTAATTTTCTACCCTTTCTTCTCTCATCTGTACACTTCTGATTACATACTCCCTTCTTCAGACCTAGACTTATCATGGTGGTTGCTCTCTATTTCAATAGGAACCACATAGAAACTCACGGGGTGTCAGGAAGCTGGCAAGTAGAAAGGCTCTGCTAGCTGAGTTTACCCAGGACCTGTATCCAAACTCTGCCCATGTTTTTAACCTCTGATTTATAGACTCTCCTGTTTGCTATGACCCCTCACATGCTCTGAACTGAGTTTTGACCTTCTATAGGTCTCTGACTATTAGAATTAATGCATGCTTTCACTGTCAATGGCTCACAAGGCTCTCCTTCCCAAGTCTGACCCACTTCTCTGTCCACTCCCCATCCTTAGTGTGGCCTCAGTTGTCCTAAAGATCTTATGTCCATGACCAATATTATTTCCTCTTTTGAAGATTATGAACAAGAGCTATGCAATATCAGGAATTTATACAATTCAGATAATGTATAATAATGTTTGTTTCAATTAAAATGACAAAAAATTGAGTCAATATAGCTAATTATATGCATGATGTTTATTGTGTTAAGATTTATTGGACTATGAATTACATTTTAATAGTAAACTACCCATTTAAATGAAAATGATAAAATTTCTATGTAGTAAAGCTAAGTAGGTTAATTGGGAAAGTGGTTCAGAGATGGCAGAACCAAAGTCTGTATGTATCTTTACGCTTCTTTTCTCCTGATAATTTCTTCTTCCTTGAATCCCAAGATATTACTTAAGTAGAGTTTTTGCCCAAACTCAAGTCTTTACTTTGAAAACTCCATAAGACAAGACAAAAAACCATTATGGATCTGTTCTAAATTTCCAAAAGCTGGGGTGGGCAAACAAGTTAGTTGAGGTTTAGAATATCTAGATTTCGACTGTGCTCAATTTAGTTTTCCAAGAAATAGAGAATGGTCACTATAGGGAAACTCATGCAGATCATTAGAAGGCTAAGGTGGCAGCCGATAGCAAAGGAGATAAAGGAAGCTACTTGCTAATTGGAATAGCTTTTTAAAAAATCTATTTTTTAAAATAGTATTTCTCCTTTCATTATATTCCAATTTATTATAGAAAAATTGGAAAATGCAAAACAAAAAAGAAAAATGTCAGCCGGTGACCACTACTGTCATAGTGGACTTTAGCCTTAAGGAGTAACTAAAGAGGAGGTGACAGTCACAGGGAAAAAAAGATGCAACCCAAAGTGGCAGGCACAAAAATAGCCATTTCCACAACATTATAATATTATCACTTAATCAGATTCTTTCCTAAAACCAGCCTTTGAGGAAAGTGTGGTGTGGTTGAGTGAAGAGGTAATTTTGGTTCTTAAACAGGGTGTAGGATTAGGGTTTTCTTGTTTGTTTGTTTGTTTTGAGACAGTCTCCCTCTATCGCCCAGGCTGGAGCACAGTGGTGCCATCACAGCTCACTATATAACCTCAGTCTCCCTGGTTCCAAGCAATCCTCCCACCTCAGTCTCCCCAGTAGCTGGGACTACAGCTGGGACACCATACCCAGCTAATTTTTAAAATGATTTTGCCATGTTGGCCAGGTTGATCTCAAACTCCTGGGCTCAAGCAATCCACCTGTCTCAGCCTCCCAAAGTGCTGGGATTACAGGCATGAGCCACTGTGCCTGGTGGATTATGGCACCAAAGAAGGGGAGCCCAGAGACTGGAAACAGTGAAAACAAACTCCCTCTACTTAGAAAGTACTTTACTTAGAAATGTTGCTTATTGCAGCCTTGCCCACTCTCCTTTGACACATTTCAAGTCTGTTCTCATACTTCCCTCTCTTTCCAGTACTCTCATCAATTTTCCCACACCCCTAGCTGTCACCGGAATAATAATAATGACGACAATACCAAAAGCAACTAACATTTAGATAGCACATTACAGCTTACAAATGCTTTCAAGTATATCTCATTTAATATTTGTATTAACATTTATTCATTTAACCAAAATTTAATGATTTCTGGCTAATTTTCAAGTGAACAAAACAAGCCTAGTGAATTAGGTATTACAGAACAAGCCTAGTGAATTAGGTATTAATAGTCCTCCTTCTACAAATGAGGAAACAGTGTTTAGGAAGTTCAGGAAACTTTCCCAAGAGGACACAGCTTTTATTTGAATCCAGTATTCAGCTCCAGGATTGCTTATTGTAAGTAACATTTTTTTCTTTTTCATGGTTCCTTGAATAGTGAGCTAAACGGTCAGTGAACTGAGTTTCTGTGACCTGAATCCTTAGTACTCTATAATAATAATTTGTTTCTAATGGAATTTTAAGCCCTGGAGTTTGTTTGGACCTAATTTTTAGGGGATACCATGTCCTCAATTCTTTCATATAAATATCTTATGCTGAGAGACAAACACTGGAGGATTTCTTTGATTCAGGCATAATATTTTGCTGCATAAAATCCAAGCGGCTTTCCTAAGATTCATGGAAAAATAGTAAGATATCCTGTACCAACTAGCACACATTGATTCTTTACTTTTTATTTTTTGACATACTAAATCTAAACTTCATTAGAGTAAGACTTTTGTATGTTTTCTTCAGGACTGTATTCCAAGCATCTAGCTAGTGCCTGATCCATAATATATGTTTGAAATATGTTTAATTCTTGAGCGAATTAAAGCACATTGTTGGTGTGAATGTAAAGTTGAATGGAAACTGTTTTATATACATCATTCATTCAATAAATTCAGTACATGGCCAGGCACTGTGCTAGGAACTGAGGGTAAAACGTAGGTTATATCCTAGTCAAATAATTTTGTAAGTCAGGACTTACAAACTGAAAGTTATGGAAATCCAGTAAGCTTTAAAAATCAAAACCAAAAATGAAATGCAGTGGCTCAGATAACTGGAAAGTTCCAGGGAGAAATGCGGCTTCAGGCATGGCTTACCCAGGGGGTTCATATGCTATAGGAGGCATCTGCTTCCTTTTTACTTCTCTGTTCTGCTTTCCTTTGTGTCACCTTTATTTTTAGGCTGGCTACCCTTAAGGGGAAGCAAGGCAGGTATATTCCTGGCATACTTTTAGCTGGTGTTTGCAGCTTCTTTCTAGAGAGTTGTTCTAATATATAGATGAGAAATGATAATGAATAGAATTAGGATAGTTCAATGGGAATGATAAAAAGTGAACTAATTTGAGCAATGTTTTCAAAGTAGAACTGATTCAATATAGAGGAAGAGGGAGAAGAAAGAGTCAAAGATTACTCCCAATTTTTTGGACAGGGAAACTAGTGAATATTCATGCCATTTACTGGTATTGAGTACTACACTGAAGTTGGGACAAATATTTTGAAAAAGATAAGTTTAGTTTTGGATGTGTTGAGTTTGAGGTTTTCATTATATTTAAAAAGATGTGGGCATTTTGATCTAAAAACTGAAAGAAATCTAGCTGGAGACATACTTGGAAGCCATTAATTAGCATGACGATAGCAATTGATGCCATGTGAGTAGATGAGATTATGTAGGAAGAGTTCGTAAAGTGTGAACATAAAAGATCTTACTGCAGAACCTTGAAGAACACTTATGATAAGGGATGGATAAAAGAGAAGAAGTTCGCAAAGGACACTGAATAGTAACCAGAAACTTAGAATGAGGTGTCATGGAGGTTATGGGAGAAAGTATTGAGAAGGGCAGCAATACCAATATTATCAAATGTAGTTGAGAATTAAGAAAGATAAGGACTAAGATATATTGGAAATGGGGTGGAGGCCACTCGTGATGTTATCAAGGCCACTTTAGTTGAATGGTGGGGGTGGAAACCAGATGGCAGTGGTTAGAGGTATAGTCAGAATTGAAGAACCAAGTAGAAAACTTCCAGTAGATTTTTCTATAAAAGAGAGGCAAAAAACAGGGTAATAATTGGTATGACACATGGGATTGAGGAGGGACTTTTGTTTTTAACTGGGAGAGGTTGAAGAATAGTTGAAGCTGTCTTTTCCAGCTTTTAGAGGACATTCACATTCCTTGGCTCATGGTCCCTTTTCTCCATCTTCAAAGCCAGTAACATTGCCTCTCCCCTGCTTCCTTCTTCCACTTTTAAGGACAATATATTTACAAGTTTTCTACTTGTTTCCTCAATTCTGACTACACCTCTAACCACTACCATCTGGTTTCCACCCCCACCATTCAACTGAAGTGGTCTTGATAACATCACAAGTGACCTCCACCCCATTTCCAATATATAGTAGTCCTTATCTTTCTTAAATTCTCAACTACATTTGATAATCATATTGTAATCATATTGGACCCACCCAGATAAACCAAAATAATTTCGCTATTTTAAGGTCAGCTGATTCACAACCTTAATTCCTTTTGCCATGTAACTCAATATATTTACAAGTTTCCATGATTAGAATGTGGACATCTTTGGGAGGCCATTTGTATGACTGCCATAGCAGACCAAACTAACTGATGAATTTTAGGAATCTGACACAGAACAGAAAAAGGTACTGGAGATGTTTAAGACAAATCTGAAACTAAGGAGAAATTTTATACATAAGCAAAGGAAAACTTATTTATATGTGACTTAAAGTAGAAATGGTTTTATTTTGTTTTTATAAGTTCTACATATCTCATTAATATTAGCCAGATGCCTATAACCTTATGTTTTAGGTCAAAAACTTCATAAGCATGAGGTTTGATTAAAAGTCCATTTGATAGCCTGTGTGGTTAGAAAACCAAATAAGTGCATTACATATGATTAAATGTAAGCCTAAACTGAATTTGGAAGTGCATCTTAACATGATAAATGTAATCAGGAAACACAGAAAGGCAATAATTATTGATTTATATGGAATAAATTGAACATAATTTCATTATTGGAGAAAACTTTGGAAAGAAAATAGAATAATGGATGGAAAAATACCTAAATAACTAAAATTATTCTTACATAATTTTAGTTTTTCAAGAATAATTACTTGATTAATCATATAACTATGATCAAATAGGGTAGATTGAAGAACTATTTACAAGGGGTACCCTTGTGTTGAAAATAAAAACATCTCCATCTGTCTATAGCTAAAGAGAAATATAATCTAGGATTCTGTCAGATAGAGGTTATCTATGTTGCTTTCAAATAAATTACATTGACATATCACTGTTGTTCCATGTTAGTTTTCCTGGTATTCCTGGTGAACAGAGGTACCAGTGAATCTCAACCTGTCTTCCACAGTAAGCACTCATGATAAATGATGGCATTCATATATGCAATACACATAAATGAAATTTAAGCTAATTCCCTGAGCAGTATTTCTGATGCTATCTTTTTGTCTCTTACTGAAGGTAATATAACTGATAGTTTGAGAATTAAATTCTTGTTATTATAGACATAATACAAGGGCCTACTAGCTTCTTATATTTGGCTGCCTTTCAATGCCCAAATTATTATCATCTGGGTCTTTATCATATGTGAAGTCACACAGTGCAGACTCCTTCATGAGTCCTGGGAATCCACAGATAGAACTTACCGTCATCTGGCTGTGGCTTTGCCCAGCTTCCCCACCATTTTTCCCACCCCTGCTATCTCATAACTACTCTCCATGCAGTGCAATATTGCTTGGCACATAGTACAAGTTCATTAAAAACCTGTTGAATAAACAAAGTTTATGGAAACATAAGGTAATTACAATGCAGAAAAGTAGAAATCCTATTCCTAAAATCTATCAGTCATTCCTCAGCCCTCAACTAAATTTCTAGGATTTATTCACTTTTCTTACTGAGAAAACCTCATTTTAACTTTATTCTTGCTGTCCAAGAGAAACCAAACCAGTTAACCCCATGATAATCTTTCAGAAATGCTGCCGTGACCACAGAAAATAGCCTTTTACATTGCTTTTTGGAGTAGTTAGATTTCTTTTATTACAAATTCAGCATTTCAGAACAGAATCTTCTATTACCTTTGCATAAGCAGAGGCTCATGAAAATGTTTACTCTAAAAGCCCAACTCCTATCCAAAAGGTGATAGAAAATTTATTTTTAGCAACACAAAATACCAATAAAGCTTTGATGTTCCAGGTTGTTTTTTTCTTAAACATTCAAAGAATCCAGATCAATATTTCCCCATTTCCTCCTTGCATATACACAGCAATTTGAAAGTGGTAAGCATTTTACAATCATTGATAAATCTGGCATTAGGAGAAGGCAAGGAGAAAATTTGTCTTGGTTTTTAGACTTATAGGGATCATGCCTTCCTCCCATTGTACACATGTAAAGATGATTTTGAATCTCCTCTATTTCTTTTTTTCAAAATAAGTCATATGCAAACTGCCCTGTGATCATTATTATTAGTAACATGTTACTAGTGACCTTTCCTCATACCAGTGTGTTGTAATAATTCAGCTGAGAGCACAAAGCAATAATTTATACCCAAGGGTCTTCATTCTCTTAGCTTTGTTTTCAAATTTTCACATGGTATGAATGAAGTCTTTTCCAAAAATTGTAATTTACAGATTTGGAATATAAAGATGTATGTGTATAATTGAAGCAATGACAACTCTATATCACAAATGTAGAAAATATAGACAATATAGCATGGTAGTCAAGAGGACAGGTAGCACTTCAAACTAACTAAAACCCCCAGAGGCCCCATGACAATAAAGTGTAGTGATTAAGTACCCACATCTTGGAATCAGAAAGACCTGGTTTTGAATCCAAGATCTACCTCTTATTACTGTGTCCTTGAACAAGTTATATGACCTCTCTGAGTCAGCTTCCTTGCTTCTAAGTAGGCACATTATTGCAGGTCTTAGCAGGTTATTGTACAGTGACAGATATAAAATGATGCCTCTAAAAACTAGAAGTCCCAAATCCCTTGGGCCTGTAATGCTGCCTTATATCCTCTTTTGCTGTGGTCAGCTTGCTCTCCTGTTCTCCACAGCCACTGTTTCATACCTTTTCACATTCCTAAAATCTGTGCCCACATCCCATCTCCAACGCTACTGAGGAAAAACAAAAAGCACTCTAAGTTGGGTGACCATACAATTTCTCATCTAGACTGAGACAGCTTTGAGAGTCAAAGGGGATGCTCTTATAACTTTATACCGAGACAATGAGTATTGACTAGGATTGTTCCAGACAAGCTAGGACACATAGTTACTTTAGTCATTACAAACTTCCCTCAATTTCCAATCACCATGCAAAAATAATCCTACCTATATCTGTGCTCATCCTTTCCTCCTCATCTCTTATTAGTGTGAAAAAGGCGTGGTCACCCCTCTGTCACCAAAAATCCCTCTGCTTATACTCTGGACCCATCTCTTCTCACCTTCCCAACTTTTCAGCTTTGCTCTATTATTCCCTCTCTCCTGTCTCTCCAACATCTTTTCAACCTTCCTTCTCTCTCTTTCTCATTGTCTTTCTCCTGGCTCCTTTCCATCAGAGCTATTCCCTACTTACAGCCTATTCTTCCCTAGAGCTTCCAGAATGGAAGGTAGTCCTGCTCACAACTTGATTTTAGCCAGTGAGGCCTGTGTCAGGCCCCTGAGCTACATAAAGATAAGAGAATACATTGTGTGGTTTTAAGCCTTTCAGTTTGTGATAATTTGTTAGAGCAGCAATGGTAAACTAATATACCTACCATCTGCCACATTGTGCTATTCATTTTTTTGATGTCTCATCTTTCTCTTTGTACCTTTTCTGTTCTTTAGTGATGTTCCCCACAGGGGGCGTAGATAAGTCTGAGTGGGTTAGAGATTAAGTTATAGTGGTACACCTGAAACTTTTAGCCTATTGAATATAAGCTAGCACACTTTTCTTGACCCTGGCTTTCCTCTACCCATGCCCTTAAACTCATAACAGACATCTTCAACAAGACCACAAATTTGTAAACATAGTGTAATGGTGTGAACTGAGGAGAAATAACCAAGCAGGCTTATAGCAAAAGTTGGTATTTTTATTCATTAGGAAATTTTTCTGGAGTCAAAAATTTAAATTTAGTTAAAATTTTACTATCTCATTGTCATCCCTTTAAAAGGCTTATGCGATCTTTTGCTACTTATTGTCTATAGCGATGAACATGAATCGGAGGATGAGTTGGGTTTTTAACAATTTTATTTTTAAAATAAGCATGTAGTAAAATTGACTTTTTTGGTGTACATGCCTATGAATTTTAACCCTATATGTTTGCTTTTAAAAGTTGTATAATTTTACATTTAGGTGTATGATCCATTTTGTGTTAATTAACACATAAGGTATGAGATTTAGGTAATGATTTTTTTTTTTTGGCTTATAGATATGGAATTGTTCCAATGCCATTTGCTTAACAACTATTTTCCCCCATTGACTTGTCTTTACATCTTTGTTAGAAATCAACTGGTCATATTTGTGTGGGTCTATTTTTGGACTTTTCATTTTTTTCCCTTGATTGATGTGTCTGTCTCTTTGCCAATGACACACTGTCTTGATGACTGTCACTTTATAAGAAGTTTTAAAAACAGGCAATGTGAGTCCTGCAACTTTATTCTCCTTTAAAATTGTTTGGGTGATTCTAATTCCTTTGCTTTTCTACGTAAATTATAGGATCAGATTGTTTGTATCAACAAAATATCTTGTGGGATTTTGATTGAAATAGCATTGTATGAGTAGATCAATTTGAGAGAAGTGACATCTTTAGTACGTTGAGTTTTCCCATCAATGAACATAGTATATCTCTCAATTTTCAAGTCTTACTTGCTTTCTTTCAGCAGCATTTGTAATTTTTACCCTGTAGAACCTGTACATCTTTTGTTAAACTCACACATAACTTTTTTAAGTTAATGTAAATGGTATTTTTAAAAAGTTGCTTTTCAATTGCTCATCACTAGTATATAGAAATATGATTGATATTTGTACATTGACCTTGTATACTGCAACTTTGTTAAACACACAGTTCTGGGAGGTTTTATTTTCTACATAGACAATCATATCATCTGCAAATAGGAAATGTTTTATTTCTTTCTTTCAAATCTGTATGCATTTTATTCCTTTTTTGCACCCTATTGCACTGACTATGACTTCCAGTACAGTGTTGCATAGGAGTGGTAAGAGTTGTACCCTTGCCTTGTTCTCATTATGAGGAGGAAAGCATTCAGCCCTTCACAATTAAATATGATGTTAGTAGTATTACATTGAGAAAGTTTCCTCCTATTTTTAGTTTTCTGAGATTTTTGGATCATGAATTGAATTGAATTTGTCAAATGCTTTTTTCTGCATTAATTGATTGAATTTTTGGTCTTTCTTCTGTAGAGTTTTTAGTTTTTCTTACATGTGGTGAACTGTTAGATTGGTGCAAAAGTAATCGCCTTTTTTGCCATTACTTTTAATGGCAAAATTTGCACCAACCTAATACATTGACTGATATTTAAATTTGCCTTTGCACTCCTAGAATAAACTCCACTTGGTCATGGTATATATATATATATACACACACACATATATATATACACACATATATATATATACTCAATTTGCTAATATTTTGTTGAAGATTTTTGTATCTATGTTCATGAGCAATATTGGCTTGTAGTTTTATTCTATTATCCTTGTCTGGTTTTGGTATTAGAGTAAGGCTGGCCTCAGAAAGTAAGGTGGAAAATTTTGGAAAAGATTGTGTGGAATATGTGCAATTTTTTTCTTTTAATGTGGGGTAGAATTCACCAGTGAAACCATCTGGGGCTGGAAATTTCTGTTTGGAATGTTTCAAACTACAAAATTAATTCCCTTAATACTTATGAGACTCTTCCCATTTTCTATTTCATCTTGAATGAGTTTAAGTAGTTGTGGATTTCAAGCAATTGGTCTATTTCATCTGTATTTTAAAATGTATGTGCATAGAGTACTTCGTAGTATTTCCTAATTTTTCTTTTAATACCTCCATGGTCTGTTATGATATCTCTTCTTTTGTTTCTATTTTCAAAGTCTTTGCAGTGTTATTTGGACCAGACCTATGTGTATAACTATTCGGTGGCCAGTCTAAGACCTGGGCGATGATTTAACTTTTAGTTTAGTTTTCAGAGTCTTTGGTATGCTGATTAGGGCAGATCCATGCCTGTATAGTTTGGAGATCAGCCTAGGAGTTCAGAACCAACTTTACTGGGTTGCTTTTCTCGGGTTCTCTCCATGATATCTCCATTACTTTCCAGTTCCCTGAAGCTCCCCTTTTCAGTCTTGCTTCCAGAAAGCTGGACTTTTATTTAATCTGTTCTGCCTGGCACTTCTGATGATTGTACCAGTGCTGTGGCTAAGTAGTAGAATGATAGAGAAGGAAGAAAACAATGGGGCTCACCCCACCCTCTTAGGTTTTGGGATCTGAGCTCCCCCACGTGGAGAGACAGTTTCTAATTCCTCAGAATTTTAGATACTTGCAGCATCCCCTGCCAAGTGACCCCTTGCCCACTTCTCAAGTCTAAACTATGGGGCTTCCCCTAGAGCTCTTTCTGTTTTCAGTGATGCCTACTTCTGGTTTTTAGGCTGGTTAGAGTTTAGGCCAGAGGACATCAGTGGAAAACATGGTACACACACGAGTGTTTAGGGTACTTTAAATTTGGTCTTCATCAGTCATCTGCCTGCTGCTGTTTACTTTTCAGAGTCTTCAAATGTCTACTTCGTGCATTCTGTATAGGTCTTTGGTTACATTCAGTGGGAGAGACAAGGTAGAATGCGCTTTCCTCATCTTACTCCACACAGGAATTGAATAGAAAATTTTTTATTAGATTGCAAAGTGATGTGCTTTGAACTGAAGGACTTTTGTGATAAGTTTCATGGACAACACTGAATATCCTGGTGGAAAGGTGATGCCAAGGGGATTGATTTTTTGGAGATTAAAGTTAACTTCTTAGTAGCCTCTCCCAGGGCTGCCTTAGCTCCCAAACTCATCATCCCCTGCCCCTGCCCCTTTCTAGCGTGCTTGAAAATCTCATATTAAAGAGTTGAGCTATTATCAACTCAGTGACACAATTTGCCATAACCTTCAGTGGCACAGGGCTGCAAACTGAGTATCTGCAAACAGAATTCTACCTCCATTGGCCCATTTTTCCAATCAGTTGTCTACTGATGGTTTAATCTGTCAACATTTGCTAATTTTATCATTATTTCATGTGACATCTGTAGTAAACTTAAAGGCCATTGCATATAAGGTTTATTGAATGAAGCATATAATTCTTATATTTTATAGTTTCACTTAAAGTTATTTTAAATTTTTTTCTTAGGCTGTTAGCTAACCAATTTAGCATGTGTTGAAATGGCAAGAGTTTACTCCTGCCCTAAAGTACATAAAAAGATGATTACATGTAATTTGGTGGAATACTCCTTGCATTTATGTTACCAGTTAATCCTCCTGTAAGCAGTTTAGTTGTTCACACACTGCAAAGTATGTGGATTAGGGCGAGGCAAAGACTGTGTGGGAATTTATAAAGATCAGGAACACTAGTTGGCCTGGTTAAATCCAATTTTCTCTTCTTTATGACCAGCTTAGAATCAGAATATTGTCCCTGAAATGAACATTAGAGGCAATTGACCTAACTTATAAAAAAAGAAAAGCAAATATAGTTAAGTGACTTGCTTCAGATTATACAGCTAGCAGGTGACAACACTAGGCTTAGGGTGTAGATCTTCTGGCTTCCAGCCTATTAGACCATGTTTACAAAGCAATTCTATAAACTCATCATTAGCTGGAAGGGTGTTCAGGGTGTTAGGAGCCACCAACTGTAACAGGCACACAGGGAGTTTACATCCCTTTAAAGCCTGCACCCTGGTCTTACTTCCTATTTGGAGTGGTTAAACTTTCATATGCTCACATGCATGTTCAGCTTGAAGGTTAGGAGAGGGTTAAAGGTCAGAACCATGCACTTTGGTCATTTAGAAGCAGGACAATATCCAAGCTTTCACCTTGGTATATACTCAGTTGCATCTTCCACAACAGCAGTAACAAAGGCAAACATTCTTTGAGAGAATGTGTGTGGCAGGTACCAGACTGGTCACTGGTGATAGAAAGGGTAGCCCTGGTTTCGTTTCTGCCCTCAGTGAGCTCACAGTGTAGCTAGTGATAGTTGGTTTGTGTCTGCAGAATACTCCCTGAGCTAAAGAATATATAATTGGAGGTCAGCTTTTTTTATTTCCCTTTCCCCTTTCTCCAATTTTGTATTTATTCCTATTTCTAAATGTGGGATGTGTATTCAAGTACTACTTTAATTTTATTAGCCTTTTTTGAAGTCCTGAGGCATCTTTCAGTGAACAAGAACCAGGGGTGTAAGCAGACAGATTTCCTAACACTGACTCATTAACGGGGTAGCCACACTCTTTTCTGACAGCCTGCGGTCTCGGAGTGCTCCTGAAGTGTCTAGGTTCTTGTTTTCATCTCTGTTAGCATCTAAGGATAAAGGGTTTGGGGGTATTTCTAGACCCCACTCATTCCTGGTTCTGGTTTCTTATGATCTGCTCTGTCTTGAGTGTCTGGGCTGCATCCCCTGCTGCATTTGCCCTGGCTTGGGCCATATTCTCTGACTCACAGCTCCCTATCAGCACTAATATTTTGATTGGGCTCACCCTGTTGCACAGAATAAAGTATCAGAAAGCACCTATACTGCTTCTGAAGAAATGCTAAACAATAAATTATTTAAGAAAAAGAAAATGGAGAAATATGTTGTGGTGTTTGGAAGAAAGGCGTGGGGCAAGTAAGGGAATGGTTCCTGGTAATAACTATAGTTAGTTTTTGCTCTGCTTTTTTACCTTAATTCTGCTAAGTTATCATATCAAATATTTTCAAAAGTGGTGATAGCTAATGAGGGCAGAGGAGCAGGGTGGAGCTTTGGAATTTTATTTACCTCAATGATTTGGTGCCTCTTGCCTCTGGCCTCCTTGGCATTTCAGGTCTTCAGGGATTTAAAACAATACTTAAGAGAACATGGCTACTGTGTTCAGATAATATGTAGTAATATTTTTAATTGAAGCAATATAATTGATAGCTGTTGTAATTAAACAGAGCCAATTAAAGGAGGAACCAAATACTTTGGCTTCTGCAATCTAGGTTCGGTATCTTTAAGAGTTACTGGTCTGTGTAGATTTTTGCTAAGATTGGAAGCCCACTGTGTTTACCTGGAGGCCTTCAGGCTGACTCTCCACTCTTTGAGGGGCATCTAAGTGAACACAGGCTGCAAATACAGCTCAGAGGGCTCTTAGATGGCCCTGTTGAGAAATTTTAGCAAAGATGGATTAAATCAAAAGACCTAGGTTCCTTCTGGACTTACAGATCAAGGATCTGGAAATTTTTACAGCATCTTAGACTGGAGAGGATTCCATGAAGTGTTTCTGGGCCCATGGCTGTTCTGTGCAGTCTCTGAACCAGTCCATAGCCACTGGCTTATGTATACAATTATTAGGAGAGAGGAGTGGTGAATGATCTGAGGGCATCCAAATGGCAAGGGACCAAATCATAATAATTTAAAAAAATACCCACTGCCCAAAATAGTTGCTAACATTTATTAACTGTGATCTTATTGTGTGAACATTTATTGTGTGATCTTATTCAATCATTACAATACCCTTTAAGGGATGGACACTATTATTTCCCCCAATTTTTAGATAAGGAAACTAAAAAATATTAATTACTTGATGTCTCATAGACAGAAAATGGAATTTTTCTTTTTGAATGGCTCAAAGTAAAAAGGAGGACATTACTGTTTAAATGTCTTGTTTTTTATTATGGTAACAATATGCAAAAAGTTTTAGATCTGCAAGACTCCCTTTGATTTTATGGTGGGAAATCAAAAACCCTGCAATACTCATTTTCCCAAGATCATGCAAGTAGTAAATGACAGAGCTGAGAATAAAACTCATGATTTTTGACAAACAAGGCAAAGAAGTCCTTTTCACTAACTTCTTGATGGCAGAATTTAGAAGGTTATGGAAGTGGTTGGAAGCCTGCCATTATACAGTAACCAGAAATTTGCTACCACCTAGTGGGTCAATTGAGTAATTTACATTTTCAAAAGCAGTTTCAGATATTGCATATTGAGCAGCATAAACATACACACACACAAAGAAGGAGAATACAAAGAATATGGGGTGAATAGGGATTTTGAAGATTCTCTAGTCTATTGCCAACATTTTGCAGATGGGAGCGTTTGAGTGTGAAGAATTGACAGGCTTCTCCAAGGTCACACAATAAATATAATGGAGGCAAAACTGGGAGTAAAACTCCAGTCTCTTTGGTTTTGGTTCAGTGTTCTTTTCCTCTGGTACTCTATAAATAGGAAAGAAAAGGTTCTTTCAGTTAATGGAATCCAAAATCAAAGTATTTGCCTGAAGTATTTTGAGGCTTTCAGCACACATATATCATTCAACTTTCTATTTTGGCAGTCAAGTCTTGGTTATATTAGTGGAAAGGAAAATGTTTGTATGTAATAGGGACATATATCTGTATATCCATATTTATATACATTTATGTTTATATACCTGTACTTATAATTATACCTATACTTATATACCTACACTCAGAGTGCTCCTAAAGTTGCTAGGTTCTTGTTTACATTCCTGTTAGCATCTAAGCATAAAAGATATAGGATGTTTCTTGATGCTGTATCCTTAGATACTAACAGGGATGAAAACAAGAACCTAGCAACTTTAGGAGCACTCCAAGACCTGAGGCTGCCAGGGGTGTTGAGGAAACCAGAAAAGAGTATAGCTATCCCCTTATTGAGTCAACATTAGGAAATACGTCTGCTAATATTGCTCATTCTTATTCACTGAAAGATGCCTCATAACCTCCAAAAAGGCCTATAAGATAAAAGTAATTCTTAGTCTATTTATCTTAGGCTAATACTAGAATAAATTTCCATTTCTTGGGCACGTAATAACTTGTGATATACTGGAAGTAGGCTGGATGGCAGTAGAATGCTGTTCAGTATTTTTTTAAAAAATAGTTAATAAAACAGATGAATAGACTGTAAATAATCGAGTATATATTGTATAAAGTATGCTTCATGCCATTATTGTCATAGTGGTAAAGGAGTTTTATAACAAATTTTAAAGAAGCTGATTTCAAAAACATTTTTATTTCTATTTTTGATAAATTTATTTTGCATATGAAATAGCACATAAGATCTACCATAATACACTTTTAAATATTCTTAAGAACTGGTTTGTTGTATCTATACATGAAATGGACCATTACTTAAAATGGTGGGTCCTTCTTTGTCACATTTGTTAGATTCTTTCTTAAAACAATCTATCTTGGGAAGTAAGAACTGTTTGACTGTGTTCTTTTGAAAGACAGCAGGGGAACTAGGGCAGAGACAAACATGGGCTCCTCTCAGGAAAAAGCAGTCCTTTTTTTTCTTGGATGATTTCTAAAATGTCCCATATGGAGATTTTAGAGAATTTCTTGGTTTTTCACCCCTTTTTTACATGCTCTAGGTATGCTCCTCCAAGACACTCTCATAGGTGGAAGCCACCATCAAGCATCTTGCCATCTTCACTGTACTCATTTGTCATCATCTTCAATTTTGCAGGATTGTAAACACAGTGAAAAATTTCAATATACATTCAGTAATTTTAAAATGACAATGAGAGAAAGAAAGAAAGATAGAAAGAAGGAAGGAAGGAAGGAAGGAAGGAAGGCAGGCAAGCATTAAAACTTTTAAACCCAAACAAAAATACACAAAAGGAATCTGGCTGCTTGTTTGGATACATAGGTAGAAAAATGTCTTTCTGACCGAAGCAAGAACAATTTCCTCCATTACAACTTTGGCCATCATTTAGATAAGCTGCTTTTCTTTAACCACTATGCCTAATAGGCAGAGATAGGGCAGGATCTAGTTGAGATCCACCACCATCATTTAACTTGTAGCCAATCACTTAATCTCTGTATGTGTTAGTTTCCTAATATAAAACTGGTGTAATTATTATAGCTATCTTACAGTTTTTTTTGGTGTGTGTGAATATGACATACTGCAGTTAAAGTGTTTAGAACAATGTTTGGCACATAGTAAACAATTTTAAGCTATTAGAATAACTAAGAATGGGTTGCAGTTAGTTTTTTTTCTTTTAATTTTAAAAAAATTTTTGCATACATAGTAGTTGTATATGTTTATGGTATATATGAAATGTTTTGTTACAGTCATGCAATGTGAAATCATCACATCATGAAGAATGGAGTATCCATCCCTTCAAGCATTTCTCCTTTGTGTTACAAACAATCTAATTACACACTTAGTTATTTTGAAATGTACAATTAAGTTAGTATTGACTATTATTGACTATTATAGTCTCCCTGCTGTGCTATCAAATAGCAGGTCTTATTCACTCTTTCTACTTTTTGTACCCATTAACCATTCCCAGCCCCCCGCCAACCCCTCACTACCATTCCCAGCCTCTGGTAAACCATTCTTCTATTTTCTATATCCGTAAGTTCGAGTGTTTTGATTTTTTAGACCCCACAAATAAGTGAAAACATGCAGTGTTTGTCTTTTTGTGTCTGGCTTACTTCATTTAACAAAAGGATCTCCAGTTCTATCCATGTTGTTGCAAATGACAAGATATCATCCTTTTTTATGGCTGAATACCACATGAGTACCCTGTGTGTATATGTACCACATTTTCTTTTTAAAAAAATTTATTTTAAGTCCCAGGATACATGTGCAGAATGTGCAGGTTTGTTGCATGGGTATACATGTGCCATGATGATTTGCTGCACCTATCAACCGGTCATCTAGGTTTTAAGCCTCACGTGCATTAGGTATTTGTCCTAATGCCCTCCCACCCCTTGCCCCCAACCCTCCGACAGGCCCCGGTGTGTGTTGTTCCCCTCCCTGTGTACATGTGTTCTCACTGTTCAACTCCCTTTTATGAGTGAGAACATTCAGTGTTTGGTTTTCCATTCCTGTGTTAGTGTGCTGAGGATGATGGCTTCCAACTTCATCCATGTCTCTGCAAAGACATGAACTCATTATTTTTTATGGCTGAATAGTATTCCATGGTGTATATGTACCACATTTTCTTTACCCAGTCTATAATTGATGGGCATTTGGGTAGTTCCATGTCTTTGCTATCACAAATAGTGCTTCAATAAACATACGTGTGAATATGTCCTTATAGTAGAATAATTTATATTCCCTTGGGTATATACCCAGTAATGGGATTATTGGGTCAAATGGTATTTCTGGTTCTGGATGCTTGAGGAATTGCCACACTGTCTTCCCAATGGTCAAACTAATTTACATTCCCACCAACAGTGTGTAAAGTTGTTCCTATTTCTCCACATCCTCTCCAGCATCTATTGTTTCTTGACTTTTTAATGATTGCCATTCTGACTGCTGTGAGGTAGTATCTCATTGTGTTTTTTTTTTTTCATATGTTTGTTGGCCAAATAAATATCTTCTTTTGAGAAGTGTCTGTTCATATCCTTTGCCCACTTTTTGATGGGGTCATTTGTTTTTTTCTTGTAAATTTGTTTAACGTCCCTGTAGATTCTGGATACTAGCCCTTTGTCAGGTGGGTAGATTGCAAAATTTTTCTCCCGTTCTGTATGTTGCCTGTTCACTCTGATGACAACTTATTTTGCTGTACAGAAGCTCTTTAGTTTAATTAGATCCCATTTGTCAATTTTGGCTTTTGTTGCAATTGCTTTTGGTGTTTCAGTCATGAAGTCTTTGCCCATGCCTATGTCTTGAATGGTATTCCCTAGATTTTCTTCTAGGGTTTTTGTAGTTTTGGGTTACATTTAAGTCTTTAATCTATCTTGAGTTAACTGTTGTATCAGGTGTAAGGAAGGGGTCCAGTTTTGGTTTTCTGAATATGGCTAGCCAAGTTTCCCAACACCATTTATTAAATAGGGAATCTTTTTCCCATTACTTGTTTTTTTTTTTCAGTTTGTCAGAGATTAGATGGTTTTAGATGTGTGCTGTTATTTCTGAGGTCTATGTTCTATTCCATTGGTCTATATATCTGTTTTGATACCAGTACCATGCTGTTTTGGTTACTGTAGCCTTTTAGTATAATTCGAAGTTAGGTGGTGTGATGCCTCCAGCTTTGTTCTTTTGCTTAGGATTGTCTTGACTATACAGGCTCTTTTTAGTTCCATGTGAAATTTAAAGTAGATTTTTCTAATTCTGTGAAGAATGTCAATGGTAGCTTGATGGGAATAGCATTGAATCTATAAATTACTTTGGGCAGTAAAGCCATTTTCACGATATTGATTCTTCCTATCCATGAGGATGGAATGTTTTTCCACTTGTTTGTGTCCTCTCTTATTTCCTTGAGAGCAGTGGTTTGTAGTCCTCCTTGAAGAGGTCCTTCACATCCCTTGTAAATTGTATTCCTAGGTATTTTATTAAATTTATAGCAATTGTGAATGGGAGTTCATTCATGATTTGGCTCTCTGCTTGTCTATTTTTGTTGTAAAGGAATGCTTGTGAATTTTGCACATTGACTTTGTATCCTGAGACTTTGCTGAAATTGCTTATCAGCTTAAGGAGTTTTTGGGCTGAGATGATGGGGTTTTCTAAGTATAAAATTTTGTTGTCTGCAAACAGAGACAATTTGACTTCCTCATTTCCTATTTGAATACCCTTTATTTCTTTCTCTTGCCTGATTACCCTGGCCAGAACTTTCAATACTATGATGAATAGGAGTGGTGAGAGAGGGCATTCTTGTCTTGTGTCGGTTTTCAAAGGGTATACTTCCAGCTTTTGCCCATTCAGTATGATATTGGCTGTGGGTTTGTCATAAATAGCTCTTATTATTTTGAGATATGTTTCATCAATACCTAGTTTATTGAGAGTTTTTAACATGAAAGATGTTGAATTTTATCCAAAGCCTTTTCTGCATCTATTGAGATGATAATGTGGTGTTTGTCATTGGTTCTGCTTATGTGATGGATTACTTTTACTGATTTGTGTATGTGGAACCAGCCTTGCATCCCAGGGAAGAAGCTGACTTGATCATGGTGGATAAGCTTTTTGATGTGCTGCTGGAATCAGTTTGCCAGTATTTTATTGAGGATTTTTGCATCAATGTTCATCCGGGATATTGGTCTGAAGTTTTCTTTATTTGTTGTGTCTCTGCCAGGTTTCGGTATCAGGATGATGCTGGCCTCATTAAAAAAGTTAGGGAGGAGTCCCTCCTTTTCAATTGTTTGGAATAGTTTCAGAAGGAATGGTACCAGCTCCTCCTTGTACCTCTGGTAGAATTTGGCTGTGAATCCGTCTGGTCCTGGGCTTTTTTTTTTTTTTTTTTTTTTTTGGTTGGTAGACTACTAATTACTGCCTCAATTTCATAACTTGTTATTGGTCTATTCAGGGATTCAATTTCTTCCTGGTTTAGTCTTGGGAGGGTGTATGTGTCCAGGAATTTATTCATTTCATCTATATTTCCTAGTTTATTTGCATAGAAGTGTTTATAGTATTCTCTGATGGTAGTTTGTATTTCTGTGGAGTTAGTGGTGATATCCCCTTTATCATTTTTTATTGGGTCTATTTGATTCTTCTATTTAGTCTAGCTAGCAGTCTATTTCATCAATTTTTTTCAAAAACCAGCTCCTGGATTCACTGATTTTTTGAAGGGCTTTTTGTGTCTCTGTCTCCTTCAGTTCTGCTCTGATGTTAGTTATTTCTTGTCTACTGTGAGATTTTGGATTTGTTTGCTCTTGCTTCTCTAGCTCTTTTAATTGTTATGCTAGGGTGTTGATTTGACATCTTTCTAGCTTTCTGATGTGGGCATTTAGTGCTATAAATTTCCCTCTTAACACTGCTTTATCTGTGTCCCGGGGATTTGTATATGTTGTCTCTTTGTTCTTATTGGTTTCAAGGAACTTATTTATTTCTGCCTTAATTTCATTTTTTACCCGGAGTCATTCAGGAACAGGTTGTTCAATTGCCATGTAGTTGTAAGGTTTTGAGTGAGTTTCTTAATCCTGAGTTCTAATTTGATTGCACTGTGGTCTGAGAGACTGTTTGTTATGATTTCAGTTCTTTTGCATTTGCCAAGGAGTGTTTTGCTTCCAACTATGTGGTCAATTTTAGAATAAGTGCCATGTGGCACTGAGAAGAATGTATATTCTGTTGATTTGGGTTGGAAAGATCTGTAGATGTCTTTTAGGTGCACTTGATCCAGAGCTGACTTCAAGTCCTGAATATCCTTGTTAATTTTCTCTCTCATTGATCTGTCTAATATTGACAATAGGGTGTTAAAATCTCACCCTATTATCATGTGATAGTCTAAGTCTCTCTATAGGTCTCTAAGAACTTGTTTTATGAATCTGGGTGATCCTGTAATGGATGCATATATATTTATGATATTTAGCTCTTCTTCTTGCATTGATCCCTTTATCATAATGTAATGACCTTGTCTTTTTTTTTTTTTTTTTTTTTTTTATCTTTTTTGGTTTAAAGTCTGTTTTAGGTCAGATGTAGTGGCTCATGCCTGTAACCCCAGCACTTTGGGAGGCTGAGGAGGGTGATCACTTGAGGTCAGGAGTTCAAGACCAGCCTAGCCAACATAGTGAAATCCTGTCTCTACTAAAAATACAAAAATTAGCCAGGCGTGGTGGTGGGCACCTGTAATCCCAGCTTCTCAAGAGGCTGAGGCAGGAGAATTGCTTGAACATGGGAGGCGGAGGTTGCAGTGAGCCGAGATTGTGCCACTACACCCCAGCCTGGGCAACAGAGTGAGACTCCATCTCAAAAAAAAAAAAAAGTCTGTCTTATCAGAGACTAAGATTGCAACCTCTGTTTGTTTTTTTTCTTTCCATTTGCTTGGTAAATTTTCCTCCATCCCTTTATTTGAGCCTATTTGTGTCTTTGCATGTGAGATGGGTCTCCTGAATACAGTACACTGTTGGGTCTTGACTCTTTATCCAATTTGCCAGTGTGTGTCTTTTAATTGGAGAATTTAGCCCATTTAGATTTAAGGTTAATATTGTTATGTGTGAATTTGATCCTGTCATCATGATGCTAGTTGGTTATTTTGCACACTAGTTGATGCAGGTTCTTCATAGTGTCATTGGTTTTTATATTTTGGCGTGTTTTTGCAGTGGCTGGTACCAGTTTTTCTTTTCCATATTTTGAGCTTCTTTTAGGAGATCTTGTAAGGCAGGCCTGGTGGTGATGAAATCCCTTAGCATTTTCTTGTCTGAAAAGGATTTTATTTCTCCTTCACTTATGAAGCTTAGTTTGGCTGGATATGAAATTCTGGGTTGAAAATTGTTTTCTTTGAGAATGTTGAATATTGGCCCCCACTCTCTTCTGGCTTATAGGGTTTCTGCTGAGAGATCTACTGTTATAGTCTGATGGGTTTCCCTTTGTAGGTGACCTGATCTTTCTCTCTTTCTGCCCTTAACATTTTTTCCTTCATTTCGACCTTGGAGAATCTGATGGTTATGTGTCTTGGAGTTGATCTTCTTGTGCAGTATCTAGTGATGTTCTCCATGTTTCCTGAATATGAATGTTGGCCTGTCTTGCTACATTGGGGAACTTCTCCTGGATGATATCCTGAAGTGTGTTTTCCAACTTGGTTCCATTCTTCCTGTCCCTTTCAGGTGCTCCATTCAATCATAGGTTCAGTCTTTTTACATAGTTCCATATTTCTGGGAGGGTTTGTTCATTGCTTTTTATTCTTTTTTCTCTAATCTTGTCTGCATGCCTTATTTCAGCAAGATGGTCTTCAAGCTCTGATATCCTTTCTTTTGCTTGATTGATTTGGCTATTGATACTTACGTATGCTTCACGAAGTTCTTGTGCTGTGTTTTTCAGCTCCGTCAGGTCATTTATGTTCCTCTCTAAATTGGTTATTCTAGTTAGCAGTTCCTGTATCCTTTTATCAAGGTTCTTAGCTTCTTTGCATTGGGTTAGAACATGCTCCTTTAGCTCAGTGGAGTTTGTTATTACCCACCTTCTGAAGCCTACTTGTGTCAATTCATCCATCTCATACTTTGTCTCATTCTGCACCCTTGCAGGAGAGGCATTGCAATCATTTGGAAGTGAAGAGGCATTCTGGATTTTGGAATTTTCAGAGTTTTTGTGCTGGTTTTTCCTCACCTTTGCAGATTTATCTACCTTTGGTCTTTGAGGCTGATGGCCTTTGGATGGGGTTTTTGTGGGGGGAACTTTTTTGTTGATATTATTGTTGTTGCTTTCTGTTTGTTAGTTTTTCTTCTAACAGTCAGCCTCCTCTTCTGTAGATTTGTTGCAGTTTGCTGGAGGTCCACTCCAGACCCTGTTCACCTGGTTATCACCAGTGGAGACTGCAGAACAGCAAGATTGCTGCCTGCTCCTTCCTCAGGAGGCCCTGGGGGTCAGGGACCTGCTTGAGGAGGCAGTCTGTCCCTTTGCGGAGCTCGTGTGCTGTGCTGGGAGCATCCCCCATGTCAGGATCAGCTTCTCTCTTCAGAGCAGGTAGGTAGGAAAGATTAAGTCTGCTGAACTTGAAACTGCAGCGGCCCCTCCACACAGTTGCTCTTTCCTAGGGAGATGAGAGTTTTATCTGTAAGCCGCTGACTGGGGCTGCTGGATTTCCTGTAGATATGCCCTGCCCAGTGAGGAGGAATCTAGAGAAGCAGTCTGGACACAGCTGCTTTGCTGTGCCATGGTAAATTCTGTCCAGTACAAACCTCCCTGTCTCCTTAGCACAGTCAGGGGAAAACTGCCTACTAAAGCCACAGTAATTGCAGTCACCCCTCCCCCAACCAAACTCAGTCATCTCAGGTTGACTCCAGACTGCTGTGCTAGCAGTGAGAATTTTAAGCCTTTTGGCTTAAAATTTGGTTCTTAGCTTTTTGGGCTCTGTGGGAGTGGGACCTGCTGAGCGAGACTGCTTGGTTCCCTGGCTTCAGCCCTTTTTCCAGGAGAGTGGATGATTCTCCTGTCTCACTGGAGTTCCAGATGCTGCTGGAGTATGAAAAATCTCCGGCAGCTCAGTGCCTACCCAAACAGCTGCCCAGTTTTGTTCTTGAAACCCAGGTCCCTGGTGGTCTAGCTCACGAGAGAATCTCCTGATCCACAGAGACTGCAAAAATCCGTGGGAAAAGCATAGTACCCCGGGCAGGTAGCACAGTTCCTCATTGCTTCCTTTGGCTAGGGGAGGGAGGTCCCCTGGCTCCCTGCATTTACCAGGTGAAGTGATGCCCCACCCTGCTTCTGCTCTCTCTCTATGGGTCTCACCCACTGCCTAACCAGTCCCAATGAGATGAACTGGGTAAATATCTATTAGATTCATTTGGTATATAGTGCAGATTAAGTTCAATGTTTCTTCGATCTGTATGGAAGATCTGACTTTTATTGTATTGAGGCCTATTTCACTCTTTAGCTCTAAAATTACTTGCTTCATATATCTGGGTACTCCAGTGTTTGGTGCATATATATGTAAAATTGTTATATCGTCTTGCTAAATTGACCACTTTATCATTTTATAGTGACTTTCTTTGTTAGTTGGATTGTGAAGCTATCTAAGTCTAGGCTTAGCTCTGTGGTACCATCAATCAGATAACATCCGTCTTGAACCAGCCTTCATTCTGACCATTTGGAACTAATTCTGTTCCTTAGAGAGTAGTCCTTTAATGTCTTGGAAAGAGCAGGATTTCCCCCAAAAGTGTCAAATGTGCCTCTGCTCTGTCCTATGTGGGGGCTATGGTATAATAGCAGGACTAAAATTAGTCTAATGTGAGTGGAGCTATTATCCCTTTTCCTCCTCAGAAATGGCTAGAATTGGTTGACATCCCAAGAGTAAATAATGAATTAGGCTACTTTTCAACAGCAAAAAGATAATGCTAAGTCCAGGTCTTGTCCTTGGCTTTCTGGTCCCTGGACAGTTGACCATAGTCAAAACTGGTCTCTGAGAGTGATGCCTTGTGACAGGTTGTACCTGTGCCAAGGAGTCATGGGCATTGGAACCCTGGAGGGTATACACTGGAGATTCCTTGGGGCCACATAAGATCCTCTTCAGCTTGCTCAACTGTTATCCCAGACCATGGGAGTCCTTGGAATAAGCCATGGGAAGTGTAGACCTAAGGTTCCTCATATAGGAGTGAAGTCATAAAGTCCCAGCATAGCATTTTGAGGTTTCAGAGCCCATTTCTATATCTGAGTTAGAATATTTTATTTTTGTTGGATCAAGTGCAGGAGGTTAGTTTAATTACATTTATAATATTCTTCAGTTTATGTATGTTATAATCTTTGGTCCATATAAGGCTCTTCTCTTGTTTAATTTATTCCCATTCCTCATTCTCCACTTTCCTCTACCTGTAAGTAACCATACTATGTGTTCTTATGTATAATTTCATTGTATGTGTTCTTGTTAAATATTAATTTTGTTTTGCATGTATGTACTTTTAATATATGTACATGGTACTGTGTAACAAATCATTGTATTTCTTGTATTTTGGTCAGCACTGTGATTTTAAGATTGAGCCATGTTGCTTTATATTCATTAGCTGTTTTTTTTTTTTTTTTTTTTTTGAGATGTATGTATGTAATCAACTAAGGGCCTCTAGATTCCTCTCCAGAGCACATACATACTTCAGGTTGCACTCTAGCCAGTAGTGAGCAAGGGTTCCTTTATCTCCATATCTTCACCAACACTTGGCATTTCCCAGATTTCCATGTTTATTCAGTCTCACAGAGGTAAAGTGGTAACTTATTATTGTTTCAATTAGCATTTCTCTGATCATTAGTGAGTTTATCTCTTTATATGATAATAAGCCTTTAGGTTTTGCTATAACAAAATACCATAAATCAGGTAGCTTATGAAAAAAAGAAATTTATTTCTCACAGCTCTAGAGGTTAATAAGTCCAGGATTGAGGTGCTGGCAGATTCACTGTCAGGTGAGGGCTCACTTCCTGGTTCATAGATGGTGTCTTCATGGTTTGTCCTCACATGGCAGGAGAGACAAGGTGGCTCTTTGGGGCTTCTTTTATAAGGGCACTAATCCCATTCATGAGAGCTCTGTCCTCATGACCTAATCACTTTCCAAAGGCTCCACCTCCTAATATCACATTGGTTTTAACATGAAATTTGAGAGGATACAAACATTCAGACCATAGCAGATTTCCTCATCTATGAATTGCAATATTTTATTAACAGTCATTACTTTTTAGAACAGTAGTAGATTTACAGAAAAATTGAGCATATTGTTCAGAGAATTCTCATATTCTCTGTCCCCTCCCTATATTCTCCCCTATTATTAACATCTTATGTTAGTATGGTACATTTGTTACAATTACTGAACCACAGTGTGTTCAGATTTTCTTAGTTTTACCTAAAGTCTTTTCCTGTACCAGGAGGCCACCCAGAACACCACATTACATTTAGTTGTTACGTCTCCTCAAATTCCTCTTGAATGTGATGGTTTCTCAGACTTTCCTTGTTTTTGGTGACCTTGACAGTTTTGAGGAGTACTGGTCAGGTATCTTGTAAAATGTCCCTCTAATGAGACTTTTCTGATGTTTCTCTTATCACTAAACTGAGTGTATTGATTTTGGGGAGGAAGACCACAGTAGTAAAGCACCATTTTCATTATCATATCAAGGATACGTACTATCTACATGATGTGGCCTCTTGATGTCAACCTTGATCACTTGACTGAACTAATGTTTTCCAGGTTTTTCCACTGTAAAGTTTCTCTTTATTCGTCTCTTTCCCTGCTTTACTCTTTAGAAGAAAGTCACTATACAAAGTCCACACTTAAGGAGTGGGGAGTTATGTTCCTCTTTCTTTAAGTGAGAGTATCTACATAATTCATTTATAATTCTTTTGCAGGGGAATGTTGTCTTTTCTCTTCCATTTATTAATATATACGATACTTTATTTCATTAATATGGACCGCTTTATGGACATTTATTTTATATGTTGGATTATAATCCAATACTACTTTATTTTGCGGTCAAGTTGTTCCAGCTTTGGTCATTGGAGCTCTTTAAGTTGGCTTTTGTGTCCGTTTGACATACCCTGGTTTTGTGTGTGTTTGTGTATTTGTGTGTGCATGTGTGTATTTTCTGAGCAATTTGCATTGGTTCTGACACTACAAGATGGTGTAGGCTTATTATGTATATTTCCTCCAATAGTCCTAAACTCTTCACAGATCCCTGGTTCTTGCTATTGGCATGTGATATTAGAAACAAAGATCTGGGTGTGAGTGCCAGGTGTGCTCATTGCTCTTTGGGTATTGTGTCTTTGGCCCTCTCAGCTGACAGAGCAAAGAAGTATATGTGTGTCTACACATATCTGTAAATATTTCTATGTGTAACCACCTGTATCTATCTTAAATTAAACATGAGTTCTTACTGATGTTCCTAACTCATATTCATTACTACATGGACCATTCCAGCTTCCTCCCCTTGTTTATTTGTAAATTCCTACTCCCACAGTGAGAAACCTGGCTCCCACTATCTGCCCTTCACTCACTTACTTAATTGTTCAATTCCAGTATACATGTATAGTAGTATCAGAATTGTTAATACATATTCCCATGGGAAGGAACTTTATTACCTGGAGTGTAGTGCTTATGTGCAGTTCCTTTTGCCTCTAGTCTTACAGACTCCACTAATTTCTAAAGGCATGTAGATAAATGCCTTTTCTTCCAAGTCTTTCAATCAAGTTGTTTCATGCATATGCAAAACAGTTAGATTTTCTTGCCACAGCTTTCATTCTTTCCTGGAATCCTCAACCCCCTAAATAATGTTCTTAAAATTGTATAGATTAAGGTTTACTTTTTGTGTTGTACAGTTTTATAGGTTTTGACAAATGCATAATTCCATTTGTCCACCATTATAGTATCATACAGAATAGTTTTACCATCCTGAAAATCTCCTGTGCTTCACGCATTTTTATCTTTTCGTTTTCGTTTGTGGATTTTGTTGTATTTTCGCAACTTTAATGCCTTGTCAGTTTTAGAATTGTAAATATATTATCCCTACCTGCACATGTCTGTGAACTTTATTCATGATGTCTTTTGTTGAACAGAACTCCTAAACTTGATAATAAAATTCATCAATATTTTGCCTTATGATTTGTCCTCTTTGAATTTTTCTTAGGTAGGCTGTTCCTACTTTCATATTCCAAATACATTTACCTACTTTTTTTTTTAACTCCAGAGATTTAGCTTTTATTTTTAAGTCTTTATTTGTAGCCTGCCTTTGCATGTGCTGTTTGATAGGGTTCCAGTTTAATTTTTTTCCACATGGTAGAAAAACTCAATACTATCTACAAAAGAATATGGCCAGGTGTGGTGGCTCTTGCCTGTAATCCTAGCACTTTGGGAGGCTGAGGCTGGCAGATCATCTGAGGTTAGGAGTTTGAGACCAGCCTGACCAACATGGTGAAACCCCGTCTCTACTAAAAATACAAAATTAGCCGGACTTGGTGGTGCACACCTATAATCCAGCTACTTGGGAGGCTGAGGCAGGAAAATCACTGGAACTTGGGAGGCGGAGTTTACAGTGAGCCAAGATTGCACCATTGCACTCCAGCCTGGGCAACAAGAGTGAAACTCCATCTCAAAAAAAAAAGAATACAACCTTTTCACATTTTTTCTGACACTATCACTATAGTGTTTTAAGTTCCCATACATTCCTGGATTTCTACTTTATTCTGTTTATTTACTGGTACATTATATATTACTTATTTGTATGGCTTTGTATTATGTCTTGGTATTTGGTTAAACACATTACCACATGTTACTGATTTTTGTGGCAGATTTTATTGTAGACTTTTATGTTTCTACATAAAATTTTTAATAAGAATGCTGAGTGACTAAAAAAATTCATTTGGAATTTTAATGGGAATTGCATTTAATTTATTTATAAATTTGGAAAGAATCGATACTTTTATGATAGCAAGTCATTTACTCCAAGAGCATGGACTGACTGTCTTTTCACTTAATTGGACTATCTTTTATGACTTCTTTAGAGTTTTAAACTTTTTCAAAAGCAAAGGCAGATTGTAGAAGGTTTTCTTCAGCTTTCGTTGCCCCAGGACGAATCTACTATAATTCAATCTCCTTCCCTCACAATGTTCCCAAGTTCAAGGCGGCCTTTGAGGAATGCTTCAGCCTTCAGACATCTCAAAGGTTCTCATAATTATTGTTGTTATGGCTATTAGTTTCTTAAGTTATTGCTGGTTTCCTCTCATACTTACAGTTGTCACCATCCTGAAACACTGGGGCATATGGTTTGGCTGTGTCCCCACCCAAATCTCACCTTGAATTGTAATAATCCTCATGTGTTGTGGGGGAGGTTTCCCCCATACTGTTCTCATGGTAGTGAATAAGTCTAATGAGATCTGATGATTTTATAAATAGGAGTTGTCTCTGTACAAACTCTTTTGCCTGCCACCATGTAAGATGTGACTTTGCTCTTCCTTCACCTTCTGCCGTGATTGTGAGGCCTCCCCAGCCATGTGGAACTGTGAGTCCATTAAATCTGTTTCCTTTATAAATTACCCAGTCTTAGTAATATCTTTTATTAGCAGCATGAGAATAAACTAATACACCTGGGTACAATTTGTTGTTAAACCTGTTTGGTTAAGGCTGTATATTGCTGTTGTGTAGAAGGAGAAAGAGAAGTAAGAGAAGTCACTTACTTGATCCATTTCAGTACCTGTAAAATAAATACCTGACACTGAAACTGCAGGCCTATGCATAAGAATACAAATGGAGGCCCACATAGCATGTGTCTAAATATTTAAACCTTTGAAATCTAGCTGACAAGCTGTTAAATAAAACATGTTCTATCCTCCTAAGTTGGCAAATATTCCTTTAAAGTAACCTGAAAATTAAGGTTTAGCTTTAAATAATATTCCTCTGAGCTCTAAAATAGAACTTGGCAGAATGAGGAGAACCACCTTTCAGTCCATGCCTGTCCCTCTTCCTTCCCAGCCCCATCTCTGCCCAGTTCTGTGGGATCACATACATATGCATGTGCAGACCTCAGCCCGCATGTCTAAACACTACCTATATCCTCCACAAATAACTGCCTCTTGACCACCCCTCATGCCTAGAGTTTTGCTGAGAAGCAGTCTTGTCTACTTAGAGAGGAGGTCTGTTTAGTCGCTGGAAGTTTGCATGCAATTCTGGCATCCAAATGAATAAAATTTATCTTTGACCCTCTTATTCTGTTTTTCGGTGCCCCTTCTTCTCCAAGGCTTTTCCCGACTTCCTCAGGTACTCCATTCCACAATGGCCAGGAAATATTCAGATGCAACCCCCTCCCATATGTCTCAGCTAGTTGCCAGTTGTTCTTGGCCATGTCCTATTGGCCAGCGTCCTGTTGTTACTACTCAGGCCCTATGCATGCCAATTGTTAAGTACTGTATTTTGAATGTCACCCCTGTAAATGGTCTTTGGTCTCATTTTTTTGCCCTAAAAATTTGGCTTTTAGGAACATGGTCGGTGATCTCATTTTTTAACGTATTTCTATAAATTTGGGTCAATGTCTTACATTTTCAAGAGCACTGCATTGGAGGATAGTGAGGTGGTTTTGTTTAAGGTTGGGGCATTTAAGTAAGTAGTGGGTAAGGTTACTTACAGAGTTGACTGGCTTCACAAAGAATCTGAGAGGACACATCCACATGCTATTTTCTGGAGAACCAACTGTTTAAAATCTTTTTTCCTATCCATGTGTCTCTAAAACTTGTAACATATTGAGTCCCTTGGCTTCCACTTTCAGCCAATAAGTTTTTTTTTTTTTAATATATTTCTTGGAAAGATAATATTAAATTAAATCACTTTTGGGTATTAGTTGATTTTGGGGATCGAATAAGCATATCAAATGCAGTAATAAAATTAAAAATGCATTGAGATATAAAAATGAGGAATTATTATCATTGTTATCAGAACACTGGAAACCTTGAGGAGAGTTTGAGGGAGAGAATTCCTAAAAGTACAAAAGGGAGTCCAGAGCTGGTTGTTGTGGGCCTTGGAAGACATATCCTGCCTCCTCCCTGTTTGTCCAGAACCTGGTGGTTTAGAGGTGGCAGCATTATTTGTTTTATTTATTATTTGATGTGTCAACTCTCCACCAATCATTAAAGTAAGCAAAAATAAATTAAAAAAAAAGAACGCAAACAACTTACAGTGACTTTTCAATGAGAAATCAATGAATGATGTATTGTTCTCATTGCCCTTCTAAGCTTCAAATCCCAGATAGAATTTCAGGAAAGCTGTGTTGCCTGGTGAGATGAAGGAGAAATGACAGATGGCAGCTCCCTGCACAGTACAAGAAGCCTTACAAGGTAATCTGCCCTGGAGCTAACTTAATAGCAGAGAGCACCATTTCATGTTAAAGAGCCTGTGCCAATATTCAAACTGCAGACCTGCCACTGACCAGTTTTCCTCTCAGCTCATCCTCAATGATACCCTTCTGTCTACCTGGGTCATTCATTTCCTAACTTTATTAGTGCATGTGTCTGTCGTCTGTACTAGAGTAGAAGTTCCTTTGATGATAGGGACTGTGCTTTGTAAATGCTGACTAAATGCTCAATAAATGTTTATTTAAAAGGTATATTCTGCAAAACATACCCTGGCTAGATATAATTTTCTTATAAAACTAGGATAAAAGGAAATAGAAATAAAGCCTTTTTAATTTTTTTACCTGATAATTGTGATTGATAGCAAAATACCCTTCAGAATTGTTAGTATATATCCAGCTACCAATTTCAACATCAAGAGAGTATGCATAGAGGTTAAGAATATATAGTGTGCTAGGTGCGGTGGCTGAAGCCTGTAATCCCAGCACTTTGGGAGGTTAGGTGGGAGGATTGCTTGAGACCAGGAATTTGAGAATAGCTTGGGCAACATAGTGGGACCCTGCCTCTACAAAACATAAAAAATTAGCTGAGTGAGGTGGTATGTACCTGTAATCCCAGCTACTAAGGAGGCTGAGTTGGGAGGATTGCTTAAGCCCAGAAGATTGAGGCTGCAGTGAACCATGTTCACTTCACTGGACCCCATCCTGGGCGACAGAGTGAGACCCTATTGATACATATGGGCTGCGCTCCCGGCTAAACCCCACCCTTAAACCTGGAACCAAGGCCCTAAGTGAAAACAGCTGACCCTGTTTTTCTGCCTAAATGTTGCATTTTGGCCTGCCACACCCCTATCCTGTGCCCATAAAAAGATTTCAGCTGGCAGAGCAACACAAGTGGCTGAGCGCTGAGAATACAAGCAGCTGAATGGTGAGCAGAGAAGCAACTGAGCATTGGAAACTACAGATAGATGTGGTTAACTTCAGATGTGCGACTTCGAAGAGGGGCCTGGCCCTTAGCCAGGCTGCAGGGAAAGAACACCTTCTTCCCGCACCATCTTCTTCGAATTCCCCATCCCGCTGAGAGCCACTTCCATTACCCAATAAAATCCCCCGCCTACACTACCCTTCAATCCATTCGTATGACCTGATTCTTCCTGGAGGCCAGACAAGAACCTGGGTGCTGAGAGGGCAGGGGCTGCCACCTGGGCCCTCCGCTGAGTTGGTTGGCACTTGATCATCCCTGGATGGCAGAGCTGAAAAAGCATTGGTTGTAACACACTTGGATGCTGCTGTGGGGCCTGCACAGAGCCTGCTCCTGCCAGACAGGAGTGACTGGCCAGTTTCAGCGTTCATTACCTCCGGTTCCCCCACTCGTTTGCACACTCCCTTTTACGAGGAGTGGCCAGAGGCAGGCTGAGTGAAACGAGCCACTCCAGTTCCTGCCCACAAAGGGGGTCAAGGGAATTATCTCATCTTGCTATCTCAATAAATAAATAATATATATATAAATATTGTATATATATGTAATGTTGCAGGGTCAAACTATCTGGAATTAAATTTTACCAATGAAACTTACTAGCTATTGACCATGGGAGATTATCTGACCATGCTGTGCCTCAACTTCCTCATCCATAATATAAAGATAATAGCAGTACCTATCTCAAGGAGACTACTGAAGATAATCTATATGTGATTATTTTAAAACATCTGCAAATTATTTGATACTATACTTATCAAAAATCGCAGTCTATTTCTCCTCTTGTTGAACTTAAATGGGTCTTTGGATTTCTTTGATTAATTTAATATGGTAGAAAGGAAGTTGCCTGACTTCTGAGGGTCGGCTAAAAAGGATAACTTCTGCCATTGTCTTGTGGGAAACTCACTCTAGGACTCTTCAGCCACCACATGAAAATTCTGGCTGCCCTGAGGCTGCCATGTGGAGAAACCACCTGAAGAGACCACTTAGAGAGAGATGCTCAAGGAGCCCATCTATTCTGGACCCCAGATGTTTGATTTCTTCCAGCCCAACTGCTAAACTACATGAGTAGAAAACCTTTCAAGATGGCCCGGCCCAAGCTGCAGCCACTGTGTGGCTGCAACTGCATGAGAAACTCTGAGCCCACTCAACCCCCAGATTTGTGAGCACAGTTAATGATTGTTATTGTTTTAAGCTGTTTTTTTCTGGGTGGCATGTTACTAAGCAATAGATAAGTGACTCAGTTACAAAGCAGTAAGGGTTGTACTTAAGAAAAGTTCTCAATAAATGCTCTCTATTGTTAAATCAGTCTTTGCTGTTTGCTTGTGTGTGCCCTTATTAGTGTGTCCATCTCACTGAACCTATTCTATCTGTAAATTACATGTAATAGACCTGGGTTATCAGCCTCATGTGATTTTGATGAAGATTAGATGAGAAAATAGATAGGAAAGTCCTTTGAAAAGTAGTAAAGTGTATAAAAAATGAGTATTACTATCTGTTTTGCACATTTTTTCCTTTCCTTAAATTTAGCAGGAGTTTAATGTTGAGTAGACACTCGTACTCCAAAACTAGTGCTATTTTAAGAGATATTTTTTCTCATATTTTTAAACATTCTCAGGAACTAAATGAAAAATTTGGATGGATGATTTGTTCTGTGTGTACAAAGTTGCCAAATTGACATAATTGTTAAAATCTCTGAGAATAAAATTGTTAACTGCTTTTCATGTTGCTCTACAGCTGTAGCACAAAGTAAGCATATCCCAGATGATTTTGTATTAATTTAATTAAGATCTGATTTCAGAATCTATTTTTGCACAGTCATCTGCATTTAAACATGTCATCCACAAGGTGGAAGCAAAGGTTTTTATCTGAAACAGGCATTTCTTTTGAGGCTTTTCATGGTGCAGCATACAACACATGCAAAGATTTATACTGTTTTTTTTTCACTTGTCTCCATTTCACTTTATTCTTTTTTTTTATTATACTTTAAGTTTTAGGGTACATGTGCACAACGTGCAGTTTAGTTACCTATGTATACATGCGCCATGTTGCTGTGCTGCACCCAGTAACTCATTTAACATTAGGTATATCTCTGCTATCCCTCCCCGCTCCCCCCACCCCACAACAGGCCCCGGTGTGTGATGTTCCCCTTCCTGTGTCCATGTGTTCTCATCGTTCAATTCCCACCTATGAGTGAGAACATGCGGTGTTTGGTTTTTTGTCCTTGCAATAGTTTGCTGAGAATGTTGGTTTCCAGCTTCATCCATGTCCCTACAAAGGACATGAACTCATCCTTTTTTATGGCTGTATAGTATTCCATGGTGTGTATGTGCCACATTTTCTTAATCCAGTCTATCTTTGTTGGACATCTGGGTTGGTTCCAAGTCTTTGCTATTGTGAATAGTGCCACAATAAACATACGTGTGCATATGTCTTTATAGCAGCATGGTTTATAATCCTTTGGGTATATTATATACCCAGTAATGGGATGGCTGGGTCAAATGGTATTTCTAGTTCTGGATCCCTGAGGAATTGCCACACTGACTTCCACAAAGATTGAATTATTTTACAATCCCACCAACAGTGCAAAAGTGTTCCTATTTCTCCACATCCTCTCCAGCACCTGTTGTTTCCTGACTTTTTAATGATTGCCATTCTAACTGGTGTGAGATGGTATCTCATTGTGGTTTTGATTTGCATTTCTCTGATGGCCAGTGATGATGAGCATTTTTTCATGTGTCTTTTGGCTGCATAAATGTCTTCTTTTGAGAAGTGTCTGTTCATATCCTTCACCCGCTTTTTGATGGGGTTGTTTGTTTTTTTCTTGTAAATTTGTTGGAGTTCATTAAACTGAATCCAGCAGCACATCAAAAAGCTTATCCACCATGACCAAATGGGCTTCATCCCTGGGATGCAAGTCTGGTTCAACATACGCAAATCAATAAACATAATCCAGCATATGAACAGAACCAATGACCAAAACCATATGATTATCTCAACAGATGCAGAAAAGGCCTTTGACAAAATTCAACAACCCTTCATGCTAAAAACTCTCAATAAATTAGGTATTGATGGGACATATCTCAAAATAATAAGCAGCTATGTATGACAAACCCACAGCCAATATCATACTGAATGGGCAAAAACTGGAAGCATTCCCTTTGAAAACTGGCACAAGACAGGGATGATGCCCTTTCTCTCCAGTCCTATTCAACATAGTATTGGAAGTTCTGGCCAGGGCAATAGGAAGGAGAAGGAAATAAAGGGTATTCAGTTAGGAAAAGAGGAAGTCAAATTGTCCCTGTTTGCAGATGACATGATTGTATATCTAGAAAACCCCATCGTCTCAGCCCAAAATCTCCTTAAGCTGATAAGCAACTTCAGCAAAGTCTCAGGATACAAAATCAATGTACAAAAATCACAAGCATTCTTATACACCAATAACAGACAAACAGAGAGCCAAATCATGAGTGAAGTCCCATTCACAATTGCTTCGAAGAGAATAAAATACCTAGGAATCCAACTTACAAGGGATGTGAAGGACCTCTTCAAGGAGAACTACAAACCACTGCTCAATGAAATAAAAGAGGATACAAACAAATGGAAGAACATTCCATGCTCATGGGTAGGAAGAATCAATATCGTGAAAATGGCCATACTGCCCAAGGTAATTTATAGATTCAATGCCATACCCATCAAGCTACCAATGACTTTCTTCACAGAATTGGAAAAAACTACTTGAAAGTTCATATGGAACCAAAAAAGAGCCCGCATCACCAAGTCAATCCTAAGCCAAAAGAACAAAGCTGGAGGCATCACGCTACCGGCCTTCAAACTATACTACAAGGCTACAGTAACCAAAACAGCATGGTACTGGTACCAAAACAGAGATATAGACCCATGGAACAGAACAGAGCCCTCAGAAATAATGCCGCATATCTACAACCATCTGATCTTTGACAAACCTGAGAAAAACAAGAAATAGGGAAAGGATTCCCTATTTAATAAATGGTGCTGGGAAAACTGACTAGCCATATGTAGAAAGCTGAAACTGGATCCCTTCCTTACACCTTATACAAAAATTAATTCAAGATGGATTAAAGACTTATATGTGAGACCTAAAACCATAAAAACCCTAGAAGAAAACCTAGGCAATACCATTTAGGACATAGGCATGCGCAAGGACTTCATGTCTGAAACAGCAAAAGCAATGGCAACAAAAGCCAAAGTTGACAAATGGGATCTAATTAAACTAAAGAGCTTCTGCACAGCAAAAGAAACTACCATCAGAGTGAACAGGCAACCTACAGAATGGGAGAAAATTTTTGCAATCTACTCATATACTTTTGATATTGAAAAGAATAGACATAGACAGTCAATCCATTGTTAGAAACTTTTTTACTTGAGTAGAAGCATTGTATGAATCCCAAGTGCCTTATCCATGGATGGGCAATAAGGTACTACTATTGTTAATTGCAAACTAGAATTTTCCAGAATGCTTTAGCTATGAAACTAGTAGCCTTGTGGTGGTGGTTGTCATGGAAGAAACAATTAGATGTTTTCTTGGCCTAATAGAGAGAAAAGAATATTTCAGGTCCTGGAAAAAATGGACAAGGATAAAATAGCCTCTGGGAAAGAGAATCTTTTGACCTGATTATCAATGACTGAGATCTGTTTAGTGGGAATAAGAGTTTATTTTATAATTAAGGACAAAAATACTCAAAATGCAGTGCAGACTGAGATAATACAATGTTGGAAATTTACACTTGCTACAGTTTCATTAGTTATGTGGCCAACCTCTTTAATTGGTTAATCTAAAGTGCTTTTCCCTTTCTAATTTGGGTGAAGGCACCAAGCTTCTAAAGCAGTGATTGGCAGGTTTGGTTGCAGGGCATGTTTCACTCAAGATAGCTTAAATCTGAATCTCTGAGGGGGTGCCTGGGCACTGGTATTTTTTCCAGAACTCTCCATATAATTCTAAGATGCAGCTAGGGTTGGGAATCACATTTATAGGTTGGGGAAGGATGAGACCTCTGTGTTGGGGAGAAGTGCACACCAGGGAGACCAGAGATGTAAAAACAACCTTCTAAGCCTTCCTATTTGAGCTATTTATCTCCAAATGGAAATTGGGTAAACTCTCAAGCTGATCAAATTCTTGCTTCATTAGGGCCTATTGCTATTGAATTAAATGACACATTAGAAAGGCCTTTCACTTGTTATGTTTTTAAATTAAAATCATCATAAAAAGAAGCTTTGTTTCTTTAGAACTTCCAGGTGAGATATTAATACTCTAATCCCGTGAAGACCATTTAAGGTGATGGTTCCCAGGTGATATATAAGAACGACTTGTGGGATGATCTCGGAATCCAGAGAAACACAGGAAGTCAATACTGCAACTTGAAAGACTTTAGACCTTATAGATGACAAGAGAAAGTTTGTGAGATAGTTAAATTGTATGTGCCAATTTGTCTAGGCTATGCTAATCATTTGTTTGGTGAAACATTAGTCTGGACATTGCTGGAAAGAGATTTTGCACATGTGATTAACATTTACCATAAGTTGACCTTAAGTAAAGGAGCTAACCATTGATAATGTGATAATCTGAGTGAATGTCATCCAGTTGAAAGCCTTAAGAGCAAAATCAGGTTTTTCCAGAAAAGAAGAATTCAACCTCAACACTGTAACGTAGAAATCCTGCTGGTGGGCTGGGTGTGGTGGCTCATGCCTGTAATCCCAGCACTTTGGGAGGCCACGGCAGGCAGATCATGAGGTCAGGAGTTTGAGACCAGCTTGACCAATATGGTGACACTCCATCTCTATTAAAAATACAAAAAAATTAGCTGGGTGTGGTGGTGCACACCTGTAGTCCCAGCTACTCGGGAGGCTGAGGCAGAAGAATAGCTTGAACCCAGGAGGCAGAGGTTGTAGTGAGCTGAGATTGTGCCACTGCACTCCAACCTGGGTGACAGAGCAAGACTCCGTTTAAAAAAAAAAAAAAAAGAAATCCTGCCTGTGTTTCTAGACTATTTCAGACTTGCCAGCTTCACAACTGCATAAGCAATTTCTTAAAATAAATCTCTTTATCTCCTGCTGTTTCCTTGGAGAATCCTAACTGATAGAACTTGTAAACATCATTCTTAGAAACAAATTTGATATGGTTTGTCTGTGTCCCCACCCAAATCTCATCTTGACTTCCCGTGTGTTGTGGGAGGGACCCAGTGGGAGGTAACTGAATCATGAGGCCAGGTCTTTCCCATGCTGTTCTCATGATAGTGAGTAAGTCTCATGATATCTGAAGGTTATTATAAGGGAGAGTTTTCCCACACAAGCTCTCTTTGCCTGCCGCCATCCATGTAAGATGTGACTTGCTCCTGCTTTCCTTCTGTCATTAATGTGAGGCTTCCCCTACCACACGGAACTGTGAAGTTGCCCAGTCTTGGGTATGTATTGATCAGCAGCATGAAAACAGACTAATACAGTAAATTGGTACCAGTAGGGTGGAGAACCACTGAAAAGATACCCAAATATGTGGAAACAAGTTTGGAACTGGATAACAGGCAGGGGTTGAAACAGTTTGGAGGGCTCAGAAGAAGACAGAAAAATGTTGGAAAGTTTGAAACTTCCTAGAAACTTGTTGAATGGCTTTGACCAGAAGCCTGTCAGCCATATGGACAATAGGGTCCAGGCTGAAGTGGTCTCAAATGGAGATGAGGAACTTGTTGGGAACTGGAGCAAAGATGACTTGTTACGTTTCAGCAAGAGACTGGTGGCATTTTGCCTCTGCCCTAGAGATTTGTGGAACTTTGAACTTGAGAGAGATGATTTAGGGTATCTGGTGGAAGAAATTTCTAAGCAGCAAAGCATTCAAGAGGTGACTTGGGTGCTGCTAAAGGCATTCAGTTTCATAAGGGAAGAAAGCATAAAAGTTCAGGAAATTTGCGGCCTGACAATGTGATAGAAAGAAAAGCCCATTTTCTGAGGAGATATTGAAGCTGGCTGCATAAAATTTGCATAAATAATGAGGAGCCAAATGTTAATCTCTCGAAGACAATGGGGAAAATGTCTCCAGGGCATGTCAGAGGTCTTCATGGCAGCCCCTCCCATCACAGGCCCAGAAGCCTAGGAGAAAATGGTTTCGTGGGCCAGGCCTAGGCTCCATGTGCTGTGTGTTCAGTCTAGGGACTTGGTGCCCTGCATCCCAGCCACTCTAGCCATAACTAAAAGGGGCCAAGGTACAGCTCAGGATGTTGCTTCGGAGGGTGGAAGCCCCAAGCATTGGCAGCTTCCATGTGGTGTTGAGCTTGTAGGTACACAGAAATCAAAAATTGAGATTTGGAAACCTCTGCCTAGATTTCAGAAGATGTATGGAAATACCTGGATGCCAAGGCAAAAGTTTGCTGCAGGGGCAGGGCCCTCATGGAGAACCTCTGCTAGAGCAGTGTGGAAGGGAAATGTGGGGTTGGAGGCCCCACACTGAGTCCTTACTGGGGCACTGCCTAGTGGAGCTGTGAGAAGAGGGCCATGGTCCACCAGACTGCAGAATGCTAGATCCACCGACAGCTTACACCATGCGCCTGGAAAAGCCACAGACACTCAACAGCAGCCTATGAAAGCAGTCAGGAGGGAGTCCATACCCTGCCAAGCCACAGGGCTGAAGCTGCTCAAGACCATGGGAACCCACCTCTTGCATCAGTGTGACCTGGATGTGAGACATGGAGTCAATGGAGATCATTTTGGAGCTTTAAGATTTGACTGCCCCATTGGATTTTGGATTACTGCAGCCCATTTGTTTTGGCCAATGTCTCCCATTTGGAATGGCTGCATTTATTCAATACCTGTACCTGCATTGTTTCTAGGAAATAACTAACTTGCTTTTGATTTTAAAGGCTCATAGGTAGAAGAGACTTGACTTGTCTTGGATGAGACTTTGGACTATGGACTTTTGAGTTAATGCTAAAATGAGTTAACATTTGGGGGACTGTTGGGAAGGCATGATTGGTTTTGAAATGTGAGGACATGAGTTTTGGGAGAGCCCAGGGTTGGAATGATCTGGTTTGGCTCTGTGTCCCCACCTAAATCTCATCTTGAACTCCCACGTGTTGTGGGAGGGACCGGGTGGGAGGTAATTGAACCATGGAGGCAAGTCTTTCCTGTGCTGTTCTCATGATAGTGAGTAAGTCTCACGAGATGTGATGGTTATTATAAGGGAGAATTTTCCTGCACAAGCTCTCTTTGCCTGCTGCCATCCACATAAGATGTGAGTTGCTCCTGTTTGCCTTCTGCCATGATTGTGAGGCCTCCCCAACCATGTGGAACTGAGTTCTCCATTAAACCTCTTTCCTTCGTAAATTGCCCAGTCTTGGGTAGGTCCTGTTCAGCAGTGTGAAAACAGACTAATACAAAATTACAGCAAGTTTGTTTGTTTGTTTGTTTTCAATCATGGTGAGGACCCAGGTTTTCAGATGAAGGTGATATGTAAGGTGTAAAAAATTGAGGACTTCTTATACAAAGGAAATTATCTAGTGAGATCAGCTATGGTTGACAGTAAATTGATATTCAAAAGCATCTCTTTAATGTTGAGCAGCACTTAGGAAGCAGGCCTAAAATTTGGCAATATATTATCAAAAGAGCTCTGCTTCCTAGGAAATGGAACAAATGACATCATTATGCATATTAGATCTAACATTAAAACTCTTTTACTAAAATTACAATATTTCTGTCAGCGATTCTTAATATAAGAAAAAATGGTGAAATGTGTTTAGAGTGTGCTGGAAAATATATCCATGGGAACTATGAAAACCCTACTTCAGTGAATTGTATATTTATTGACTACTTTGTGACAAAAAAACACCCAATTCCATCAGGTCAAGCATGAAAATACTTTACCAAAATGGACCAGTTTGCAGTAGTTAATGAATGATTTATAAATGTAATTTTTCAAATAAGAAAAGAATTTTCCAAAATTAATTTTATAGAGAATAATTCTGGGAAATAGAAAAAGGAAAAGGGGTTAGCCCTTAAATAAATCTGGAAGCACTGAATTACATACAGCACACTGGGACTCTTCAAAGAAGAGATATACTATACTGATGGTAAAACTAATTTGATCAGGTAACACATTCATCAGGTATGTCCATCCACCTTCCATGGAATGCTGCAATTGAAAACTAAGGCCTTGTTTTGTTATTTGCTAACTCTGTGACTTAGAGCCACTGATTCACATTTTTGGAGTCTCAGTCTCCTTGTGTCTTATCAATGCAATGATACCTACTTCTCAGAGTTGTTTGAAGCTTCAGTAAGGTAATTTTTGAAAGAGAATTTTTTAAAAATCTAAAATGCTGCCTAAATATTAGCAGATAGTTTGTTGCTTTTTGACTTTCTGTCATCCAAAGAACTTCTCTGTTTGAGGTTTATTTCTCATTTTGAAATCTTTGTGAAAGGCAGGGCTGCACCTTCTATGTAGAAGCTGCAAGCGGCAGGCATTTTATTTCCCAGTTCCTGGCAGCTAAAGGCATGGTCACTTGACCTTGGCTCACTTAATGAAATCCTCCTTCATGGGACTTAGAATTTTGAGGAGTGACAGGTATGTTAGTTAATTTGACTCAAATTATATATGCCATAAAATTGTTTCATCTATTGTATAACTCTACATCTAACATGAGGTGAGTTCAAATTCCCTGATGCAATTAACTCTACATATAGAAGGTTGCATGGTTTTTAGTAGTTTCAGAGAGGTATTTACTCCGAACATATGAACTTTCCTTTAAAGCAGAATAGAGAGAACACTTTCATTTTCCCTGGGCAAAGAGAGCACGTAGAATGTTGTATATGTTTTTATATGTGGTATATTGAATTAAGCAGAAAAATCATGTTTTTAGAACTTTGTCTCTATAAATTTCTCTCAGGAATTTTTTGTAAAAGTAAACTTGTCCAAGCTACAAAGATTTTCTTTTTGCAAGACAGATACTACTTAATTAATTCCAAGCAACTTGTGGCTGGAAGCAAGAAGGTAGTTTCAGGAGTATTTTTGTTACTGTTGTTGGTTTTTGGCTGTTAGTTTTTAAAAAGTGAGATATTATAGGCTTTATAGTGGAAGGCTGTCTAACTTTTTCTTTTCTTTTCTTTTTTTGAGACAGAGTCTTGCTCTGTTGCCTAGGCTGGCGTGCAGTAGCGTGATCTCCCTCACTATAACCTCCACCTCCCAGGTTCAAGCAATTATCCTGCCTCAGCCTCCCGAGTAGCTGGAACTACAGGCACATGCCACCACATCCGGCTAATTTTTGTATTTTTAGTAGAGACAGGGTTTCACCATATTGGCCAGGCTGGTCTCGAACTCCTGATCTTGTGATCTGCCCGCCTTGGCCTCCCAAAGTGCTGGGGTTACAGGCGTGAGACTCTGTGCCCAGCCTAACTTTTTCTTAATGGTACCTACTAAGCCTGAGAATCAATCAGGGAATGGAGTTTAGCATACTGGGAATTGTAAAGTGGATGCTTAATGTTGAGTCTTTTAGAAGGAAACAGCAGAGATCTAGACAAAAACAGGCCTTATGAGATTGCCTACTGTAGCATTTTTGTGAAAGACACAGGAATAGTTCTGAAGATCAACATTGTGAAGAGCCACATAATTCTCAGTCATATTTATGGTTTGCATTATATTTCAATTTATTTTGATAGCAAATCATCATACTTGTCATTGTATGAAGATATTGTAGCTAGAAAAAGTAGAAAGTATCCTAGTTGTCTTCCCAGAAGCTCAGTGGTTTTGCTTAGGTTAGGTCATCAGAGATCATTCCCCTGGGTGGCTCCAACTCTGGTCTATGAGAATAATGAAATGAATTTTATGTTAGAAAAACAGAGCTAATGGGCAACAACCATAATATTGCTCAACAGACGCATATAAACTCATGCTATTTTAATATTTATGCCAAAAATGACTCTGTCTAGGATGACCCATATATCCACTATGGCCCATCTCATAGGTCCAGAATAAGAAAAAAATGTTAAGACAGTCCAAATACCAGTAGTGATGGCTTTATATGCCATACACCAGGGTACATTGTACATTGTGCAGTGTTTTTTTAATTATATTTTTAACTGGTGATGAATGTGACTTTTTGCTCTATGGTAATAACAATTATGGCCAAGGCAAAACTGTCAACCAGTGGCATAATGAGGCCCCCAATCATCATGGAATTGAGACAATAGTTGAGTAGTTTTAGCAAAACATAAGTGTGAATTTTTATCAAGTCATCTTCTACTTTGTATTAGGGCCAATTCGTCTCCCTTAATTTTTTCCCTCTTCCAAGACAATATAATATAGTTATGTCACAGTTCTATTTGCACGGTGTAAAAAATTCCATGTTTCATTGTCTTCAACGAGTTTATGCTTTGGAGTGAGGATGCAATAAGGGACACGAATCTGTTCCCTCACAGCCTCAGTTCCTATGTTTCTCTCACAGTGTGAGCAACTCTCTGTGCTGGGTGTGATTCTGGTATCTAAAATATTTTCACCCAATCTGATTCTACACTGTGAGCCAATTCATTTATGTTTTTGGCAACCCAGAGGGACTACTACTTGCTTCCAAAGCTAACAATAAAAAATACCTGGCTTTGTGAGATAATTAAGAGACAGAGATTTGCTGGGCATGGTGGCTCACGCCTGTAATCCCAGCACTTTGGGAGGCCGAGGTGGGTGGATCACAAGGTCAGAAGATGGAGACCATCCTGGCTAACATGGTGAAACCCCGTCTCTACTAAAAATACAAAAAATTAGCCAGGCGTGGTGGCGGGCAACTGTAGTCCCAGCTCCTCGGGTGGCTGAGGCAGGAGAATGGTGTGAACCTGGGAGGCGGAGCTTGCGGTGAGCCCAGATTGTGCCACTGCACTCCAGACTGGGCGACAGAGTGAGATTCCGTCTTGGTGTGGGCAGGGTGGGGGGTAAGAGACAGAGATTCTGTCTCCAAAAGTGCATGCAAGTGTGGCCACAATCAATTTGGAGCTTGAAGGCTTGAAGAAAAAGATTGATCAAGGAGACCAATAACTGTCAAGATGAGAACTGAAGTTTTTAATAAGACTCTAATTGAGAGTGAAATAGCGTGAAACTGTTGACTGGAAGACATGAATTGTAGGTATTACTAGGGATCGGAATACCTTGAGACAAAAGGCTTCAACTTCTATGAGTGAGTCAAATCTCTAACTAGAGATGGGTAGGCTTAAATGGAAATGAAACACATAGCCAACCAAAGTTGGCTTAATGGTTTTAGGAACTGCTTCACTCTAAACAATGTGCCACTTCTGCAGATCACCTGTTACAACAAGGGAAAAATCATTGAAGAAAATGGATATTTTCTACTTGAATAATTTAATATATGATGAAAAGACTGATCTATCTGAGGGAAAGTACTCAGCACTTACTCTGAAATCATTACGTTAAGACCTGGATTTAGAGCAACTCATGACTAGGATTGTGTTATTTTGGGGGCAATGCTGCTGATAGTTGGATGACTTCATAATTGTCCAATACAACTACAAAATTCTCCCTGGAACCCAGGAACTGCAATGAGTTGGTTGTGTTCTGGAAACCTAAGATAAGTGGTAAAGTTGTGGTCTCATTATTTCTGGATATCAAGTACCTCAGACCTATAACTTTGTGAACAAGGTATAATTTGCTTTTTCAAAGCCATGTAACTATTCCTGAAATAATTGAACATTGGTAGGCCTTCATCATTGCAGAATGCAATGGTGATAAACAAGCAGTAGATAAAATTGAGCTCAAAACACTCAATGCATGTTACCAAAATCCATGGAAGGGATATGTGAATAATTTTAGGAAGGAATATGTGAATATGTGAGTAATCCATCCAGATGATCAAAATGTATTTGGGTAGCCAAACAATTTAGTGGTACAGAAATCAAAGGATTAATTAAAGGCCAGAGAAAAATGTAGACTAACACAGGAGAAATGATAAGAAATTTCATTTCTTCATCTTATCAGATGAAGATAATGACCATGAACCAGAAGAATCAGTATATTAGAATCTTCATTAGCTTGTCACTGACAAACCAAGTTTATCTCTTGATTGAGTTAGCATCAAAAATACTTCTGGGCCAGGCACAGTGGCTCATGCCTGTAATCCCAGCACTTCAGGAGGCCGAGGCGGGCGGATCACGAGGTCAGGAGATAGAGGCCATCCTGGCTAACACAGTGAAACCCCATCTCTACTAAAAATACAAAAAAAAAAAAAAAAACCCAAATTAGCTGGGCGTGGTGGCGGGCGCCTGTAGCCCCAGCTCCTCGGGAGGCTGAGGCAGGAGAATGGCGTGAACCCAGGAGGCGGTGCTTGCAGCGAGCCGAGATCGCGCCACTGCACTCCAGCCTGGGAGACAGAGCGAGACTCCATCTCAAAAAAAAAAAAAAAAAAAAAGATACTTCTGACATTTGTTCTGAAAAGAAATCTCTTGAAATCCATCAAATTATTACTTCCTCCTTACTTACCTTAGGATATCTTCTCCTATTTTAATTAGTTTTCCCAAAGCCTAAAAACATACAACACTAAGGAAATGCACTCTGAGTTCTGAATAATAACACAGTCCAGTGAAAAACATATTCAAAATCAAAGTTATCATATAGCTTTCCAAATAACCCTGACTCTTAATTAAAGCTTAAGAAATCTTGAAGGATGAGAGGTGAGGTCACTGTTGCATATTGGGATTTTAACTCTTTGGAGATTATTATATGGGGATTGAGATAAAGGAAAGATTCATTCAAATGGGGGGAGGATGTAATAATTTAGCAGCAACAGAGATCAGAAACTATTTTAACTCTAGAATATTTACACTTCAAATAACTTGCATTTTGATTTTTATTCCTTGGAAAATTATTTAGAGAACTTACTTTATCGTTGGGACATGATATTTGTATACCAGAGCACAAAAATATATGGGCAGGAAAACTTTTTAGTTTAGATTCAACCAGTAGTAGTAGGAGCATCAGTGCAACAACTTTGCTAGTATTACTGCTAATATTCATTTTTACTGCTTTTTAAATATTTGATATACATCACCTCAATCATTGTAACAACACTGTGAGGGAGATATGGAAATTTTCATTTTACATGAAAGGAAACTCATCTTTAGACAGGATAGATAACTTGCTCAAATTCACAGACAGATAGTTAGAGTGGGGATTCTAATTCAGGTTGGGTGATTTCAAATATAAGTTTTCTTGACCATCCCCCTTGTACTGGTTCTCAGACTGTTAATTTTCTTTTTTACAGCTTCAGAGGATTTAAATAATAGTTGAAAAGCTGAATATGGTGAAATGATTTAATGTTATTAATGAATGGATTGGAAGGCTTTTGTTTCCACATTATTTTGGGCAGAGTTGTCAGTAAGTCAGCAAAATAAACGTTGACATTATTGAAAAGCCTCAGTTCAGCTAAGAACTGAGATCCAAACAAGTTTGCATCAAAAGTCTCAGGTGTAATTTCTTTAGCATAAATACAATTGAATCTGGAGAGAAAATATTGTTGTTGAAATGTGCAGAGTTCGGCGGGGGTGCTCTTCAGTTTAAGATGTGAACTTACGTTGGAATAAACTATTTTATGTTCTTAATATCTTCATCTGGCATTTTTTAATAGGTGAAAATATAGTGACTGAAAAAAGCAAGTAATAATATTTCAACAGTATTGTTTTCATTTGAATAAGAATGTCCCTTTCCTCCTAAGGTCCTTGCTGTGTTATTTTTAAGACTTGATGAGCCCTGTCTTTAAACTCAGAGTTCTTCCTATTGAAGTGCATCAGAATCCTTTAAATGTTCTTTACGGTATCATTATGTTACATGTGAGATTATGATGGATGAAGCACAAGGCAGGGGACCAGTAAACCTGGATTCTAGTCTTACATATATCAGAAATTGGCTGCTCTTGTATAAGTGTAAGCTCTTTAACTTTTCTCGGTGCTTAATATTCTCATCTGTAAAATGAGTTTGAACAGATAAGAATAAATTTATTAAAGTCTCCTTCCCATTCTTTGATATTTAAAATACATCCTACAATGCTGGATCCGTTGGTCCTGCATTTATAAAATATACTTACCAAAGTTAATAAACATGCTTCAGGACTACAGGATATTCTTCAATTCAGCATCAATCTGATAATGAAAAAAGAATGTTATATAACTTATGAAGTATTTCATTTGTAGGCTACTAGATCATGCAGAAGGTATACAAAATCTTGAAACCTTGGTTAGGGGAGCGGATTCTTGCCAAGATGCAATGTTACATTGCAGTTTTTTATTAGCCACCCTTTGCATTTATTTAGCTTTACATCATCTCTGCCCTTGAAGGGCTTAGAGTCTGCTGGGAAAAGTAGACAAGAAAAAATGGCAGTAGAGTTTAATAAGTGCTAATTATTGGGTGCAAACAGAATGTTGTGGGACAACAGAGAAGTTTGAGTGCCAGGGAAGAATTCTCAGCGGAGCAGATGTCTTCTAACTTGAACTCTAAAGCCTGATGAATGATTCAGCCACGGCAAGCCTGATGAGAAATAGGGCAAGCGGGTGGAGTCATTATGTGCAAAGGCCTTGAGGTAAAAGCAAGTTTAATGTGTTTGGAAAACTGCAAGTAGTTCAGGAGAACCCAAGCAGGAGGCACAACAAGTCATGATAGCAAGTCACTACTTGGAGAAGAAATCAAGGTCCAAAATACCTCTATTTTGTAAAAAAAAAAAAAAAAAAAAAAACTACTTTAATTTGGAGGCAATGAGAGCTATTAGAGAAGAGTATTAACCATTTTTGTGTTTTAAAAAGGTTGATTTGACCTCAGTATAGAGATGGGATTGGAATGTGAAGCACTGTGGGCAGACTGGAGGTGGGAGGAGACCAATGGACAGGCTATAAACCAGGTGAAAGATTGCCTGAAACTAAATACCAAGAATGTAGAAGAATGTGGGTGGGAGATTGAGAGATGTTGCAGAATTAGAATTGATGGGATTTGGAATTTTATTTGGTGCATATGGAAAAAGAGAAGGAGAAATAAAAAGAGTCACTAAATTTTCATCGTGGGGCAATGGGTAAATGATGATAATATTCATAAACTCAAAAAACATAAGAGCAGTTTATAGGAAAAATATTTTGTCCATGTTGATTTTCAATTTCTTATGGGACAAGATATTGGGGGAGAAGAGAGTCCTAGACAGTTGGATTAAAAATCCTAATGCTGAGGGAGAGATCTTGGTTGGAGGTAGAGATTTGGAGATTAAAAGCATAAGCATTGATGAAAACAGTTGAGAAAATGTAGTGCCATGGAAATGAAGAACAAGGAAAAAACTCTGGAAACAAATTTAAGAGACAGGTAAAGGAAGAGGACAATATGAAATAGAACAAGAAGAGAGGAATCATAGAAAGACAAAAAGTAGAAAATAATACTACAGGTGCTAAGTAAATTGTTTCAAGAAGGAAGGTATACTTATGGGTATCAACTGTTTTGTGGAGAAATCTGGTAAGAATTGAAAAATGTTTATTAGATTTAACAAGAAGGATATTGTTGGCGTGCCTTTGTTGACAGTCATATGGTACCATCAAAAGCCAGACTGCAAAGGGTTGAGGAATTAATAAGAGGTGTGAGGAGTTGGAGTATATGGTATTCTTGCAAGAATCTTGGCTGTAAGGGAGGAGAAAGAAATATAGCTAGAGAGGTGTCTAAAGTGCCTTATTTATTATTTTTTGAGATAAGAAGAAGAGTAACTTTAATACAAATTAGACAGAGCTGGCAAAAATGTTGACACAAAAGAAGAGAGTATGTCTAATGGAGGAAGAGTCCAAGGAAGTGAGATGGATAAAATTCACAGCGATATTACCAACCTGGTATCATTTTTGCTACTTAAAAATAATTTTGGATTTTCAGTCAATAGTCTTCTATCAATAGTTTGCTTTTGTCATGACTAGCTAAGTTAGGGCTGACGTCTATGACAAGGACATTGAGGGAGAGTAACAGACTAATACAGAATAAATTTAGATTTTTCTAACATCATATAACCTCTGTAAGTTTCATTCAACCCATCTGTAAAAGGGGGAATTAAAATATTAATTAACATCTAGAATTGTTTTGGGTTATTCTATAAATACATACATGCCAGGCTATTAATATTTCTGCTTAACAAATAGCAATGGCTTAATCAATGATAGCTATGACACTGAAGATTATAAAATCAAGTTATACTGAGAGATAAAACAAACTACAGTGACTATACTAGTTTTTCCTGACACAAGAAAGACAGGTGGTGGGGGGTAGACAGTATATCACTCTACTTGTCAGTCTCCTCTTTGCCCGGCTTCCACTTGGCTATTTGTATTTGTCTCTGTGTTTTTAAGATTTTAGTGATCAATTCCAGCATATTACAATGACTTTTGGAATACTTTGGGAAATCATATCTGATGCTCACTAGCAGTCTGTTGAAACATTTTAAAGGAAGCATAGTAATGAGTTCTCAGAAGAGCCCAAAGGGATGCCCTGCCTGAATGATGGTAGAAAGAGAAAAGAAGATTTCAAGTCTAATTTTGTAACTATAGGTTTTTCTGTAGGCAAATGGGTCTTTTTTGGCATAAACAAATGAACCACTTCTAAGAGTGCCATGGTAAAGCCAAAAGAAAATGACATTGATTGTTCTATTTCCTGGTCATTTCAAGATTGGGTGAGGATAGGGGTAGATACCCATGTAATGAAACACTAAGTATGGTTCAGAAGCCCCTTTTCCCAGTCTTCCAGTAGTTGTGCCAAGTGTATTTGGAATGACAAGTAGAGACTGATCCCTGGATATAAGTGACTTGCAGTGAAAGGAGTAGATGGATATTACTTTTAAGGAAAAGTTTTTTCAAGCAAATGTATGACAAGGAGATCTCACAAATTAGGATCCAAATATTATAGGACAAATGGGACATTCACGTTAGGCATTGGAAATTAAAGAGAATGCTGTTCAAACAGATGTTGCACTAAAGTAAAGTCAGAAAGGAGGGGTGAGCTTGCCTACCTAGCTATGAGATCAGTTTACAAAGGCAATCAGAGGGCTAATTGAAATAGCAGAGGATTTAATCTCTGTGTACTCTGAATAATCAAATGTGCACAAGTATCTCAACAACTCCATTCATCGCACTCTACTTTAGCAATTACTGAAAGGCTACTCAGCTGCTATAAATTTACTGTCGATAAAGCAAGAAGTGAGAGAGCTACAAACCTGTCTTCTCATCATTGTAATGATTTGAATGGCAATATGTTATATTGAAAACCAACTCAAAGAAATGAAAAACCAGGGGCTTTTAGGAAGCATGAATTTGCGCTTAAAGCTCAGTTTGTCTTGTATGGTGTCAGGCAGGACAGTGCATATCTGTATAGACAGATAACAAAGGGACAGGGAAAGGTTTCAAAAGTGATATTTCTTATAGAATCTAAAAGACATTTAGACTGTTTTCTTCTTCTTTCGTAATAACAGACTCTCAGAGAAAATTTTTCTGGTAGCAAACAACTTCTATGTAAGGTGATTTTATTTTTCTAGGTTAAGGCCACCTAAATTGGAACTAAATTTAGATTACTAAAAGCAACTTGGTATGAAAAGAAAGAACTGTTCAATTTAATTAATTATTTTATGCTAAAAATGTTTTAATGACCAAAATATTCTGACAATCCAGCTTCTTCTGTTTTTATGTTGAGAATCTTAAGTAGTTTGAATTTTAATGAAAGATTAAGATGGCATATTTGTCAGGAGAATTTAAAGAAAAGGCTTTTATTCTACCGTACTCTCTTCATCTGGAATTCTGACTTTATAAATTGTTACAAACAAGATTAGCAAATAGGTTTGGGACCAGAGTGTAAATATGGAAATTAGAAAAGAAACCAGAATCCCTAAGGTTATAAGGAAGAAATTAGAAAAAGATGTAGCTCCATTTGTCAAACTAAGACTTTTTTCTTAGGCACTGTACAATAAAATAAAACAAAACAAAACATAACAAAACAAATAAAACTTTACTAAAATATGGATATTAAGAAATTTGGAATGCATAGCCCAAGACTTTAAAAAAATACTTTACACAGCTTAATTTTTAAAAAGTCACTTCAAGTATAAAAGAGCTGCTATTGCGAACAGAGAATAGACATTTTCTAGTTGATAGAGAAAGCCAGGGTGATTGCAGGAGAAATTACAAAGGGAATATCACAGCTTAATTTATAGAAGAATGTTCTCATAATGCAGCTACCTGGCAATGAAATAGGCCATTTCCATTTCTACTCTTAGGAGTAGATAAATTGACTATAGAAATTTAAATGGAGGCTGAATGCACCTCTAGAAGGAATTAACTGAGTGAGAAATTACACTAGATGATCTTTATAGTTTTCTTTGAACATTTATACTTTCGTGACTTGCTTTTTTAAAAATTAAGTTCTTGGGTATTTTTAAATGCAGTCTAATAGAAACTGGGCTTTATTGCTTTCGTGGCTGATAAATGAACAAAACTTCAGGTAAATTCTTAAATTATTTCACTTATAGAAAGGGCCTTCTGGCCGGGCGCAGTGGCTCACACCTGTAATCTCAGCACTTTGGGAGGCTGAGGCGGGTGGATCACTTGAGGTCAGGAGTTCCAGATCAGCCTGGCCAACATGGTGAAACCCTGTCTCTACCAAAAATACAAAAATTAGCTGGGCGTGGTGGTGGGCACCTATAATACCAGCTACTCGGGAGGCTGAGGCAGGAGAATCACTTGATCCCAGGAGGTGAAGTTTTCAGTGAGCCAAGATCTCACCACTGCACTCCAGCCTGGGTGACAGAACGGGACTTCATCTCCAAAAAACAAACAAACAAAAAAAAAACGGGTTTAAGGGCTTCTAATTCTAATTGGCATGAAATCATTTAACCTAAGTATCATTTGGTATGGCATAGAATTGTTCCTAACCCTGCCTCTATATTTCAGAAATAGAGTGGGCAAGACAACACAATTCTTGGAGTTATTACTAATGTCTCCAAATAAGCAGTAAAGTGAAATGAAGTGCTGTTTTTATCTTTTGACTCTTCTAAAAAAATGAAATGCTTGCTGGAGAGTAACAGGTAAAATGGAGGATGTGAACGTATGGGCTGACATTTTCTGAAAAAGGCCAGCAAAATACACCCCTCACCGTGAAAATAGGGCAGATGCTGACTTGGTGAAAGAAATCTTAGCATAAGACACTTGAAATCTCAGAAGTCGAAGCATAGCTCAGGTCTACTAACAATGGGCCCACACAACCTACCTGAGGTCTCCTCCCCTCTCTCACACCTTCAGTCTATATAAAGATGGGCAGAATACAAGATACCAACCTAACACTGTGGTTTATAGGAGAAAACCAATAGGCCTCAGATGTGGTGATTAGATAAACACTAATTCATCTATTAATACTATCAGAGAAAACAAAAAGGTTTGGCCAGAACTGCTGGTGTTTTGCACAAATTAAAAAATAAATGATCTGGCAATTATGCAAATACATTTATGGGAGAGAAGGGGAAAGAGAGAAAGGAGGAGGGGAATAGGGGAAGGGGTTATTTTACTGTTAACAATATTGGACCTGAACCAGGAAGCGGGAGGGGAAGGAAGAAAAAGGGGAGACAGGGAGGAGGGGAAGGGACATTTAAAGAAAGATGAATCCAAGAACTATCCAAAATTGAGGGGAGTAGGGAGGGAAACTGGAAGATATATAGGACTTCTAATATCTTTAGCTTTCAGAGTTTGGAGACAATTGATAGTGTCTAAAAAAGAAATTCGTAATAAAAAATGACTAAAATTTTAATATTCTTTAAAATCATTTTTTAGTTTTTAGAAAATAACTCTTATAGTAATGAAACATTTATGTGACCTTTAGAAATTCTTCAGTTGCATTTTTTTCTTATGTCATATTAAAACAAAGTTAAATAATATTTTTATAATTAACATATTAATAGAAGGTATGATATGACCCCATTTTTCTAAAGTATTTATTTTTATCAATCTACCTGCCTATATATGCATATGTATGTATCTACATAAACACACATACAGATATATGAAATACAATTTACCTTCACTATGTGAAGGTAATGAACTCTGATGTTCTCACTGTATTCTTATTCTTCTCTTTTTCATTTAAATAGGCTGTTACTAGGTTACAACTCACAATTTGTAAAACACTACACATACTTTGTTGCCTGTGTTCACAGACTCTTTTGTTTCTTAAAAAAAGTATAAAATTTCCTAAGTTTTACAACTACCTCAACTTGCTTTTAAATGAGCATAGCATGAAATCAGTTATGTTTCTTACTTTCATTGCAAAGACAGCCAAGTTACAATAACACCAGGAAAAGCCTGTCACATAATGGCATCTCAATAACAGGAAAGAAATGAGTAGATTGGAGTGCATACGTTCTTAAAAGATTCTGCCATGTTAAGTGGAGGGTTACATTTTCCTACCTCTGAATCACAGTAAAGAGGAGGTGAGTTTATGGAACAGCAGTTGGAGGCAAAGTCTGAGTGCTTGTTAACCAGCTTTGCCAGTTCCGTGGGTGTGGCATCAGGCAATTTTGCTTTTAGTCGCTCTGCCAGTCTGAAAAACCATTTAAATGTAAGGTCTTACTACATGTATTTATTTTATACAAATTTCTAATGCAAAATAATAGCCATTTCAGATCTTTTACAATAAAAATGAAAATAGAAATACTTGCCTGTCTCAAGAAAATTCTATACCTGTGGTATAGAATAGTCAATTTGAGATCAGAAAGTGAAACATGCCTCTTCGAGATCATAAAAATAAACATACAAATCGCTGCTGAATTGGAAGTCCAGTCTTCTTTCATTTGCTCATTATTTCAAAATGGAAGAGTACCTCTTCTATTTTATCCTAACCTTTCACCTTCTCTTCAGTTTTAAATTTCAAATTCCTTAAAGAATATTTCCTTTACAGGACCTCATACCAGCTTAATGCCTTTTTTTCCTCTCATAATTTATATAATTTCACCCTCAATTTATCTACTTCTCAACTCACTATGTTGGAAAACACCAATACAGGAGTAAGGAAATTTTCGCTCTTATTTTTAGCTCTACTAAAAACGAACTCTCCATTTCTCTTTCAGGATGGTGATAAGACTTGATATCTCCTGATTCTTTCAATTTGTACAATCGATGATCTCGGCGTCTCTCCACTCCCATGAACAACTCAGCCTGGTTTTATGACTTTCTTCAGGAAATGCTTGCCAGCCCAGCGGGGGGCAATGGGAGGTAAGGAGACTCAAATTAATCTAGAGTTGGGCTTGGCAAGAGTGGATGCTGGGAAGGGACAAAAGGGTAAGGGGGACCAGTTAGTTCATAAAAGCATTGTTGAAACAAGTAGGTTTGAGCTGCCGGGGGGTGCAAATGAGGCAAGAAGAGACTCAAAGGAGGCAAAAAAAAAAAAAGAAAGTTGGGGGGAGGAGGGAATAGGATCTGAGAAATTTACTAACGTTAGGAAAAATGACATGGTCTTCTCAATGGAGACTTTCCCCAAGAACCCAGTACCACTTCTTACCTTATTGTGGCCTATTATTTTACTGTTAATGTCTATTTATAGAGAAATGCTTTTTCCTTCTCTTAATTGAGAAAAATGACTATTATATAACATTATTGGTAGTTAACATTTCTATTTCTAATTTATAGGGAATATATGCTGGTGATAGCTGACAGTATGCTTGATTGAAAGTTTGGGTCTTCTTGCCAGGCAATATGCCATGAAGTTAGATAACATTTTTAGCAGTTTTATAGGTCCTCAATTTTGTACAGCAATATCTACAGAAAATTCTGGGGTAAGAATGTTGCTAAGCTATGTGCTCATTTTGCCATTTTGACTCAAGTTCCTGCAGATAGATTTCGTCATCTATATTTTTATGGCTGTTTTAATTGGCCACCCACTTGCTACACATGACATGTTTCCTCCAGAAAAACTTAGCTTCTTCTTATACAGATGTTAGATTCCAACTACTTTTAAAAAAATAAAATGATTTAGGGGGTACAAGTGCATTTTTGTTACATGGATGTATGGCATAGTGGTGAAGTCTAGGTTTTTAGTATAATCATCACCCAAATAGTGTACATTGTATCCAATAGGGAATTCCTTATCCTTCACCCCTCTCCTACCCTCCCACCTTTTGGGGTCTCCAGTGTCTATTATTCCACTCTATGAGATTCTGACTACTTTAAAAAACTCCTAATTGAACCTCCTTTTGTTGTTGTTCACTGAAGACAAGCTTAAGTGTTCAACTATGCTTTCAATTCATAGTACTATGAAAATATTATTGATAAATTTGGAGGATACAGCCAGAACAAGTTTCTTACTTTTTCTTGTACTCAGTAAATGTATTTTCTGAATAATCTGCACATAGTTCTTGTCCCTTGTCAATGAAAGAAGATAGTTCCTTCTTTAGTAGAGGGCCCTGTAAGAAAACAATAATTGCATAACAAAATTATTTGTCTTGAAACCTTGTCCCATCAAGCCATTAAATCAAAATTCCAAATATTGTATCATTAAGCATTGGCAACTATTTTCTACAGAAGGCCGGATAATAATTTTAGGGTTTGCAGGCCATATGTGGCCTTTGTTGCAACTACTCAACTCTGTACAGAAGCAGTTGTAAGCTTTGCAGAAACAATGAGGATGATTGTGTCCCAGTGGAAGTTAATGTATGTATGAACACTGAAATTTGAATTTTGAATAATTTTCATGGGTCATGAGATACTGATGTTCTTTTGCTTTTTTCCCAACAATGTAAAAATGTAAAACCATTCTTCTGTTCTTAGTTTGTAGGCCATAAAAAAGTAGGCAGTGAGCAAGTTTTGGCCCATGAACTATAATTTTCCAACCCTTGATCTATGTGCTTGATAAAGAAAATCCAACAAATATACCTTAGCATTAAAACAGGTAGTTGAGTCTTCAACATCACAGCATTCACCAAGGCTTTTTAGGGTTGGCTCAAGTACCTTACTGAGGAATACTTCCGGAAGATGAGTCCTTCTGCTTAGTTCAAATGTATACCTAGCATGAGGGAGAAAAGGAGATATGTGTTATATATTTCCTATTTATTTATTTATTTATTTATTTATTTTTTGTGACAGAGTCTCCCTCTGTCACCCAGGTTGGAGTGAAGTGGTGCCATCTTGGCTCGCTGTAACCTCTGCCTCCTGGGTTCAAGCGATTCTCATGCCTCAGCCTCCCGAGTACCTGGGATTATAGGCGCCCACCACCATGCCCGGCTAAGTTTTGTATTTTTAGTGGAGACAGGGTTTCACCATGTTGGCTAGGGTGGTCTGGAACTTCTGACCTCAAGTGATTCGCCTGACTCGGCCTGCCAAAGTGCTGGGATTAGATGGATGAGCCACTGTGCCTGGCCTACATTTTAAAATGTGAAATATCTATCATAAAGGCAGAGCACCTGGTTTCTGCATCTTAATTAAAAAGAAGAGATTTAGCTCAGACTGACTCTAAATCAACAGGCTTTGGATTATAAAATACTTTCATTGAGATACAAGCTATTAATACTTGCTATTGTGACTAGTCAATACTGAATTAAAGCTTTGCATGTAATATACATTTAAATATATTATATGTAAACATATCTACTTCAAATGCATATGGAACTGTCTTTGTGCAAGCATAATGCAATTGACTCTGTATAAAGCATCAAGTGGATACTTCAAAAGGCTTTTCTGTGAAAATTGGTTTGTGTAAATTCCTTCATTATGTCTTACCCCACTGCTGTCTATGCACTTATAAAAGCAATACACATTTAGAAAAATGTAAAGTTTCAGTCCTATGTAACTTCTACCATCTGATATTGCTAATTGATATTTCAACCTGCTGCTTCAAACTATTTGTGAAATATTTTTATGCCATCATTATGCATACACATCTATTCAAACCATGGTATATTTTTAACTTACTTTTTTTTAGTTGGATGAAACAGGATAAAAGTTTACCATTTCTTTGCATTAAATCTCTTTTTAAATTTAATGAAAATGAATATTGATAATGCTAAGAAAAAAATATTCTGTGCTTGGTATCTCTTTTATTTGTATCAAATGCTTATTGTCCAAAAGTTTAGTATACTTTAGGCTTTTGATTTGTGACTTTGAACCAGAAGTAATATGATAAAACTAGTTAATAATATTATAAACATTTCTGGTTGCATGATATATTTTACATGTGTTCAGCATTGTATGCAAATATGTGTTTTCACATTTACTTTCACTTACATTTCTACATGCATTTCTCATTAGCAGTCTGTGTGCTAAGTAAGGCAAGAGTTAACATTTCCAAATTAATTAACAATAGGCTGAAGTTCAGAATTATCAAGTCACTTCTTTTGGCCATGCACAGGAAACAGAGAAGGCACAATTAGGAACTCTAAGCTCCTTTCTCACTACCCAAAATCTTTCTATCACACTCGATTATGGTGTTTTAAAAATTTTAGTCATTTACAATTAATTAACAAATACTTAAAGTCCATGAAAAGCATAAAGGTAGTACTTTGCCTATGTTTGAAATGAGTGATAGCATACCTTCCCTCCATCTGGCTGGCCCCCACTTTTTGTCCAGATGAACTTAAAATGGGAAAACGTTTTCACATCACCTCTACTTACTTATCCATGACTTTGGTGTTTCCTGGATCACACACATCTTTGTTTGTGGGCAACTCTACATCTGGAAGCTCGGGGAGTTGGGCAGCTGGCATGAAGTAAGTGCACACAAAAACGTCCATGGCTGTTTTTTCTTGACAACAGTCTTCAAACTTAGAATTCTTTGTGGATAAATTGTCACAGAGTTTTACTGTGTGTTCAGGCAGCTACAAAACGAATGGTTAGTTTGTGCATTGTTAGTTTCCTGATAGTCTAATTAAAAATAAGAATTACATAGGCTTACAAGCTTTGGCATCACATTTATGAAAGTCAGTATGAAGACTCTCAGAAAGAAAATTGGTACAATATTTGGAAAGGCAGTTTGTCAATATGTACTAAAAGTCTTAAAAATGTACAATTCTATTTTTAAGAATTTATACTCAGAAAATAATTGTAGATAAAACGACAACAACTATAAGGCTATTAAGTGCAACGATTGCCTAAAATATTTTAAAAAAACCAACACAACCTAAATACAATAGAGGATTAGTAAAATAAAAATATGGTGTGTCTAGATAGATAGATGTAATACATGACATGGATATAGGCAACAGAGTCCTATTTAGCCATTATAAATCCTTATAGAAAAGCATCTATTAACACAGACATGCATTTTTAATGGAAAAAGACAAGGCAACACAATGTATCTATTACTACAGAGATTGACAAGATCTTGGAGACTGACCTTCAGCTAAAGCAATTATTCAAATTTAAATAGTTTTAAAGGATTATGAAAATGAAAAATGGTAAAAAAAATTGAGATGGGCATCAAATTATAAAAAGTATAATAAAAACAGTAGTAGCGTCTACTAGTATAATGGTTGAAGTGCCGCTTAATGGAACTTTACGCAATAATGAAAATGATCTGTATTTGCACTATCCAATACCATTGTGCATTTGAAATGTGGTTAGTGTAACTGAAGAACTGAATTTTAAATCATATTCAACTTAAACATATATGTTTAACTTTAACTATAATTAAATTTAAATGACCATATGTGGTAATGAATACCATACAGTGCAAGTAGCATAAGGTCTTGGAAATCAGATAATCTCATCTTTGCATATGGACTTTGCCACCTACTAGTTGTGTGGTAACAAATTATTGACCCTTACTAATCTTCTGTTTTCTCACCTGTACAGTGATGTTAATAATTATTTATATTTCATAGAATACATGTAAGCATCCGTTAGGATAATGCATATGAAATAGAACTTAGAAGAGTACCTGCCACTCAGTACTTGGCACTCAATACCTGGCACATGGTGATAATGATAATAAAGCTTGTCTTACCTCTTTGGCCATGCAATCTTCAGAGGCAGACTCACAGCATTTGGAGAGGATGTTAGTAATATCTTCAGCTAGTGGCAAAACATCCTCCAGATCAGCAGTAGGCACTTTTTGGGCTAACTTTATGAGATTGCTAAACAGTTAAAAATAAATATGTTAGCTTATCAACATTCTCAGTTTTCTTGGTTTCGTGATGAACGCACTATTTGGAGAAATAATATCACAATTTCACCTCCTTGGCCTCAAGAGATGCATGGGAGCACATCTGCCATGCGATAGATCTTATGTACCCAAGCCACAGACTCAAGATCAAGAGATCCCTAATGAATCTTTCCAAATTTTCAGTACCCAAATGCAGCTTCTCTTCTTGCCAGATATACATAGTGAAAGCACTCCTTTAAAATGTTAGATCTAAAGCATCAATGAAGAAGTCACAAATGTCTCTTTCTATTCATAAGGCCAATGTTGTATTTTTGTGGCCTCTCACAGAGTTGTAAAAGTGTGTTTTATAAATTCTTTTAGAAACTATAGAGACCTGTAGCTTTACACCACAGAGTTAACAAATGTTCACATTTTGGGTGTGTAACCTTTCAGTATTTTATGTGTGAATGGTATGCTATACTATTCTCATATTTGCCTTTTTCACTTAATATACCAGGAATAACATTAAATATTTTTTCAATATTAATATTCCTAATATATCATGAATATGATTAAATATTATTTTAAAAAATTGTGGTGAAAATGACATTAAATTTACTATCTTGACCATTTTTAAGGTATACATTCAGTATTTAAGTATATTTACATTGCTTTGCAACAGATCTCTAGAAATTTTTCTCATGCAAAACTAAAACTCTGTACTCATTAAACACTGATTTGCTCTGCTCCCACTTCCCCTCACTCATCCTCCCATTCCTTGGCAACCACCTTTCTATTTTCTGTCTTTATGATTTTGATTACTTTAAATACTTCGTATGAGTTGGAATTGTACAGTATTTGTCCTTTTCAGACTGGCATATTTCACTTAGCATAATGAAAGTCCTCAAGGTTCATCCTTGTAGCACGTGACAGGATTTTCTTTTTTTTTCAGGCTACATAATATTCCATTGTATGTATATACCACATTGTCTTCATCCATTCATCTGTTGATGGACATATGGGTTGCTTCCACCTCTTGGTTATTGTGAATAATTCTGCAGTGAACATGGAAGTGCAAATCTCTTTGAGATCCCACTTTGAATTTTTAAGATATATACCCAGAAGTGGAATTGATGGATTACATGTTAATTCTATTTTTAATGTTTTGAGGGACTTCCATACTGTTTTCCATAATGATTGAACCACTTTACATTCCTACCAACAGTGTACAAGCGTTCCAATTTCTATGCAACTTTGCTAACATTTGCCAATTTCTGTTCTTTTGATAGTGATTATCCTAATGGGTATAAGGTGATACCTCACTGTAGTTATGGTTTGCATTTCCCCCATCCAATTATTATACTAACTAGGCCTGACCCTGCTTAGCTTCTGAGATCAGACAAGATTGGGCGTGTTCAGAGTGGTATGGCGGTAGACTTGATTTGCATGTATCTTAAGGTTAGTGACGTTGAGCATCTTTTCATATGTTTATTGGACATTAGTATATTTTGTTTCAATAATTGTTTATTCAAGTCTTTTACCCCTATTTTAATTAAGCTACTTGTTTTTTTGTTATTGACTTATAGAAGTTCCTTATATATTCCGAATATTAAACCCTTATCAGATAGCTAAATCTGTTCATAGCAAATGCTATTTCCTTGAAGTACATTTCTGGACATGAATACAAGTATCACTTAATGATTATATAAGTAATATATATGGTGGCTTTATATTAGAAATTCCCTCTGTTCTGCCTGTCAAACTACTATCTCTACGTAAAAGGAAAACTAAAGAAAGGACTAGAGAAACTGTCATTGAGTATTCAAGTAGTTCTGAGGAACTGTTATATTTAAAGAAACTAGTTTTTTTTTTTTTTTTTTTGAGACGGAGTCTCGCTCTGTCGCCCCAGGCTGGAGGGCAGTGGTGCAATCTTGGCTTACTGCAAGCTCTGCCTCCCAGGTTCATGCCATTCTCCTGCCTCAGCCTCCTGAGTAGCTGGGACTATAGGCGCCCACCACCATGCCTGGCTAATTTTTTTTTTTTTTTGTATTTTTAGTAGAGACGGGGTTTCATCGTGTTAGCCAGGATGATCTCGATCTCCTGACCTTGTGAACCACCTGCTTTGGCCTCCCAAAGTGCTGGGATTACAGGTGTGAGCCACCGTGCCTGGACAAGAAAGTAGTTTCTATTCCCATTACGGAAGCTTATTATGCATTGCTGGCAAGAAGTTCTTTGATTATCATTAGAGGAAAAAAACTTGTGAGGATAGTAGAAGGAATCAAAGAGACTGTAAGTATGGAGGGAAAAAAAGTTGGCAAATCTAGATGTTTGAGAAAGTATGAGAGAAGTGCAGCATAGAAACTATCAAAATTAAAATACAAGTTAACAGTAGTCATACAAAAATCAAAGTGAAGGTTGCAAATATAAGGTTGATATGGTTTGGCTATGTCCCCACACAAATCTCATCTTCAATTGTAACTTACACAATTCCCACAGGTGGTGGGAGAAACCTGGTGGGAGGTGATTGAATCATGGGGGTGGGTCTTTCCTGAGCTGTTCCCGTGACAGTGAATGAGTCTCACAAGATCTGATAGTTTTGAAAACAGGAGTTTCTCTGCACAAGCTCTCTCTTTGCCTGCGACCATCCATGTAAGATATGATTTGCTCCTCCTTGCCTTCCACCATGATTGTGAGGCCTCCCTAGCCATGTGAAACTGTGAGTCCAATTAAACCTCTTTCTTTGTAAATTGCCCAGTCTCAGGTATGTCTTTATCAGCAGCATGAAAACAGATTAATACAGTAAATTTGTACCAGGAGTGCGGTGCTGCTGAAAAGATACCCGAAAATGTGGAAGTGACTTTGGAACTGGGTAACAGGCAGAGGTTGGAACAGTTTGGAGGGCTCAGAAGAAGACAGGAAAATGTGGGAAAGTTTGAAACTTCCTAGAGACTTGTTGAATGGCTTTGCCCAAAATGCTAATAGCGATATGGACAATAAGGTCCAGGCTAAGGTGGTCTCAGATGGAAATGAGGAGCTTTTTGGGAACTGGAGCAAAGGTGACTCTTGTTATGTATTAGCAAAGAGACTGGTGACATTTTGCCCCGGCCCTGAAGATCTGTGGAACTTTGAACTTGAGGAAAATAATTTAGGATATCTGGCAGAAGGAATTTCTAAGCAGCAAAGCATTCAAGAGGTGAATTGAGTGCTGTTAAAGGCATTCAGTTTCAAAAGGGAAGCAGAGCATAAAAGTTCAGAAAATTTGCAGCCAGACAATGTGAGAGAAAAGAAAAGCCCTTTTTCTGAGGAGAAATTCAAGCTGGCTATAGAAATTTGCATAAGTAACAAGGAGCTGAATGTTAATCCCCAATACAATGGGGGAAAATGTATCCAAGACATGTCAGAAGTCTTCACAGCAGCCCATCCCATCACAGGCCTGGAGACCTAGGAGGAAAAAGTGGTTTCTTGGACCAGGCTCAGGGTTCCCGTGCTGTGTGCAGTCTAGGTATTTGGTGCCCTGCATTCCAGCTGCTCCAACCATGGCTGAAAGGGGCCAATGTAGAGCTTGGGGCATGGCTTCAGAGAGTGTAAGCCTCAAGCCTTGACAGCTTTCATGTGGTGTTGAGCCTGCGGATGCACAGAAGTCAAGAATTGGGTTTTGGGAACTTCCACCTAGATTTCAGAGGATGTATGGAAACACTTGGATGTCCAGGCAGAGGTTTGCTGCAGGGGCAGGGCTCTCATGGAGAACCTCTGCTATGGCAGTGCAGAAGGGAAATGTGGGTGTGGAACCTCCAAATAGAGTCCCTACTGGGGCACTGCCTTATGGAGCTATGAGAAGAGGGCCACCGTTCTCCAGACCCCAGAATGGTAGATCTACTGACAGCTTGCACTGTGCACCTGGAAAAGCCACAGATGCTCAATGACAGCCTTTGAAAGCAGCTGGGAGGGAGGCTGTACCCTGCAAAGCCACAGAGGTGGAGCTGCCCAAGACCATGGGAATATGCCTGTTGCAGCAACGTGAGCTGGATATGAGACATGGAGTCAAAGGCGATCATTTTGGACCTTTAAGATTTGACTGCCCCACTGGATTTTGAACTTGCATGGGGCCTGTAGCCCCTTTGTTTTGGCCAATTTTTCCCATTTTTAATGGCTGCATTTACCCAATGCCTGTACCCCCATTGTATCTAGGAAGTAACTAGCTTGCTTTTGATTTTACAGGCTCATAGGCAGAAGGGACTTGCCTTGTCTTGGATGAGACATTGTACTGTGGACTTTTGAGTTAATGCTGAAGTGAGTTAAGACTTTGGGGGACTGTTGGGAAGGCATAATTAGTTTTGAAATGTGAGGACATGAGATTTGGGAAGTGCCAGGGGTGGGATGATATGGTTTGGCTGTGTCCCCACACAAATCTCATCTTGAATTATAACTCCCACAATTTCCACATGTCATAGGAAGAAACCAGTGGAAGGTGATTAAATTATTGGGGTGGGTCTTTCCTGTGCTGTTCTCATGATAGTGAATGAGTTTCATGAGATCTGATCGTTTTAAAAACAGGAGTTTCTCTGCACAAGCTCTCTCTTTGCCTGCTGCCATCCACGTAAGATGTGACTTGCTCCTCCTTGCCTTCCACCATGATTGTGAGGCCTCCCCAGCCATGTGGAACTGTTAGTCCAATTAAACCTCTTGCTTTTGTAAATTCCCCAGTTTCGGGTATGTCTTTATCAGCGGAGTGAAAATAGACTAATACAAAGGTAGATAACTAATGAGAATAAATTAATGAAGGGCAAGAGATATATACTGTATAGCACAAGTCTTCATACAACAAGTAAGAATTCAGATGTCTCATTCCAAGAAAAATTGGGCAAGGCAAATAATAGGTAATAAACAAAAGGTTGTGTTTTTTTGGTTTGTTTTTGTTCTTGTTTTGCTTTTTTGTTTGTAACATATGCTAATATGAACACTGAAAAAATATTTTCTAGTGGTCAACTATATGGAAAAGATTGATTAAAAGCAAATCTCATGTTTTATGACATAAACTTTTTCCTTATTTTTCATAATCTGTATAGAGAAAAGAAAACGAGAATTTGGCCAGATTTTTGGAGATTATTGGAGCTGAAAAGTCTATTTTATATCTTTCAATATAGACAGCTTCTTAAAAAAACCCTAATATTATGGATAGACAGTGCAGAACCAAACATCTAAATATGACAATAGCACTTAATCTTTACCTGAGCCTTGATTTCTTCTCCCCATAAGCAGCATATTGTGAGCAGACTCTATTTGACAGAGTGGTGAGAAGTGATAAATGTTTAAGCTGGAGTCTCTAGAAAACAAGTGAAAGAATCTCATTATATGGTCAAGACTCATTGAATACTGTATAAATGGCAAAAATAGGGACTATTAATTTCATGATTTTTTAATGAATAGGAAACTGAACACTGGTGAAAGGAACTTATTGATATTACTTTTCCAGAGGTATTACATTTATTTTCCAATTAAGAAGATGCAAGGGTGGCATTTTAGAAACTTTTACTGATTGCAAAATCTCAATTTCTACCATTATCTAAAAGGAATGCTATTAGAAGAAAAAAACGTAAACATATAATAAGTAAAATGGGACATACCTCTTTCAAAAAGCATACAGTTGGGCTTGCAGAGGTACAGCAGGACCCTACCATAGAAAGATAACTCTTGGTGTAACTGACTAAAAGTGACAGAGGAGCTTGTCCGTAATTAGTGGAATATTCCCACATAAATCTGTGGAGGAAAAAATAGAATTGGTCAAAAAATTTGTGAATAAACAAAATCTACTTTTTTATTTGAGACAGTGTCTTGCCCTGTCATCTAGGCTGGAGTACATGGTATAATCATAGCTCACTGCAGTCTCAACCTCCTGGCCTCAAGCGATCCTCCTGCTTCAGCTTCCTGAGTAGCTGGGACTACAGGTGCATGCCACCATGCTCATCTAATTTTTTAATTTCTTGTATAAATTAGGTCTCACTAATTGTCCCAGGTTGGTCTTGAACTCCTGGGCTCAAGTGATCCTCCGACCTCAGCCTCTCAAAGTGCTAGGATTACAGATGTGAGCCACCATGCTTGGCCCCCAAAACCTACTTTTTAGTAAGTATTTTGATGGACAAAGGATATATGTTACATTAATTTATAGTTTTAATATCTAAAAAACACTAAGAATTTAGAGAAAAGGTTATAATACTGGCCACTATTAATCAGTATATTCATTCATTAAAAATAGATTTACAAATTTCTATGTGGTTTGTGTGAGAGGAGGGGCCATTTGTCCCTTTATTCACTTAATGTCTGGTCAGGTGCATCACCCATGGTATCTGCTTGTTAATTAAGCTGCTAATTGAATTAATTAAAATGAATGTAATTGCTAGATTAATTTTTCATTATCTATCTCAGTTTATTACTTTAGATAATTATTATGTATAGATTACTTATTTTTTGGAAGAAATAATTTCTATTTCTGGGAATAGATGTCCTTATGGATCTAAAAGGGACTGAAATTCTGGGCAAAATCCTCTTTGAAAATTGACAGGAATGAGCAATCCTACTAATTTTTACAATTTGTGACCACTTTGAATGACATTGCTCCTGGTTTTTGAATATGTATATATTTCTTACTTTAATAAATGTATTTTCCCCCAGTTTTGTTCATTTTTGTGACCTTCCAAGACTAACATAAAGATTCAGTGTATAATCTGGCCCCTTGTGCATGTTAAACCATAAAAATTTTAAGGTTACGTGTTTACTTGATGTAGTAGATGTGTCATATTTACACGTACACGTCACATGTTTCTGGGATGTATAGGAGTGAAGAGAGAAGCTGTTTATTTTTTATGCTTTACTGGAAATTAAGTATTTAAAATGTGTACAGCAATAAAATTGCTTCTATCATATGACATACGCAATGATCCTTAGCATCAGGGAAATCACCACAGGGGCTGTCAAATATTTGAAAATATATCATGTGGACAGGATACTCAAGTGATTCTGGTTCAGATAATAGGATTAGGGTTAGTAAGAGTTTGGGAAAATTGATTTTATCTCTGAGAAAGGCATTCACAAAACTCAGCACCAAAGGGAAGATGGGCTGTCTCAGATGACAGTCAAGTTATCAGAATTTGTTCAGGTTGCTGTAGAAGAGGTGTTTCCACAGAGTAGGGGGTTAGATTAGAGTCATTTCTGATACTTTAGGTCCTAAAGTTCTATTTATGATGAAGGCACTCACTGATTAGCATATTCCTTTGGATCTTTCCTGAACGCCTCACAGATTTCATCATTTGTGGGTTCCACGTAGGTAGGGAATTCCTGTGGCTGGTGTTTCAGAGCAGCCATGCAGAGCTTTCGTTCCAGGCCCTCTTTGGTGCAGCACTCAGCAGTGCCTGGGTGAACGGGGAATGGAGAATTACTTTCACAGGACTTGGCAGACAGTGCTGAGGTCTGGAGGAGAAGGAAAAAGGAAACTCATATATATATGTAAATTTCCAGGCTTTTAGACTTCCATTTAATATAATATCTTAGCCTATAATTAGAAAATTCTCATTTATAACTATGTATTCATGCCAAGGGCTCCATGAAGTGATTTTTTAACATGACAAGTTGTGTGATTATCGGCAAGTATAGGATCTTATTTATGTTAGTAAATGACTCCTCAGAGTAGAACAAAAATAGAACTTTGAATAACAAATGGACAGTGTTTATCTGATTAGAGCCATTAGAATTGTATTCTCTAGCCTAGTGTTCCTCCGTGGGGATATTAACATCTCTGAGGATGAGAGGGTCATTTGAAAAAGCTCCACAGATGATTCTGTCATTATCTCCCATCTGCTTTCTGCTGTAAATGCCCCAATAAGAGTGAGGAGGACCTCCCTCTGTTTATTAAATGAGCTCTCCTTCCCTCCCTTTGTGAAATGAGTAGACTCTTGATTGCTGGTTCCTTTAACTTTCTACATTATTTGCATTCTCTTACCTAATGATTCTTGAACCGGCTTTTGCATCAGAATTACTCATAGAGTGCATAAAATAAAAAATGCTTTGGTTGCACAACACAGAAATTCTGTTTCAGTAGGTCAAAAATAGGGCCTGAAAATCTGTTTTTCCCAAGCTCCAAGATTTATGTGCAGGTGCAGTGTAGGTTGAAAACCACTGATGCACCTGCATTTACTGCTTCAACAATGATACACTGATACCTGTGAGCAGACTAAGCACCATCAAAACAATCGTAGCATCAAAATGTTCTTTTTGGAAAAATTTCATATTTGAAATTAAAATCTAAAATAGAGTCACCATAGAGGAAAAAAGAATAGAAATAGTCATCATGGAAAAAATTACTTTGGGATTTATATGGGAAACAGTACTTTGACATTCTTATACTTAATTTATAAGTTAGTCATCTTTTTAAGGTAAAATTTCTAAAAATCTTTTCTACCAGTGAAGAATGGCAACGTGATGAATTACTTATGTAAACTAACTTCTCACCATCTTCCGTACCATCCTTTCATCAGATTCGGAGAAGTTAAAAATTAGACTCTTTTTCATCCTATCTCTCTTTTCAGTCCATCTTTTTCCTTTCCATTCATTTCCCTGGCAACCCTTCTTTTTGCCTTTTTAAAGTTATCTTCTTTCAAGTAAAAAAAGGTTGACAAAATGTCAAAACACTTTTCAAAAATGTTTTGAACAAGCAGGAGAAAGAGAAATATATCATGCAAAAAATATCAATGCCATATCTGTTTTCTTATGCTCCAGGATTGTAGAGACAGATCATATCTCTGATCAAGGGATGTATTAGCAAATATATGAAATAAAATAAAAATGTGCTCTGTCATGTTGATGATTTGACGCTTTCTTATTTTAAGGTGGTACAGAAGTTCAGGTTAAAATAAAAAATATTTATGAACTTGGTGGAAGAAAAGGATTATAAAATTCTGAAAAAATAGATAAGGGACAGGTAAAGCAATTAATGGGTAAGAATATTCATTGTGTAGAATCTATTCTAATCAGATCTTTGGAGCATTGTTTCTGTATGATATCTGCTGAAGGCTTGAACAGTGAGACAAATCTGTCTGTAAAAGCCTTTATCAAAATGCATCTAAATGTCATTTGCATCAGGCCTGACGACTGCATTAATAAATTGCTGAAACTCCTTAGATTTAACCCTTTTCAGCTACTGTCTGAACATGTCAGCATTTTAATTTTTGCATAAGTGCTATAGGGGAGAAACCTAGAATTCAGTTATGTGCATACAGGGCAACTTTTGAATCCTCCTTCCAAATTTGAAACCAACACTAAATTATTCTGGAGCACTTGGTACCAGTCCTGGCATGATGATAAAAGAGGATAAAGCTATGATCAGGTTTTTAAGCTATACACAATATTTTAGAATTCTTTCAAGAGGTTCATGAGCTGATATATATATATATATTAAATTATATAATATATAAAATGTATATATACATATATATTTAATTTCAATAGTTTTGGGGGAACAAAACTATTTTGTTTTTGGTTACATGGCTAAGTTCTTTAGGGGTGATTTCTGAGATTTTGGTGTACCTATCACCGGAGCCGTGTACAGTGTACCTAATGTATAGTTTTTTATCCCTCACCCCCTTCACCCTTCTCTCCAAGTTCCCAAAGTCCATTATATCCTTCTTATGCCTTTAAATCCTCATAGCTTAGCTCCCACTTATAAGTGAGAACATACGATATTTGGGTTTTCATTCCTGAGTTACTTCACTTAGAATAATGATCCATGGGCTGATATTTGAGAAGATCAAATGTATGGTGATAAAAACTTAGGTTTTAGAGTCATATCTGGATTTATATTTTATAACTCCTTCTTGCTAGCAATGTACATTTAATAAATCACTAAATTACTCTATGACCCAGTTTTCTCATTTGAACCTTGTAGGAATAATGGGTAATATTGACTCATTATGTTAGAATAAACCAGGCTGTAAACACAACAGGCTTCATATTTCCCCCAAACTAGGAGTAAATGGAGTTGCTGTCTAAAATTTTTTCAACACGTGGTATAAAGGCCTATTTTGGCTTCCTTCTCTGGGCTGCCACAGAGACGGCCAGCCACAGAAACCTACCCTGGTGTCATAGCAGTCAGGGTCAGCCCCTTCCGCACAGCAGGCTTCGGTCAAGGAGACAACTTCCTTCACAAGTTGGCTGACCTGTTCAAACGTGCCACTGGGAAATTTTCTACTGTACAGGACTAGTGACCTGAGGGGAAAATAAGACAATATATCAATTAGAACTGAAAGGTTTTTTTTTTTGAGACGGAGTCTCGCTCTGTTACCCAGGCTGGAGTGCAGTGGTGTGATCTCAGCTCACTGCACTCTCTGCCTCCCAGGTTCAAGCAATTCTGCCTCAGCCTCCCGAGTAGCTGGGACTACAGGTGTGCACCAATACGCCCGGCTAATTTTTGTATTTTTAGTAGAGACAGGGTTTCACCATGTTGGCCAGGATGGTCTAGATCTCTTGACTTTGCGATCCACCCTCCTTGTCCTCCCAAAGGGCTGGGATTACAGGCGTGAGCCGCCGTGCCCGACCAGAACTGAAACTTTCTTTTTACATTTTGGCACATTAAAATATGAAACCTGTTCAATGTTTAAATGAAATATTGTACACATTTACTTCTTTATTTGGCTAATGAAAAAAATGAGGTTTAATTTAAAAAGCAGTTTTTGTTCTAGGCAAATTTATCTTGGAAAGCAGTAGAAATTGAACTTAGGGCTTCCATCAAACCAATCTGGTGTTGTCCTTCTTAAGCCTCCCCAAATGTACTTGCTCTGTACCTCATTGCCTTGGTTTCCCAGATTCCTAGAATGTACAATTGCATTTTAATGACCTTAGAAAGCTATGCTTTACGTATTATCTTTGAACTCATTCATAAACTTACTGGTGACAAATTCTTAGACTGTGGTAATCAGAGGTCATCTGGAATCTCTGGATGTCCTTAATTTGCTTGACTCCTGTGCCTACCTTGGGCCTGGGGCTCTGTCCTCTTACTCTTGGCAAGGATTAAGGATTAACCTCCATGCTGAGTCAAAGTTACCTCACACTCAGTTTTGTTCAAGATCAAATCACCAACAGAGTGAGTGGCTGCTGCACACTTACAGAGATGTGAAGTCCTCCTTTCCCAGATGGGAGAATTCCTTGCAGACTTTATTCTTTTCATAATCCCGGCCTAGGAGGCAGAAATAGAAAAATTTGTATGTGTCCCCTTTTGATGAATATTATGTTACATGTACATGTATAAAGTGATCTTCCACGTGGCCTACAATGAAAGTCGTATTTTCTCAATGTCTATATGCAATTTCATATTTTGGGGGCCTTTCTAGCTCTTCTCTCATAACAGGCCACAATTTTATGACATTCTGTTATATTTTAGTCACCAGCAGAACAAAAGGAGAGAGTAAACTAATACTGAACGTAAGTGAGTCAAATGATACATGTCAACTAGTGAGTCAGAAGCTATTGATATGGCAACTATTAGGTCCTATCTTTATAATGATACCAAAATGAGAATTTTTCTCCTTCCCTCCCTCCTTCCCACCCTGCTTCCTCCCTTCCTTCTTTTAATGTCTCAGTTTTACCTAAGGCCTGAAAAGAAAAACAGAACTACAAATAATTGGAGACTGTCTCCACTCCAAGGTGAGGGGCTGGTGCCACTAATGCAGGACTTTAAAGGAGGTACAGGAGAGTTAGTGCTGCCACCCATGCTCTGCTACTTGGCTCCTGGCTGTCTAAGGGAAGGCTAGGAATTCAGCTGGGGACAAGGTGGAAATCAGGCAAAGAATATTTTAGACAAAGTGTGGTGAGTCTGGGGGATGGTGGGAAGTGTTTCCTTTCACTTTCACATAGTGACAAGGGCTTCAAGAAACCACTCAGCGCTTGACAGGGAGCTCTTGGAATTTGGGGTGTAATGGACAGGTGTCTGATTCAGGCTGGAGAAATCTAGAGGGTGATGGGCTTGCTAAGTGGCCTGGAGAACAAAGCAGAGGACTGGGTGGGAAGTTGTCATGTGACCTGCAGACCTGATGTAGCTCAAGCAAGAGAGCGAGCTGGCTAGGAGTTGTCTTAAATATATTTCCCCCAGTCCCAGCTCTACCCCCAACAAAGTGCTATCTACAGAGCAGTGGACTGCCAACAGTTGGGTCTCTGTGTGGAGGTAGACAATTTGAAAACCAGGGGCCCAGAGGAGAGTCTTAAGGTGCCAGCTGCATATGAGAGATCTCCAGGAATAACAAGGGAGAGAGATCACAGAAGAACACAGTAAGAGAAAACGGCAGCTTTACACATCTTGGTAACCAGAGGAGACAACCTTGGCTCACCATGCTGCCCATTGAATTTTTTGCCCATTGAGTTGAGTTTTTCCTGCTGCTATCTCTCTTACTAGCTTCTCCTTTCCTGTGTTAGCCCTGGAGGAGGTAGAAGCAGCCTAGAGCGTAGGAGGAAGGAGGAAAAGAGAACAGGCAAAGGAGACAAGAGGCAGGTATCTGTGTCTTCCTTTCCCACCACAGGCAATAGAACTGAAACAGGCCTGAATGGGGTAGTAGCTTCAACTTTCAATGAATTAAAACATTTTTGACTATTAAATGTAACTAGCCATTCTCATGATGAAATGACATTGGTATTTGAGAGGGAACAGAAAAATCACAGTACCTGCTCTTGAGTTCATTCACGCTACAGGGAAGAGCTAGTTACTAATCATGAGACCCCCTTGTTCAACATGTCCATCACATATGTAATAGGGCGGACACATCAAAGTCAGTCAGTGTTCTCCTAACCTGACTCATCATTTATGCAAATAAGCCCAGGAAATTTCCCTCCTGTGATGTTATATCTTTGGAAAAAAATGTAGGAAGTATATAAATTGCTTACTCTGTTTTAAGTGGCTTTAACTTTTAGTGGTTTATCCTTCTCACTTTAAGGGTTGGGAAAGTCATCTCAGGTGATATGATGGTAACTGCTGTCAGGCTTTAATCCCAAAGATTTCCTCTCCTCTCTAACAGTTACAATTTTATGGAAGACAGTGTAAACATATGCCTGGGTGGAAATTTCTATTTGATGGCTTGCAGTGGAGGTGGTGGTGATTAGATACAGACTTGAAAGGGTTGTATTTTTTTTTTTAAAGATTCTCTTTAGGACTCATCAGATTAATGTCACCTGTTTAATGTCAGATTGCCTGTAGAGGAAGCAGTCGCAGCATGTACTTTTTTGGATGGATACCCCCCCAAAATATTTTTGAGGTGAGAAAAGTCGGATTTGATAATTGTGAGAAAAAGACATTCTTCAGCAGCACTTTTTAACAAGAGACCTACTCAAACACCCTCAAAACCACACAGAAGGTGGAAAATAACCCACATACCTGAATCCTGAATCTGATGTTATTCTGGCAACTAGGACAAGGCAGTAGAGTTGATAAAGCTAATTGTTAGTGGAACCAAAAAAACCACTTGCAACAAACCTCTGTAATGTCTGAGAACCTTCACATCTTGTACATTTTCTGAAATGTATTGATTAGTTTACAAGGCTGGATATTGTGACACGTTCAAAAGGTTAAGCAAGGCAGAAAACTTCCATTAATCATTAATGGTATTTTATGGAATTGAAGACTAGAACACAGAGAAGAATAATTAGGGCTAGAACTGTCCTCATGTGGTGATGAGCTGTACTTACGATGTCAAGAGTTGTTTTTAGTTTGCTCCTAAAGCAGAGCTAGGAGAAATGTCTGGCAGTTACATGGCAGTAGATTCTAGTAAGAAATCTTTATTCCAACTGTGTCTATTTTATAACTGAAATGAAAGCAGCCTTTTGAAGAGGTGAGTTTGTTTTATCATTGTAAATATCAAAATAGATTTAAATAACCATATATTGTAAAGATCCCTGAATTTAGTACAATGTATCCTCATCATCTATAAGATCACTTGCTGGGGATTATAATCTAGTCTCTTTTAAAAATAGCGAGAGATTATAAGGAATATTTTTTCCCAAGGCTTACTGTATTTTAAGACATACACAAAATAGCCCTAATAAGAACTTCTTTTCCTTATAATAAATAGGAGCTAAGTTTGTTTAAATTCCCCCCTACAAAATGGAAGAGTTTATTTTTATTAGTACTTCTCTTGTGACCATTCAATAACATGCAAAGTGAAATCCTGTATTCAAATGGGGTACCCCCGATGAACATTTTGAGAAATATTTTGTTTCTAACCTTCCAGATTCTGATTTCTCATTTCACTAAAAATGTAAAGTTTCATTTCATATATTATGGGAATGTGAGTGTGCATGTGAAGGTAGTGTAACTGGGCACTGCATGTTATCCCATTAAATAGTTTGAATTTATTTAACTATTTGTGTTTGCACACAGCACTTTAGAATTCATGGGCATTATATACTGCTTTAGTTAGAATGCAAACTGATGAGAGAAAAGTGGGAAACTAGATGGAATGAATAAGGCTTAAAGAGGTTTTGAAACTATTTTTGCTGGAACATTCAGCCTTGGGCATAACAGGAAGCAAGGGAGGAAGCTCAAGAGGGATATTGAGAAAGCTCAGAATTAAAATATAAAAATAACCTGTAGAGGAAGCTGTTGCACCATGATCTTTCAGGTGAGCTACCCAAAATGTACTTCTGATAAAATAATTTTATAAATTCATTTGCCCAAAGAGAAGATATCTAGCTTACAAGACAAAGCCAATGTATGTCAATCATTGTCTCAATTTTCAAATACAGCAAATAAATACTAAAGTTAATTTGCAATGTGATTATTACTAATTGATTCCCCATTCCATGGAATACTGCTTAATAAATGTTTTTGGTGTAAAACCAGTTGAGCTCACTCCAATTCATATAGTTAATTCCTGTCTCAAATGAACTGTAAAATTATACGCTCTGTTTTCAAATGTACCATTCGGTTATAAAGAAGGTGATTTGGACTTTGATATGGCCCTAGTAAATATTGGCATAATCTTAGTGACTCTGATGAAATCACTTTCACATGAAGTGACCCCCCACAGTACTAAGTGTTTACAAATTTCACTAACAGAATTTTTGCTTTCTGCAATAGCATGTTTCACTTTTTATCTATATTGTGAAACATTCTGGTAAGTCTTGTTTAATTCTGAACTTTTGAAAGCCAGTGTGATTTATTTTCAGGAAATCTTTGCTGCTTCAGGCACCTTACCTCTGCCAACAGAGTTGACAATATTCATTCATACATGTAACAGATATTTTTTGAGGCTTACTTTGTGCCAGGCATTGGGTTCAATATTGAATTTGAACTTACAATGGAACCCAAAATAGACACATCCTTGCCCTCATGTAACTTTCGTTGTAATGGGGATAGCTAATAAGATACTGCTTTGTTACAAAGTTTATTAAAGTAGGTATTTGGATGCCTTCACTATTACTAGTCTTTCACTAAAACCTAATTTGGCTCCCTAGAACAGTTATTCGTATACCAAGTACATTAATGGATCCTAAATATCATTGACATAAATAAGTGCTCGTACAGGATGCTAGGAACTATCTCAAGTTGCTGTTTTCCTATTGTGTTCTGGAGAATCATGGGCTTTAACAGCTCTGTTGGGCATTTTATATTTTCACAATTTCATTTCTTTGGCATTTTTATTTCTATTCTGTACTGACAGACTCATCCATGTCAGAAAAGCTCAGTATATTTGTTAGTATTTTTTTAAATAAATTTACCTTTTAAGAATATGGTTTGCAGTGTTTATTCAAACTAGTCAGGCATGATATTGTTCATTTCACAGTAGTGAATTGACTTAAATAGTAAACATTATTGAGCTGGTTTAGGAAGCTGATCTGGTTATAAGAGATTTCTGTATCACTAAAAATATTGCCAATGAAAAAGTTTGAGCTTGAGTCAATGAAAAGAAATTCAACCCTTTTAATACTAAACCCAGAGACCCACATGACATCTATAGATAAACTAATCTAGAAGTTAACTGTACCTCTTAGGATGATATCAGTGCAACAAATTGAGCGTCCTTTCAGACTTTGAAAATTCAAACACAAACGAAAACAGCAAAAGATATATAGTCAATGGGTTAATTACTCAGAAACTGCAACTGCAATAGGAGACAGCATCACAGACTCACTCAAACTAATGTCCTTGGGTTCACCTCGGGTGGTAGCCTGTCCTTTGTGACACTTACCAAAGTTCCAGAGGAAGCATTTTTTCTCCATGCATTTCATCCCACCTCTCTTTCCTTTTGTGGGTTGGTTACCTCCTCATCTGTAATTGCTTTTGTAGGGGTAAAGATAGAGGGGGAGGTTTGCCTCTTCCACTTTTGGGATGGGTAAAGGTGATATCCCCTGCATTTAATTTGGACGCTTAGAACACATTGAAGCACTTAGATTCTACAGCAATATAAATATAAATAATAATAATATCATGATAACAATTAAAATTTGAGTGCCAACAATTTGGTGGTACTGTTCTAAATATTTGACATGTATTACTTGCTTTAATCTTCACAAAAATTTTATGAGGTTTGTGGTTATCACAGTTTACATCCCATGTTTACTACCTATTTTTATGCATCATTTTAAGAACTTCATCTCATATTTAAATTATTTCTATGAAAAATTGTACTTTAACTTCTAAATAACATATAACTTTTTGAGTACATTTTGTCCATGAGTTAGAGAATTACTCTATTGAAATTTAGTGATATTCTTTTTATGGTATCGAAAGATTCATTATTATTCATGCCTGTTTAAAAATCTTTATCTTTGACTATCAGTCCTGGAAAAAAGTCATTCTTATTCTTCATTTTCTTCCCCGGCCCTTTTTTTTTTTTTTTTTAAATGAAAAAGTTTGCAGGGTTTGGCACAGGAAAATAGAAAGGTGAGCAGATTGGTTGAAAGACTCAGGCGCTTTGGTCTTAGTAGTGACAGAGACTTGAAGTAATACTCACTAGACGTTTGCTAATAGATCTTATAAAGGCAGCATATACTAATATTGCCTTTAAGCAAAATTGTCTTTATTTTCCATGAAGGTTCTTTCAGGGCAAAGATCATGTCTAAATTTTTAGGTCCTGGATGCCTGGCACAATTCTGGACATTCCCATAAAAGTCACTTCATTAAGCAAGTATTATAAAATCTGAAGAAAGTATCATTCAACAAGGGCTGGCACAGTCATAGTTCCACATGGCACTCCTTTGATAAGGTGATATAAACAGTAAGTGGTGGTGATTCTGCCTCCCTGGCTAGCCATGTATGATCTATCTCAATTAAAACTTGAGAAAATATCAACTCAAAATGGATTAAAGGCTTAAATGTAAGACCTGAAGCTGTTAAACTAATACAAGAAAACATAGGGGAAAAGCTCCATGATGTTGGTCTAGGCAATGAGTTTTTTGGACATGACGCTGAAATTACAGGCAACAAAAGCAAAAAATAGACAAATGGGATTGCATCATACTAAAAGGCTACTGCACAGCAAAAGAAAAATTAACAAAGTGAAGAGACAACCCACAGACTGGGAGAAAATATTTGCAAACCACATATCTGATAACAGGTTAATATACAAAATATGTAAGGAACTCAAACAACTCAATAACAAGAAAACCAATAACCGATTTAAAACATTAGCAAAGAACCCAAACAGACATTTCTCAGAAGAAAACATACAAATGGCCAACAGGTTTATAAAAAATGTTCAGCATCAGGAATCATTAAGGAGATGCAAATTAAAACCACAATGAGATATCACCTCACACCTGTTAGAATGGCTATTGCCAGAAAGATTGAAAGATAAGCATTGGCAAAAATGTGGAGAAAAGGGAACTCTTTTCCACTGTTGGTGGAAATATACATTAGTACAGCCATTATGGAAAACAGTATGGATGTTTCTCAAGAAACTAAAAATAGAACTACCATATGATTTAACAATACCACTTCTGGGTATATATCCAAAGAAATATAAATTAACAGGTTGAAGGGATGTCTGCCCTCCCATGTTTACTGTAGCATTATTCACAGCTACCGAGATGCTGAAACAACCTAAGTGTCCATCAACAGATTAATGGATAAAGAAAATGTGATGTATTTACACAGTTGAATACTATTCAGCCTTAAAAAGAGAAGGAGGGGAATTCTGTCATTTGTGACAACATGGATGACCCTGGAGAACATTATGTTAAGTAAAATAAGCCAGGTACAGAAAGAAAAATACTGCATTATATCATATATGGAATCTGAAAAAGTTGAACTCACAGAAGAGTAAAATGATGGCTACTAGAGGCTGCAGGGAGAAGAGGAGGGAGGGAATGAGGAGCTGCTGGGAAAATAGTGCAAAATTTCAGTTAGACAGGAGGAATGTTTTGAGATCTATTTTGCGTCAGGGTGACTATAGTTAATCATGTATTTTATATTTCAAAATAACTTGAGTAAATTTCAAATGCCTCAGAAAAAATGATAAGCAGTGAGATGGTAGAGGAGTTCATTGATGATTTTATCATTCCCCATTATATATAGATATCAAACTATTCCATTGTGCCCCAGAAATGTATATAATTATAATTTGCCAATTAAAAAACAGTACATTTTAAACCAGAAAACACTGTACATGGGTGATTTTCTTTCACTGTTTCCTAACAAAATACACGTCTTAATGACTACTGAAGTTATACTGTATAAACCGAAATCAAATTATGCAATCTAATGGAGAGGATATATTGGATGTGTATCATTATTTATGTCTCTATCATCACACATGTTTTTGTCAAACAGATCCCCGAGCCATTTAAATGCATTTGAAGTCCAACAGATTGCATTATCTTGTATAGGAAAATTTCTATTTCAAAGATTAGTAATTTATCTTTTTAAAATTATAAAAAGTAGATATTTATATATTAATTTTTAGTATGGCCAAAAGAGTTTTATGGTGCTTGTCTGCTATAGTGATGTGTTAGCAAGAATTTTTTTTTCATGAATGGAATATAATTTTCTAATTTTCTTATTAAATCCCAGTAAGAAACTGAAGGCTTATTATTGGACAATTGTAAGAACTGTAATTTAAATGGGAAATTTCACTATCAAGTACTCAATGCTATTTTGTGTTAACCATTGTGATATACATTGCTTTAAGTGCTTTTATAGCACTTCATTTGTCTTAGTAAGGCTAAAGAGAGCCTTTTAAACAAATAAATTAATAATGAGCTTTGCAGTATCATGTAGATGGAAAATGGAATGCCAATGTTTTCTATAGGATATATACTAGATATTACATTCCAATTGCCACCAGGATATAATTCCTTAGATATATTTGCTAAGAAAACTTAAAAGGAACACTCACTTCAATGTTAGCCTAGTCAACAATCCAACCATGTATTTTGTTATTTATATTTTTTAAAATCTAGTATGCAATTGTCAAATAAAAGTATTTTCATTTTAAAACCAATTATTACCTAACATTTGCAGCAGAACTGATAATATCAAAATAACAAATTTACTTTCGTGTAGTAAAATTTGAAGACTGAAATGGTTATTCTAAGACTGTGCTCTTGCTATTGTATTTTTTAATAGATAAAAAAATCACAGTTATTTCCATATAAAAATATTTTCACTCATAAATGGGAGTCGAACAGTGAGAACACATGGACACAGGGAGGGGAACATCACACACTGGGGCCTGTCGGGGGTTGAGGGCTAGGGGAGGAATAGCATTAGGAGAAACACCTACTGTAGATGGTGGGTTGATGGGTGCAGCAAACCACCATGGAACATGTATACCTATGTAACAAACCTGCAGGTTCTGCACATGTATTCCAGAACTTAAAGTTTATATATATATAAAAAAAAACAAAATAAAACCCACATAGGAATTCAGCTGCATCAGCAGATATGAATGTGAAAGACATGTATAACTACATAACACTCCTTGTATATTCCAATAAATCTTTCTAAATCAGCTTTCAAAAAAAAGTTATGTAAGTTTCACTTCTCTAAGATGAAAAACACAATTTGTTAAATGTAAACATATTTAAACAATTCATATGTGATTTCATTTATAGAGAATAAAAATGACTGGTAACTAATTATTTTGCCTATTTTAAATGTAAAGATACAATTATTTGTTAATATTATTTTCTTTAGGTAGTGTTAAACCTCAAGTTACTATTTTACCATGACACCCAGGTTAGCAAACCCAAATGCTCATAGGATCTAGGAACCACACAACTTACATTTGATCCAAGGGAAGAAAGCATTAAATGCTCAGTGGTGAAAACTGAGGGTTTAGTCCAAAAGGAGGAGTGACAATTCAGCTCCAGTTCATCATTGCCATGTGAAAATTTGGCCCTTATTACCACACATTCCTGTGTTTCCAGAGAAGCTAGAAATCTAGATTTTTTTGTGGAATCTCCAGGTTTTAAAATGTTGACAAGTGAAATGAGACTTTAAAGACAGACTTAAAGAAACTTTGTTGGCCCAAACCATGAGGGCCAAAGAAAACATCCATATGAGGATGTATTTTATCATGATTTAAGATAGAGGCTTTGGATACAGACCACCTGGATTTGAATTCCTGCTACCCTAGGTGATAGTGAGACCGCTGGCAAGTTGCTTATCCTCTCTGTTCTTCCTCAGTTTTCTCATTTGTAAAATGAAGATTGTATCCTCAGGAAACAGAATATTGCTGTCAGTTATTATTATTATTATTATTATTATTATTATTGGCTAAATCCAGTTCATGATCATTTTTATACATATGAGTGTATATATTTATGTACATACCTATTTATACACACACACAAAAACACACACAGACACATCAGCTATCTCCTGGGAGCATGGCATCATATGAAAGAAAACTCTAAAGCCACCAATCTTTAAGGAACCTGAGTCTGATGGTAGACATACATATACAAAAACCCAATTTTGTAATATTACACAATAATTTTTTGAACACCTACTAAATGCCAAGTAATGTTCTATTACTGGGAATTACAGGAAATAACAAAAGTTCTTAATTTCACAAGGCTTGCATTCTATATTTGTTACAATAAGCAAATGAACAACCAGTGATAAGGTAAGGTACTAGGTGCTAAGAAGAAAAAATAAATCCAAATAAGGGGATAGAAGATAATGGACTGGTAGGTGTTATTTGTGGTAGGTTGGCTAGGGAAGCCCCCTCTATAAATGGACTTGGAGTAGATGCCTGAAGAAGGTGAGGAAGGGAGCTATGAGAATATCTGGACAATCAATGTTCTAGGAATAGAGAAGAACTAATGCAAAGCCCTGGGGTGCAAAGGACTTAGAGTGTGAGATAATGTGGAGGCCAGTGTGGTCAGATCAGAATGAATGAGAAAAATAGGAGAGAGAGAGAAGAAGCAATGGGTAGAATGAAGAAGTTAGGTGACCAAAAATACTGGGGAAGGGCATCATCAATTCCTTTTAGAGGTTTCTTCATTTTCTCCTGTCCTAAATAGATTAAGCTGGTGGTGTTTTACAGAGTGTGCACACTTCTCCTTATATTACATATTGGTGACTGCATATGTGGCATTGCACCTGATATCAGTAAGATGAAACATTGCTATTGATTTTCAGGGAGGTTAACATTGCTCTCAGTGATGAGAGCTGTATGACTTCAGCCCTTGCGTAGGGCTGTTTTGACAGGGAAGGAAGAGAAGGAAAAGTGTAGCTCACCCACCAACCCAAAGGGAACTTTCTTCTTGCAGTTTTATATCATGTTTAATAAAAAAAAATGCTGTGAATGAAATGCTTAAAGCAAAAAGGAAAATGTTCATAATAAAAACCTCTTTTTGCCAACAGCTCTTATCAACTGCAGTGGTTTATTTCCTGTTGGCATGATTACCTTAATAATTTTGTAGCTGTGTCACGACCCTCTGATCTTTGACAAACCTGACAAAAACAAGAAATGGAGAAAGGATTCCCTATTTAATAAATGGTGCTGGGAAAACTGGCTAGCCATATGTAGAAAGCTGAAACTGGATCTCTTCCTTACACCTTATACAAAAATTAATTCAAGATGGATTAAAGGCTTAAATGTTAGACCTAAAACCATAAAAACCCTAGAAGAAAACCTAGGCAATACCATTCAGGACATAGGTGTGGACAAGGACTTCATGTCTAAAACACCAAAAGCAAAGGCAACAAAAGCCAAAATTGACAAATGGGATCTAATTAAACTAAAAAGCTTCTGCACAGCAAAAGAAACTACCATCAGAGTGAACAGCAACCTACAGAATGGGAGAAACTTTTTGCAATGTACCCATCTGACAAAGGGCTAATATCCAGCATCTACAAAGAACTTAAACAAATTTATAAGAAAAAAACAAACAACCCCATCAAAAAGTGGGCAAAGGATATGAACAGACACTTCTCAAAAGAAGACATTTATGCAGCCAAAAAACACATGAAAAAAATGCTCATCATCACTGGTCATCAGAGGAATGCAAATCAAAACCACAATGAGATACCATCTCACACCAGTTAGAATGGCAATCATTAAAAAGTCAGGAAACAACAGGTGCTGGAGAGGATGTGGAGACACAGGAACACTTCTACACTGTTGGTGGGACTGTAAACTAGTTCAACCATTGCGGAAGACAGTGTGACTATTCCTCAAGGATCTAGAACTGGAAATACCATTTGACTCAGCCATCTTATTACTGGGTATATACCCAAAGGATTTTAAATCATGCTGCTATAAAGACACATGCACATGTATGTTTATTGTGGCACTATTCACAATAGCAAAGACTTGGAACCAACCCAAATGTCCATCAATGATAGACCGGATTTAAAAAATGTGGCACATATAGACCATGGAATACTATGCAGCCATAAAAAAGGATGAGTTCATGTCTTTTGCAGGGACATGGGTGAAGCTGGAAACCATCATTCTGAGCAAACTATCACAAGGACAGAAAACCACACACCACATGTTCTCACTCATAGTTGGGAGTTGAACAATGAGAACACTTGGTCACAGGGTGGGGAACATCATAGCCTGGGGCCTGTCATGGGGTGGGGAGCAGGGGGAGGGATAGCATTAGGAGAAATACCTAATGTAAATGACGAGTTAATGGGTGTCAGCAAACCAACATGGCACATGTATACATATGTATCAAACCTGCACATTGTGCACATGTACCCTAGAACTTAAAGTATAACAATAATAAAAAAGAAAACTTGAATCGAAAAAAAAGAAAAGAAAAAAATGCAAAAAAAATATTTTTAGTGCTCTGTTAACAGTGTGTAACTTAAAACTGAGAATTTTTTTGCTGTAGTTTAATTTTAAAAAATCAATTTTTATAAATGTTTCCTGGTCATTAAGGTAACTTTTCTATCTGCAAGTTAAAAAAAAATTTTATAGCTGTATCACCAGTCTTTGTTACTTGGTTTCTTTGGAAGGGAAGAGGGAAAGATATATTGTATATTAGTATTTCATCCATTTCAGTCCTAGGGGAAGAAGCTACTTGTAGGCAACTGGGAAATACTGCCTTGTTGCTTTTCATAGGGTAGCAAAAGTGGACATTTTCTTATGGTACTAACCAGATTTAGCAGATTTGGTAAGCTCTCTTCTCCAAGATGTACCCAGTGGCTTGGGAACAAGATTCCCAATGCTGTTTGATAGGAGAGGGCTGGCTTAATTGGAACCTGTCCAGTAAAGGGTCATCTGTAACAGTATCCATTTTAGACCCAAGGTTTCCAAAGAATAGTTCCACAGGTATAGACATTGTAGAAAAGGGTCAATATGTTTAGATACTCTGAGTTAGATAAGATTTCTTTCCTGTAGTGTTTCTCAGAACCTTTAGGACGACAAAGGCATGAATTGTGAAACCACCAAGAAGGAATAAATTATGGCTCATTTCTTAAATATATTTGGCCACAGAAACTTCTTTTCAAGGTAAGTCTTGAGTGTAATATATTTTGAAACAGGTGCTTAAATAAATGCTGTGGGTGGTCAGCTCTCTAGAACTATAACAGGCAGAGAAAACTGCAATTCAAACCAATCCCCCACAATACAAGGCTACTCAGAACCTAAGAGTTCTCAGAACTCCCTTAATCTGTACACTTTGTAACTTCCTGCCAGGAAGAACACAGCTAGCTTCTAAGTAAACTGCTGACTTGGTCTTTGGGTCATGCTCAGGTATTAGAGAATAGAGAATTGATAGATCAGGACTACTCTCCCCAAATATTGAAAGTTAATGCTTACAAGTGTATTATGTATGTCTCAAGATATCATCTGGCATATGGCACATGGGTTATAAGAATGAAGTTTAGATCTTCTAGGGGACTGACTGGAGGTTTTTAGCATCCATTTCATCAGAATCTGAGGACTGCTGAGAATGTTGAAATATAGATTGCAGAATGCTCTGTTATTCTCCAAAGGACACTTTCATTCTTTGAGGTGAAGCCAATGTGCACCTATTGAGTCAGCAGTCTAAGATGGTGATTCATGCTCCTGCTTATGGCCTCCATATATAATTCCAATTCCTAGCCATTATTGGACCTTCTGTGTTTGAAGACCCTGATCTGAACCTGCTTCAGTAGGATTTTTCAGGATCAGATCTGCCCCAGCAAATCCTTGGCCAAAAGAATAAGACTTAAAGGGATTTCTTGGAACATGGCCTATTCAGAGGTCTTATAAGGGACACAATTTATGTTGCTTTTTTATACCCTATGCTGTCTGGGAAAGACTTTGTAGTCTTACCTAAGGACGCATAGCTTACTTAAGAATTGATGGGTAAGACGAGTTAAAATAATTTGAATGATGAAATAAGACCAAGGAAAAGTAAATGTAAGAAGAAGAATAAAAAGTCAAGAGTAAGGTTATTCATGTTACAGTTAATAACTGATAATTCTTGGGAACACACATTTTATTCCACTGGCAAAACACATTACTATTATGAATAATAATGTACGAATTAGGTGAGGCTGTTAACTGACAGCACTAAATGAAAACCTTAATTTTACAAAGCAGGATAAATGCAGATGTCCCTTGTGAACATTAAAGAATCAGCCAGAAAAGTAAATTGAAGCTAATGATGAAAAGTTTCCCAGCTGTAGAATTCATAAAGTTGTATACTTCCCATAATCTCAGTCTTTATCATGTAAAAAAATTTTTAAACATTGCCCAAAGATGAACACACCATCTGAAGAATAATTTCAATGAAAAATATAACTGAATTATCTTATTTGTGGTTATGTTTCATAGCTATAGAAAAATTTTATGTGAGGGATATTTTTAAAAATACAATGCATTTTCAAATACTGCATGTATAAGATTCCTCTAAGGGGATCAAAGAAATCTCTAAGTTGACATCATGCATCATTGGCATGGTATATTACACTCAATGGTAATAAATATTTGAAGTCTGAATAAATGCTTAATGGTGGATCACAGTCTTTATTTGCATTATCTTGTAACAATTAGCAAATGTCTAATTTTAAATTATTCTCTCTAGGTCTTGCTTATCAACAAAGGAGGAAGAGATAATTGACAAATTATATCATTCCATTTACTTTCTTTAACAAGATTCTTGTGTTGATTTTTTTTGTCAATTCCAATTCAACATTACATGGCATCGTGGAGCTCTGATTAATGCCTCTCTGGTCCTTATCCCTCTCCCCAACATATTCACCAGTTCTTCTGTTTCTTACTTTTTATTTCATTTTTTAAGTGATAATATAAAATTAAACTAGTAAGAATTCCTGTAAATGGTCACAACAAAAGAAATCTTACCTCTCTCTAAAGCATGTCCAAATGCCACAGCAAGCAGTAGTACCAGGACCCTCTTCATTTTTCTACCAGAGAGTCTTGCAGCACCTCCTCTCTCCTGTAGGTGACCATGTAAAAGTGGTAGCCAAAAGTAATTGGTTTCCTTTTTACAAAGATTCCTGACTATGAATTAATCAATTATTAATCTCAGAAGCAACACAGAATTATTATTAAACACAGAAGCAAGGGGCTGTTATCTTTGGCCCAAAAGAGATAAAATAATATCAATCAAGGTAAATAGACACCCTGGGGATACTGTAGTGGAAAATCTAGGAGATTTTAATCATTAACTTTGTCAAACTGCAAAAGAGCCAAGGTATATAGATTATTTTCCACTGCTGTTCCTCACTAAAGTTTACTTAATATGTTAGTAACGCACACCTTCTCCCCCTGTATAGGGCTGTGTGTCTTCTTTGGACACCCCACCTTTCTCATATGTAAGTGGAAAATCGGAAACTCTGTCTTTACCTCTCTTCCTCTCTTTGTTTAAATCTACTACAAATAAGCATTACCTTAAAATATTGCAGACCAGATGTTCTAAGTAAAAGGGGAAAAAGAGTGAGAAGCCAATTCAACATAATATTTTAAATCCATAATTCTGATGCTATGAAGTAATCTTATTTTAGATGATGGCATAGTACTTTGTATTTCTATGCTGTATTGCACTTTGTGAAGCACTGACATATATATGAAAAATAACCTTTGAAGTGAGGCAAATAACTGGAGAGGTTAAATGGCTCACCACTGCCAATCATAAAAAGTTAGTGGCAAATCTTGGACTCCCTACAGTGATTTTAAAGCTCCTTCTACTAATAGTTTACAACTAGTATATTTTATGGGCATGTAATTTGAGAGCTCAGAGAGGCCCTGTAGGACATGAAATCCAACATCTTCATTTTACAGAAGAGTGAACTGAGCACTGGGTAAATTCTGTGACTTGTCTAGAGAGTCATAGGTAGATCATTCATTGGAATTAGATGAGTTCCACTCCTGGTTTTTGCAGTAGCCCTATTTTCAGGAAATGGTCAGGTACAGGTTGTTACACATGCTCTAAAATCAAATCCCTACTCAGCTTTCATAGCTGTGTAACCTTGGGAAATTTATTTTACCCCTCTAAGTTTCATTTTCCTCATATGCAATGTGGTGATAACTCAGTACATTTGACACAACATTGCTATGAGGTTAATTAAGGTAATCTGGGTGCAGGGCTCATGGTAACATCCATCACATAGTAACATGGATTAATGTCACCTATTACTCTTATTCTAGTTATTGCCACGTTCTCCCACTGGCTTTCCAAATTTATAATATCTGTGAAGGTCAATGAAACTAATGAGGCCATTGGAACTCAGTGGAAGAGTTTAAAGACAGCCCTGTGTCCAGGGTCCCGCAGATAAGTGATTTAAAACTTCATTATCAACTCAGTAGCCAAGGATTATCTACATGGGCAGAGTCTATCAAAATTTCAGTAAACCAATTTAGGTAGTTACATGTTTAGTCAGATTTTCTATCTATACTGAAAATCCTTGGGTGTTAGGTTCAGAAAATAGAGTCCAGCTAGTTGGAAAAAGATACCTATGCCAGATCAAAGCACAAGTATTTCTGTAAGGCCAGTGGAAATCCATATGGTCAAGGAGATAGCTTTCCTGTCCAAGAGCCAACTCTATCTTGTTCAAGGATCAACTTCCTGATTACTATAAATCTAAATTTTCAGTTCCCTTTGGCTGAATTCCTAGTTTACTGTGCAAGTTAATTTAAAAATGTATTTTAGTTCTATGGCAAATTATTTGGAAATGATACTCCAAATGAGTGTGAAAAAGTTTAAAAACTACTCAGAACCCCGGAACTCAAAAGAGGTAGGTAACACATTAGCATATTGATACAGTTTTCATTTTTCTTTAAGATAATACACTGTATTTATACTTCTGTATCCCTTTTATTCAACTGTATTTCGTCATCTTCTGATTAGTTCATTCAAAAAGACACACTCAGATTATTTTCTACGAATTTTGATACAGAGTTTAAGACCAGCTCATTCTTTCATTTTTTAAAAAATTAAACTTTATCTCTGCTTTTGCAATAATATTTACCACGTTTGTTTAATGATAAACTACATGTAGCAAGAATTGCAACATCTCATTTAGATGCCCTCTTGAGAAATCTCTATACGAGCTGCCAAATGCATTCTCTTGGCTGAATTTTCTAACTGAAATTCGGCAAAACAGGCTAGTAGCTAAATATATGAGCCTTTTTTTCAGTCTTATTTATGTAACTTTCCTTAATCTTTCAAATGTTGATTGCTTACTGTGATTCTAAAACTGGGAAGAAATAATCATAATTGGCCTAAATGAGAGGCCTCATGTGACAATGATTACTCTAGTAAGTCAGATGGGGAAAAAATGGGTGAAAAAGACCAAATCAAACCTTCTCACATTGTCTATAATAGCAGCAGTTATAGCAACTAGAAATGTATCACTGAATATATATATTTAACAAGAATTATTTATTGAATACATAAGCAGTAGAATTTTGCAGGAGCTGTTTTTCCTGTAAAAAACTGATTTGAAGTAGCCTCTTTCCCTCTTTCCTCTTTTTCCATCTTGCCATTGGCTTCAGAGGAAATGCAGATCTCTTCCTAACTAGGGCTAGTTCCAGGCAAAATTGTGAGGCAGATAAAGCCTGTCTTTAGTTCTTTTCTCTATCCCATGTCTCTTCTTTCAGTAAACCTTAGTTACTAAAAGATAACACTGACAACTGCTCTTTATCAGAACAGTACCTTCCTTTAATGCTGCGACAGTCTTCTAAAAACTCTTGCAGTACTCCTGTAGAAATGACCTTCTTCAGAATGATTTTGTCTGGTGTTCTCTTCGTTCAGATTCTCTTTATACTATTAAAATGCATTATCAGTATCTTTTCCTGATAAATGACCTGACAAAATTGATATTAGTGGATCGAAGTAATATCTTTAAAGTTGATGTACAGAGAAGAACAGAACACAATCCAGGTTTCAGAAAATTCTTATAGTTCAGCCATTTAGCTATGATTGACTTCCATGAGAAATTCCAATATCCTTGTAATAAATCTCTTTTTACTTAAGCTTATTCTAGCTGAATTTGCAATGAAAAGCATTCTAACTAACCTACCTTTAAATCATTCTCCCCTCTGTTACTGTCATTATTTATCAAAAATGCAAATAAGACTGTGTTTCTGCCTCCCTATTTAAAATGACTTAGGCCAATGCCTGTGCTTAAAGTTCATAAATTAATCCTACTTACCTCTAAAAAGGATTCTTTGCTGTGTATGTACATTAAAATTAGGTACGGTTGAACTACTTGTGGTTCACTGAACACATTGTGCTATTGAGCTTTCCACTGTCTTTGTTCACATTCTTCTTTCTTCCCTTACTCTATTTTACGTGTCTGTTGTCCCTCGTCTGTCAGTCTTTCATTTATTCATTTAACATATATTTAATTCATACCACTTTGTACCAAGTAACATGCAAGCTATTGGTACTACCATATCAAAAGATCTACATGGCTCTTCCCCTCATGGACCTTCTTAGTCTAGCTGGGAAGACAGATGTTGAAGACAAAATGACAAGTGTGCTGAGTTGTGAGGGTGCAGAGAATGGGAGGGGTAAGAGTAGATACAGTGAGAGTAGCTTGAAGACTGCTTTAGAAGTCCAAGCAAGGGATGACAGAAGTGTGGCCTGTGGTGCTGGCAGAGGCGTGAGATGGTTTAAGACACAGAATCATCAGAGAGTGGTAATTGACTAGACTTTGGCTGAGGGGGGAAGAGTGAGAAATTATGCCCAAGTTTCTAGCTTGTGCAAGTGGATGGATATTAATGCCAATATCCAAAATAGAAGACACTGAAGAAGACACACAGTCTGATGGAAGATGTTTTCAGGTGGAATTTTGAGTAGGCAGCTGGGTCCATGACTCTGGAGCTTGGAAGACACCCAAATTTCCAGGTTGTGCTGAGTCCACCTCCTCTGTGCTTTGCTCTCCCACAGTGCTCCTACTATAGCTAAATCACCTTCATTTTGGTATTCCCAACAGCTAGCACAGCTAGCACAGATAGAAACTGAATGTAGTAAACACTAGTCATAATCAGTTTAATGAAGGAATTTAAATGCCTAGAGAAATTTATCAACCCTGGATTTAAAAATGAAAGACATGCTAGAATTCTGTAATTCGTTTATGCTCACTGAAATCCAGGTATAATTTGAGTAATCATGGTTTTCATGAACCAGCCAATTCATTTTTAATTTTACTTGGATTTTCATGAAAATCTGCAAATGATTTATTCATATTTTAAAACAATAGGGGCGGTTATAGAAATATATTCCACAGAGTGCAGGAGTTCAGAAAATGCTGACAAATATAAATGAATTTATTAACCAAATGGTTTCATTTATTTTAAAATAAAAATTTGAGGAACAATTAGAGATAAATTGTCTTCTGCCATGATGCTCTTTACTAAGGCTGTAGTAGTTTATGAGGTCTTGTATAACAAACTGCCAAATAACCATAACTTTCCCAAAAACACTTCCATAAAGAAATATACATCACTGAAGAGAAACAGATATTTAAGAGAAATGATGGTTCAGACTAGATGCAAATGATTTTATCTTCTGCTTGAAAAAAAGCAGAAAGGGAGAAAGAAGGAAAGAAAGAAAGAAAAGAAAGAGAAAAAAAGAAAAAGAAAGAATGAGAAAGAAAGAAAGAAATTGAAAATAGAATTTAAAAAATAGTGCAGGAACAAGGTTTATATGAGACTTAGCTGATAATCACAGAGAGGCAGCTACACCTCTTTCCACCTTTATTGGTCAATGGAATGCAGAATGCCATAATAATCACTGTTAAATATATAGTCATAACTAGTTAACTGTGAGCTAAATGTTCTTAAGTAAAATATTTAGGTTCTTAGTATTCTTAAGTAAAAATATTTAGGTTCAGTTAATTAAAAAATGGTTTTATAATAATTTTTTAATGAACTATTTTCCAACACTGAAGCCAGGTAATTTGTAGAAACAGGTCTGAATATTAAAACTGTGTAATTACTTTTACAAGTATTGACAATTGTAGTATATTTTTGCATTATGTATAGAGAGAAAGAGAAGCAGAAGGTGATAAAGAGAAAATGAGAGAATCGAGAAAAGAAGAGAATAAAAGATAAAATATAATATGTGAGAGAATGAGAAAATAAGCCAATATATCCTAAAACATTCATATGTGAACCACCCTGATAGATGTCCCCAAATGTACATATATACATTTAGATTTTAAATATATATATTTCCAGGAATAGAATGGAGTCCTAAAAAATAGAACAAATGTTAATTTTCATAGCCTGGCTAATCTTTGTTAAGAGCTTCTAATAATGCTGTTTTATGTACATTCTCTAATGAACAGGACTCTAAAGAGGAAGGACTGGCAATCTGAATAAATAAAGCTGACCCTTAACTTGGGTTATATGAGTGAGTTTTAAAAAGTTTTCAGGATCATATTGCAAAATAAGTTAAAATATTAGATGATCTAATAGATTCTCTATACTGAAGGAGAAATGAATTTTCTCAGTTTTCAGGAATTTCTTTTCAGAGCCATCTATAAAGTCAGGAAAAGGCAGAATAATGGCCGACCAAAGTTGCCCACACCCTAATCCCTGCAACCTGTAATTCTGTTATGTTACCTGGCAAGGGGGAATTGAGGTTGCAGATAAAATTAATCAGTTTACTTTAAAATACAGGGATTTTCCTGGATTATTAGGGTGGGCTCAATGTTATCACAAAGGTCCTTTATGTGTAGAAGAATGAGGCAGAACATCAGAGTGAAAGAGATGTGAGAAAGAAAGCAGAGGTTGGAGGGATGGGATTGCTGACTTTGAAGATGGAAGGAATCTGTGAGCCAAGAAATGCAGGCAGCCCCTAGATGCTGGAAAGGGCAAGAAAATGGAAAGGAGTGTTAAAATCTCCAATTCCCATTGAGAATTTTAGCACTTCCCCTTGTAGTTTTTAGTCTATTGTGTTTTTGCTTCTTGAAATTTGAAGCTCTGTTATTATACACATACAGAATTTTAATGATTATCTTTCTGATAAGTTATTCCTTTGGTCAGTATGTCCTTCTTTATCTATGATAATACTTTGTCTCGAAATCTGTTTTGTCTAATACTATTAGGTGGGTGCAAAAGTAATTGTGGTTTTTGCCATTAAAAGTCATGTTCTTATTTAGTAGTTTTGCCATTACTTACAATGGTAAAAACCATTTTGCACCAACCAAAAAAACTTTTGCAACAACCTAATAATATAGCCATGACAACTTTCTTATACTTAATGATTAAATGGTACATCTTTTTACATATTTTTACTTTCAATCTAGCTGTGCCTTTGGGTTTAAAGTGAATCTCTTGAAAAGAACCATTCAAACATCTTGCTTGTTTTATCAAGACATAATCTTGGAGTGTTTAGTTCATTTATGTTTAATGTTCTTATTGCTATAATTGGTTTTGAATGTACATTCTGATTATTTTTTCATATGTTTGCTTTCTACTTTTTTCTTCTGTATTTTTTCCTTTTTTTGTTCATTTTCTGACTCTTTTGTCTCAGTTGAATATTTTATTGTTTTATTTTAATATTTGTGATTTTTAAGCTATTAATTTTGTTAAATTGTAATGGTTTCTCTAGGGCTAATAATATTTTATCTTTAACATGTCCAAGTTTATTGGTTTTTCATCCTACACTTTTCACTTTCTTTTTTTTAATTTAATTTAATTTTATTATTATTATACTTTAAGTTTTAGGGTACATGTGCACAATGTGCAGGTTAGTTACGTATGTATACATGTGCCATGCTGGTGTGCTGCACCCATTAACTCATCATTTAGCATTAGGTATATGTCCTAAAGCTATCCCTCCCCTCTCCCCACACCCCACAACAGTCCCCAGAGTGTGAAACAAACAACCCCATTAAAAACTGGGTGAAGGACATGAACAGACACTTCTCAAAAGAAGACATTTATGCAGCCAAAAAACACATGAAAAAATGCTCACCATCACTGGCCATCAGAGAAATGCAATTCACTTTCTATTTTATACCTGACAGTTTTTTCTTCACATTTTCACACCTCATACATCATATTTTTATATCACATTTCCTACATTTAAAAAGCTTACAACAGTATATCATTTACCAATCCCATTGTTTGTACTATTTTTAAAATACCTTTTGTTTATTCAGGCTTCATAAACTTTTCTTTCAAAGCTATTATTTTTGCTTAAAAGTTTTTTTGCACTATAAACATGATTTTTCATTATCTTCTGATAAGGAGTTGACAGTTATTCTTTTCATTGCTGTCCTGTGGGTAGTATTTTTTTTCCTCTGGTTGCTTTTAAGATGATTACTTTACCTTTGTTTTTCAGTGATTATCCTCAGATATGCACTGTATGATTCTCTCTCTTTTCTTTTTAATTGCTGGGATTTTTATTGGGATTGCATTAAATCTATAGATCAAGTTGGAAAGAACGTAAACCTCGACAGTACTGAATCTTCCTATCCATGAACTTAAAATATCTCTACATTTATTTACTTATTCTTTGATTTGTTTCATCAGAGGTTGTAGTTTCCCTCACATAGGTCTTGTATGTATTTCATTGGATTTATACCTAAGTATTTCTTTTTTTTTTTAATACCTTCAGTTCTAGGGTACATGTGCACAATGTGCAGGTTTGTTACATAGGTATATGTGTGCCATGTTGGTTTGCTGCACCCATCAACTTGTCATTTACATTAGGTATTTCTCCTAATGCTATCCCTTCACCAACCCCTACTCCCTGACAGGCCCCTGTGTGTGATGCTCCCCGCCCTGTGTCCAAGTGTTCTCATTGTTCAATTCCCACCTATGAATGAGAACATGCGGTGTTTGCTTTTCTGTCCTTGTGATAGTTTGCTCAGAATGATGGTTTCCAGCTTCATCCATGTCCCTGCAAAGGATATGAACTCATCCTTTTTTATGGCTGCATAGTATTCCATGGTGTATGTGTGCCACATTTTCTTAAACCAGTCTATCATTGATGGACATTTGGGATGGTTCCAAGTCTTTGCTATTGTGAATAGTGCTGCAATAAACATATGTGTGCATGTGTCTTTATAGTAGCATGATTTATAATCCTTTGGGTATATACCCAGTAATGGGATGGCTGAGTCAAATGGTATTTCCAGTTCTAGATCCTTGAGGAATCGTCACACTGTTTTCCACAATGGTTGAACTAATTTACACTCCCACCAACAGTGTAAAAGCATTCCTATTTCTCCACATTCTCTCCAGCATCTGTTGTTTCCTGACTTTTTAATGATCACCATTCTAACTGGCGTGAGATGGTATCTCATTGTGGTTTTGATTTGCATTTCTCTGATGACCAGTGATGATGAGCATTTTTTCATGTTGACTGCATGAATGTCTTCTTTTAAGAAGTGTCTGTTCATATCCTTTGCCCACTTTTTGATGGGGCTCTTTGTTTTTTTTCTTGTAGATTTGTTTAAGTTCTTTGTAGATTCTGGATATTAGCCCTTTGTCAGATGGGTACATTGCAAAAATTTTCTCCCATTCTTAGGTTGTCTGTTCATTCTGATGGTAGTTTCTTTTGCTGTGCAGAAGCTCTTTAATTTAATTGGATCCCATTTGTCTATTTTGACTTTTGTTGCCATAGCTTTTGGTGTTTTAGTCATAAAGTCCTTGCCCATGCCTATGGTCTGAATGATATTGCCTAGGTTTTCTTCAAGAGTTTTTATGGTTTTAGGTCTAATATGTAAGCCTTTAATCCATCTTGAATTAATTTTTGTGTAAGGTGTAAGGAAGGGATCCAGTTTCAGCTTTCTACATATGGCTAGCCAGTTTTCCCAGCACCATTTATTAACTAGGGAATCCTTTCCCCATTGCTTGTTTTTGTCTGGTTTGTCAAAGATCAGATGGTTGTAGATGGGTGGTGTTATTTCTGAGGCCTCTGTTCTGTTCCAATGGTCTATATCTCTGTTGGGGTACGGGTACCATGCTGTTTTGGTTACTGTAGCCTTGTAGCATAGTTTGAAGTCAGGTAGCATGATTCTTCCAGCTTTGTTCTTTTTGCTTAGGATTGTCTTGGCAAGTCAGGCTCTTTTTTGGTTCTATATGAACTTTAAAGTGTTTTTTTCCAATTCTGTGAAGAAAGTCATTGGTAGCTTGATGTGGTTGGCATTGAATCTATAAATTACCTTGGGCAGTATGGCCATTTTCACAATATTGATTCTTCCTATCCATGAGCATAGAATATTCTTCCATTTGTTTGTGTCCTCTTATTTTGTTAAGCAGTGGTTTGTATTTCTCCTTGAAGAGGTCCTTCACATCCCTTGTCAGTTGTATTCCTAGGTATTTTATTCTCTTTGTAGCAATTGTGAATGGGAGTTCACTCATGATTTGGCTCTCTGTTTATTACTGGTGTATAGGAATGCTTGTGATTTTTATACATTGATTTTGTATCCTGAGACTTTGCTGAAATTGCTTATCAGCTTCAGGAGGTTTTGGGCTGAGACGATGGGGTTTTCTAAATATACAATCATGTCATCTGCAAACAGGGACAATTTGACTTCCTCTTTTCCTAATTGAATACCCTTTATTTCTTTCTCTTGCCTGATTGCCCCAACCGGAACTTCCAACACTATGCTGAATAGGAGTGGTGAGAGAGGGCATCCTTTTCTTGTGCTGGTTTTCAAAGGGAAGGCTTCTGGTTTTTGCCCATTCAGTATGATATTGGCTGTGGGTTTGTGATAAATAGCTCTTATTATTGTGAGATACGTTCCATCAATACCTAGTTTATTGAGCGTTTTTAGCATGAAGGGCTGTTGAATTTTGTCAAATGCCTTTTCTGCATCTATTGAGATAATCATGTGGTCTTTGTTGTTGGATCTATTTATGCGATGGATTACGTTTATTGATTTGCTTATGTTGAACCAGCCTTGCATCCCAGGGATGAAGCCAGCTTGATCATGCTGGATAAGCTTTTTGATGTGCTGCTGGATTTGGTTTGCCAGTAATTTGTTGAAGATTTTTGCATCATTGCTCATCAGGGATATTGGTCTAAAATTCTCTGTTTCTGTTGTGTCTCTGCCAGGCTTTGGTATCAGGATGATGCTGGCCTCATAAAATGAGTTAGGGAGAATTCCCTCTTTTTCTATTGATTGGAATAGTTTCAGAAGGAATGGTACCAGCTCCTCTTTGTACCACTGGTAGAATTCGGCTGTGAATCTGTCTGGTCCTGGACTTTATTTGTTTGGTAAGCTATTAATTATTGCCTCAATTTCAGAGTCTGTTATTGGTCTATTCAGAGATTCAAATTCTTCCTGGTTTAGTCTTGGGAGAGTGCATGTGTCCAGAAATTTATCCATTTCTTCTATATTTTCTAGTTTATTTGCATAGAGGTGTTTATAGTATTCTCTGATGGTAGTTTGTATTTCTGTGGGATTGGTGGTGATATCCCCTTTATCATATTTTATTGCATCTATTTGATTCTTCTCTCTTTTCTTCTTTATTAGTCTAGCTAGTGGTCTATCAATTTTGTTGATTTTTTTAAAAAACCAGCTCCTGGATCCATTGATTTTTTGAAGGGTTTTTTTGTGTCTCTATCTCCTTGAGTTCTGCTCTGATCTTAGTTATTCCTTGCCTTCTGCTAGCTTTTAAATTTGTTTGCTCTTGCTTCTCTAGTTCTTTCCATTGTGATATTAGGGTGTTGATTTTTTATCTTTCCTGCTTTCTCTTGTGGGCATTTAGTGGTATAAATTTCCCGCTACATACTGCTTTAAATGTGTCTCAGAGATTCTGGTACTTTGTGTCTTTTTTCTCATTGGTTTCAAAGAACATCTTTATTTCTGCTTTCATTTCGTTATTTACCCAGTAGTCATTCAGGAGCAGATTGTTCAGTTTGCATGTACTTGTGCAGTGTTGAGTGAGTTTATTCATCCTGAGTTCTAATTTGATTGCACTGTGGTCTGAGAGATAGTTTGTTGTGATTTCTGTTCTTTTACATTTGCTAGGAAGTGTTTTACTTCCAATTACATGGTCAATTTTGGAATCAGTGTGATGTGGTGCTGAGAAGAATGTATATTCTGTTGATTTGGGGTGGAGAGTTCTGTAGCTGTCTATCAGGTCTGCTTGGTGCAAAGCTGAGTTCAAGTCCTGAATATCTTTGTTAATCTTCTGTCTCATTGATCTATCTAATATTGACAGTGGCATGTTAAAGTCTCCCATTATTATTGTGTGGGAGTCAAAGTCTCTTTGTAGGTCTCTAAAGACTTGCTTTGTGAATTTCAGTGCCCCTGTATTGGGTGCATACATATTTAGCATAGTTAGCTCTTCTTATTGAGTTAATACCTTTACCATTATGTAATGGCCTTGTTTGTCTCTTTGATCTTTATTGGTTTAAAATCTGTTTTATCAGAGACTCCGATTGCAACCCCTGCTTTTTTTGCTTTCCATTTGCTTGGTAGATCTTCCTCCATCCCTTTATTTTGAGCCAATGTGTGTCTCTGCATGTGAAATGCGCCTCCTGAATACAGCACACTGATGGGTCTTGACTCTTTATCCAATTTGCCAGTCTGTACCTTTTAATTGGGGCATTTAGCCCATTTACATTTAAGGTTAATATTGTTATGTGTGAATTTGATCCTGTTATTATGATGTTAGCTAGTTATTGTGCCTGTTAATTGATACAGTTTCTTCCTAGCATCTATGGGCTTTACAATTTGGCATGTTTTTGCCATGGCTGGAACCAGTTGTTCCTTTCCATGTTTAGTGCTTCCTTCAAGAGCTCTTGTAAGGCAGGTCTGGTGGTAACAAAATCTGTCAGCATTTGCTTGTCTGTAAAGGATTTTATTTCTCCTTCATTTATGAAGCTTAGTTTGGCTGGATATGAAATTCTGGGTTGACAATTCTTTTCTTTAAGAATTTTGAATATTGGCCCCCACTCTTTTCTGGCTTGTAGAGTTTCTGCTGAGAGATCCGCTGTTAGTGTGATGGTTTTCCATTTGTGGGTAACCCGACCTTTCTCTCTGGCTGCCCTTAACACTTTTTCCTTTATTTCAACCTTGGTGGATCTGATCTGACAATTATGTTGCTTGGAGTTGCACTTCTTGAGGAGTATCTTTGCAGTGTTTTCTGTATTTCCCGAATTTGAATGTTGGCCTGCCTTGCTGGTTTGGGGAAGTTCTCCTGGATAATATCCTTAAGAGTGTTTTCTAACTTGGTTCCATTCTCCCCGTCACTTTCAGGTACAGCAATCAAATGTAGATTTGGTCTTTTCACATAGCCCCATATTTCTTGGAGGCTTTGTTTGTTTCTGTTTACTCTTTTTTCTCTTAATTTGTCTTTTCACTCTATTTCATTAATTTGATCTTCAATCGCTGATATCCTTTCTTCCATTTGATCGAATCAGCCACTGAAGCTTGTAGATGCGTCACAAAGTTCTCTTGCCATGGTTTTCAGCTCCATCAGGTCATTTATGGTCTTCTTTACACTGTTTATTCTAGTTAGCCATTCATCTAACCTTTTTTCAAGGTTTTGAGCTTCCTTGTGATGGGTTAGAACATGCTCCTTTAGTTTGGTGAAGTTTGTTATTACTGACCTTCTGAAGCCTACTTCTGTCAGTTCGTCAAAGTCATTCTCCATCCAACTTTTTTCCGTTGCTGGCGAGGAGCTGCAATCCTTTGGAGGAGAAGAGGTGCTCTGGTTTTTAGAATTTTCAGCTTTTCTGCTCTGGTTTCTCCCCATCTTTGTGGTTTTGTCTACCTTTGATCTTTGATGTTGGTGACCTACATATGGTGTTTTGGTGTGGATGTCCTTTTTGTTGATGTTGATGCTATTCCCTTCTTTTTGGTTAGTTTTCTTTCTAACAGTCAGGTCCCTCAGTTGCAGGTCTGTCGGAGTTTGCTAAAGGTCCACTCCAGACCCTGTTTGCCTGGGTGTCACCAGTGGAGGCTGCAGAACAGCAAATATTGCAGAACAGCAAATATTGCTGCCTGATCCTTCCTCTGGAAGCTTTGTCCCAGAGGGGCACCTGCCTGTATGAGATGTCTGTCAGCCCCTACTGTGAGATGTCTCCCAGTTAGGCTACACGGGGTCAGGGACCCACTTGAGGAGGCAGTCTGTCCATTCTCAGAGCTCACATGCCATGCTGGGAGAACTACTACTGTCTTCAGGGCTGTTCAGACAGGACATTTAAGTCTGCAGAAGTTTCTGCTGCCTTTTGTTCAGCTACACCCTGCCCACTGAGGTGACATCTGTAGAGGCAGTAGGCCTTGCTGAGCTGTGGTGGGCTCTGCCCAGTTTAATGGCTTCCCAGACACTTTGTTTACCTACTCAAGCCTCAGCAATGGGGGACACCCCTCCTCCCGCTCAGCTGCAGCCTCGCAGTTCAATCTCAGACTGCTGCGCTAGCAGTGAGCAAGGCTCCATGGGCATGGGACCTGCCGAGCCAGGCAGGGGAGAGAATCTCCTGGTCTGCTGGTTGCTGAGACTGAGGGAAAAGTCCTTTTTTTTCCAGGTACATTCTGTCACGGCTTTCTTTGGCTAGGAAAGGGAAATTCCCCGACCCCTTGCACCTCCTGACTGAGGTGATGCCCCGCCCTGCTTTGGCTCGCCCTCCATGGGCAGCACCCACTGTCCAACCAGTCCCAATGAGATGAACCAGGTACCGCAGTTGGAAGTGCAGAAATAACCTGTCTTCTGCGTCAATCACACTGGGAGCTGCAGACCAGAGCTGTTCCCATTCGGCCATCTTGAATGAAGATCATATGATTCTCTTTATATCTGTCTTGATAAGGGTTCATTGAGCTTCTCATAAGTCAATGGTTTTTTAAAAATCAAATTTATGTAATGTCCAACCATTATTTCTAGATGACTTTCCTGCCCTGTTCTCACTTTCTTCTCTTTAAAACTTTAGTTACACATATTCCCAATGTTTTGTTAGACCACTTGATATTATCCCATGTGTGCCTGCTCAGTTTCTTCAACCTTTGTTGTCTCTGTTCTTCAGTTGGGATAGTTCTTATTCATTAATCTCAAGTTCATTGCTCTTCTGATATATCCAATTTCATTAGATTATTTTAGCATTTTTCATTTCAGAACTTCCATTTGATTTTAATTTATAGTTCCTATTTTGCTGCTGATGTTCCCTATCTATTCACTTGACTATATTTGCTTTTAATTCTTCCAACATATTATCTTTTAAAGTTTTCATTTTATTAATAAAAGCTGCTTTAAATCTTTGTCTACTACATACTGTGTTTGCAGCATCTCAGAGTTGGTTTCTGTTGACTGATTTTTATCTGAACTATGAGTGACATTTTTTTGTTTGTTTATTTACAAGTGCAGTAATTTTGCTTACTATACAATAGACATTGTTAAAGATATATTACAAAGATTCTGTGTTCTGTTATTTTACTGTAAAACTTTGACTTTTCTTTCTATTGGTGCTTCAGTTACTGGTTAATCATCTTGAACCTGTGTGAGCTAGATTTGTCTTTTCTTAGGGTGGTTGTGTGAAGGGCACAAAATGGTTCCCAAGCACCTCTAACTGGGGGGACTCATTCTCCAAACCCAATCTCCTATAGCTTTTATAAGGACTTGGATTTTAGACTTTATAAGAGTGAGTCTACAAAAAGCCTTTCTTTATTAGTGTATTAAGGTATAGTCTTCCAAGGTCTAGTCTTTCCAGAGTCTTAGCTGGATACTTGGGTGTAAAAAAGCTCATAATGAGGTCTTTCCACTATAGATGGATGGGAGTGTCAATGTCTTTTAGCACTACTTAACTTGTAGTCTCTCTTTTTTTATTCTCAATACCTTATTAGCCACTTTTAGGCAAGTCTCATATATCCTTTTACTTTTAAGAAGCAGAATTACTGAGATATAATTTAAATACAAAACATTCACTCTTTTAAAGTATGAAATTCAATGGGTTTTGGTGTATTTGCAGATTTGGGAATCATTACTATGTCTAATTTTAGAACATTTTCATTATGCCCAAAAGAAACCCCGTAGTTCCCCCTTTTGGCATGACAGTGTGAGGAGCTTCATGGACTTATTCTATAGTGAAATGGGTGAAAATTATCTTAAAAGGAATCATTTCAAGTCTCTGGAAGTGGTTCTAGGGGCATATAGCAAATGAAGCATTTACTCAAGAAAATCTACCACACTTGGTAAGAAAAGTAAATCTGCAATATTTGAACCAAGATCCACTCATTCCCTTCTTGCCTCCCAGCTCAGCGAGACAGATATAACTGAGAGAACAGGACTCTGTTTACCCCCATCTCTCAATGGAGGGCTATCTTCCCAAGATGGGCAGGATGACAGCCTTTCTTCTCCTGCCCTCACCTACTTTTGGTGAGGCTAAGTTCCTGGTGAGTGTGGCTCACCAGTGCTCTTTTCTGTCTAACCCTAGCTCATAAGATGTAGGTTCAACCTTGGGCATGACACTGCTGAGATTATTTAAATCCTGATTGCTCTTGCTTTGGCAGGAGTCCTAGGTCAGGAGAGGTAAGCCAGGGGGACCTGGGGCTGATGGCTTCCCCCTCCACTGAGTACTCAGCTCTAAAGTGTGGGGGTCTCTTAGAGAGAAGCATGACATTGTGCCTACCAGCAGACAACACCAGACCAACGTCTTGAAGATTTTACCTGGGAGGAGAAGCATACTCTAGCATAGAGAGCTCTGAATCTCTTCCCAAAGAAACTGATTTCATTTACAACAAAAAAGCAGTGAAGGTTGTGGTGAAAGGCAACTAGGGAGGGAGGTTGATAGATTCATTGGAGATGTAGTCTAAGCCATAGTGTGGCTAGATTGCTGGAAAGGAATAGGGATAGACACAGCTGTGAGGAGCCCTCCTGGGGTCAGAACAAATCTCAAACACTGGCCTCAGGAGCTATCACTACCAAGGAGGCCAAATTTGATGATATCAGTGTTTGAAGCAATTTATGTCACAGGACATTCATGAAAACAATAGAACAATCAACACACAATTCATGGAGATTTATAGCTGACACTTCACTTCCTTTTTTTTTTTTTAATTTTACTTTAATGTCTGGGATACATGTGCAGAACATGCAGGTTTGTTATATAGGTAAATGTGTGCCATGGTGGTTTGCTGCACCTATCAACCCGCCTTCTAGGTATTAAGCCCTGCATGCTTTAGCCATTGGTCCTGATGCTCTCCCTCCCCTCACCCTCCCTGGCAGGCCCCGGTGTGTGTTGTTCCCCTCCCTGTGTCCATGTATCCTCATTGTTCAGCTCCCACTTATGAGTGAGAACATGCAGTGTTTGGTTTTCTGTTCCTATGTTAGTTTGCTGAGGATGATGGCTTCCAGCATCATACATGTCCCTGCGAAGGATATGATCTCATTCCTTTTTATGGCTGCATAGTATCCCATGGTGTAAATGTACCATCTTTTCTTTATGCAGTCTGTCACTGATGGGTATTTGGGTTGGTTCCATGTCTTTTCTATTGTGAATAGTGCTGCAGTAAATATACGTGTGCATATATCTTTATAATAGAATGATTTATATTCCTTTGGGTATATACCCAGTAATGCGATTGCTGGGTCAAACAGTATTTCTGGTTCTAGATCTTTGAGGAATTGTCACACTGTCTTCAATAGTGGTTGAAATAATTTACATTTCCACCAACAGTGTAAAAGTGTTCCTATTTCTCCACAGCCTTGCCAGCATCTGTTGTTTCTTGAATTTTTAATGATTGCCATCCGACTGGCATGTGATGGTATCTCATTGTGATTTTGATTTGCATTTCTCTAATGATCAGACACTTTACACTTTCTATTTCACTATTACATTTTTAGAACAAATTAAGAAAACTAAATTCTAGAAGATTGGGGTACTCCTCATGACCTCAAATTTGGCAATGGATTTTTAGATACGATACCAAAAGAATGAATATCAAATAAAATAGAAAAATGGCCTTTATCAAAATTAAAACTTTATGCTTCATAGGATACTATCAAGAAAGTGAAATGACAACCCACGGATTGAGAGAAAATATTTGCAAGTCATATATGATAAGCGCCTCATATCCAGAAGAGAGAACTCTTATAACCCAACAATAAAAAAGACAAATAATCCAAATTTTTAAATGGGCAAAGGATCTGAATAGATATTTCTCTAGGGAAGATACACAAATCCAATAGGCACATGGAGGAGTCTGACCTCATTAGAGGTAAAGAAATGCAAAGCAAAACCAAAATGAAATATCGCTTTACACCTATTAGAATGACTACAGTCTCAAAGTCATAAATTAAATCCTCCATAGTCTTCTGAGCACATTTCCTACTCCCATGCAGACTTCTCCTCTAATACTCTGCCCTGCAAATTCCACTGGTTTTGCTGCCGTAGACTCCTCTGCCTCCTCGGCTCAGTGGGACCATTGTGCTATGCTTGGATTCCAGCTTGGTACACTGAGGTCAGGACATTTTTGACACATAGAGAGCCAGGGCAACTTCGGGGCTCACTTTATGAAGTTCCTTACTCACAGAAATCTCAAACTTATATCACCTGCTGTCCAACACATGAAAACAGGGACCTCCTTAACGGTTTCTTATGGAAGAAACTCTAGTATGGCACATACCTAAAAGAGAAAATACTCTACATGCCCACAATTTTAAAATACCTAAAATATATATAAACTTTGCCTATAAAAATGAATAATAATAATGAAGCAATTATCTAAGAGTAAATTTAACTAGCATATTTTATTCTGAAATTTAAAAATAACTGGATGTCACTTTTTAAATATTTCCACTTCTCTAAACTTCATGGTAATTTTTTCTTTCTTTCCTTCCTTCCTATTTTTCCTGTTTCTTTCTTCTTTTTTTTTTTTTTATTGCCTGCCCTGGAAGTCAATTACAATGCTTAGATTAAAAATTAGTATTAGTACTGGAAAGACTAAGTGTTTGAAAATGCCAGGTTAATTATTCTCTAATTTTGTGGAAGTGAACAAAATATTGAATTGTTTGAAGTTATTGACTTTACTATAGCCTTTAAAACCCCATTATTTCTTGCTTTGTTTGGACAGTAGATTTTATTCATCTTGCTTCTGAACATCAGATATAAACCATTATGTGAATAGCATCATTAATTTATCATTTAAATTATTTTGTTTTTATCTATTCCAGTTAACATTTCACTATTTTAATAGTCTTAGGTTATCTAGTGCTTTTAATCAATGCAATTAGTGCTTATTTGGGGTTTAAGCTGCATATTATTTTTGTGTATCCTTTTCTTTTTCTGGATTGACATTTACCTTCTAGGATTATGCACATGCAAAACGAGATTTGGTAGTCTGCACAGAGATATGTCCGAACTGATTAGGTTAGGCCCATACAATCTTTTAGAGAAAAACAAGATCTTTAGGATAGCCTAATTAGCACTTGCAATATTAATAGGGAATTTTTAAAAATTAACGCATACAATACAGATGCTGCTAGACTTAAAATGGGGCTGCATGCCCATAAACCCATTACAAGTTGAAAATGTCATAAGTTGAAAATGCATTTAATACTGTGATAAGCCCATCCTAAAGTTGAAAAGTCATTAAGTTGAACCACTGCAGTTAGGAACCACTTGTACTATCAAGTTCTTTGCTCTTTCTTGATATCTGAGAGTTTAATTTGTGCCATTAAGTCATTCTTTTTATTGAATTGATTGGATAGCTGTCAAATTGCTACCTCATTCAGTGAAACAATCATCTGAAATATAGATGCTTTTCAACTTACAATGGGGCTACACCCCAATAACCCCATCAAAAATTGAAAACATTGTAAGTCAAAAGTGTGCTTTGGACTTAATGATATAATCAATTTATGATGAGTTTAATCCAGCCACAACCCTGTCTTACACTGAAGAGCATGCTGAGTATGTATAGCTTTCACACCATCACAGTCAAAAAATTGTAAGTCAAACCATTATATAATAAGTCAGGGACCGTCTGTATTCAAATGTGTGAATGAGATAGAAAGAAAGGGATCTGGTGAACTTACAGTCTGATAATAAAGAATATGTTATGAATAATGTGTTGCTATGCTTATACCACATGACTAGGATTAGGGAGAGTTATGTTTAAAAAGAGTGAGGCTTGTTATTTTACTTCTTCCTCTGACTTATATCAGTCAACATTTGTAGAATCCAAAGATTTAACAAACTCTTTGTGTGATGCCATACCTGTACTCTGATTTGGCTGAACATAAAAAGAGCTAGTAAAGGAAAGTTGTTTTCTAGTAACAGAAAAATTGTTTTTATTCTTATTCTATTTCTAATCCAGTTACTTCCTTTAAAAAGTGGAACCTCTGTTGATTCCCTGGTAGTAAGTACACATGAGTTTCACTTCAAATGTGAAAATTTTAAACAAGAAGTTAATGCATAATCAATGATGATAAATAACTTTACAAACTTCTTTTTTATTCAAGGTATTGTCATTTGAGTTCTATATGATGATGCACTCAGAGAAATGAATCCAATTAAATATAAAAGGCAATAGTGCAGTAAAAATACCGGGTATTTCTGGTATTCTATGTATTATTTACTTTTGGTGATCTTACTTCAGAGATTTGGGATTCTATTTCATTTCCTCAGAAAATTTGGTATAAACTCATCGCTCTCAACATACTCTGTCTTTTGGAAATATGAATGGATATAGATGAGAGCTAATACCACTAACAGTTCTCATACACATCAATATTCCTTGACAATCGAGAAATCACTTTCTTATATTTTTAATTTTATTTGCTTTGCACAGAAATCCTCTGTGTTGGTAGTCAGAACATTGTAAATTCATTTTATAAGGAAACTAAAGCTCAGAGAGTACCAATGGTAACTTGAAATTATTTGGAATTAGAACGCAGTACCTCACTCCAAGACCACAGCATTTCCTACCAGTTGGACTAGTCCAGATCATCACCAGTGGTAGAATAGGTAGATATCATTCTCCTGGTGGAGTAAGCAATCTCTTTGAAAAAACAGTGAAAAGAGCATCAACGTTGGTCTTAGACAAAGATTTGTATGCAAGCTCCACCAATAAGCTTAATTATATGCCAGGTCTGTCCCACAGACCCTGGCTGAGCAATGGATGAAAGGAATAGTCAGACACAGGTATGCAGTGTAAAAGCAGCTAGGAGATTGGCTGGCATTAGTGGCTGAAGAATGAGCCGTCCTGAACAGCTGGACCAGCTGTAATCAAATGTGTGAACAGCTGGAGCTGCTTGCTTTTATTCAATACAGACATAATGCTGAAAGCCTGGAGCAAACACAATCTGTGGGTAATTAGCATTATTTTTCCCCCTTTTGGGGAGCAGTCACGCAGTGTGGGCTAATGGGCCCTGTTCCCAAAGATTAACAGGGATGGGCATGGTTAGAGGTTGTATATTAACAGACGGACCCCTCCCCTGGAGCATTGCAGCCTTTATGTTTTGCCAGCCAATTGATTCTGGTTGGCTTGTTGTTTGCAAAACTTATCATATTCTGCCCTCCAGATGAGGTATTGACTGGCCTCCAAAGTTGTTTTAGCTAGCACTGACCAGTCCCATGGGGTTATATGGAAGTTATCTGCTATGGCCTCAATTAATCCTTTCATAAATGGGCTAGCAGCTCCATTTTCTCTAATGCTTTTCCTTTTCTCTTTAAAAGTGTCGAAAGTAATGGGTTCATATACCCAATTGCCTTGTTCGTCTTGCATCACTGGGCAGGCCAAGAGCTACCCTTCTAATGCCGCTTGCCTAAGACAGGGTCCCATAACTGTTGTGTATCCCTTGTCTTTTTTCCAGTTTACTGGGGGAGGGGGGTCAGGAAAAACCTCTGTTTCCTTGTTTGTATCTTTACCTGGTAACAGCGGGGCTGAGGGAGGAGGAGGAGGAGGAGGCAGTAAGGTAGGTGATGGTTCCTTCTCCCTTCCCTGTTTAGGCTCTTCTGAGTCGAGTGGGGCCAAAGCAGCCCTAAGGCCCATAATGTTAAAGATGTTACTGGTACCCATTGCCCTTGTGCATGATATTGTTTAAGATTTCTGCCCACTTGTTCCCAGAGCTCTAGGTCTAGCATGCCTTCTTCCAGGAATCATGGGTTATGGGAAACAACAGTTTGCATTAGGTCCCTTAATTGAGCCTGGGAAACCCAGGCTTCACTAGCTTTAAGCAGCTGTTTCAATACTTTTATATTTGCTGTTGAGCTGATAACTGTTGTCCCATGATGAAACCCTAGCTTGAAAATTCCCTCAAACTTGGAAATCCCAAGCAGGCACCCATTACTTATTGACTGGGCAGTCACTTTACCTTTGTTCTCAAGGGTTCTGTCGCAATCTGTTGCTGAGTTCCTCATAGGGGACACCAGCTGCTGGGTTCATGCTGCAGACCCTGGCTGAGTGACTGATGAAAAGAGTACTCAGACACAGGTATGCAGTGTAAGAGAAGCTAGGGGACTGTCCAGCACTAGTGGCTGAAGAATGAGCAGTCCCAAACAGCTGGGGCTGCTTGCTTTTATTCAATAGAGACATAATGCTGAAAGCCTGGAGTAAACACAATCTGCGGGTAATTAGCATCATTCCACCTTTCAGGGAGCAGTCAGGCAGCATGGATGATCAAAGGTCAGCTCCTGGTCAACATAAGTAAACAAACCTGTTTAAGATAAATTCCCCTACCCTTCCTTGAACCCACTCCTTGCCCTCTGCCTCAGGGTTGGAGAACAGCTGCCTTCAGCTTATTCTCCCTCAAAGCTGTGCAGAGTCTTGTAACCTTTCAGAAGGTCTGCTCTTTCCCTATAGTTTCTCTCACCACTCTCACCAGTCTCCTACATCTCCCCCTTTTCTGTTTTTTGCATCAGGTTTTGTTGATTGAAGAGTAAAGATGTGTGCAGAGACAGGTTTGACAGGTGCAGTGGTTACAGCTCGTGTTCCAGCTTGGCATCCTAGAATTAGTAAATAACATAAGACAAACATGAGTATGATCAGTAATATTATTTTCCAATCAAGGAGTAATATGTAGTGTTACTTGGCACCTCAGTCCAATGTGTGCCATTCCTGAAGGACCCCCACTGGGGATATGTCGATCCTTCCTAGCCAATCAGTCACATTGTTAGAGGCTAGGAAGGGGGTGCCTGCCCAAGTAACAGGGTGGAAGAAAGGGGGATCTAGAAGATGGGCCCAATAGAGGGTAGCAGGTGTGAGTTGCAGGCAAAGTGAGAGAATAAGAAAGGTTAATACCCTATGAAAGTTGCAATGTACAACAGAAAGCATAGAAAGGAACAAATTATCTGGAGTGAATGGTGTCTGTGTCCAGAGTAGGATTCACTCAGCCTCCTGAGTTGTCTTCTTCAGCACCGTGTCCAGGGCCTGTGTTGTCCGAGGAAGCTGCATCATCTGGGGTGGTGGGTCCTGCAGGGTTATTTCCTTTATTTTTGGTACTGGGTTGAGTCCCAGCCACATCGTGGTATGGTTTGATGCATTGAGCTGGAATCCAAAGAGGATCTGAGGGGGTGTGAATACAAGCATATCCTCTTCCCCACATTAGCAAATCATTTGGACCACACCATAGATTACTATTTACATCTTTCCGTAACACCAAAGGTTTTATATCGTGAGTGATTTTAGCAAAGTGCTAAAATGGAATGTTGGACATCCCATGTGTGACAAAATTGTGAAAATGTTGAGCTGGTATAACCCAGACTGTTATCAGTTCTAATTTTTGTGGGCCGCCCCATAAACGCAAAAGTTAAGAGAAGATGTTTAATGACATATTGGGTGGACTGTCCAGGAAGAGCATGAGTGCTAATTAGGTGGGAATTGGTATCAATGGATACATGAACATATCTTAGTTTTCCAAATTCAGGGACGTATGTAACATCTGTTTGCCATAACTGATTAGGTTCTAGTCCCTTAGGGTTAACACCTGTTGAGGAAGGGGACGTGCCTGTGAGCTAGTAATCTGGGCATTGTAAAATAATTTGTTTAGCTAGACTTTGGGTTAACTGAAATTGTTTAGATAAATTTCTCCAATTTTGGTGGAAAAATTGATGTGATTGGGTGGCTTGGTCAAGCAGTGATGTTATAACTTGCAGATCTGCTTCATCATTGCCATAAGCCAATGGGCCAGGCAGTGAGCTGTAGGCCCAAATGTGTGTGATACAAACAGGATTTGTTCGTTGATCCAGCAATTGCTGAAGTCAAAGAAAAAGTGCACACAGGGTGGGCTCAAGAGTGGACTTAATGAGGGCTGTTCCAAGGTTCTGCAATAAATAAATGGAGTAATCAGAGTTATTAACAATATTGATGGGCTGAAAGGGAAAGGTTTCCAGGGCTAATATTAGGGCTCCAACCTCAGCTCTCTGAGTGCTAGTAAATCCAGATCGGCTGAGGGAGTTAGTTACGCAGTTTCCACCAGATAGCTGCTTTTCCATTTTTACCAGAGCCATCAGTGAAAATCATTAAAGCGTTAGATATGGGGGAGTAAACTACCTTTGTAGGCATTACTACAGCAGTATGAGATAAGAACTAAAGTAATTTGTCAGTGGGAAGGCCATGTTCTATATGGCCCACATAATAAGAGCACTTTCTGAAGGTCAAGAGATAGGGGCAGGACTGCTTCGAATTGTTTTTTACTTAAGGGTATTTTTATGACATGAAGGTCATAACCTTGCAATTGATTGCATCATTTGCAGCCTATATAGATGACTTTACTAACTAGCTGGACATAGGGAGATAGTGTTTTAGTCCCAGTGTGTGTGCAAAGAGCCCATTCTAGGAAGTGCAGCCCTGGGGCCGTCTGTCCTATTAACTTTATTGGGGAATATTTAGTAGGAAAAACAAACAATTGGACTGAATATTGTGGGTCTATGCAATCTAGTTTCCTCTAAGAAATAGCTTGCTCTATTTCCTCAATTTTCCTTTTTGCAGCAGGGGGTAAACACCTGGGGGAGTCTAGGGCTGCATTGACCTTTAGGATAGAAGACAGGTTCTGTAATTTATTAGTAGTTATACTCAAGGTGGGGCAAAGGCAGTTAATATCACCCAGTAATTTTTGATAATTATTTAAGGTGTGTAAATTGTCAGTGTTCAGTTTAATCTTTTGAGGTCTTATTGACCTGGATGGTAGTACGTATCCAAGATATTTCCAAGGAGAGGACATCTGTTCTTTATCAGGTGCTATCATTAAACCTCTTAACTGTGTATTCCTTTTGACAGAGGCATATAAATTTAAAAGTATTGGCTCCACTGGGATTGCAAGTAAGATGTCATCCATATAATGGATGATCTTTCAATCAGGAAATTCTTTTCTACTGGGAAGCAAAGCCTGATTACATGATACTGACACATGATAGGACTGTTCAGCATTCCTTGAGAAAGTACGTTCCAATGAAATCGGCAAGCTGGCCTTTCATTATTGATAGCTGGTTTTGGAAACACAAATTTTTCTCTGTCCTGTTTTGCAAGGGGAATAGTAGAAAAACAGTTTTTTTAAGTCAATAATGACTATAGGCTAATCTTGAGGAATTGCCACAGGGGAAGGGTGCCCCTGTTGAAGGGGCCCCATAGGTTGCAAATTAGCATTGTTAGCATGTAAGTCTTGCAAAAGTCTCCATTTACCAGAGTTTTTGGGAATGACAAAAATGGGTGAATTCTAAGGGCTGTTTGATGGTTCTATATATATATCTATATGGCCAGCTTTTAATTGTTCCTCAACTAATTCATGGGCTTGTTGTAATTTCTCTCCCTTTAATAGCCACTGTTCTACCCAAACTGGATTTTAAGAGAGCCATGTTAGGGGTAGGGGAGTAATTACAACCGTGGCCATTATTAGAAAGGGGTCTGCAGAGTCACCCCCCAACCCCATTGGGCTAATAGGTCCTGTTCCCAAAGATTAACAGGGATGGGCATGATTAGAGGTTGTATATTAACAGATGGACCCCTCCCCTGAAGCATTGCAGCCTTTATGTTTTGCCAGCCAATTGATTCTGGTTGGCTTGTTGTTTGCAAAACTTATCATATTCTGCCCTCCAGATGAGGTATTGACTGGCCTCCAAAGTTGTTTTAGCTAGCACTGACCAGTCCCATGGGGTTATATGGAAGTTATCTGCTATGGCCTCAATTAATCCTTTCATAAATGGGCTAGCAGCTCCATTTTCTCTAATGCTTTTCCTTTTCTCTTTAAAAGTGTGGAAAGTAATGGGTTCATATACCCAATTGCCTTGTTCGTCTTGCATCACTGGGCAGGCCAAGAGCTACCCTTCTAATGCCGCTTGCCTAAGACAGGGTCCCATAACTGTTGTGTATCCCTTGTCTTTTTTCCAGTTTACTGGGGGAGGGGGGTCAGGAAAAACCTCTGTTTCCTTGTTTGTATCTTTACCTGGTAACAGCGGGGCTGAGGGAGGAGGAGGAGGAGGAGGCAGTAAGGTAGGTGATGGTTCCTCCTCCCTTCCCTGTTTAGGCTCTTCTGAGTCGAGTGGGGCCAAAGCAGCCCTAACTAAGGCCCATAATGTTAGAGATGTTACTGGTACCCATTGCCCTTGTGCATGATATTGTTTAAGATTTCTGCCCACTTGTTCCCAGAGCTCTAGGTCTAGCATGCCTTCTTCCAGGAATCATGGGTTATGGGAAACAACAGTTTGCATTAGGTCCCTTAATTGAGCCTGGGAAACCCAGGCTTCACTAGCTTTAAGCAGCTATTTCAATACTTTTATATTTGCTGTTGAGCTGATAACTGTTGTCCCATGATGAAACCCTAGCTTGAAAATTCCCTCAAACTTGGAAATCCCAAGCAGGCACCCATTACTTACTGACTGGGCAGTCACTTTACCTTTGTTCTCAAGGGTTCTGTCACAATCTGTTGCTGAGTTCCTCATAGGGGACACCAGCTGCTGGGTTCATGCTGCAGACCCTGGCTGAGTGACTGATGAAAGGAGTACTCAGACACAGGTATGCAGTGTAAGAGAAGCTAGGGGACTGTCCAGCACTAGTGGCTGAAGAATGAGCAGTCCCAAACAGCTGGGGCTGCTTGCTTTTATTCAATAGAGACATAATGCTGAAAGCCTGGAGTAAACACAATCTGCGGGTAATTAGCATTATTCCCCCCTTTCAGGGAGCAGTCAGGCAGCATGGATGATCAAAGGTCAGCCCCTGGTCAACATAAGTAAACAAACCTGTTTAAGATAAATTCCCCTACCCTTCCTTGAACCCACTCCTTGCCCTCTGCCTCAGGGTTGGAGAACAGCTGCCTTCAGCTTATTTTCCCCCAAAGCTGTGCAGAGTCTTGTAACCTTTCAGAAGGCCTGCTCCTTTCCCTATAGTTTCTCCCACCACTCTGACGCATCTCCTGCAATTATATATAAAATAGGTTTAATGATAACAGGTTAATGGAATAATTTCTTCAAAGCACCTAGCTAAGTACAAAAAAATCAATTCAAAACACTTACATTTAATATAACTTATGGATTTTTTTTGAATACATCATTTTTCTCAATCACAACTCATTTATGAAAAGTGAGTTAAATCTTTGGATTCTACAGATGTTGATGGATGTCATAAGTCAAAGGAAGAAGTAAAATAACAAGCCTTACCATTTCTCAAATGCAACTCTTCCTAGTCTGCAGTCATGTGGTATAAGCATAGTAATATTGTTTATATCATATTCTTTATTATTTGGTTAATTCCAGTAATTTGACTAACATTAATAATAAATTCACTCATTTATTCATTCAAGGAAATTTTTATTGATCTGGACACTGTTCTAAGTGTTTAGGTTAAGGTAACAAAAACATAGACAAAAATATTTGCCCTCATGGAGCGCAATTTTAGTGGGATAGAATGGGTAATAATTGTATTTTAATAAACAATTATATGTTAGGTAATTGTTTATTGCTTTCTAATACAAAAGTTTCAGTGGAATCTCTTAATTACACCTATAGAAACTGGAGGCACCCATTTCCTTCTCAATTGTGTGTACCACAACTTTCCTGGTATTCACAGTCATCTAGTAGATACAATCATATAAATTTTTAAAAAAATTTTACTGTATGTGTTTGAGGGATATAACATAATGTTATAAGATAAATATACACTATTTTTTAATTCTAAGGATAAAGAAGTCACTGTTGCCCTAGGAAATTGTTTTATAGTGAGCAGCCCATACCAAAACAATTTGTTTTTTCAAGTTTTATGCCATTCTTATTGCAAAGTCACTGAATACCACAGATAATTAGATCTGTGATTATGCTGTATTCATTTTTACCCTTCTAGTCAATCAACAATATTTCTAACTTAACCACAAAAATAAAAAATGGAAGAGCTATGGGAAAAAAAGCCAAACAACAACAGCAACAACAGAAAACAAACCAATCCTATATTTAACAGCATAAAGAAAAACAGGGAATAACTATGAAAAGTATATAAATATTAGATGAAGCAAGTTTTTGAGGGGAGTGGTGTGCTAAAAGAGAAAACATAGCAATGACCATTTTTCTTTATTGCTTTTTTTCTCTACTTCATCTCTTATGTTGCCTTCATGATGTTTTACCTAAGATGTGTACAATGCTTAAAATTTAATTTTTTCAAAGGAATGTTTATCTAAAGAAGAAGGGTTGTTATTATCATATATACATGTAATTCTTACTAAGAGGATTAATTATTTATAATCTAGTGTGAGAAACGGTGAGGATTATTTTTCAAACAGCCTTTTTTTTTTATGGAGACGGAATCTTGCTCTGCTGCCCAGGCTGGAGGGCAGTGGTGCCATCTCGGCTCACTGCAACCTCTGCCTCCCAGGTTCAAGCCATTCTCCTGCCTCAGCCTTTCAAGTAGCTGGGATTACAGGCAGCCACCACCACACCCAGCTAATTTTTGTATTTTTTTTTTAGTAGAGACAGGATTTCACCATGTTGGCCAATCTGGTCTCAAATTCATGACATCAGGTGATCCACCCACCTAGGCCTCCCAAAGTGCTGGGATTACAGGTGTGAGCTACCATGCCTGGCCCAGACTTTTAATTGTCAACTCATCTTTTGGGTTATTCTTAAATTTACTATAAGGTTGTCAAATTTCAATTAAGTTGACTAGCATTTAAATAAAATCCTCAATGGACTAGCCAAATAACTTCCAAGACTGTACAGATATTTAATAGTAATATCTCTATTTTGATTCTGTAGCTATTGTGGTTTAAATATTCTTTGCTCAGTAACCTGGACTGACTAGATTCATTAGTTAAAGAGATTTTTTCCCAAATTTTTTTGGGGAAAGGGATCAATGTCAGTGCAAATAGTCAGTAGATCCATATGCATACTAATAAAAAACATTAATTAACATGTAGCGAGAGCTCAACTTGTACTATATACATTATGCTAAAATCTTTACATGAATTTTTCATTTAATCTTTACAACAAACAATAAAATATATCATCTTTTTTTTACAGATAAGAAAACTGAGTTTTAGAAAGTTTTCTAGTAAGTTGAGTCTGAATTTAATAAGTTGAGCATTTTGATCTGGAGCCCATTCCTAATAGGATAGATAGTGCTCTACTATCCACAAGTCTACTATCAACAGGTAAATAATGGCTGTAAATGGAATATGTTTTCCAAGCCACTGTTTGAAAATTATATTTAGGTGTCTTCTGATTAATAAAATGAAAATTCTTTTAAAAGACTTTCATTAAAAGTAGTTATGGAGGAAAGTAATAAATTTTTTGATAGCAAAAAAGGATATGTATACTTGAAAAAGCTGGAAGTCACAAAAGTAGAAGTTGGAAAGATTGACTTTTGGGGTCACTATCTCAGAACTTAAGCCTGGCCAGGCATGGTGGCTCACGCCTATAATCCCAGCACTTTAGGAGGCTGAGGCGGGTGGATCACGAGGTCAGGAGATCAAGACCATCCTGGCTAACATGGTGAAACCCCGTCTCCACTAAAAAAAAAAAAAAAAAAAAAAAAAATTACAGAACTTAAGCCTATTAGCACTATTCTCATAAGAATGCTCTTATGGACTATAGTTTCCCCACAACTGGTCACCTTAGATATGCAAGCTTTTTGTCTTAAAAGTAACAGAGAAATTAAGGCACTATAACAGAAGTAGCAATTCAAATCATTTGTAAAATAAAAATGACTAAATTCTGAAGTATTTCCACATGGTAGAGGCAACTCTTTACAATCCATTCAGATTAAGCCGAAATCTTATTTTCTTATGTTATTGTCTCCCTCTTTCTGTCATTCTCTCTCTTAAATATATCCATGAAATACATAAAAATACACATATTAGGTACAGGTCTGGAGGTTTCTGCAGAAACTGTATAGCTTTGTGATTATGCTAGACTTGCATATCTTCTCTTTCCTTTTGAATTGGGTAGAGCAGGATATAATATTTCTCAAAACCCAAATTAAAAAATAAAAACTGACTACATATGCGTAAGTTTCTGAGCTGCCTTACTCTGCTTCATTTCAAATATATCTTTTATGTTAGCTTTGGCTGAAGAACAATTGTTAATTATTTATTCAAGTCTTCCATGTATGTCCTCTAAATGTAGGTTGATTAAACCTACGGAAGTTATGGGATCTTTGGGGTGTTGCTTTTTTGGCCAGAAACTTCTGTGGCCAGTGCCGCCTTTGACCAAGTTTTGCTCAGCCTCACTGGGCTCATTCCACCCACTCGACCTGGCAGGCTGTGCTTGGCTCACACTACCAGCCTAGATCCCATGCCTCCAAGGGAGACTTCAAGCCAGGCGTGGAGTGATGAGGGATGTGTGAGCAAGTGTGGGGTCCAGCCAGTGCCCGGTCAGATGTGCCAGCTGCTGCCATGGGGCAGCCAGCTCCAGGTGCCAGCACAGGGCTCTTTCCCTGTGAGGCTTCAGCCGGACCAGGTGCACTGCAAGCAGCTTCCATGGCTGGCACTTGGGAACACAGTGTCACTTGGAAGCTTGGAGATGCCAGGAACCACAGGGTCCCAAAGAGGAAGTCAAGCCCTGGCTTGGGGAGTTCTCATATCTTGGATCCGTGAAGGGCTGCAGCTCTTCTCTCCTTCTCTGCCTGCAACGTGGCAAGCAAGGGGCATGTTTCAGCCCTGTTTGTGTTACAGCTCTTTTATCCTCAACATTCCATGGGTCCCAAGTTCTTATCCTGCAACCAGAAAGAATGAGGTACGCAGAGGAAGATTGAACAAGATGAAGAGGAGCTTTATTGAGTGATAAAACAGCTCAGAGGAGAACTGCAGTGGGCAGCTCCTTTCTGCAGCCAGGGTGTCCAGTCCAGTGTTCAGCTCTCAGCAAAGAGGGTAGCTCTTCTCTGCAGCTGGTCATCACATTGTGCAGCTCTCAGCAGAGAGGAGGGCCTAGAGTGGGTGACTCCTCTCTGCATTCAGGTTGTCCTATCATCTTTCTAGCTCTGGCTGAGCCTGGGGTTTTTATGGGTCTCAGAGGGGAGGAAATGTGCACCAATTAGTGTGCAAACATGAGTGGGCTCAGAAAAGTCACCACAAGTCCCCACTCTGGTCCATGGGACTGGCAGCCCAACCCCAGCCTTCAGGCCCTCCCTGGCCTGAAGGTGGGGCCTGGCCAGTGACTTGCCCCCTTCTGCCCAGGAGCCTGTCTGCTTCCTGCTGCTGTCCATGGTGCTCAGGTTGCTCACACCAAGAAGCACCTGCAGGCTGGGGCTGAGCTGCCCTCAGCGCCCCCACAGCTTCCCCCGACCATGCTCATTGGCACTCAAAGTCTGCAGGGGGCTGAGACAGCAGGGGGCTAGAATCTCAGTGCTGCCCTGAGTGTGTATAAACCCAGCTGGGCTGTGACAACCTGTGCTTGGCCCCAAATCTGCTCCAAGATCAGAGTGGGCACCAGAAGTGGGAAGAGGCCAGACAGTGGGAGCAGACACCCCTGAGCTTGTGGGGAAAAACAGGGGTCTTTCCTGGGACTCCGAGGGTGCATACTTCTAAAAAAAAACAGGTATACATTTAGTTTCTGTAATTTTTCCCTTTATCATGAATTATTGCAAACATGTTGAAAAGGTAAAGAGGATAATATAATTAAAATCCATGTATACATTACATAAAAATGAAGCACTTCTGATTGCAGTCTTCTACCTCCTTCTTTGAGGTAACTGGCATACTGATTTTTTTTGTGTGTGTGTATGTGCTTTTCTTTATACTGCAAATAAATGTCTTAATATTTTTATCCTAAATGAGTGATTTGCTAAATAATATTTAATATTGTTTTGCATGCTTCTATACTTTACACAAATGCTATGAACACTGTATGCTACTTTTTGCAGCCTGACTTTTCTTTTTTGGAAACAATATTTCTGATGTTTACTAAGGTGATACTAGTAACTCCACTTCATTAATTTTCACAGCTTTGTAACATTTAATTATGTGGATATGACACATTTTATTTATCCACATTTAGATTGTTTACAGAATTAAGCCAAGGTCTGAGCTGTTCTTATACCTTCCTCTCTTGCTCCCCAGAAAAAGTAAAGAGCTTTGTGGTTTATTCCCATTATGGAGGATTAAATTGTTGTTTACCTTTGTGAGAGCTGCTTCAGTGAATTACTAGGGCAGAGGCCAAAATGCTATTTAGGTCTGAGTGAGCAGGAGGCGAGGAAGACAGGAGTGCCTAATAGAACCATTTAAAGTCCCTCTGGGTTAACTGGTTTGGGGGTTTAAAAACATATGAAAAAATGCTCAACATCATTAATGATCAAAGAAATGCAAATCAAAACCACAATGCGATACCATCTTACTCCTGTAACAGTGGCCGTTATCAAAAAATCAAAAAACAGTAGATGTTGGTATGGATGTGACGATCAGGGAACACTTCTACACCCCTGGTGGAAATGTAAACTAGTACAGCTGCTATGGAAAAGAGTGTGGAGATTCCTCAAAGAACTAAAAGTAGAACTACCACTTGATCCAGCAATCCCACTGCTGGGTATCTACCCAGAGGAAAACAAGTCATTATTTGAAAAAGATACTTGAACATGCATATTTATAGCAGCACAATTCACAATTGCAAAATCATGGAACCAACCCAAATGTCCACCAATCAAAGAGTGGATAAAGAAACTGTGGTGTACATATATATATATACACACACACATATATATACATATATATATATACACACACATATATATACATATATATATACACACACATATATATACATATATATACACACACATATATATACATATATACATATATACACATATATACATATATATACATATATACATATATATACACATATATACATATATACACATATATATACATATATATACACATATATATATACACATATACACAATGTAATACTACTCAGCCATAAAAAGGAATGAATTAACAGCATTTGCAATGACCTGGATAGGACTGGAGACTATTATTCTAAGTGAAGTAACTCAGGAATGAAAAACCAAACATTGTATGTTCTCACTGATATGTGGGAGCTAAGCTATGAGGACGCAAAGGCATAAGAATGATACAATGGACTTTGGGGACTTGAGGGGGATAGTGGGAGGGGGCAAAGGATGAAAGACAACAAATACGGTGCAGTGTATACTGCTCAGGTGATGGGTGCAACAGGATCTCACAAATCACCACTAAAGAACTTACTCATGTAACCAAATACCACCTGTGCCCCAATAACTTATGGAAAAAATGGATGCATATTTTAGGAAAATCTTTGGCCAAGTGTCAGGGGAAGCTCTTTTCTATTCGTTGTTTTCATAAGGCACAATCTATATTTTTAGGAGATTCAAAACTCTAAAAGCCAGATATCTGCCAGATGTGTTTGTTACGGTACTTTCATTTTCTATTCAACATAGCATTACGTAATTATCCAATATTACTTCCATTGGGTTCTCAGAGCTCTGTTGTAAACTCTCTGAGGAAAGAGATTGTCATGCTTATAATAGAGGAGATAAAAAGGGATGCCAATAGGTAATTCACCCTCAGAATCTGGGATATTATCAAATTATATGGGATACCTGACTTGTGGGGTTCAGTTCTGTGCTTTTATTCAGCATCACAGGGAGGTAGTAGAACCTCGGAGGGCATTGAAAGCTGCTTACCAGGGACCTGACTCCACTACTTGGCAAAGATCATGGTGCCTAAAATGCCCAACTAAACAGAAGCACTCCCTGCTTTACAGTGACCATAGAGGTGGTCAAATGTAAATTGATGAGGAATCCTTGTAAATGTTTTGGAATAAATAAGTCCCTGAAGCTCTTACATAACATTAGAGAAGGTCCCTCCAGAGGAAAATAAACTGAATTTTGTGCTGGTCAACAGTGTAGAGATTCAGAACAGATTTAAATAGATTTAGATAAATAAGTATATCAGCTCTTGGTTCTGACAGTTGAGAAATAAATTGCATAACTGCTATGTTTGAAAAAAATGAATGTAGCAAACATGTCAATAAATAGCTGAATATACACTCAGAAGCTATGACACAAGTAAAACAAATGGGCTTAACTAGACTATAGCTAATTGATCAGGCTTTGCACAACCTCTGGTGAAGAGAATAGTGCCCAGCACACAGATTATATGTTTAATAAAAGCCATCAGCAAGTCCTATAATTTCTGCTTCCAAGGTGGTCATTATAATAACAATGGCAGTAGCTAGCATTTATTGGTCTCTTTCTCTGTGCCAAGGATGCTTATAATCATCTTACATGTGTTATTATCTAATTTAATCCTCACAGATACGCACAAAGCAAAAGGTGCCTGAGACAGGTCTCAATGAATTTAAAAGTTTATTTTGCAAAGATTAAGGATCATGATCCATGACCACAGCCTTGAGCACACATGCCCAAGGTAGTTGGGTTACAGCTTGGTTTTATGTGTTTTAGGGAGACATAAGACATATCAATATGTGAGATATGCATTGGTTCAGTGCAGAAAGGTTGGGCAACTGCAAGTGGGGGAACTTACAAGTCATGGGTGGATTCAAAGATTTCCTGATTGGCAATTGGTTGAAAGGGTTAAGCTCTGCCTGAAGAGTTGAAATCAGCTTGAGATAAGGTAAGGGGGTTGTTGTGGAAGCCAAGGTTCTTGTCACGTAGATGAATCCTCCAGGTAGTTGTCTTCAGAAAGAATAGATGTGACTGTCTCTTATTGAAGGTGTCAGACTGCTAGAGAGACCTAGTAAAGGAAGGAGATTCTTTACAGAATGCAAAATTTCACCTCCAAGAGACAGCTTTGCAGGACCATTTCAAAATATATGTTTCTTTAAGTACCCGGCTGTCTGTCATGTTATGCTATACCAGAGTCAGGTTGGAATTTGGTATCTTATGGTTATAGAGTCTCTTCTGTCGGTCTTAGGATCTCTATTTTAATGTTAATGGTGGTCAGTAGTATGCCTGAACTCCAAAGAGAGGTGAGTATAATGAGGTGCGTATAATGAGTATAATGAGTCTCATTGTTGGCTCCTCTTGGCCTGTCAGTTGGGAGGCTTAGAATTTTATTTTTGGTTAACATATGTTTTAAGGAAGAGTGTATTAATATCTCAATCTTACAGCAGAGAAAATTGAGACTCTGAGAGGATAAGAAACTTGCCCATTTCAAATCCATTCACTCTCCTCCATATCCTTTGTCCCCACCTTAATATGTGCCCAGTCATTTCTTACTTTGATTCCTGCAGTAGCCTCCTAATGGATTTCCTGTATACCCTCTTGCCTCCTTCTCTGCCTGTTTCCAACAGGATATCCAGAGTGAATTTATATTAAGTACAATGGACTCTATCCCCTTCCCAGTCGTTCTGGGATTTCTCATTCCCTTCTTATCTTGGCGGTCAGGATTCTAGTTATAATCTCCAGTGTCATGGCATTCTTCCCCTGTTTGCTAATTTTAAACTGCAATGGTCTTTTGATTCTAGAAACATTGCCTTAGGACCTTTGCATATACTATTGCCTCATTTTATCCTCCTATTCTGGTTAGAATTAGATTCGATGGCAATTGGCAAAAAACTCCAACTAACAGTAGCTTAAACTCGATAGAAGTTTATTTTTCTCACATGAAATTTCTAGTAGATTGTCAATGGCTCTGTGATGTCAGGGTCTGGGTTATTCTGCTGTTTGTGGCCTCCTTCATAATCCAAGTTGGCATCATTTCTCTTTCCGGTAGTAAGATGAATGAAGGGACAGAGGAAGGTCACTTAAGGAAGGTTCTAGGTATTGCCAAAGGATATTTCAGCTTGCAACCTATCAGCTGCTGGAGCTAATGGCTTAGTAGCCCTGCTAAGCTGTGAGGGAGGTAATTTTCCTTTATTGGAGTCCATGAAGCACTTGGCTTATCATTTAACGAAAAGAAAATATGGAATTATGGTTACACTTACAATGATGACTATTTTCTTTACTACTTCAAATGTGTTCCTTGCAGCTTTATTTCCAGGCTTTTTGGCCTATACAATAACTTCTCACTTCAAAGACAATTCAAGTGTGTTAGTGTATTCTTATAAAAAAGGCACTTTACATAGCAATTAAATAGAACATGTATTAGCACTACACATGATTCAACTGGCATAATGGCAGTGTGAACAGATATGACCAAGTTGGCATATGTGCAGGCAATGACAACTACCTCATTCCTGTTGCCTGGCTAATAATCAGGATTATTACAGCCATGCCATCCCAATTTTAAAAATATTAAAATGTGAAAAACAAGATATTTAGTTCTTTATTGCCTTTCATTCCTTAGAATAATGCAAACTTCTTAAACACAAAGGCTTTGCTTTATTCACTATTTTATCTCTAGTACCTGGACAGTTGTCTAGAGCATTTACATTCAATAAATATGCCAGACTTGTTGAAAGACTGAATGAAAGACTCCATTATTCCCTATGATAATCTAAGTTTTCTCAGATGAGGGCTCAGAAACTTAATGTAATCAAGGAGCAGCTGTAGATAACACCAATTGAAGTGTAAGTAGACTTTCTGTATCCACAGGTTCTGCCTCTGGAGATTTAATGAACTGTAAATAGAAAATATCTAAGAAAAAAATAAAAAGCTAACAATACAGTAATAAACATATTACAAATAAAACCATACAGTATAACAATTACATAGCAATTACATTGTATTAAGTATTATCAATAATCTAGAGATGATTGAAAGTATACAGGAATGTGTAGGATATATGCAAATACTAGGCTTTGAGCATCCTTGAATGTTGGTATTCTTGGGGGTCCTGGAGCCAATCCCCTGAATATACTGAAGGATGACTATGTATTCTTAGTTAGCAGCCAGACCTCTAATGAGAGCCAGCGACTCATGTAGCATAAGAGCTCTTGAAATAAACTCTTGCCCCTACTCACAGGGCAGCTCCCTTCACTATGGCTGGGTACAGGAGGCACCACAGGGGGACTGATGTGGGGAAACTGACTAAAAACAAAATCTTCTCCCAACCCAGAAAAACCTCTCCCCAAAGGCAGAAGAGAAAGAAAACAATTTTATTATGAAATAACCAGAATTATTAATAAGCCAGAATATAACATACATCATGCAATTCATTTAAGTGATCAAGAAGACAGAAAGAAATCTCAGCCCCTTCTCCAGCCAAGTAGATACAGCCCATTACATACATGTTCTCAAGATAAACAATAACTAGTCCTCAAGTAAGAGGACTTCAGAGCACCATTTGTCACATATGGTTCATTTGAACTTTATCTGGTAGAGTGAACATCTGCATTAGCTTATTAATTTTGCTTAAAGGAAAAAAACTCATATTTTTCTGAAAGGAGGTAGTTTTGGAGCAAGGCAGCCAATGAAGTTAGGTTTATACCGTGTCACAAAAACTGGAAGATAGGAGTGCTAGCTTTTTGGATAATTGCATTTCAAAGAGATGGTTCTCAGGTTCTTGAGAAATACATTCCTGTGTTGTAAAGCTGGCAAGAGGTTAATTTAACTTTTGAAAGAGACTTACATTTCAAAGAGACAAAGAGAGAATGTACAAGTTTTGTAAAGGAAGTATCCTAAGAAAAGGGTGGGGGTTTGTTCTCTTTCTTTATTTTCAACAGGGAGCATTAAACTTCTTACTTTTATGTTGTATTTTCCCTTATAGTACTTGAAGGCAAAGAGACTAACATCTTAGTTAATTGATCAATTAACTTTCATTGATCAATCTGACATTGAGCCAAAGTGGAATGTTTACCATGTGCCCAGCCTATGGAGTGAAAGTTTAGTAAAAAGTTTTAGGGCAAGGATGGAGGGAAGTAAAGTACACTTGAAAGAAGGCCAAGCAAGCAACTTGAGAGAATCAAGTGTATGGTTTGAACCTTTTGACTTGGGGAATATGTTGGCATGCTTTCAGGCGGTTGTGTCTCTTCTCCCCTGATTCTCTCCTTGGGGTGAGCTGTCTGCATGTAGAGTGGTCTGCCAGCAGTTGGGAGGGGCTGCAGGCACAGTGTGTTTACTGGAGTTGTACACATGCTCAATTGAGGCGTTCTTCCCTTACCAGTTGAGTGTTCCTATAAGGTCATATACCAGTTGAACTCCACCATTTTGCCTCTTAGGTGCACATGCTTGAGCCCACTCACCCAACTCCTGAGATCTTATAAGGAAGCTGATTACCAGTTTCTGGTTTTTCTATCTATCGGGAGACTGCCTTTCCCTGGTGCTGGGTGTGACCAATTATTATTGTAGAGAGATACCTTAACAACTGCCTGATCATCACCTGATGGTCACCTGATGTTCCTGGTGCCAGGGGAGGGGGAGCCCTCCTGCTCCTGCCCTGCTCATGTCTGCCTGACTACCTACTGTAACAGTTTAACTTTAAAACAAAGATAATAACATCTCTTTCCCAAACAAAACTCCTTCTTGCCTGGGGATAATACTGCCTTTGTAAGACACAAATTAGGCATAAGATTAGATATTATGGTTTAGGAGTTATGCAGTCAGAGACTGCAACACTCCCAACCTCTCCAATTACTCCTACAGATAACATCACTATTATAAAACCTAACATTGGTGCTGGAGATATTTTTCAGACTCTATACTTGATGGATCAGCTGGCATCACCCAGACTGGTAAACTGGCTCAACTAATTCTACTCTCCTACCTAGGAACAGAAGACAGCAAGAAAAACCCACTTCTGCCCCCTATGATTTCATCTCTGACATGACCAATCAGCACTCTCCACTCCCTTGCCCCCTACCCATCAAATTATATTTAGGAATTATACTCTGAATTTTGGGGGAGGCTGATTTGAATAATAATAAAACTCTAGTCTCCCATTCAGCCAGCTCTGCATAAATTGAACTCTTTCTCTATCTAAATTTCCCTGTCTTGATAAATTGGGTCTGTCTGGGCAGTGGGCAAGGAGAAACTATTGGGCAGTTATAATTCTATTTGAATTCTATATTAACAATCCTAAATCCAATGCACCTTTTAAATTTATACATTCTGGCCTCTGCTTCCCTAGCACTTCTTAAAATTCTTCGTTATTAGAAACAGACTTTAATGTTTAATGTTGATTATTAGGAATTGACTTTATCCTAATGTAGGCATTTGATCTATTTGTGGTACCCTATTTGGGCCTAATGAAAGCAGCTTAAAGCCTTTTTGTTTCAATGGAAATTATTTTATTTAATTTTATATAGTTCTCCTTTTTCCTGGAATCAAAATAAAATTTAAGTATGAAGATCAATTTATAGAATTACTAGAATTATTAGAATTACTTATTTTCTGTGATAATTATAAATGGGCCATAAAAACACCACTACTACAGACTGTTGCATTATTGTCGGGTATATTTATTATTTGTAAATATAAATGTCAGAGGCAGTTAAGAATCTCTTACTTGGATAACTCTGTTTTTAGATGTCACTCGGTTATAGGCTCTGGAGCCAAGTGAGCACATGGGCAAGGATCTGAGGATTTATTCTTCTGTCAAAATATATTTCAAAGGGTAAGAGAAGTAAGAATAAGGGTAAATACAAATGACTAGCAAAAGTCCAAGTCTAAAAATACAATGCATGAGCAGAGTCTTTGGAGAACTGGGGCAGTGATTCTCACTGTTGGCTGCACAGTAGAATCAATCATTCCTGTGTCTTACCCCAGATCATTAAATTAGTCTCCCAGGAGTGGGATCCAAGCATTGGTGTTTTCTTTTTCTCTTCTCTCCTCCTGTCCACTGCCCTCTTTCCCTTCTTTGGGATAAAATTTTCCACATGAGTCTAAGATGCAGCAGAGTTGAGAAACACCCAGCTAGGCTGGAGAAACAGAAAATTGATGTTCATGTAGAGCAAATATTAAAGAAGAATAGAAACAAGCAATGTCTGAGAATAGATAGAAATTGAAATGTTGTTCTTCTAAAACATTCATGAGTCCTTATAGCTTAAGGAAGTGTTCATGACAAAAAACATAATGAAATGATTGACTGACCATATTCAGGGAACATATGAAAACCCTTTTTCAGTGTTAAACTACAGCCTCAAGGGATTTTTTGATAGGACCCTTAAAATTGGTTGGAATATGAAAACAATAGCAAACATAGTAAAACTACTACACAAGGACCAGAATGAGAATATTTACTCAATGTGTAATCAGTGCAGAAGTTGTACTCTATTAGAACTTTTTTCTATCTTGATTACTTATGTTCTATTTCTTATAACTCTTGTAACAGAAACTGTTACAGGAGCTAATACACTCTCCTTAAAACAACAAGAACTGAATTGACTGCCCAGGGAATCTAATTATTATCAAGTTTATAAGAGAAAGAAACCACCAAAAATATATGCAGTATTTGCATTGCATTACATTTCCATGAGGTTTTATGGGAAAACCTTAAGTTGCAAATACTAACTTTAGTGTTTAAAAACACTCCGGCTGTCAAGTCCATTAGATGTGACAACTCATGGTAGTGAAAACTTCAGCCCCTTGTCATTACCAGCCTCTAGTCATCCCAGTCAACTGAGAAGAGTTTCTTTTTCTCCAGTCTGTCCTAAAGAGAAAAATGGGGAGGAAAGCAAGTTTGATGATGTATCACTATTGTGAGAAATCCTGTCACCATCATGATAGTTCATTACATGGGGTATTGTAGACAGCTTTGGTTATCTTACCAGCTTCCATTTCAGCACCCCATTCATTGTACAACAACCATGATATTCAGATAAGATTGGTCCCATGTCTAAACCCTGCCTGGTACCAGCCTATTAGCATAATGAATCCTCTTTTTGCCACAGTTTAAAATAATCTCCTGCCCACAGTGATTGTTTCAGGAAAGGGTAGGTAACCTAAGTTGAACCAATCAGAGTGAAGGCCCTGATGAGACAGCACTAAGAGATGGTTTATGGGTTGACACACCTCATATTTGATAACAGGCAGAACCAAGAAAATCACAGAGAAAATGGACCTGGAACTCTGATTTTAAAATGTGCGTGACGCCTGTTTACTCTGTATTTTTAGTAATGTGTACTAATAAATTTCTTTTGTTGTTGAAACCAGTTTGAGCTGTTTTTGATTAGTTGCAACCAAAAGTATCCTCCCTGATAAAATAGCTACCATTGAATGTGCTAGGCATTGTGAAAAACATCACTTGCTTATGTCACTTAATTTACTTTTCAGAAGCTAATCTCTGCACCGATATTCCATTTCTTTCTGCTTTATCACAATTTCTGCAGGATTTACATCCATTCTTTCTTATAGATTCATTCTTACCCCCTTAACTGTGTTTATCCCAATGCTTCTTACATGGTCAAGTATCTCCCATTAAAAACAAAACATATTAGCTTGGCATGGTGGTGCATGCCTGTAGTTATAGCTACTCACTTGGGAGGCTGAAATGGGAGGATCTCTTGAGCCCAGGAGATTGAGGCTGCAGTGAGCTATGATTATGCCACTGCATTACCTGAATGACAGAATGAGACCTTGTCTCTTAAAAAAACAAAAATAAAAACAACCTCTTATTCTTCATCAATTGTTACCTTTACTCTCTTTCTCTCTGAAAGTCAATTTTTTTTCCAGCGAATATCTATGTGTGCTATATTCATTTCTTTACCTCCTACTCTTTCCTAGCCAATGATTTTCTTGTTTCTAAAACCAACAAGCATTTTTGCATTGTTTATGTTACTTGACTTTTTAGGAGCAGTTAGCCCTTTTGGTAAATCTCTTCTTCCCAAAATACTGTTCTCAACTGATTTTCATGGCACGACACTGCTTACTTTCATCTGTTGCTCTCACATTCTATTTATTTATTTATTTATTTATTTATTTTTTGAGATGGAGTCTCGCTCTGTCATCCAGGCTGGAGTGCAGTGGCGCAATCTCTGCTCACTGCAAGCTCCGCCTCCTGGGTTCACGCCATTCTCCTGCCTCAGCCTCCCGAGTAGCTGGGACTACAGGCACCCACCACCACACCCAGCTAATTTTTTGTATTTTTAGTAGAGACGAGGTTTCACCGTGTTAGCCAGGATGTGACATTCTTTTTTGACATTTTTGTAGGCTTATCCTCTTCCATCAGGCCATTAAATATTAGAATTACTTAAACCTCAGTCTTGGCCCTCTGTATTCTAACTCCAGATTGTCTGCGGGCATGGCTTCAGTCACGCTCAATGCTTCTTTTATTATTTTAAAGAACACAGTACACATGTACCACCCAAGCCTTTCTATAGCCAACCAACTCCCGCTTATATAAACAATTGTCTAATCAACATGTTTGAATTTAACAAAGGAATCTCAAACTTAACCTATCAAAGCTCAGTTCATCTTTTTGTCTCCTAACCTGGCCTTTTGTAGTATCTCTGTGTCACAGATATAGTCAGAATCTAAGTAGCTAGCCAGAATGTTGGAGTTCGCTGTCTCATACTCTCTGTCAAGGCTATCATAAGGTTTTTTCCATTTTACCTCCTAAATACCTCTCCAGTTCATCTGCATTATCTATCTTTGCCAAAACCATGCTAGTACAAGTTTCTATTATTTCTTGAGTAGATTTCTGCTGTGGCCTCCCAACACATCTATTCAAGTCTAGCCTGGATACTCTTCAACCTATTTTCCATGTTACTAACAGAATAATCTTTCCTCGTTAATGGTTTTCCATTCCATTTAGCATAACACTTCTTGGTAAGGCGTAAAACGCCCTTTTTGGTAAGGCTTTAACTATCAGCCTCATTTCACACTATGCTCTCTCTTACTTCCTTTACTTCAAGTACCTTGTTTTTCTTCTATGTCTAACATCCTTCTAAGTTCCTTCCTGCCACAGGGCTTTTACACATCCTGTTTCCTCCTAGCCCCTGTATTGTTAAGGCCTACTCATACAAATTATCTCAGCTCAAACATCACTTCTTTAGGGGATCCTCATTAGGTAAAAGCCATCTAATACAGGGTGTCATAACACTCACCAACTTTATAGTTTTATATTTTCTTGTATAACCATTTCCCTAATGTCTGACCCTCCTTCTAGATTTCAGGCTTCAAGAAGTCAGGGATTCTCTTTAGGTATGTTAACTGTTGTACACACAGCTCCTTGCACCATGTCTGGAACACGGAAGTGCTCAATAAATATTTGTTGTGCAAAGTAAATCTTTACAACTCTATGGAATGGGCATTATTATTTTCTTCCTTTTACAGTTAAGGAAATTAAGATTTAGATGGGTTAAAGTCTGAAAGTGCAAAGTAAAGACTCAAATCCATTTCTAGTTTGACTTCACTAATTCACAGTGAAAAAACAGGAAAGTGTCAATGTAGAATGACCACTCCATTTTTCACAGTGGAACCGAGTATGATAATCTAATAAAGTATAAATTTTAAAATATTGGCATTAATGAACTTGCTAAGGATAAGTGCTGTAATGTATATATCCTAGAGATATATCTCTCTAGTCCTTGTAATTAGGATGAAGTTAAGCTAATGGGTTTCCCTTGGGGACTGTTGAACAGAGGATCATCATAGTTGTTATTATGCATTATATGTTATATAAAACTGTTTGCAGATAAAATAGCTGTAAATATTACTTCTAATTGTATGTGGACCATTAGTTAATTCACCACCAAAACCCCAGCAACCTATCTATCCTTTATGATGAACTTATCTTTATTTATGTTGACATAGAAATAACAAGAAATGAAGTGTGTATGTGTGTGTTGTCATTTGGTTTCAATCAACAAGTCACTTCTCCTCAAAAGCAAAGTTCAACAACCGACTTTCAAGGTGACCGATTAAAAGTTTATACCTACAGACATTTTAATAAAATTAAAGTATGGCAAAACTGTTGGCAGAAAATATTCGTATCTCAGAAATGAGTCATTAGATTCTGAGAATATATTTTTGTAGCAGAGGTAGGAGGTGCAGAGTTTTCTTATCATATCCAGATAATTTAAAACTTTTTTTTTACCCTCTGAATAACCTTATATAACATAAAGGGAAACAAGCCAGGCAAATAAGGTGCATTAGTTAAAATCTTTGGAAAAATAAAAATAGGGTCATTTAGGAAACAATAGTCTTTTAGTTCAGAGAGTTGGGTTTTGAGACAGCTCCATTTCTTCTGAGGACTGTTTGCACAGATATAAAATGTCAGAATAGCAGAAGGGAAATTTACAAAAGAAATTTTAAACTGAAGGCAAGCACAGCTGAACAGAAAGGTAATGTTGAGTTGTCAATATTATGAACTGTATCGATGAAGAGTCAAACCCTGTAAAATATTTGAAGAGACTTATTCTGAGCCAAATATGAGTGACCAGTGACCCATGACACAGCTCCCAGGAATTCCTAAGAATATGTGCCCAAGGTGGTTAGGCTACAACTGGATTTCATACATTTTAGGGAGACATAAGACATAAATCAATTCATGTAAGATGTACATTGGATTGGTCCAGAAAGGTGGGACAACTGCAAGTGGGGGCTTCCAGGTCATAGGCGGATTCAAAGGTTTTCTGATTGGCAATTGTTTGAAAGACTCATTCTCTAGAAACCTGGAACCAGTAGAAAGGAATGTCTGGGTTACAGTTATCATGCAGATGAAGCCTCCGGGTAGCAGGCTTCAGAGAGAATAGACTGTAAATGTTTCTTGCAAGACTTAAAGAGTCTGTGCTATTAATCAAAGTCTGTGTTTATGTTAATGTTTGTTCTGCAGTGCCTGAATTCCAAAAGAAAGGAGGCTGTAATGAGGCGTGTGTGACTCTCCCTTCCCATCATGGCCTCAACTAGTTTTTCAGGTTAACTTCGGAATGACCTTGATGGAGGAAAGAGGCCCATTCAGATGACTGGGTGGATTTAGATTTTTAGTTTTGGTTTACAATTGTTATCTGATTAAACTAGCATGAAATGGATTCATTTTCTGTTCTGCTAATTGCTGCAGTATATGGTGACTGGTTTCCAGTCTAATGGCAAGTACAAGAAATGCCCAGAAATAAATGTTAGCTATTTTTTTTTCTCAAGCATCTTTCAACCGAATATAATGATAAGATGGTAGAGGAAGGTGGCCAACACTTCATTAACTTGTCATTTATTAAAATGCTAAGGAGAAAACTGTTAACCTTTCAACTGATTATACAGAGGACAGTGTTCATGTTAATTAACTTTGCCCAAGAGGAAGAGAATTCAATCCACTCAGGTGTTAACGGAAAGCACCCTTTTGTCCTTTTTAAAAGAGAAAAAAGTGTGTCTAACAATAGCCTAATTTGCATCTATTCCTGACATTTCATGGAGGACTTCATTATCCTCTGTTGTAAAAAGGAATTTCAATAATTGAAGGGGGTCTCTAACATATGAATAGGAAATGTGATTTAAGCAAATGGAGCTATTAGAATTTTTGGCATTTGTCCCAAATTTTGTCATCCAGACTACTGTAGGGAAAGGTTTCTACTTTTACACTAATCCCAGAGACTAGAGGCTTATTGAAGTCCAGCAAAACTTCATTACAGAAAGGATGCTGAAAATACAACAGAATTAAAGTACTCAGCTATAGGTAGAAGGAACAGATAGCAAGAGAAAAAAATAATATTCTAGGTTTTCATTTTTAAAAATAGCAACTTTTAAGATTTATTTTTGGATAAGTGCAGATATGCTTCTATTTTTTATGCCTCTTCAAATCTATATCCACAATTTTGTACAATAAAAATTTCTTTTCATAATGATGACCTTGAAGTTGTGAAAGACCAAATACTTTGATCGGACAGCTAACAAGATGGCTTTATTCAAGCTATTGCAATAAGAAGAATATTCATTGATGAGAAATGTTAAAGAGAAATTTACTGGTTGGAATTAAATAGGCAAGAAAGACTTTGTTCAAGACTACTGAAATAGGGGAGAAAGGCTGAGTTCTTAGGTGGTGGACTGAGAGCTAGTGGAAAAGTGCTGGATAACCTTAGAGGGAAGTTGATCAATGTGATCAGGCATTTGTGTTTGCTAATTGACACTTATCTAAGATAGGCTCCTACCCTTTCACAGAGACGGGAGATATGAGTGCATCTTTATTGATAATTACGTTTCAAAGGAGTGGTTCACAGCTCTTTGAAAAAGACTTGGGTTGTAAAATAGGCAAGAGGCTGAGAGAAGATTTATATCTCCAAGAGACACAGAAACATTTTTATAATTGCAAGTATTCTAAAACAAATGCTCTAAGCAAAGGGAGGTCAGGGGCCTATAGTAAGGTAGAAACTTGCCTAAAATTAAATCAAACTGAGAGGAATGTTAAAGTGGTTTTGGTTAGGAGCATCTCTTAAGAGGGAGAAAGGGGTTTTATAAAACAAGGGAGTCATTGAGGGAGTGGGGAGGTGGATCTTATCTAATTCATTGAGAAACAGTAGGAGTTATACTTCTCGCAGAATATGTAAGGGCCATTTCTCAGATCACAAAAGGATGGGAGTAGTTTTTAACCTTTCTAAACCAGCTCATTGAGAGAACACAAGGTGAAGTTCAGAATCATTAAGCCAATGCAAAATTTTCTTTGTTTAAAGGATGATTAAATTACCTTTAGTATATTGTGCTTTCTAGGCAGCAATTGTTTAGCAAGATTTCCTCATAGTGGTACCTCATTGACTGGCATGTAACAGAGTCAACCCAATCTTCAGAAAATAGTCTGTTGCCTAAGCATTCTATTAATCAAAAATAAGTTTTACTGCACGGCACAAAGAATTTTTCTGTTTATGGTATTTTTCTTTTACAATTTCTTTTTTGTTGTTACTGTTGTCTGGTTTTTGTATGTTACTATTCTCTGCTTATTACTCATTCCCTGCTTATTCTTCCAATTTGTATTGCGCCTTATAGATTGTAAAATTTATGCTTATATCATCTCATCTGATACTTGTATCAATACCCTGTAATGTAGTCAAGAGGAAGGCTTGGCTAACTTTTTCTGTAAAGGACTAAATAGCAATTTTTTTTTCTCCTTGTGGAGCAGGGCTAACCTATAGGCAGTGTGCCTAGAGTCAGCCTAATTATTTGAGGTTGCCATAAAGTCTCTATAAATTACTCAATTCTGCTGTCGTAGCATGAAAGCAGCCATAGTCAATACATAAATGGATGAACAGTAATATATTTCAAAAAAATGTTATTTATGGACACTCACTTTTGAATTTCAGATAATTTTTCCTGATTCATGAAATATTATGATTTTTTTCAACTTTCCTTAACTCATGAGTCATATGAAAACAATGGCCAGGTTTAGCTTATGGGACACAACTTGCTGAGCCTTGGTCTAGACAGTAATGATAGTTGAAGGTTTGAATATTACCTCCGCTGCTTAGTAACACTGACATCTTGGGTAAATTATTTTATTTTCAGTTCCATTTTCACATTTCATAGTGGAGATAATCTCTATATTACAGCTCTGTTGTGAGAATGAAACTAGATGGGAATAAATGAAATAAAATATAAAGTTTCCAGCACTTGTAATTTCTTAGAGTAGTATTCTCTTCTTTACGTTTGTGTTATGAATGAGGAACCTAAGTCTCAGAAGTTAAGTGATCTGTCCAAGACCACAGAGTTGTCAGTGGTAAACCTGCCACTTTCAGTTCAAGTCATTTTAACATTCAATGGGCTCCTACCAGGCTGCCCTTTTTTCACATGACAACTATTTACAATCATCTCTTCCCCAGTCCCGGGCCTTTCTCGGATGTAACTTGTGCAGCTCATTGCTTCCACTCCCTGTCTTCATCACTCTGTTCTTAGTGTTCTAAAATAAACATTTTTTGTGTGTGTTTGTTTTAAAAAATCCAAATGGTTATCACAAAACTTCGAGACAGGGCCTTGCTAATTCAACTGCTATTCCGCTAGGCTTCTACCCACTTGAGACCACCAGGTTTCTTAGAGTGGAAAAATTTATTTGTGTCAACTTACTTTTGCTTTTTGTTTTATATCAGGTAAGGATTCTCCTCTAGATTTATAGTGGAGACCTGACAGTGGAAATTTTGAGATATTTAAGATAATCTTATTATAATACAGTACAAAGTGGCACATTATATTAAAAAATGCTAGCTTAATTTTTTAGCAATCTTTTCAATAAAATGTGAAAAAACAGCCGGTTACATCCGGAATGCAAATAGCAGTGAAATGGGGCTGAAATGCGTAGTCTAGCGTTGAATACATTCTAGCTCCCATCTACCCAAGTCAGGATTTAAAATGGTATTATTGCTGAAACCTCTTCCTGATGAATACATTTTCAGAGATGAATAATAATGTTCGGTAATTATAGCATGAAACTGAAATAATGCAGTTGAACTAGTCTTGGAAGAATGAAATGTTAGTAAATGTTCTGTTAGTACGGTATTTCCCCTAATTTCCTCCTTTCTCCTTTCTTTGTTTCAGACTTTGTTTCCCTGAAAGCCAGGAGACTACTGGGAAACCTATCAGAAATATGAGTTGACCAAGGCTAGCTTGTTTTTAGGGGCAAAAAAATACGATTTTAATTGCAATCAATCCAAATACAGATAGGAATTCTAAAACATGGTTTTTCACAATGTGGTCCTAAGAATACTAAGTTAGCCAAATAGAATAGATATTACACGAACAATATGCTCTGTGGTCTGATATTAGGGAATTCTAGTTTAAACAAAGTTAAACGTAGGTCTTCCTAGAACTTTTTTTGTACTTCCTTTTTAAAAAAAATTTAATTTTTAATGGATATGTAATAGTTCTCCATATTAATGGGATATGTGTGATATTGAGACAGCCAGGTGGGAGGGGGTACCAGGAAAAACTCCAACCAGCCTGCACACTGGAGTGGAGCCTTGGGAAGTTTGCACTGTTTGCAGCCGGGAGGAGCCTGGCCCCTCCTCTTCCCTGGTGGAACCAGGGATTCAAGCTGCAAGGCACAAAGCACTCTAGATGAACTCTGGCCTTGAGGAGGACGCCTGTTTCCTCTTTTTTCCCCCCCCTTTTCGCCCAATAAAACCCTGCTTTACTCACCCTTCAAACCATCTGCAAGTATAAATTTTCATGGCTGTGGAATGAAAAAGGACCCTGTTTTTAGCTGAACTAAGGAAGAATCCTGCAACAATATTTTGATGCAAGCACACAATATGTAATGATCAAATCAGGATAATTAGGATAATTAGAATTGATCGTTTCTTTGTGTTAGGAATATTTCAGTTTCATTCTTCTAGTTACTTTGAAATATACAATAAATGATTGTTAACTATATCACCCTATTGTGCCACCAAACACTAGATTTTTTGAGATAGAGTCTCTCTCTGTCACACAGGCTGGAGTGGGCACCCACTGCTGGCATGATCTCAGCTTACCGCAACGTCCGCCTCCTGGGTTCAAGCGATTCTCCTGACTCAGCCTCCTGAGTAGCTGGGATTAAAGATGCATGACACCACACTCAGCTAATTTTTGTATTTTTAGTAGAGACAGGGTCTCACCATGTTGGTCAGGCTAGTCTTGAACTCCTGACCTCAAGTCATCCTCCTGTCTCGGCCTCCCAAGGTGCTGGGATTACAGGCATGAGCCACTGCACCCAGCTGAAACACTAGATCTTATTCCTCCTACCTAACTGTATTCTTGTACCTATTAACCAACCCCTTCTTATCCCCCCTTTCCCACTACTCTACCTACTGTCTCATAACCACCACTCTACTTCAAAACTTTTAATATTTTAAAATGCATTGTGAATCTCTAATGTTATTGGCAGTGAATCTGTAAGAGTCTGCTGCAAACTCCATCCTTGCTTCCTCAGAGGAAATAATTCAGCTGAGGGGCAGAAGTAGGTGTAAGGCAGAGGGAGAGACTCAGGCAAGTTTTAGAGCAGGAGTGAAAGTTTATTAAAAAGTCTTAGAGCAGGAGCAAAAGGGAGTAAAGGACACTTGGAAGAGAGCCAAGTGAGTGGCTTGAGAGAGTCAAGTGCCCTGCCCTGTTCGGCCCTTGAGTTGGCGTTTATACATTGGCATGGTTCCGGGGTTTGCGTGCCTTCTCCCTTGATTCTTCCCTTGTGGCAGGCTGTCCACATGCTCAGCGGCCTGTCAGCACTTGGGAGGGGCCACATGCGTAGTGTGTTTACTGACGTTGTGCTTGTGCTTACATGAGGTGTTTTTCCCTTACCAGTTGAGCCTTCTGCCATTTTGCCCCTTAATGTACATGCTTGACCCCACTTGCCCAACTCCTAAGATCTTATCATAAAGCTGCCGATCAACAGCTTCAGATGTTTTCTATCTAATGAGAAACTCTCTTTCCCTGGTGACAGCGGTGACCAGTTATCATTTTAGAAAGACAGTTTAACAACTGTCTAACCATCACCTGATAGTTGCCTGACATTTCTGGAGAAGTCCTCTCCTGCCCTGCTCACGTCTGCCTGACAACCTACTGTAACACTAAGACAGAGGTGTTTTAGGAAGCACTTTTTTTTTTTTAAATAGGAACTTATATTTAAAAGGGCCATCTCCAAGAAGATACAATGCTCAGAACAATTTTTAGGAAGTGGTAAGAGTATGCATGCTCCTTCCTAGCATTTTTCTACAGACAAAATAAAGTTAAATGAGCACTTACGTATTCAAATGCATATGCACGCTCTGTGTATATGTATAATTAAAGAGGCAACTTTGTCAACCCTCAATTAGTTTGTGCGATGATTTAGAGTCCTTTGTAACACTGGTAGATAGTATCACTAGCATCTTCCCTCTGACTATGTCTTTGAGTCATGGATCATCTGCTTTTTAATAGCACAGAATCCTTAAGTCATGGAGCTAAGAGTAATTTCTCAGATTCAGTGTATTTGGGCAGTGGGGTCCAAATGTCAATCTAAGTATATGCCATTGTTTTTTCAGTCATATTTCTGTTTTGAACTGTATTTGTTGTTGAGATATGGTCATTATTTTAAATAAGTAAAATCCACTGAAGTCTTTAATGCCAAAAAAGTGTTTAGTTTTCATAAACGTTTTATGTGGGTTTGAAAAGAATATACTGATTGCTGTGTTCTATGTATGACCATTTGATCAAGATTTTAATTGGGTTGTTCAAATTTTTATATCTTTACTATCATTTTAATCTTTGTTTTGTCTATTAATGTGCCAAATGGGTGAATATTCTCCCCATTTTCCTAGTTGATTTGAAAATTTCTTTATGAGGTACTATTAACTTTTGCTTTATATGTGACTTTAATCATTATTACAATACATAGTTTTATAATTGTTATATCTTGATGGAATAAACATTTTATCAAATGCATTGAACTTTTTACTTCTAAGAAAACTTGCTTGCTCTTTTATCAGATATTAATATAGCTTTAGTGTTTTCCTGCGATATGCTTTCTCAATAATCTACTTTCAAATTTTCTATGATTTTGTTTTATCAGTATATCTGCAATAAATAGAATATTGCTGAATTTCTCTTTGGTCAATATTCCTTTAATTTCTCTTTGATCAATATTCCTTTAATTGTTGAGTTTAATCCATATACAATTTACTGTGGGTTTTGATCATGTACATTTTATTATAAACTTATTTTTTATTTCTATTTGTCCTATATTTTCTACTCCATACTTTTTATAATTGCCTTATTGAGATATAACTGACCTACAATAAACCAAATGTATTTAAAACATATAATTAGATAAGGATTGACCTACGTATATACTCATGAAGCCATCACAAAAATAAAAATAATAAACATCTCTCTTTCAAAAGTTCCCATTAGCCCTTTAACAATCCTTTTCTCCTACTTCTCCACACCTTCTCCACAGGCTACCCACTAGTCTCATTTTTGTAACTAAAGATCAATGGGCATTTTTAATATTTTATATACACAAAGTTTTTACAGTACATCCTTTCTTTGTTTGGCTTCTTTCACTCAGTATAATTAATTTGAGGTTCATCCATGTTGCAATATTTTTTCTATTTTAATGTTGGTCATTATATCATTGTGTGGCTATACTATAATTTGTTCATCCATTTACCTCTTGATAGATATTTTGGTTTGTTTTAAGTTTTTGGGCTATAACAAATAAGGTTCCTATGCATATTGTTCTACAAGTCTTGGTATGGACATATGCTTACATTTTTCTTGGGTAAAATACCTCAAAGTGGAACAGTTGCATCATATGTTAGATGTTTAACTTTCTAAGAAACTGCCAAATTGTTTTTCAAGGTGGTTGTACCACTCTCCATTTCCACCAGCAGTAGATGAGGGCTCCACATTAGCACAAGGATTTGTGTGGCCAGATTTCTTAGTTTTAGACATTTTAACAGGTGTGTTATTGTATCTTGTTGTGGGCTTAAATTGCATTTCCCTAATGATGAGTGAGGTTGAACATTTTTTCACATGCTTATTTGCCATTTCTCTGTCTTCTTTGGTGAAATGTCTATTCAAATCGTTTGCCCATTGTTGTAGAGGATTGTTTAGTTACTTATTACTGAGATTTGAGAGGTTTTTCTTTTAAAAAAATATATTCTGAATAAAAGTTATTTTTCATATATATTATTTTTAATCTTTTCTCCTAGTTTGTGGCCTGTCTTTTCACTCCCTTAACAGCATCTTTCTAAAAACAGATATTTTACATTTTGATAGGTTCCACTTGATCCATCTTTTCTTTAATGAAGAAGCTAAGAAATCTTTTGTCTATATATTTCCTTTTCTATTCTGTTAATAAGGAATGTTACATATTGAAATTATAATGGTAAACCTTGCATTACTGAGATAAACCCCACTTGGTCAGATATATTACCCTTGTTGTGAATTTTGGATTCAATTTGGTAATACTTTGTTAAATGTTTTTGCATCCATATTCATGAGAGATATTTTTCTGTAATGTCTTTTTTTTCTGGTTTTAGTATCAGCATAATGCTGGCTTCCAAAATGAGTTAGGTAAGTCCTCCCTCCTTTTCCACTTTCTAGAAAGGTCTGTGTAATATTGGTAATATTCCTTCCTTTAATGTTTGGTAGAATTTACAGTGAAGTGACGGGTTAAGAACTGATTTTGTGTTTTTGGAAAGTTTATAAATTCAAGTTAAATGTCTTTAATAGGTACACTTCTATTCTTCTTGAGTTAGTATTAGCAGCCAGTGTCTTATAACAAATTTCTTCATTTAATCCAAATTATTAGGTTTATTCTATAAAGGCTGTCATAATATTACCTTATTATTCTTTTTAATATCGGTAGCATCAGCAACTGTATCAACTCTCATTCCTGATATTGCCAATTTGTATCTTCTTTTGCTTTTCACTGATTATTCTGGCTAGAGATTTATTAATTTTATTTATCTTCTCCAAGAGCCATCTTTTGGTTTCTTTCATAATTTTTTATTTTCTAAAGCAGTGGTTTCTGCTTTATCTTTATATTCCCTTTCTGATTCTTAATTTAGCTTAATGTGTCATTCTTTTTAAGATCAAAGCTGAGGTAATTTATTCAAGAGCTCCCCTCTTTTCTTCTATAAGAATTCATCACTAAGTGTGGAAATTTAGGTTGATATTTTTTCTTTCAGTACTTTAAAGATATTGCTCTATCCCCTTTTGGTTTGCATTGTTTCTGACATGAAGTCATCTTGTTTTTGACCCTCTGTATGTATTATATATATTTTTCTCTTATGTTTAAGATTGTAATTTTTTGTCACTGGTTTTAAGAAAGTTGATTACAGTGTGCTTTGGTGTGGTTTTCCTCATTCTCCTTGGGCTTAGAGTTGACTAAGATTTTTGATATATTTATAGCTTTCATCAAATTTGGAAAATTTTTAGTCATATCTTCAAATATTTCTGGCCCCCTCTCCAATTTAGGGATCTTCAGTTTCTTACATATTATGTTGCTTTAATTTATCCCATAGGTAATTGATGCTTTGTTCATTTTTTTCACTCTTTTTCTTTCTGTGTTTCATTTCAGATGATTCCATTGCTATGTCTTCAACTTCAGTAATCATTTGTTCTGTAATATTTAATCTGCTGTTAATCCTATATATATCTTTTTCACTTCAGCCAATTGAGTTTTCATCTATAAGTTTGACTTGAGTCTTCAAAAAATTATATTATCTTAATCCGATTCATCTTTCTCTACCTTCATGAATATGTGACATATACTTACAATAACTGTTTTAATGTCCTTGTCTATTAATTACATCATTGGTACCATTTTTGAGTTGGGTTTTGTAGATCAACTTCTTTTTTCATTATGGATCATATTTTTCTACTTTTTGTATACATTGTAATGTTTTATTGGGGGTTAGACGTAGTGATTTGATCTTGTTGGTTGCTGGATACATTCCTGTTCTTATAAGTAGTCTTGAGCTTTGTGTCAGATGCAACTATGTTGCCAGGAAACATTTTGATCCTTCTGGGTCTTGCTTTTAAGTTTAAGTGGGATAGGACAGTATTTCGTTTGGGCTAATTTTACCCTACTATTGAGGCAAAATTGTTTTGAGTATTCTACTGGACCCTTCATGAGTAATGAGGTTTTGTGTGCTATTGTGGCAGGACTTTTCATTAGCTCTTCTAAAGACAGGGTCCTTGTCAGATGGCCATGAAAATTTAGTCTCACAGCCCATTTGAAGGGTGAGTAGGGCAGGGTTTATTGGGTGAAAAGAAAGAAAAAGGGGAAACAGAGACTCTTGGTGAAGTGAGAGAGTGTCCTTCCTGCCAGTGGGCTTCCTGACTCACAGACTGAATCCCAGGTTCCACCCAGGAAGAGGAGGGGCCAGGATCAACCTGGCTGCAAACAGCGCAAACTTCTGTGGCTCCACCCCAGTGTGCATTCCTCCCAGTGCGTAGTCTGGCTAAAGTTTTGCCAGGGAGACTTTTCCATCTGGCTGTCTCAATATCTGCCGTGAACAGGATTTTTTTCAGCCCCACCTGAACCCCAGGCATTTTTCCTGCCTTTAGGTGTTTTCTTCCAGTGCATATGCTGATCAATACACAGTTGAAGAATCAAGGTACACCCTCTGCAGATGTCAAGGACTCTCTCTGTGTGGCACTTTTTTTTTTTTTTGTCCTCTTTATTGTGACGTGTAGCTGCTTTGTCTCTCCATCCTGAATTTGAAAAACTATTAGATGGAGGCTAGAGTTCAAGTTAGATAACTAGACTTAAATATAAAGTTAGGCATTATAAACAAAGATAATATATTTAAAGCTATGGGATGGCATGACATTAGCAGGGGAGTTAGTGTTGACAGAGAGGACTAAGACATTGAACCCTGTGGGACTCCAACATTGAGTCTGAGGCAAGAGGTGGAACCATCAGAGAAGACAGAAATACAATTATTTTGACTTCTTAATATTTTCCATACTTTACCCTTAAGTTACATTTATAAGAAAACACTGTATTCTAAATAATTATTTATAAAAATACTTTATTCTGAATACTCAGAAATTTTATGTAGTCTATTGAATCAGATATTTACATGTATAGTTTATCATATGGCCAGCAGTATAAGTCTTCTTTCATATTAATTAGTATTAACAATTTTAGACTGAGAAAGAGGCAGAAATTGTCTCTACAATAAACAGTAAATTAAAGGCATGTCATCTTTAGATCTAGTTTTGTTTTTTCTTTTATTTCAGTTTTGCATTATAGCTATTCCTAAGGAAGTGAACCCCTGATGTGATCTGAGGATCACATTCACCTGCATCAGAATTACCTGCAATTGCTTGGTAAGCATGCTGAATACTAGAATCTATCCTAGATTTGGAAGATCCATGAGTTTTCATTTTTATCATCATCTTCCGCTGATTCTTAGGTACTGTCAAGTTGGAGAACTTGTGCTTCATTCTGCCAGTGGTTCTGAACTTTTATTGTGCACTGAAATCACTTGGGACTTTAAAAAAATACTGATGCCTATCCTCTACCCATAGAGATTTTGATTTAATTGATTTGGATTGGGGCTGGGATTCCTGTATTTGTAGGCCTTTCAAGCAATTCTAATGTGCAGCCAGAATTGAGAACCACTGTGTTACGGTGGAGTATGAGGACATGGTAAATTGGTACAAATCCTTCAGGTCATCAAGGAAATCTGAATGGTTTCTTTAAACAGGCAATGTAGCTGAATGCAGCAAAAGTGAGTGAAGGAAAACCCAGCTATTTTCATAGATCAGGTACTTAATAGATCAAATACAGAAAGTTAGACTTGTGTGGGATAATTTGTTATAAAAAGTAATGTTAAGAATGACAGCTGAGGTAAAAAGATGCTATCATCTCAAATGAACTCAGAGGTTTCTGTACATGGGTTTTAAAGCTGGAACATCAGTGGATGCTAGTTTTACTGATCTTAAGGTGGGGTTTGCTTTCTTTACCCTATTTTGTAATATCTGCTGTGTGAATGGCTTAGGGATTAGAGACTTTTCTTTTAATACCAGAGAGCATCAATGCTCTATGCACCCTGGATAAGACAGAGGCAAATGTATATAGATTTAGTCAATGAACAAAGTTCTGTTTGCTACTACCTGTGATGCTGTGGCCTCTTCCTGTTATATAGCATTTCCTTTGACTAAATGGTCATTTGTAGTATATAAAATCTTGCTAACAATATCTCACTGACCCACTTCCCAGTATAGACTAGCATAGCATTTTTAGACATACAACTTTAAGGAGGAGTGTATTCTTTCAATGTCAGACATTTCCTTAAAATGTTTTAGGCATTTGTTGTAATGGAGTATGGAAGACACACACACACATAAATAACTGTCATGAAAGAAGTTTATACTCACAGATTGCTAGAAACTGAAGGCAGGGCATGCCATGCAGGACCACATGGGGAAGCACAAGGGGCCAATCAAGTGTCAGAGGGAGTAAGGAGAAAATGTGGGCGAGAATCTTTATTGTGGCTTCCACAGCACAGGCAAAACAGGGTAAGCAGACTTAATATTGGGTAATTTGAATAATTTAATTAGGCTGTGAAGTACAAAGGCTGCCCCTAGTTGCCTGATGCCTGGGCTTTGCGTGATTGCAGGAGGGGGATAGTGGTTTGAAGTGTAAGAGCTAGATAAAGGAGTTTGTTGGGGTTTTGGCTTTGGTTTAGGCAGGAAAGATGTACTTGAGGTGACTCCTTTACTGTCTCTACGAATTGGCTAGCTCTGGGAGGGGCAGTATCTCCAGGATCAGCAAGACCCGAGATGTCAAAATATCAGAAAATGCAAAATATAAAAACCATAATTAACACAGATATAAGCTCAGTTGCTCCATACAGAATTCCAGGGTACCACCTTAGGGCCCAGTCCTTTTTCTTCAAACCTCAGTCATTGCCCCATGAAGGGCCAGCCTATCCAGACACACTGTACCTGCATTTGGTTTATTGTGGTGTGAGGTGATCTCCAGTTGTGTTCATGGGATCTTTTGGGGTCAAGTAGCTTTCATTTTCAGCCCTTGAAAGCAAACTATGTCTTTTGCTTCCCTCCTGGACAATGAGAATATTGTAAAACGGCTATCTGGGCAGTTGTTGGGGCAGGATCCTTCATATCTGATGGGCAGATTCTCCTTTTTAAATATTTTAAGTAGAAGCCTTTTTATTATATCCTTTTTTGGAAAATAGAGTTTGAATAAGTTCAAGGATTCATGAAAAGTATGTTTACTCACTGTGAGAGGAACATCAATCCGTTACTGTATCACCTGGGTGAATCACTTCCCCAGTATCATTTGTGTAATTTCAAGTTTTCTCCAGAAGAAAATAAAATCCAAGTTAATTTTTTGGGTCTCTCTCTCTCTCTCACACACACACACATACACACACCTCCTTTTCCTTTTTAAAATTTTGAGATAATTGTTGATTCACATGTGGTTATAAGAAATAACATGGAGAGATCCTTTACCCAGTTTTCTCCAATGTTAGCAACTTCCAAAACTATAGTATAATAACACAATCAGGATATTGACATTGATACAGTCAAAATACAGAGCATTTTTCTCACCAGAGGATTCCTTATGTTCCTTTTGTATATAACCACACCCATCTCCACTCTTACCCCAACCCCTCCTTTTTCAACAGTGGAATCACAAATTTCGGTAAGTGGAATCATACAGCCTGTATGCTTTGGTATTGGTTTTTTTACTTAGCATAATTCTCTGAAGATTCATCCAGAAGTGTGTATCCATAGTTCTTTGTTGCTGAGTACTATCCAATGGTATGGATATACCACAGTTTGTTTATCCAGTAAAAGACATTTGGGTTGTTTCTAGTTTGGGGCTGTTGTGAGTAAGCTTATAAATATTTGTGTACAAGTCTTTGTGTGAACATGCTTTTTCTTAGCTAAATGCCCAGGAGTGAAATTTTGGGGCTGCGTATTAATACTATAAGAACTTAAAAGTTATAGTAAAATTGATCAACAGGGAGGCCATTGGTGAGCCTTGTAAGAGCTGTTTTGGTGGAGAGTTGGAGACAGAAACCTGATTGGATGAGTTCAGGAAAGATTAGCAAGAGAGAAATTAGAGACAGTTAATAGAGTAACTCTTTTGAATGGTTTTGTTGTAAGAGAGCTTAGAAATGGGACAGTAGTTGGAGAGGTCTGAGAGAAATAGTAGCATGTTGATATGCTAATGCAAAGGGTGAGTAAGAGGGAACAAATCATGTTGGAGGTAATGAGGATATAGAGCTATGGGGAAGAATGCTAGTTTTTTAATCAATGAGAGAAAGTAGAATGCAGTGCCAAAATAGAGGCTCAGCATTTGGAAATGAACACTTTATAGAAAGGGGAGATGTTGAAAATTTTTTCTCATAATGTTGGTTTGATAGTTTCCTCCACTCTGCTTTCTCTGTTCTTTTTTGAACTATTAGGCAAACATATCTCCTTTGTTGATCTTTTAACTTCTTATTTTTTCCTCCTATAGTTCTCTTTAATCTTGTTTTTTGCTGGAGTTTTCTCACTTGGGCAATAAGAATAGTCAGATCACTATTAAAGTATTATAAAGGCCTTTTCTTATTGTAATGTGTGTGTGTTAGCTTTAGGCAACAAGCTTTAATAAGCAGAAATACTCAGGCATAAAATAAATATTTCCTTTCCTCTTTGTTTTATGTATCTATTGGGAAATCAAGTATATGAATGAATTAATTACCTTAATCTAATAACCCTAACACTGTTTAATATTTTAGGAGAATAAGAGATTATTTTTATTTCCTTATAGTATTGTAAATATTAAAATAATTGCTTATACCAGAGAGAGAAAATATATTGTTTTCAAATTTAATCTTTTAAATTTATCTTTTGAAATAAAATTATCATTTTTTGGCATACATGTCTACGGTAAAAAAAAATTCAAAAGATATAAAAGTGTATAGAGCAAAAAGCAAGATTGCCTCCTAAGCCCATCCCCCAGCTAGCAAGTTTCTTTCTCTAGAGGCAATTAAGGTTATTATTTTTTATTAATTGTCCTAATTTTTAATTTCAGAATTAGTTAAGCTATTATGTCATAGTTCCAACTTTTAAAATATAAATCTAGATAAATGGAATGCAAAAAAAGAGGATGCTCTATTAGAAAATGCTTTGTAGAAGTAATAATGATCATTAAGCTAAAAATGAACAAGCCCACGGTACTTAATGGCAAATATTAATTTCATGATTGATTATTAGTTGTTAGTCATATTTCCTTGATGTTATTATCTTCTGGGCTATAAAAAGATATTGCCTGTTAATGTGTTAGAATATATGCTTTTTTATATGTAAAAAGACAATAACTTAAAGCTTGTTACTTTCACAATAAATTATTACAGTGTTCCTAATAGGAAAAGGTAAGTTCTTTAAAGAAATTTATTCCTTTGATTTTTTATGCAAGTAAAAGAGCTAAAGCAAAATGGATAAACTTCACTAAGCCATTTTTGTTCATATGGCTCTTTTTTTAAAAGCAATTTTTGGTAGTGTTAAGCGGAAATGTTATTTATGACATTTGTTAAAGGTATAATATTTGAAGGGGCCATAGCTGTAGGAGCTAATGCAAGGGGCTCTTGCAGTGGTTGGTGGGGAGAGAGATTGGACTCAACTCCAACAAGTGAAGATTTGTAACCAAGTAGCAGGGTGGAGGTCAGTGGATGGGAAATTACTAAAAAGAAATGTCAAGATAAGGGATTTCTGGCTAAACTAATTTGAAAGAATTATTGCTATAGGGAGGCCAGGAGAATAGGATATTGAGGGTGGTCAAATACCAAGGGTGGGGGATTTTTGCTAAACTGGAGGATTTTTGCTAAACTGACTTAGTAAGATTCTTCTCAAACTAGATTCTGCAAAGATAGAAAGGAAAACCCAAGGTTAGGCCCAGTCAAAAAGGACTCAGAAGCCTGACTAATGTTTTGGGTGAAAGACAGTCTTTGTCATGGCAAGTAGCAGAAATTTATGCAAATTTGCTTTTGTTTTCCTTCAATTTGGGGTTCAAATCCAAAAAATTGTTGCCCAGACAAGCGTTGTATGGTTTTCCCATTTTCTTCTAGTGGTAACAGAGTTTCTGGTCTTACCTTTTTAACTCCCATTGAGGTGATTTTTCATATATGGCATGGATAAGGGTCTGGTTTTATTCCTCTGTAGGTGGAAATCCAGTTTGCCAACATCACTGATTGAAGATACTGTACCTTTCTATTCCATATTCTTGGTACCTTTGTTAAAAATCAGTTGACTATACATGTGTGGGTTCATTTCTGGGCTCTCTATTCTGTTTCCCTGATAGCTATGTCTATTTTTGTGCCAATACCATGCTGTTTTAGTTATCACAGCTTTTAAAATCAGATAGTCTGTTAACTCCAGCTTTGTTCTTTTTTCTTACAAGTATCTCAGTTGTTTGGGTGTTTTAGTGTGATTTTATATCAATTAAGATTTTTTTTTCCATTTCTATGAAAGTGGACATTACAATTTTGATAGAGATTGCATTGAATCTCTAGATCATTTTGGGTAGTACAAACATTTTAGCAATATTAATTCTTCCAATCCATGAACATGGGCTATTGTTCCATTTATTTGTGAATTCTTCCATTTCTTTCATCAATGTTTTATAGTTTTCAGTGTACAGGTCTTTCATCTTCTTGGTTACATTTACATGAGTATTTTATTATTTTTCACAACTATTGTGAATGACATTGTTTTCTTGATTTCTTTGTCAGATAGTTCATTGAGAGTGTATAGAGGTACCATAATTTTTGTATGTTGATTTTGTATCCTGCAGCTTTACTGTCTTCATTTATATGTTCTAACAGTTTTCTGGTGGAGTCTCACAGTTTTTATAAAATCATGTAGTCAGAAAACAGTAAAAATGTCAGTTCTTCTTTTCCTATTTGGATGTTTTTTATTTCTTTTTGTTACCTAATTGCTCTTAGAAGGATTTCCAATACTATGTTGAGTAGAAGTGGCCAGAATGGGCATCCTTGTTTTTTTCCAAATCTTAGGGGACAGGCTTTTAATTTTTTATTCTTGAGTATAATTTTAGCTGTGGGCTGCTCATAAATGGCCTTTATTGTGTTGAGGTACATTTATTCTATGCCTAATTTGGTGAGAGCTTTTATCATGAAAAACTGTTGAATTTTGTTAAATAATTTTTCTGCAGTTGATAAAATGGACACGTTTTTGTATTTCACTCTGTTAATGTGAGGTATCACAATTTTTGATTTGTATATGTTGAAGCATCCTTTCATCCAAGATATAAATCCTACTTGATCATGGTGGATGATCCTTTTAATATGTTGTTAAATTCAGTTTGGTAGTGTTTTGTTGAGAATTTTTGCATCTATGTTCATCAAGGGTATTGACCTACTAATTTATTTTCTTGTAATGTCCTTGTCTGGTTTCGATATCAGGGTAATGTTAGCCTCATAAAAAGTTTGGAAATATTTCCTCCTCTGCAATTTTTGGAAAGATCTTGGGAAGGACTGGTATTAATTCTTCTTTAAATGTTTGGTAAGATTCACTTAAGAAGCCTTCAGGTCCTAGGCTTTTCTGTGTTGAGAGACTTTTTATAACTGATTCAATCTCCTTACTCATTATTGTTATGTTCAAATTTTCTATTTCTTAATGATTCATCCTTGGTAGGTTGTATTTGTCTAGGAATTCATTTCTTCTTCGTTATCTAATACATTGGAATATAATTGTTCATAGTAGTTTCTTATGATCCTTTGTATTTCTGAGGTATCAGTTGTAATGACTAACCTTTCATTTCTAATTTTATTTATTTGAGTCTCCTCTCTTCTTCCTTTAGTAGTCTACCTTAAGTATTGTCAATTTTGTTTATCTTTAAAAAAAAAACCTCTTACTTTCATTAATCCTTTGTCCTTTGTTTTTCTAGTCTCATTTATTTATTAATTTATTTATTTATTTATTTTTTGAGATGGAGTCCCATTCTGTCACCTAGGCTGGAGTGCAGTTGTGCCATCTCCACTCACTGCAACTTCCGTCTCTGGGTTCAGGGAATTCTCCTGCCTCAGCCTCCAGAGTAGCTGGATTACAGGTATGTGTTGCTGTGCCTGGCTAATTTTTGTATTTTTAGTAGAGATGGGGTTTCACCATGTTGGCCAAGCTAGTCTCAAACTTCTGACTTCAGGTGATCCATTCACCTTGGCCTCTCAAAGTTCTGTGATTACAGGCATGAGCCACTATGCCCAGCCTCTAGTTTCTATTTCATTTATATATGCTGTAATCATTATTATTTCCTTCCTTTTGCTAACTTTGGACTTAGTTTGTTATTGTTTTTCTAGTTCATTGAGCTGTAACATTGGGCTGTTAATGTGAGATATTTCTTTTTTGTTGTAGAAATTTATTGCTATAAATGTTCCTCTTATAACTGCATTTGCTGTATCCCATATATTTTGGTATTTTTTTTCATTCTTGTTTGTCTCAAGGTATTTTTAAATTTCCGTTTAAATTTCTTCATTTACCCGTTGAATGTTCAAGAGTATGTTGTTTAATGTACATGTATTTGTGAATTTCTGAAGGCCCTCCTGTTGTTCTACTATTGTGGTCAGTAAGGATGCTTGATGCAATTTCTTCTTTAATTTTTTGAGGCTTGTTTTGTGCCCTAATATGTGATCTATCATGGACTATGTTCCATGTACAAGTGAGAAGAATATTTATTCTGTTGTTGGATGAATGTTTTCTTTCTTTTTTTTTTTTATTATACTTTAAGTTTTAGGGTACACGTGCACAACGTGGGGGGAGGGGGGAGGGATAGCATTAGGAGATATACCTAATATAAATCACAAGTTAATGGGTGCAGCACACCAACATGGCACATGGATGAATGTTTTCTAAATTTTTCTTTCTTTTTTTGAGACGGGATCTCATGCTGTCTCCCAGGCTGAAATGCAGTCATGCGATCTTGGCTCACTGAAACCTCTGCCTCCCAGGCGCAAGCCGTCCTTTCACCTCAGACTCCTGAGTAGCTGACACTACAGGCATGCACCACCACACCTGGCTAATTTTTGTATTTTTTTAGAGACAGGGTTTTGTCATGTTGCCCAGGCTGGTCTCAAACTCATGAGCCTCAACGATCTGCCTGCCTTGGCCTCCCAAAGTGCTGGTATTACAGATGTGAGCACTACACCAGGCCCTCTAAATGTTTGTTAGGTCCGTTTGTTCTAAAGTGTTGTTCAAGTTCTATGTTCCCTTATTAATTTTCTCTCTGGATGATCTGACAATTGTTGAAAATGGGTGTTGATGCCCTCTACTATTATTGTATGCAGTCCATCTCTCCCTTCACATGATTTAATATTTGTTTTATGTACATAGATGCTCTGATGTTGGGATATAATAATGTCATATTTCCTTTTATCTACCCATTGAATATTCAATGGGTCTATAAAGATGCTAAAATCACAATACAAGTGCTCACCAAGACACTCCTTAAGAGTTTTAGACATTATTGATAGTGATGAAGGCATTCATTTTGCTTCTCCAAATATATAACGCTGGATTCTTTAATCAGTCATTCAACAAAACTTTCACCACTCTTACTGGCCTCACACTATAGGTATTATAGAGTGTCACAATGGTTTACTTAAATAAGTTGAATTGATTTAAATCAAACGACACATTTTAGTAATCAGTTAGACATCAAGGGTGAATTGTAATAAACAGTCAAACTTCACTTTTGATGTTTGTCTGCTAACAGTTTTCAAGCCTCACCATTCTCTCTTCTCCTTTTGTTCCACATTTGAACAATCTGATAAGAAAGCCCAGGTGCTCCTTCCTTTTATGTTGGCAGGAAGTTCAAATCCAGCAAATCACATTTGCAATAACCCATACCCCATCCCCATCTTTTAACCATAACACTTCAAATTAGTCTTCTCTCCCTGACCTCTAATGTCATTTTTGGGCAGGCTTGGGAACCTGTCTCATCCTCCCCAGAAAGTCTCATTATGTGAGTAATAAAATGTTCATACCCTTTTGGGGTATGTGTGATGTATGTGAGTGTGGATCCATTCATCCTCTTCTCAGTGAGAACAATATATACATATTTAAGTAATCAAATATATTTTTGCCTAGGGTATAAGACCATTTCTGAGTTTTCTTGGTTAATTTTAAAAGAAATTAGATATGTTGTCAGAAAGTGCATAATAAAAGCATATTTTTGTTTATACAGGGGTATTCTGGCTGATTCTTGAATATATCTTTCTTAAAAATGTCAGATTTTGGTTCAAAATATATCATTTATTTGCTTCATCTTTATATGGATACAGCGTGTTCTCACTCAAATAAGCCAATCACAGGCATTATTGAAAATGCTGAAATCATCCATAGCCAATGAGATATAATGGGCTAAGTTAAACTTAACATGAAGAAAGTTTTCTTTCCAAATTAGTATATTTAAAATCAATCATATCCTTGTAAATATGATGTGGAAAGGTTTTTTTATATAATGAAAATTATAAAGTGATTAAGACTAAATATGATGTTTGTTTAGGTGATTTCCCCTGAATATATTCTTAATGAAAAATCATTAAGTTCTAAATTTCAAGTATCCAACAGTTTCTGAAGACCAGTGAAAATGAAAGATGTAGAGAATGAACTTCCTGGCTGTTATTAAAATGTAGAATTTGTCTTTTGCCAAATCAAAATAAATACAAAGTGAAAACGACTGCTTTATTTCTGGGTTTGCTTAAAAATTATTGCATACTGTGGGAAGGCATCATTTAGCCTTCATTTTTAGGTCCTAGCAGAAACCAAATTAACATTGTCATGAGAGAAAATCTAAAAGAATATTCTGAACCATTTCTGGTTAGGGGTGCTTTGCTTACTTGCTTCAGTGTAAGATTTCAGCAAAGTTATTCATAGGCTATGTAAGCCATGGACACACACAAAAATGTATCCATGTTTCAAAATAGCAAAACCTGTCCTTTTCTTTCATACATAAGCTATTGGAAAAAATGGAATTTATTGCTTTATGCGCTTTTAAAGAATAAAAACCGAAAAACAACAGAAATCTTTTCTCCTATCCATAAAATAATTTTTTTATATTTAAATGAGGTTTTCCTATAGTTTTTAAAAGTCTTCATCTTGATTTTTCTGGTTGTTCAGTGAGACTTATCTGTTGAACTTCAGATTATTTCTCTGAGCTGCTCCATCTCCCATTTTTGTGGCTCTACTCCTTTAAAATCTACAACTGACCCTTGAATAATATGGGTGTGAACTGTGCAGGTCTACTTCTAAGCAGACATTTTCCAATAAATACAATTGGCCCTCAGTGTCCACACTGACCACCCCACCCCCACTCCCTTCTGTCTCTTCAGTCAAAGATGGATAGAAAATACAGTATTCTTGGGATGAGAAGCCTGTGTATATGAATGGCCAACTTTTGCATATTCACAGGCTCTGCAGGGCCTACTGCAGGACTTGAGTATGTGCAGATTTTGGTATATGTGGGGTATCCCGGAACCAATCCCCATGGCTACCACGGGACAACTGTAACTGTAGCAATTTACATGAATCATCTTTCTTAGATATACGTACTTGTATGTTTTCTAAAGAGTTCTAGGAGCTTCCATATGCTATTGATTAGCTCATGGCTGATAAATTATATTAAATCCCTAGAATAGGTGGACAAGTCATTTTCTATTCAGCATTTACTATAAATATAATGGAATAATTTTTTTCTCCAAAACACTCTCCTTCTAGCTTGAGGCTTGTACAACTTTTGGTAGAATATTTTCATATCTCTTTTTTTGAACTAAATTGAATTCCTCTGATGATCTCATTATAAGATGCTAATATTTTGCAAACTTGAAGCAAGATTAAATGAAAAAGAATGTCATAGTATTCTAGGTATTATTGACTTGTATTCTCCTGAACAATGATAACTACCACAGAAGCTTCCATTAACTAATGACAATTATTTTTTACTTCAAATCAGGTTATTTCGAGATATGAATTTTTGAGTTTTTAGAAAACATTTAAATTCAAATAATGTGGCATAGATACTTGGAATAACCAAAAACATAAATGTGAAATGAAAATGATTTGCTTAATCTTTTGGTGTTTATTTTTTGCAGTGAGAACACTTACGATTGACTTGCTTAGCAATTTTCAAGTATATAATGCAGTATTATTAATTATAGTTTCCATGCTATACATTAGATCTCCAGAACTTATTCATTCCACATAACTGAAATTGTACCCTTGGATCAACATCTTCCCATTTTCTCCACACCCCATCCCAACCCCTGGCAACTGCTATTCTACTCTGCTTCTATAAGTTTGTTTTTTTAAGACTCCATATATAAGTGAGAGCATGCAGTATTTGTCTTTCTGTCCCTGGCTTATTTTACTTGGCATAATTTCCTCTAGATTTATCCATGTTGTCACAAATGGCAGGAATCCTTTTCTCTTTTTTGAAGCTGAACAATGGTACAGTATGCATGTGTGTATGTGTGTGTGTGTGTGTGTGTGTGTGTATTTCACATTTTAGTTATCCATTCACTTGTTGATTATTCGTTCTCTTTGCTATTGAGTTGTTTGAGTTTCTTATATATTTGGTAAATTAATATCAGATGTATAGTTTGCAAATATATTCTACCATTTTGTAAGTTTTCTCTTCACTCTATTAGTTGATTCTTTTGGTGTAGACGTTTTTTAATTTGATGCGATCCGCTTGTCTATTTGCCTTTGTTGTCTGTGCTTTTGGGATCACATCCAAAAAAATCATTGCTCATGCCAGTGTCACAAAGCTTTTCCACAATTATTTATTCTAGTATTTTACGTTTTCAGGTCTTACCTTCAAGTCTTTAATCCATTTTGAGTTGACTATTATATATGGTATGAGATAAGGGTCTAATTTCATTTTTCTCCATGTGTATATTCAGTTATCCAAACAACATTTGTTAAAAAGACTATTCTTTATTATGTGTTTCTTACCACCCCATAGGCTACACCGTGACCTTAGCAACCTTACGTGTTCTTAGCAACTTGTTGAGGATCAATTGACCATAAACATGTGTATTTATTTCTGAGATCAATCTTTTCCACTGATTTATGTATCTGTTTTTATGCCATTACTGTACTCTTTTGACAGCTATAACTTTGAAATATATTTTGAAATCAGGAAGCATGATACCTCCAGAATTATTACTGCTTAAGATAAGTTTGGCTATTTGGGGTCTTTTGTGGTTCCATGTGAATTTTATGATTATTTTTCTATTTATCTGAAAAGTGACGCTGGAATTTTAATAGAGATTGCATTGAATCTGTATGTAGATCACTCTGAGTGTATGAACATTTTAACAATATTAATTCTTCCAAATCATTAGCATGAAATATCTTTCCATTTATTTGTATCTTCTTCAATTTCTTTCATCAATGCTTTATAGTTTTCAGTGTAGAGATTTTTCACCTCCTTGGTTAAACTTACTTCTATGTATTTATTATTTTTTGATGCTATTGTAAATGGCATTGTTGAGTTCCTTTTTGGATAGTTTGTTGTTGTCTAGAAATACTACTTATTTTCGTATGTTGATATTATATTCTTCAACTTTACTGAATTCATTTATTAATTCTAACTGTTTTTTGGTGGTGCTCTTAGGTTTTTCTATAAATAAGGCCATTTCATTTGCCAACAGAAAAAACTTTACAACTTTCTCTCTGATTTGGATGGCTTTTATTTCTTTTTCTTGCCAAATTTCTCTGACAAGGACTTCCAGTATTATGTTGAATAGAAGTGGCAAGGGTTTGTATCTGTCTTAGTCTGTTTGTGCTGCTCTAACAAAGTACCTGAGTGAAACTAGGCAGTTATAAATAATATGAATTTATTTCTGACTCTTCTGGAGGATGGGAAGTCCAAAATCAAAGCACTGGTAGTTTTGGTATCTGGTGAAGACCCAGTCTCCTTTCAAGGTGGTGCCTTTTTGCTAAGTCCCCCAGAGATGATAAATGCTGTGTCTTCACATAGACGAAGGGATGGAAAAGGCATAATTAGTTTCCTCCAGCCCTTTTCTAAGGCACTAATCCACTCATGTGGGTGGAGCCCTCCTGACTTAATCACTTCCTCAAAGGCCACACTTCCTAATACCACCACAGTGGGGATTAAATTTCATCACATAAATTTGGGGGAACATTCAGACATAGAAGCATGACTTCTTCTTGATATTAGAGGGAAAGCTTTTCATCGAGTATAATGTTAGCTGGGGGCTTGTCATATATGCTTTACAGTGTTGAGTTATATTCCTTCTATACTTAATTTGTTGAGAGTTTTTTTTAATCACTAAAGGATACTGAATTTTGTCAAATTACTTTTCTGCATTTATTTAATCATATAATTTTTGTCCTTAATTCTGTTAATGTGTGTACAACATTATTGACTTATATATGTAGTGAACTATCTTTGCATCCCGGGGATAAATCCCACTAGATTATGGTGTATGATCCTTTGAGTGTGATGGTAAATTTGGTTGGCTAGTATTTCCTTGAGATTTTTTTCATCTATGCTAATCAGAGGTGTTGGCTTGAAATTTTCTTGCTTGTAGTATCCTTGTCTGGCTTTGGTATTAAGGAAATGCTGGCCTCATAAAATGAGTTTGGAAGTGTTTCCTCTTCTTCATTTTTTGGGAAGAGTTTGAGACACATTAATTCTCCTTTATAATTTTAGTAGAATTAAGCAGTAAATCCATGTGATTCTGTGCTTTCCTTTGATGGAAGACTTGTAACTACTGATTCAACCTTCTCAATTATTATTGATCTTATTTATTATTATATAATAAGTAGGATTTTATTATCCAATTTGTTGACACATAATTATTCAGCGCAGTCTCTTGTAATCCTTTGGATTTCTTTTGAATCCGTTGTAATGTCTCCTCTTTCATTACTGATTTTGTATGTTTCCTTTTTTTTTTAATCTAGCCTAAAATTTGTCTATTTTGTTTAATTAAAAAAAAACCTCTTAGTTTCATTGATCTTTTCTCTTATTTTTCTGGCCTCTAACTTATTTATTCTCTGATTCTGTTATTTCCTTCCTTTTACTAATGTTGGGCTTGGTTTGCTTTTCTTTTTCTAGTTATTTGAGGTGTAATGTTAGGTTGTTTATTTGGGGTTTTTTTCCCTTTCATGTGGACATTTATTCATATGAACTTCCCTCTTAGAACTACTTTGGCTGCATCTCATAAGTTTTGATAGTTGTGTTTTCATTTTCATTTGTCTCAATATGTCTTTAATTTCCCTTTTTATTTCTTCTTTGTCTCTTTGGTTGCTCAAGAGTGTGTTGCTTAGTTTCCACATGTGAATTTTCTAGTTATCCTCTTGTTATTAGTTTCTAGTTTTATACCATTGTGGTCAGAAAAAATACTTGATACAATTTCAGTCTTCTTAAATTGCGGAAAACCTGTGGCATAACTTATTATCTGAACTGGAGTATTTTCTCTGTGCACTTGAGTTAAATGTGTATTTTGCTGCTGTTGGATAGAATGTTTTATATATGTCTGTTTCATTGGTTCATTTGGTCTATAGTGTTATTGGGGTCTGTTACATTCTTATTGATCTTCTGTCTGGATGATGTATCCGTTGTTGAATGTGGGGTATTCAAGTCCCTACTATGACTGTATTGTTGTCTATTTCTTCATATATGTTAAAATTGGCTGTATATATTTTGATGCTCTAACACTGGGTGCAGATATATTTTTAATTGCTGTATTCTCCTGATTAATTGACACTTTTACCATCATGTAGTTACCTTTATCTCTTGTGACAGTATTTGACGTATATTCTTTTTTCTGATATGTGTAGCCACTTTTAATCTCTTTTGATTATTATTTGCATGAAATATCTTTTTCTCTCCCTTTACTTTCTGCCTATGTGTGTCTTTAAATTAAAATGAGTATCTTATAGGCAGCATATGGCTGGATTTTTTTAAATCCATTTAGCCACTCTATGTCTTTTGATTAAAACATGGACTTTATTAGTATGTCAGGCAAATCTATAATATATTAGGAAATAATTGTAAATCAAAGAAAAGATAAATACAATTAAAAACAGAATGTTCTACAGTTAAAAAGAATGAGGAGACTCTTTAAGGAGAGGAACTCTCTCACCAAACTATAGTTTGCAGTAGGAATAATATTATTCTCTTGAGGAAACAAGACTATAATCATTGAAGTAATAAATATACAATGGAATGTTTTTTGCATATGTGCCAACTTCCTTCTTTAAATATGTTGTTCACCCAAGCACAGAAAGTTTTACTTTAAAGATTTTACATTTACAACTCATAAACAAGAAATTCTCTGTAGCACATTCTCTGGTAAGTCGGTGATATTTCAGAGCTGCTTAAATAATACTTTCTTACTGTTGGTGGTGGATTTCTTGCTTCCATGTGACTGGGGAGGGTAAGAAATTTTTCTCTAATTACCAGTTACACTCTCCACCTGGATTTGATCTGAATTGGCCAATTCCTTCCCAGTTATGAAACAGGTTAGATATATGTGACCTCAAGTAATATGGAATTTATGTAACACTATAGTCTTCAGAATGTAGATGGTTTCTTAGAGATTCTTTTAATAGTAACAGTATGAGATTGGCTGAGTATAATCCTAGTTAAAAATATGGAAAACTCTGTAACTCTATTAACCATTCTAATTATATTACTTATAGGACAATAACATAAATAATTTCTCTAATATATTATTTTTAATGAATGTATACAAATGATTGGTAAGTGTTCTGTTTCTATGTTATTCTACGTATAGTATTTAGTCCTATAAGAATACACTTTTCAAAATCTACCTATAAAGTAGATATAGATATAGATTTTAGTCTAATACTATAGAACATTTCCAAGTGCTCTTGGAAATGTAATGAAAGAGTAAGGAAGTATAGTTTTCACTAAAAGGCTATAGCACAGAACATAAATTCTTTATTTGTTTATACACCTGAGGAAGATGGCCTTTTCTACAAATTCCATAATTTATTAGTCAAAACAAACTTACCATCAGCTGTCTTTTAAAAGCCTTTTCCTTTTAGACACAAAGGAGTGAAAATTCTAGGTTCATTATGAACTCATTTTATTAGTGAATAAGGAAATCTTAATTTAATATATAAAAATCAAGAAATTCATTAATGATATGAGAGAGAGAGAAAACACCAATAAACAAAAAATTCTTTGTCTTCATTTGAGGTTACTATCTCCTTTGTCTTCAATTAAGGTTATTATTCAATTCTTTATTCTGAAAATTGGCATTTCTGGGAAGTAGATACCACCAGAAGATGAAGAAAACTATATATATAATAAATATAAATATACTATAAATATATAAAAAGATATACAAATGTATATGTGTGTAAACACATATGTACATATATGTATATGCATGTTTATGTGTATATATGTAAGAATCATGCCAGCTAAAAATTATAAAAAAATAAGTAATTAGAAAAGTACTATTTTTGAAAATTCTTATGAAAGAATTGATTCAGCAATGGATAAAAAATCAGTGTTAAAACTATTAAGTGAAATGTTGATAGAAGGTGAACACTTGCATATTTCAAGAATATCACCCCCCCAGAAACTGATGTTATTTACTACTAACAGCCTCCTTCACTAAGAGAAATTTTTAGGAATGTACTTTAGAAAAAGGAAAATGATCCCAGGAAGATTTGAGTTTCAGAAAAAAAAAAATGCCTTTTCTCTGCCTTTTCCTGCCCCACTAACCTAGAGAAAAGAAAAAGGAAAGTGCGTAAAAAGATAAACATGTAAATGTGGCAATTATTTTGAACAATTCTGACAACTGGATTCAAACAATCTGAATTAATTTTAATGAAGGTTTCCCAAAGTATTTTATAGGGTATCTAGTCCATTTGAACTTTTAAACTGCTAAAGCAAATTTCTTAATTTTCAAATTGTCGACGAAAAGAGTCAAACTCTGTAAGATATTTAAAGAGATTTATTCTGAGCCAAATATGAGTGACCATGGCCTGTGACACAGCCCTCAGGAGATCCTGAGAACATGTGCCTAAGGTGGTTGGGGCACAGCTTGGTTTTATACATTTTTGGGAGACATAAAACATCAGTCAAATACATTTAGGATGTATACTGGTTTGGTTAGGTTCTGAAAGGCAGGACAACTTGAAGTGGGAAGGCGAGGTGTGGGGGTTCCAGGTTATAGGTAGATTTAAACATTTTCTGGTTGACAATTGGTTGAGTTAATCTAAAGACTTGGGATCAACAGAAAGGAAATATCTGGGTTAAAATAAGGGTTTGTGGAGGTCAAAGTTCTTATTATGCAGCTGAAGACTTCAGGTAACAGGCTTCAGAGAGAATGCACTGTAAATGTTTCTTATCAGACCTAAGGTCTGTGTTGATGTTAATACTGGAGGATGTAATGAGGCATGTCTGATCCCAACTTCCTGTCATGGTCTAAACCAGTCTTTAGGGTTAAATTTTAGAGTACCTTGGCCTAGGAGGAAGTTCATTCAGATAGTTGGAGGCCTTAGAATTTTATTTTTGGTTACATTCTCCTCCTTCTGGCAAGATTTGCCAGGGACAACATCAATGGCCAGCAAATCTTTATTTTGTCTCATAACGTTGCTAGTGTGGCATGGCTGCTGCTCCAGGTCCATCCTGTTATATGGTGGGACTTCCCATGGCCAAGGGTCTTAGAGTCTAAAGGCTTTTAGCCAATTAAATGTTCTAGGCCAGATAGGAATAGATGTAGACAGGCATTTACTACCTCTTAAAATTATTATTTTAAGTAAAAAGCCAACAAACAAAAACTAAAGGCAAAAACTGACTTATCCTTAACTTCTATGCATTCAGCTACAGTAATCTTGGTATTAGTACAGACTTATAGCAATGAGCTGTACAAAAACATAAGCACTGTTCTGAAAAAGACATTTAAAACAATATGTCTATCTCTACAACTCATATCTGGGAGTATTATACCCAGGAGGCTTTGTCACAAAGTATCATTATCCTGCCAGTAAATATTTTCTTTTAATTCTACAGGAAGCAGAAAATTCTTGATGGTTGGGTTGAATGCAAAAGTGCCACAGAATAGCTTAGATGGAAAAATCTCTTCTTTTGCGAGCTGTTTAGGCATCTTTGTACCCCTCCTTGATTTGGACCTTGACCTAATTCTATTCCTCAAAACCAGCCTTTACAATCTCATGCACCCATCTATTCTGTGACAGTCCCTAAGCCCAAAGGAAGGGTGCTTGTAAGGTTTTAGCAGCAGGGATGCTGCCAAACAGTGGGATGCCAGATGAGGGAGACTTGAATCTCTGACCTTCAGAATACAATGATTTTTTTGTTTCCTTGGAAGTAAAACAAGGATAAATAAACAACATTAATATTTTGACAATCAAAAGAATATGTGTGTGTCAGAAACAGAAAAAGGAACTTATTCTATTAGGGCACCAATTAAAGATATGAACAAAAATTATAATCGGGTACTTTCTAGAGATTATTGTAGCTAAGAAATAATTTATGATTCAATCTGCACTCAAAAAAACAAAAGTTAGGGCTGAAATCTAGTATCAAGTGTTACACTTTATCTTTGAAACAATTTTTCTTTCTGTAGCCCTCCTTTTCTATTAAAGAGAAACTATAATAGGACCAATTTGTGTGCAAAATAAGTTTTAGGCTTATTATACTTAGCCTGATTATTTGCATAAAATGCAGCAAGAATTGATTGGCCATATAGGCTTCTTTTAAGTTGGCTTTGCTGGAACTTTACCTAAAAATGATATTTTGGTCAAAGTCTTGGTAAAACAATCAGTGTCTCCAATTGTTCTGTTTTAAAATCTCTTATTAAACTTATGCAAATATTTATATTGTCATAAAATCATAATCCAAATTTTTGCAGAACTCAGAGAGAAAGGTAAATTTGCTTATAAAAAATATACTTCACCCAAATAACTCTAAAGAAAAAAAGAGTTTTTTGAGCCTTCTTTAATCAGAGCAGCAGCCTTCCGAACAAGAGTTTGTTCACCTTGGAACTGCCATTTACGTGCTAAACAGCTCTTGTTACAGGAGAGCTGCTATCAGGCGCTGTAGAATTTAGCAGCTCTTTGCATAGTTAGAGACAGTCCTTGTTAGGGACAAACTGCCTCAGGAAAGCTTCTTGGTGCTGCCCACCCCTCCCCCTAATACTCTGCAACTCTTCTCCATGCTGCCCACCCTTCCCCCAAGCCTCTTTACATTCCTAAGCCCTTATCTAGGTGCTGCAGTGAAGCCAGCAGACTTCACCTATCAGGCCTTTCTGCGATAAGCAAACTCCAATTATAAACCAACCTGATCGCACAGGGGGAGGTCTTGGGAAGCATAAACAAAGTTTACCTACACCCTCCTGTAAGTTCCTGTTCGTCTAGCTGCTACTATAAATGTCTCAAGGTGATATGAGGCAAAATTAACCAGCAAACAATCCCAGGATGTGGCCATACCAAAGAACTCCCTCAAACTCCCCTCCTCAATACAAAACCCTTGTTCTGTAAGCTTGGGGCTGCTTCCTCTGACTGTTAAGGGGGCAGCCGGCAGGTTAACAAAAACGTGCTTGCCTGACTTTGGGTCTATTTTTCCTTTCTCTCGGCTAACCTTACAGTCCTTGGGAGAAAAAAAAAAAGGTTTCCTGCTCATGAGTCTACTCCTTGTATTCCCAGGTAGCAAGATCCTATGTAAACCATTTTTATTTTATCATGGAACTCTTTTGGGCACCATTATTTTCATTAGCACAGGAGTAGCTTCAGTTAACGTTCCATAGCAAGATAATAAATACCCTCAAGTGGAAATTCTCTAGTCTAGTAGTTGTCATTGGGAAATACTCGCAGTCTTTTGCCATAACCCCCAATACATGCTCCACAAAGGGCTATGAGGTAGAGAATTTGTCCTGACTAGTACTGTACTTCAGCTTCTACCCTATATTCTGTGAGCTCAGGCAATCTTACTAGTTCCCATTTAGTGTGTCCAATTAACATTTCTCAAAGAGCAGATTTCCATGCTTTTAGTTTTATAGTACTAGATAGAGAAAACATCTCCCTGTCAGATACAAAACCCATTTTTATAAGACATTTAGGTAAAGGGGTTACAACCACCTTACATAAACCCTGTTCAAACATCTTAAATATCATAATTTTATTAACATGCATATTTTTATGTCCTGGTCTCAGGAACTTTTTTTTCCTACCCCCTAGAATATTTTGCCTTTTCTGGTGAAAAAGGGTTTGGGTTCCCAGCAGGGAGTTGCATCTGTAGGACCCATGAGGGACAGCAAATTTGATAAGGCTTCTCAAACAGTTGTATGATTCCATGGGGTGGAGGGGGGAGGTGGGCACCCATGTACAAGGGGCCCTCTTAACCCCCAAATTTACCATGGCCTGGGTAATAGGCATATTCAGTGGGAGGATATCCCAGTCATCATAAAGCCAGTCCCACATGGCTCACAAATGAGGCCTGTTAACTGCTTCATCTGGGGTGTTCCACTTGGAATTTTATAGGGCAGTCTCCTTCTCAAGGAAAACAGATTTTACAGTGGCATTTATCTGGTCCACTAGGCTGGTTGGAATAACCAAGAATAACCTCCTGTGCATTTGGATCACATACACTCATTAGTCATTGTTAAATACTGAGCTGTGGGTCCTGCATCAACCCAAACAATCTCTTAAATTCTATAGTATTTAAAATTAAGAATTTTGTCCTTAAAGTGGTTATTTTTACAATCCACTATGGTATAGATTTTTCAAGAAACTGATGACACCAATTTAAAAATGGAAAAATTCTTTTACATTATACCTTCTGTTTTTGATAGTTACTTGGTTTTGCCCTTCCCCCTTCTTGGTAACCACAGGTCTCAGAGGTAACTATTGTTGCCCTGGCTTAATTTTTCTTTTCATCCATTTAGTTTTAGCTGTATCATTTTTCCTTCACTTTAAAGTGACTCTTAGTTTCTTAACTAGAAAAAATATATTTTTTTAGCAAAATTGATATCTTTGTGTTTTATAAACCTCACCAAAAACCACGTTACTCTCCTACTATTTTAACTTAGTAACCCAAATCTCGGTGGAAAAAAATACAAAAACAAGATTACTTAACTTACCATAACATGACTTTTAAGATTTTAAATTATTGGAGAGAATGTTGAGATCAAATTTACCAAATTAATTTTATCAAAGATTGCCAAGGTCATGTGAATTAAAAGGCATCCGAGTTAGCCCTATTAGCCTACCAGTCTAATAAGCACTTACTTTTTTTTTCAAGTCAATTGATTAGCTCTTTCATATAGTTCAGTAGTGAAATACTACTTCCACATGACATATTATAAGGCTAGAGCTATAATAGGTATGCAGAATAAAAAAGGCAGGTCTAAAAGATATTTAATTTGCCTGTTTTCAAAAAATATTATCTCCCTTACTTTAGATTATTAATTTTAAAAAGTTACAATAGCCAACCAAAGGTGAAAGAGAGTTACCATACAAGGCCTTTTTAAAAGAGAGGAGCTGAGGGGTGGGTGTGGTGGCTCACACCCATAATAGCAGCACTGTGGGAGGCCAAGGTGGGCAGGTCATCTTAGGTCAGGAGTTCAACATCAGGCTGGGCAACATGGTGAAATCCCATCTCTACTAAAAATACAAAAATTAGCTGGGCGTGGTGGTGGCCACCTGTAGTCTCAGTTACTCGGGAGGCTGAGGCAGGAGAATTGCTTGAATCCAGGAGGAGGAGTTTGCAGTGAGCCAAGATTGTACCATTGCACTCCAGGCTGCAAGAGTGAAACTCCATCTCAAAAAATAAAATAAAATAAAATAAAAAAGGAGCTGAAGCAGCAGGGTGGACCTGAGATATTAATCTGAATAATGTCAAAAAGAAACAGATTATAGAATTTAAAAATTAAAAACTTCTTGCATTAAAAGTAACTCAATATTTTTAATAAGATCTTGTTTTAACTAATTCTGTCATTTTGATTTGTGTATTTTTAATATCAAAGACCCATCTCTAGAAAGTCTATGATAATTTCCTTTAATGATAGCCAACTGAACTATACTACCTTTTTTAAAAAAATACCTCTTTTACTAACCTTTTTATGACTTACATAGAACATCCACGACATGCTTGGACTCCCTGTTTTGTCCTAAATATCCCTCTTTCTTGAAGAACCAGTCATCTTATTTTAGGACAAAAATTCATTGTAGAAGATTCTCATATAAGATCACTTTCCTTTTAACCTTCCTGACCAAAAATGCCTCTTTATATCTATAACTTTCTTTACCTCCCTCTTATTTCCTGGTTCTTTTTACCTTGTTTTGTATGTAACCTCTAAATAACTTTTGAGTTAGACAAAAAATATTCACCTTTCAATAAGAACACACATTTTAAAAAAATGTTTTTTTATAATTTTTAAACGGGAAATTACCCAGACATTTAAATAGTATCTATTAATATAACCTTAGTATCTAAATTATATGGCAAATTTGTTTATAATAATTTATTTTATTATGTTTACTTTATTACTTCATTTAATAGTTTACCTAGATTATTTATGAAAGTTAACTCCCTGTTAACCATTTTGTTTTTTTGAGACAGAGTTTTACTCTTGTTGCCTAGGCTGGAGTGCAATGGCATGATCTCAGCTCACTGCAACCTCTGCCGCACAGGTTCAAGCGATTCTCCTCCCTCAGCCCCCCAAGTAGCTGGGATTACAGGTGCTCACCACCAGGCCTGGCTAATTTTTTGTATTTTTAGTAGAGATGGGGTTTTACTATATTGGCCATGCTGGTCTCAAACTCTTGACCTCAGGCAATCCACCCACCTCGGCCTCTCAAAGTGCTGGGATTACAGGCATGAGCCACCATGCCTGGCTGTTAACCATTTTTGTAACCTATATATAACCATTTTTATAACCTACAAATTTCAGGTGTTTATCTAAATAAACAGACTTATGGTTAAGTAGAAGGGTACTTGTTTTTACCAATAACTCAGGATTTAGCTGTTTTCAGTTAACTAACAATATTAAATACTTTATTTATTAAAAATTACACCAGCAAAGATCATTCTAATTTGGGCTGGGTTTATAGTTTTATAATTCTTATGGCAAATTTTGACACCTTATAGTATTCTGCAGGGATAAGTATGAAACCATTGATTGATCAATAAATGCAAACAAAAATGCTAACTATTCTTAAGGCATTTCTAATATTACTTTACCAATAATTTTAAAGCCAGCTTATTTATTAAAGATTTTACTTAAGTTATATGAACTTAAAAAAGCATTTAACTTAGTCTTTTTTCTAATGAAGTATTTAAGCATTTTTATTTTTCTTTAAGCCAATTAATTAGAGCTCTTTTATATATATTTAGTAGTGAAACTTTATGTATACAACACATAAATACATAGACATATTAGGCATGCTGATAGAAGTACATCTTATAGATTCATAAAACCTCTTTTTATTTCCTATTTTAGACTCCCAGATTCTCCATAACCTGTTTCATTACCCTAGGCAGTTGTCAGCTATGTAGCCCTAAATTTGCATATTAAAGGAAAAACTCTTAGGTGAAAAATCATGTAGCAAAATTTACATCTCAAATTACAGAGAGAAAGTCAGCTGGAGGAAAATTAAAATGGATGTAATTGTCAAGTTAAACATAAAATTTAGAAATCTATAATAGGATTGTACAAGGACACCAATTGTTTTGTACAGGTAGTTCTAATTTTACTCCCTATCTTTTAACTGGACATCTGAGCTCTGCAGAGAACTCACACTGTGTATTGGGTCTCCAAATAGAGAATTATTATAAGGCTAGACCATCCTTTTACAGTTTTCCTTCCCTTTTTTTTAATGAAGACATTTCTCTAAGTGTCTAAGCTACACTCTTTCTTACTTTAAACATCTAAGTGTAAAAAATCAGACAACACATTACAAATGAAAGCAGGTTAAAATCTGAGAAGAAACTTGTGTGTTTTCTCTTGGGATTCCATAAAGAAAAAGAAGTTTCTCCCCAGAAAGGTGTCTGGTGCCTTCTCTGTTTTATTTAAGGAATTTCAGGCTGTTAGAAACTATTTAAGAAAAGCTTTCTGAAGAACAAGGTCATAGGAGAGAAAATAAAAACCAAAAAACATAAAGGCCTTATGTATATGTGTGTGTGTATATATATATATACACACACACATATATATATACACACACATATATATATACACACACACATATATATATATATATATATATATATATATATATATATATATATATACACACACACACACACACATACATGTTGGCAACAGACCACCAAATCTTGCCATAAACTGGCTGACACAGAAAACAATTATACTTATGGGGCATATTTATCAATCTTGGCTGGCAATAATGCCTGGATGTAATCGCTCTATGACCCAGTTACACATGCTCTCTGATCTCAGTATTTACCATAATAAATCTGCTCATAATTAAGGCATACCACCCTCAAAAACCTATTTGTAAATAAAATTGAACCTGGCCAGAAAAAATGAATGTTCTTGTTTGGGAAGATTGCATTACAGAGCAGGCAGAGGTGCTGAGCAATGATTCCTATGGAATTGTTATTATTTGGTCTAGAAGGACATCATTATTATTTGGTCTAGAAGGACACTCTACAAACTTTGTCTTTGGATATTGCAAAATTAAAATAACAAATATTTAAAGCATCCCAGGCACACCTGACTTTAATGCCAGGAAATGGAGTGCTTGAAGGAGCTGCAGACAGATTAGCAGCAGTTGCTTTTATCACTTTGCAAAACAAAGAAGGGGGACATGTTAGGAACAGGACCCCCAAATCTGGCCATAAACTGGCCCCAAAACTGGCCATAAACAAAATGTCTGCAGCACTGTGACATGTTCATGATGGCCGTGATGCCCATGCTGAAGGTTATGGGTTTACCGGAATGAGGGCAAGGAGCACCTGGCCCACCCAGGGCGGAAAACCACTTAAGGGTGTTCCTGAACCACAAACAATAGCATGAGTGATTTGTGCCTTAAGGACATGTTACTGCTGCAGATAACTAGCCAGACCCATCCTTTGTTTCACCCTATCCCTTTGTTTCCCATAAGGAATACTTTTAGTAAATCTACAATCAATAGAAACAATGCTTATCACTAGCTTGCTGTCAATAAATATGTAGGTAAATCTCTGTTTGAGGCTGTCAGCTCTGAAGGCTGTGAGACCCCTGATTTCCCACTCCACACCCTATATTTCTGTGTGTGCGTCTTTAATTCCTCTAGTGCCGCTGGGTTAGGGTCTCCACGACTGAGCTGGTCTTGGCATATACACACATACCTACACAGACACACACTCACACACAAACATACATACACACAATCATCCTATAGCTTTTACTTCAGAACTGTAGCCATAAGATATTAATACAGATTCATAGACTTGCAAAAAAAAAATAAAAAAAAAAAAAAACAAGATTAAAACTATGGGTTTTATCTCAGTAGAAAAGAAACAGCCGATTTATAGCAGGCAAAAAATAAAATCGAGAAAAAGAGAATTTAGGAACTCTATAGTTGCAGGATGACCTTAAGCCTCCTTTTCCTTGATGTAAATGTGGACAAAGACCATGATATGTACATTTAACACAAACACTTGCAAATAGAGGTGCCATAAGGCCAACAGAGTGCCCCAAAGAGGGTTATTCTCCCTTTTTTTCTCCTCATTCTTAGTGTTTCCCACTTTTTTTTAAGGGAATAACTGAGCTGTGGTCTAGGGTTTTAGTGTGCTGGGTCAAGGTATGCTGGTTGTGGGTAGGACTCCACAATGTGTGACCACTGAGTCATGCCTGCCCTCTTATGTGTTTCAGTTTCTCTTTCCAGAGGTCTAAGCACCTCCAGGAGGGCTCAAAGCACAGAGTGACCAGCTCCTATTTGTGATTCCTAGACAAGCCATTTTAAACTAATTTTGTTGGGGGCTCCCGGTAGGACTGCTGCCTCATGGGGGTCAATCCCCCAGACACTCCCACTCGACCCCTGGTCACTCAGGTGTGACTTTCAGCTTGGAGGAGCAAAATGCCTTTTCTTTTCAGAGCTTAGAAAACTCGGTCTCTCATTTATATATGAAAATGACAGTTCAATTTCTCATGCAAATGCACACACAAGCCAAATTGAGATTAATATTGGGAGATACAGCAATAGAGAAGACCCTTTAGAATGCATCTGTGAACTGGAATGAGAATCCTAAACAACAACTTCTCAGGAAACAAAAAAACTAGCTCAGAATAAACCAAGGACCATCAATCAAAGGGAAGTTTGGGGCTCAGGAGGACTCACCAGTTCCACCAGAGGAGAAGGTCAAAGTTAGGGAGGCTTTCAATGGGCCCCTGATGTTACTTTAGCTCCAAGTTTGAGCAACTTCTTCAGGGTCCCAAGTGTTTTCTGAGGCCCCACATGTTTGGCCACCAAATTATTGTTGATGAAAAGAGTCAAACTCTGTAAAATATTTGTAAGGATTTATTCTGAGCCAAATATAAGTGACCTATGACCTATATTTATTCTGAGCAACATACAAGTGACCTATGACACAGCACTCAAGAGGTCCTGAGAACATGTGCCTGGGGTGTTTGGGACATAGCTTGGTTTTATACATTTTTGGGAGACAAGAGACATCAATTAAGTACATTTAAAATGTATATTGGTTTGGCTCAGTTCAGAAAGCAGAATGACTCAAAGTAACTGGGAGGGGATGGTTTCCAGGTTATTGGTAGGTTTAAAAATTTCCTGGTTGACAATTGGTTGAGTTAATCTAAAGACTTGGGATCAATAATAGAAAGGAAATGTGTAGGGTAAGATGAGAGATTGTGGAGATCAAAGTTCTTATGCAGATGAAGGCTTCAGGTAAAGGGTTCAGAGGGAATAGATTGTAAATGTTTCTTATCAGACTTAAGGTCTGTGTTGATGTTAATGCTAGAGGGTATAACTAGGCATGTCTGACTCCAACTTCCTGTCTTGGCCTGATCCAGTCTTTAGGGTTAAATTTTAGGGTGCTCTGACCTAGGAGGAAGTCCATTTAGATGGTTGGGAGGCCTTAGAATTTTATTTTTGGTTTACAAAATAGACACTATCAGATTTTTTAAAATCCATTAAAGCCAAAGGTATCCTATTGAAACTAAAAATTTCACACAATTTAGTTTTATACTCAAACTTTTTCAAACACTTTGATTAAATGATCATGTAGGTTAATACAAACACATTAACTTTTGATGCTCTTTTAAGGTTATTTAAAAAGTAAGTACTCATCTAAGCCCAAATAAAGAAAACAACCATCATCACCTCCATTTGAGAGGATTGAAAGATGAATTGCTGTCTAAATAATTAGAAAAGTAGTATTTTTGAAAATTTATATGAAACAATCAGTTTTAATTTGAGTCAAAGGGAAAGTAACATTCTGAGAAGGGGATGGGCCACAGGAATATACTTACCACATAAATGTTTAAGAGCAGAGTGTGAGGTTGCCATGGACTGAATGTTTATTTCCTCTAAAAATTCTTATGTAGTAGCCCTAATCTCCAAAGTCTGAAGATGGGGCCTTTGGTAGGTAATTAAGTCTTGAGGGTGGAACCCACATAATCAGATTGTGCCCTTATAAGGAAGAGACGTAAGGGAGCTTGCTTCCTCTCTCTGTTCTCCACCATGTGACAATACAGTGAGAAGATGGCCATCTGTAAACCAAGATGAAAGCCCTCACAAGAACTTGACCATGCTGGCAGCCTGACCTGAGACTTCTCAGATTCTGGAACTCTAAGAAGTAAATATCTGTTGTTTAAGCCTCCCAGTGTATGGTAATTGTTATAGCAGCCCTAACAGATTAAGTCAGAGGGAGAGAAGAGGGATTGGATCAGATTAACAAAAAGTACAAAGCAGTGTGAGAATGAAAGTTACAAAGTTAATGATTGAGACTCAGTGGTTCCTGAGATACACAAGAAGTATATGGTACTGTAAGATTAGCACTGAAACTCTTAGAGGAGAAGACAGGCAGTGTGTCCATTGCTGTGGTTCAGGAGTCTTTGCTTGATAGAAAAAGGATCAATGGGGCCAGGCGTGGTGGCTCATACCTATAATCCCAGCACTTTGGGAGGCCGATGTGGGTGGATCACTTGAGGTCAGGCGTTTGAGACCAGCCTGGCCAACATGGTGAAACCCTGTCTCTACTAAAAATACAAAAAGTAGCTGGGTGTGGTGGTGCACTCCTATAATCCCAGATACTCAGGTGGCTGCAACACAGGAATTGCTTGAGCCCAGGAAGTGGAGGTTGCAATGAGCTGAGATGGTACCACTGCACTGCAGCCTGGGTAATAGATGAAGACTCCATCCAAAAAAAAAAAAAAAAAAAAAAGGCAGGTGTGGGGATGATCAATGGGATAGCCAACTCTTGTCATTCTCACTTCCAGTTGGAAGAGCAATTGTTCTTGATCAGCAACACAATTTCTAGATCTAGTTTATCCTACAAAATGTCCTGTTGCTTAGTTTCCTTCAATTTACCCACACCACATAATCATAGCTCTTCATTAAAAAATATATGTGTGTGTGTGTGTATGTGTGTGTGTGTGTGTGTGTGTGTGTGTGTGTGTGTGTGTGTGTGTGGTTTAGGGAAATCTTTTTGCTTTTTTTTTTTAAAAAAGCAAAATTTATTTAAAAACCACATTTTTTTATGTCTGAGTTTCAGTATATTGCCACTGCAATTAGATGTTTTTTGTATTTTTATAGTTGAACTTTTGAAAATGCTTCATTTCCTTTGGCATTAAAGTCTAATTTTGTACACTAAATTTAGATGAGTAAGTATTAGCAAAGAAAATGTAACTTCCTTAATTTAATTGTTTGTATGAGGTATTATTCAACCATTTGTTAGATGGGGCCTTTGGGAGGTTATTAAGCCTTGAGGATGGAGCTGTCATAATCAAATTGTGTCCTTATAAGAAAAGACTTGAGAGCTTGTTTCCTCTCTGCTCTCCACCATGTGAGAATATAGTGAGAAGACAACCATCTGTAAACCAGGAAGAAAGCCCTCACCAAGAATTTGACCATGCTGGCAGCCTAACCTGGGACTTCCCAGCCTTGAGAAACTCCATTTCCTTTCTCAAGGCTTATTTAAACTGTGACATTTAATAATGTACTTGGACTAAATAAAATGAATGAGAGTAGAGACAACCGAAAGAAATATCTTAAAGTTTTCAGTTAGGATACCTTTTCTGCTGATTTTAAAATTCACTTTGAAACATTCTGTTTTAGAATTATGTCTTTTTTGAGTAAATTCCAAATCTGTCTGGTTTTTCTCTGCTGTTTTTTCCCCAAAGATGTCAGTACATTTATATAATATTGTGGCCATAAGAAATGTTTCTCATATTTGAAACTGAGCCCTTTATTGTCTATACACTTGAGAGGCTGGTGTGTTGCAGTAATTGGCTTTTTCTGAGGTGCTCATAGTCATAGCTATCACTTTCCCACTTATATCATCAGCTTTAAATATTGGTGAACAGCAGCAACATTGAATTGTTTTTCCTTTCTCTCCTTGGCAATGAAAAATGTACTCCCTCACTGAATACCAAATATAATACTTAATTAAGTCCAATATCATATTTTATTTCCTATAGCTGTTGAATATTATTTCTTTATATCTCATTATCCTCAGAGATCTTGATGACATAGAAATGAGATCATGAAGAAGAAATGAGTTTTTTGGAAAATTTAATTTATCAAGAAATCTTTCTAAAATGACACTTTCTAGGGAATCAAATAGATGAAATATGACTTAAATACATATAGAACTATATATGATAAAAAAAAGCTGTTGAAATTAAATTCTGAATAAAATAGATGAATCTGTGGCAGAAGTAAATAAGTATGAAATACATACAGTGATTTACTCCTTATTCTTATTAAATATTGCAGTTGTGGAAAGCAGAAGGGCTGACATTGATCATTTAAAGTGAAGGATAATTAGTGGCTATAGGGGACTTGGGTTGGGAGTGGCTGTTGATTTGCTATGGTCAATTGGCTATAAAATTTAAAAAAATGTCTCCATAGAGGCTGATTCTGACACAGGAGGAAAAAAGACATTATGTGAACAAGCAGGCATAAATACTGTTCAACAAGACCCTTAATATTTGGTAATGTCGTACCCCAAAAGAGATCTGCAATCAGATGGTAAGCAGACTTGACCCAAAGTTTGATTTTAAGATCAGGTTGTTTTTATCTTTCCACCTCACAGGATGCTTTATGTAGTAATAATATTTTAATGACAAAATAATCATAGTAAGCATTAGAATTTTTTATTTATTGCTTACTAGCCACCATTTAATATGTTAAGCTGTTTATGTGAATTATCTCATTTAATTCTAACAGCAGTCTTAGGAGGTTGACAATTTTATTACTGACCTACTTACTATCAGAGAAATTAAAAGACAAGATAACATGACTAGTAAAACCATGATTTGTCTCCAGTGAGCTGACTCTAGATCACATGTTCTTGATCTCTTTTACATTTTTATGATTGAAATTTTAGTTTGTATTGAGACAATTGTAGATTCACATGCAGTTTAAAGTGATAGTACTGAGAAATCATTTGTGCACTTAGCCCAGTTTTTCCCAATGGTAACATTTTGCAAAATTATAGTATAATATTACAATAAGTACACTGACGTTTATACAATCCACCAGTCTTACTCAGATTTCCTCAGGTTTTTTTTTGTACTCATGTGCTTGGGTGTGTGTTTTATATTCTATATGATTTTATTATCTAAGTTCATATATTTGCCACCACAGTCAAGATACTGAACAATTCTCACACCACAAAAATTCTGCATGTTAACCTTTTATAAACACATTCATCTCCCTCTTATTCTTCCCTCATTCCTATCCCCGGGCAACCACTAATCTTCCCTCTATTTCTAAAGTTGTGTCATTAAAAAAAATTTTTTATATAAGTGTAATTATATAGTATGTACACTTTTGTAATTGACCTTTTTCACTGGAGAGTCATTCATGTTGATGAGTTTATCAACAATTCCATAATTTATTCACTTTTATTGTGATTTAGTATTGCATGGTGTGAATGTACCACAGTTTAAGTATTTACCTGTTGAAGGACATCTGCGTTATTTACAGTTTTTGGCTATTACAAATAAAGCTACTTTCAACACTTTAGCTTGTTGTATGAAACAAATTTCCTTTAGCTTACATAGTAATTTAATGTTGAATATTATAAGAAACTTTGAAATTGTATTAATCAGGGTCTTCCCGGACAAACCGAGGACTGTGCTGCTTATTCTCGTGGCCCAATAACAAGATGCAGATGAACTGGGAAAGAAGGGAGTTTATTTCTGTATCTGGGTATAGGGAGAAGGCTTGGAAAATATTGCCAGACCAACTCAAAATTGCAAAGTTTTTCAGAGCTTATGTACCCTCTATGCTATATGTTTACGTGTAGGTGTGCATTCATCAAAAGACATAAGTGGTTAACTTCTAATCTGTAACTAAGATCTGAGTCCTGAAGATGTTCCTCTGGAGCCTCAGTAAATTTACTTAATCTAAATGGGTCTAGGTGCTGGGGTGATTACCCTTATCTTGTCTCTTGCTAAATCCTGGAGGTTTGGGGAGTTCCTTCAGACCCCAATAAACTTGTTTGTGGAGGTCTGGAGAGTTTCTTCAGACCCCCAATAAAACTTGTTTAATCCTAAATGGGTCCGGTTAAGAATTCCTTCATTATCTTGTCATGCTTCAAGACCTAGGAAGGGCCTGGGCAAAACTCTCCGTGGGCTTTTGTTACATTCCAGCATTTGCATAAGGGCATTGGCTTCTTCAGTGGTTAACTTAACCACTCAGTCAGAAGCTGATGCCATAACTCTTGGTCTAAGGTTGAAAACCTGAAAACTGGAGGGAGTGGTGTTGGCACAAGTCCTGGAGTCCAGAGGCCAGAAAACTTAGATCTAGATTTTCGATGTCAAAGGGCAGGAGAAGAAAGTTGTCCCAGCTTCAAGAGAAAGAGAGCAAATTCATGTTTTTCCTGTTGTTTGTACTCTGTGGGACCCAAACTGATTGGATGCTGCCTGCCCACATTAACGGCGGATCTTTTCTATTCAGTCCACTGACTCATATAGCAGTTTTCTCTAGAAACACACTCACAGACTTTACCCAGAAATAATGCTTTACCAGCTATCTAGGTATCCCTTAATCCAGTCAAGTTGACACCTAAAATTGACCATTACATAAACTTTTTTTCCTGAGTGGCAGAACCATTTTATGTTTCTACCAGCAATATGTGAGTGATTCAGTTTCTTAGGATCCTCGATAGTATTTGGTGTTGTCATCACTTTTTTTTTAGTTGTTCTGATAAGTATATAGAAATATCTTACTGTGGTTTTAATTTACACTTTCCTAATGGTTGATGACATGGAACAATTTTTAATGTGCATATTTGCCTCCTGTATATCATATTTAGTGAAATGTCTATCACATCTTTTTCCAACATTCTAATTGGATTCTTTTCTTACTGTTGAATTTTGAGAGCTTTAAGATATATTATAAATACTAGTCCTTTGCCAGATATGTGGTTTGCAAATATTTTCTCTGTGACTCCAGCTTGTCGTTTCATTATTTCATGTTCACAGAGCAGAAGTTTTTAATTTTGGTGAGATCCAATTTATCAATGTTTTCTTTTATAGATTGTGCTTTTGGTGTCAAAACGAAGAACACTTTGCCTAGAGCTACATCCTGAAGTTTTTCTTTTATATATTTTGGAAAAGATTCATGGTTTATATATTTTACATTTAAGTCTATATATTGGCCGGGCGTGGTGGCTCACGCCTGTATTCCCCAGCACTTTGGGAGCCCAAGGCGGGCAGATCACAAAGTCAGGAGATGGAGACCATCCTGGCTAACATAGTGAAACCCCGTCTCTACTAAAAATACAAAAAAAGTAGCCAGGTGTGGTGGCAGGCACCTGTAGTCCCAGCTACTTGGGAGGCTGAGGCAGGAGAATGGCCTGAACCTGGGAGGCAGAGCTTGCAGTGAGCCAAGATTGCGTCACTGCACTCCAGCCTGGACGACAGAGCGAGACTTTGTCTCAAAAAAAAAAAAAGTCTATATATTTGTTACTTTTTTGCTTATTTTCAGATGTCCACTTTTTCTAGTATCATATGTTAAAACAAATAAGTATATATATATATATATATATATTTTTTTTTTTTTTTTTTTTTTTTTTTTTTTGAGACGGAGTCTTGCCCTGTCGCCCAGGCTGGAGTGCAGTGGCGCCATCTCAGCTCACTGCAAGCTCTGCCTCCCGGGTTCATGCCATTCTCCTGCCTCAGCCTCCCGAGTATGTGGGACTACAGGCACCCGCCAGCACGCCTGGCTAATTTTTTGTATTTTTAGTAGAGACGGGGTTTCACCGTGTTAGCCAGGATGGTATCGATCTCCTGACCTTGTGATCTGCCTGCCTCGGCCTCCCGAAGTGCTGGGATTACAGGCGTGAGCCACTGCGCCTGGCCGATTATTTTTAAGTAATTGTTTTGTAAATATTACTGGACTATTTTAGTTTCAATAAACGTGATACATATTCTCTTTGAAATGGTACAGGGCTTTTCTCTGTTGCCATTTTCAGTGTGACTACAGAATGTGGGGCCTACATGACACAGAGATAAGTCACCCTTGCCAGAGTGACTGAGTTATGACCCATAATGTTTACATCAATGCATCTTTTATTTCTGTCCAAAGTAGTCAAGATACATCTTCTCCTGTGCTCATTTTCTTTACAGTTTATGTCATGACCACTCTTCATTCCTTTGGGAAACCTCCTCCCAAGTACATGTTTAGATCATGTGATTTATCCATGTCTGCTCTTAGCTTGGTGAGCATTATATGCAAAAACCATTTTGCTTTTATTATAGTATGCAGTTTTGTCTGTTTTAAAGTACTATACTTCTCTTTAAACAGAAGTCATTCCAAATACTGTTGCAATGATTTGAAGTTACAAGCTTCAAATAGGAAAAATAAATGACTCTCTACATCTTATTTATGAGTTCGCTGCATGCCTGCTCCACTAACAAAAGCTTTCACCCATATATGTATTAGTTGAATTTTGTTGTAAGTGAATCAGTTAATTTTTATTCTTACTTGACAGAGTAGATGATTCAATTCATGCAAGTCAGAATGTCAAATTGTTCTGGCAATCTAAGAAAAGGCTGATTTCAATGACAGGAACTCTATGAATACGTGAGTTCTTTGTCTTATGGAACTATCACCGTCATGACATATTGCTAAGGTCTTTGAAACACATTTATAAATTTTATTCTGTTAGAATTTTGGCATGGGCCAAAATTAAAAGCAAATTTGTCTTGCTCATTTCTCCTGTGCAGATTACTTACAATCTGATTGACTCATGAATTGTTCTTTTTATCCTCGACTTGTTAAGTACAAAGCAGTCTCTGAAGCAGAAATAAATTGTCAAAAATTAAAGGCCAAGCAAGGGAGTCAGTAACTTGTCCTTTAGGTTTGGAAAAGCCCCAGGCAAGTTACTTCAAGCCTTTAAGTCATTATCTTGGTGTTTAACATGCCTTGATGATCACTGATGATCTCCCATGTGACATAATGTTCTTTGTGCATAAAGATTAGCCCATATGTGGTTATGCAGCTCTTTTCAAAGTTATCTTCTTTGTAGCAACAGTTTCTATAAAACCCTTTGATATCCTCAATCAGAAAGTAAGTGCTTGCCTTCAGGTAACATAAAGGTATCTTAGCAACAGGAGGAGAAATTACTGCTTACTGCAGTGATTTGTGAAAAAAAATCAGTCTATATTTGGAATGAACTAAGTATATTTGTCAAGTAGAGTCCAGTCAAGGTGGTTTCAATTTCTACTCATTGCTAATTTAATTATTCATTGAGGATCTCTTCTTTGTTTCATCTCACATTTCTCTCTTCCTTGAAAAAGAAAATGAATTTATAGATTCAGTCCTAGATTTTTCCTATTCATTGTAACATATATCCTGATTCTACCTTTTTCACGTCTCAGATTTACTGTAATCTACAGAAGAAAAGCTCCATTTACAAACTAGTTTACAAATAGTACCTTCCAGAATGTTTAATAGAATGTAATGTCAGATGTAATAAACTATAATAGAATGTGACAAAAGAATATGAGATTAACAGCTTTTCAAATCCTAAAGAAAGTAAAAGATAAAGGGAAAACAATAGCTTTGTAAGGAAAGCCAAAATAAAAATATAACTATAACCAGGCATTATGTTTGTAACCCTATTAACTTAAATATAGTTAGCAATGAGCAAAGGAAATGGTGGTGGTGGCTCATGTTTCAAAAACCAGCAAAATAAGAGAAACACACAGTATTCAACCAAGGAAAATAGACTGTTAGCTCATTAGTAGCATAAGGGCTCCCCCCCTTTTTTTTTGGCTAATCAGATTTATTTCTCTTATTTTTTTCCATTATATTATGGCAAAAGTATACAGTGTTACTGTAGGTTTTAAGAGAAAACATGACATATATAATTTTTTAGCCATTGTATGTATAATGTATCAGTAGAAGAAAACAATGGAAAAAGAGGGGTAGGTAGTAAGGCAGATAAATTATTTTTCCCTTTTATAAATGTATACTAATTTACATATTTATGGGGTGCATGCAAGTGTTTGTTACATGCATAGACTAAGTAATGATCAAGTCAGGGTATTTGGGGTATTCATCAACTTGAGTGTTTATCGTGTTTATGTGTTGGTAACGTTTCATTTCTTCTGGTTACCTTGAAATATACATAATACTGTAGCTAAGTATATTCACTCTAGTCTTCAATCAAACATTAGAACTTATTTATTCTAACTAACTGTATGTTTGTATCCATAACCAACCTCTCTCCATTCCCAACTAACCCCCTACCCAGTCTCTGATATGGATTGGGTCTACAGGATCAAGGATTTTATCTCATAAATGAGTGAGAACATGCAATATTTGTCTTTCTGTGCCTTGTTTATTTCATTTAATGACTTCCAGTTCCACTCATGTTGCTGGAAATGACATGATTTGATTCCTAATTTATGGCCAAATAGTGTTTCATTGTGTATGTATACCACACTCTCTTTGCCATTTATCTGTTGATGGGCACTAAAGTTGATTCTATCTCTTAGTTATTGTGAATAGTGCTGCCATAAACATATGAGTGTGGGTATCCTTTTTTTTTATTCTTTTAATTTTTTAGGTTTTTTTAAAAAATGTTTTATCAGACCTGTCAGGGATGAAAGGTATCTTTTAGATATACTGATTATTTTTGTTTGGGTAGATAACACAGTAGGGGGATTGCTAGATCTTATGGTAGCTCTAATTTTAGTTTCCTGAAAAATCTCTATACTGTTTTCCATAGTGATTGTACTAATTTACATTTACACAAACAGTGTATAAGAGTTCCCCTTCCTTTCCTCCTTATCCTCACTTGTTATTTTTTGTTTTTTTAATAATAGTTATTCCAACTGGGGTGAGATAATATCTCATTGTGGTTTTGACTTGCATTTCCGTGATGACTTAAACATTCATGACTTAAACATTTTGAAAATTTACTTGTTGGCCATCTGTATGTCTTCTTTTGCGAAATGTCTATTCACGTCCTTTGCCTATTTTTAATGGGATTTTTTTCTTTTCTTTTTTTTTTTTCACTGTTAAGATGTTTGAGTTCATTGTATATTCTGGATATTAGTCTCTTGTCAGATGAGTACTTTGCAAATATCTTTTCCCATTCAAGACATTGTCTCTTCATTCTGTTTGTTTCTTTTGCTGTGCAGAGCTTTATAGTTTAATATAGTCCCTTTTTGCTAAGGATTGCTTCAGCTATTCAGGCTATTTTTTTGTTCCATATACATTTCAGGTTTTTTTTTTCTATTTGTATGAAAAATGATGTCGATACTTTTATAGAGATTGTATTACATTTGTAGATTGCTTTGGGTAATATGGTCATTTTAATGATATTCTCCTGATCCATGAGCATGGGATGTCTTTTCATTTGTCCTCTTCAGTTTTTTCATCAGTATTCTGTAATTTTCCCTTTAGAGATATTCCACCACCATGGTTAAATGTATTCCTAGGTATTTTATTTTATTTTTTGTAGCTATTGTAATGTGATTGCTTTCTTTTTCAGTTATTTCATTATTGGCATACAAAAGTTTACTGATTTTTATGTATTAAATTTGTATCCTGTTAATTTACTGAATTTGTTCATCAGTTGTAAGAGTTTTCTGGTGGGATCCTTTGGTTTTCCTAGATACAAGATTATGACATCTGCAAAGAGTGACAATTTGACTTCCTGTTTTCAATTTGAATACATTTTCTTTCCTTCCTGCCTTCCTTCGTTCCTTCCTTCCTTCTCTCCCTTCCTTCCTTCCTTTGTTCCTTCCTTCCTTCTCTCCCTTCCTTCCTTCCTTTACTTCCTTCCTCCCTCCCTTCTTTCCTTTCTTCTCTCCCTTCCTTCCTTCTTCCCTCCCTCCCTTCCTCCCTCCCTTCTTCCCTCCCTTCCTTCCTTCCTTGTCTTCCTTCCTTGTTTTCCTTCCTTGCCTTCGTTCCTTCCTTGTCTTCCTTCCTTCCTTCCTTGTTTTCCTTCCTTGCCTCCCTTCCTTCCTTGTCTGCCTGCCTTCCTTCCTTCCTTCCTTCCTTGTTTTCCTTCCTTGCCTCCCTTCCTTCCTTGTCTGCCTGCCTTCCTTCCTTCCTTCCTTCCTCCTTTCCTTCCTTCCTTCCTTCCTTCCTTCCTTCCTTCCTCCTTTCCTTCCTTCCTTCCTTCCTTCCTTCCTTCCTTCCCTCCTTCCTTCCTCCTTTCCTTCCTTCCTTCCTTCCTTCCTTCCTTCCTTCCCTCCTTCCTTCCTTGCTTCCTTGCTTTCCTTTCTTTTTTGCCTGTTAGTTCTGGCCAGGGCTTCCAGTACTATGCTGAATAGGAGAAGTGAAAGTGGGCATCCTTGTCTTGTTCCAGTTCTTAGATAAAAGACTTTCAACTTTTCACCATTTAGTATGATGTTAGCTGTTGGTTTGTCATATATGGTCTTTATAGTTTGAAGTGTGGTCCTTCTTTGCCTAGTTTGTTGAAGGGTTTTATCATAAGGCAGTGTTGAATTTTGTCAAATGCTTTTTCTCTATCTATTAAGATGATCATATGGTTTTTGTCCTTCATTCTGTTGATGTGATGTATCATGCTTATTGATTTGTGTATGTTGAATCATCCTTGCATCTCTAGTACAAGTTCTACTTGTTCATGGTGTATTGTCTTTTTGATGTGGTTTGGATTTGGTTTGCTAGATCCTTTGTACCTATGTTCATCAGGGATATTGGCTGAGGTTTTCTTTATTTCTTGTGTCCTTATCTAATTTTGGTATCAGGGTAATGCTGGATGTAGAATGAGTTAGGGACAAGTCCCTTCTATTCAGTTTTTTGGAATAGTTTGAGTAGGATTGGTATTAGTTTTTCTCTGTATGTTTGGTAGAATTGCACAGTGAATCCATCTGGTCCTGGGCTTTCCTTTGTTGGGAGACTTTTATTACTGATTCAATCTTGCTACCCATTGTTGGTCTGTTCAGGTTTTCTAGTTCTTTGTGATTCAATATTGGTAAGTTGTATGTTTCCAGGAATGTAACCATTGCCTCTAGGTCTTCCAGTTTGTTAGCATGTAATTGTTCATAATAATCTCTGTGCTCTCACAGTGGCACCTGCTGCAGCTGCTTAGGTCATAAGGATGTGAGTGAGCAGCTCAAGTTTCCTGTTTGGTGCAATGCTCTCCTGATTTGGGGTCTCCAAATGAGTGCCTATGCTAGCTAGTGTCAGGGTTCATGTAGGTAGAAGAGCTCTCTCATGGTTTGGATTGCAGCAGTCTGTGGTGGGCATGTGGACCAATGAAGTTCCCTCACTTACTCCTTTCCCATAATACAGACCCCATCTGGGCTCCCAGCAAATCTTGGCTGAGCTGGCTGCTGGCTTCCTCCTCATTCTGTGCCTCAGGTGTTTCTCATACTTCTCTGTTGGATTCTAGTGTTCTCACTAAGATGCTCTCTTCAAGATACGATAAACTAATGGCAATTTTGGGTCTTCTTTCTGGAAAGGGCAAGTGTCTGATGTCTCTAGTCAGCCACCTTGAACTGGAATCCCAGGGGCTTTTGGTACTAGACAAATCTCTTCATTTACAGGCAAGGGATGGGGGGCTAAGAGAAAACATGGGAAGCAAGAATCAAAGCCAGAACTTGAGTTCTCATATTCTGATTCCAAATCAGGTGCTTGCTACCTACCATGTGGCTTATTTAAACTGAATTTTAATTTTATCCATCTTCATATTTGTTTTACTCCCTGACTGGGGTATGTTAGTGGTATGTGTGAATATCCCAATTGTTGTGTATGCACATGGCCTATTAGTATTCTGTAATTTGCATGACTAAGTAAGATATTCATTGTTTGGACAAGAGAAAAAAAGGAAAGGAAATATGGAATGTAGGCCTTTGTACCATTTTTTTTCTTACTACTAAATTTTAGAATAAATTTGTCCATGTTGTAGACAAAGGCATAAGAACTCTGGAGATAATAAAATATAGCTCCTGGGTATGAAAGGAATAGATAGCTTTCTCTGATTTTAAGGATTATCATGTTTAGTTAGAAACTGAAATACTGTAGGAAAAGGCACTAAGTGCTAAAAATATAGGTGATTAAAAACAGATCCAAAGAGTGAGGAATAGCTCTTTCAAGTTATGTGTGCTTCTTTCATCAAGAAACACGGGGCAAACTTCAAGAAATAATTTATGCGTATGCTCCTGGACTTGAATTTGCATACAACCAACAACCTTAGCAGTAAATTACATCTTGCTGCTGACTTTTAAAAGCCCTTAATGTGGTAATAAATCCACACTAGGGTATAGAGTTTCAGTTAGAGAAAAATAGAGGTCTCCCTTTGTTTAGGGTTTGTGCTGATTCCTTTCCTTTCCTTCCTTCCTTCCCTCCTTCCTTCCTTCCTTCCTTCCTTCCATTCAGAGATTTTTGTTTCCAGTATATTTTGATTTTTGATCATCTCAATTCAGCTCATAAAATTAAAGTGAAGCCATAACAAAAATGACCAATTTGTTGGCAATTTTATAGGTATTTGGAATTTTGAGATATAGTCTGTGGCTGTATTGAATGTGAATACCAAGTGATTTACTATATCTCTTGAACTATTTGAGGGTAATAATATAAATGAAGATATCTTTCTTTAGAACTACCAAAAAATACCTTTGTATCTATCTCGCAGAAATTAAGATCTATAATTAAATTTTTAAAGTCTGAGGTTCTATCTAGCTTCTCCTTATAAAGTAAGAGTGTGACTTTAGCAAGTAGTTTAGCTTATTTGAACCATAGTTTCTTAACTGTAAAATCGAAGTAATAGTAAAAATATTTGTAGTTAGAAATAACCTGTGTCTGAAGCAATTTACAATTATATTAGATGGAAATAGCCTTGGATTTGGAGTCACAGTGCCTGCAGTCAGGTCCTGGCTTCTCCATAAACTCTATTTTTTGAAAAACCTGATTTTCTGAACTTCTATTTCGAATTTTACTTGTGATAAACTGTACAGTATTGCTGTGAGGAGCTACATATATGTATACATATATTTATATGTAAAAGCTTTTTTTAAACTGTCATGCAAATGTGAATTTCTTCTATTATTAAGTACTGAGGCTTTATAAACACACACACACACACACACACACACACACACACATGCATATATGGCCACACTGATATACCCTAAAGTGTTGTATAGAATTCTAATCATGGACTCCTGTACACTTCAGCAGGTATTTAATTGCTCAAAATGCCCTTGATGCTCTTTTTGAATGGAATTTAGAGCCAGTGTGCAAGCAAAACAAGATTATTTTATTACTTTATAGTTACACTTTATAACAGACATTAAACACTGACAAGCCAAATCTAAAATATTAGACTTCTCTCACATAAACATTCCAAAGCTCATTCTGGAAGTGAAGCTACAAGAATATAAATCTACACATGATTTGGGGAAGTTCATTTAAAATCCTTTAGCTTCAGGAGGCCGAGGCGGGCAGATCAGGAGGTCAGGAGATCGAGACCGTCCTGGTTAACACGGTGAAACCCGGTCTCTACTAAAAATACAAAAAATTAGCTGGGTGCGGTGGCGGGCGCCTGTAGTCCCAGCTACTCGGGAGGCTGAGGCAGGAGAATGGCCTGAACCCGGGAGGCAGAGCTTGCAGTGAGCCAAGATCGCGCCACTGCACTCCAGCCTGGGCGACAGAGCGAGACTCTGTCTCAAAAAAAAAATAAAAAATAAAAAATAAAAAATAAAAAAAAATCCTTTAACTTCAAAGCTAAAGTCCATTAAGGAAAGAAAAAATTTAATTTTAGTAAAAATATACTTTTCATAGAGGCAGCTTGGGATAAGAAAGGGCAACAGAGCGTGATTTACAAATGAATAGATAAATGCATCAGACATTCCCAGGTAAAGACAAAAGACAAAAAAAAAAAATTGAGTTTACATTCATTATCCTAACTGGCCCTGATTGTAGAATAAGAGTTGAGTTTGAGGGTTAATTCAGTTTCTGCAAGGAAAGTTGTGATTGTTACCTTATATTTTATGGATTAGGAACCTTATGCTCAAAAGGCTCAAGTTAGTTTGCGTTGGGTTTCACAGCCAGCAAGTAGAAAAGTCAGGATTCAGAACTGTGCTCTCTGACCTGCTACAGACATATATGTGATACTGTTTGAGTAGATATATTGTGTCAATTGAGTAAAATGACAAGTCTCAATCATTGTAGGAAATTTATTTGCCAAAGTTATGGGCTCGCTCAGGAAGACAGGTCTATGCCTTTCTCTGAAGATGATTTTGAGGGCTCCAAATTTAAAGGGGAAAGGGCAGGATATTGAGAAGTACACAGTTTTCATGTAAGAGGGGGCTTAGGGAAAAGTAGTCATTCATGCCTTTGTCTGGCTCAGAGAATCGCATTTTTTACATAAGATGACACAAACAAAAGGGTCAGAGGGAAAATGTGGAAATCTGCATTTTACATAAGATAACACAGACAAAATGGAGTAGGGGAACAATCAGATGTGCATTTGTGTCTGGTGGGCTGGGGTGACTGCACCTGTAAAGATAAGCTATCAATTTGCATTGCCATGGTGAAGTTTTAACAGCTCACTAGGAATTTCCTTGTGGGGAAAATATGGGGGAGGCTTGTAGCTTTTCGTCTTGTAGCCATCTCATTTAGGAACCAAAAGGGGGAAGCAGGTTTGAGTGACCCAGTTCCCAGCTTGACATTTCCCTTTGGTTAAATGAGTTTGGGGTCCCCAAATTTAATTTTCTTTCACAATTGAATGCTGCAGGTTAAAAATAAAGTGGTCTATAAAAATAAAATATTGTTGAGCTGAACTTTCTTCTTCCAAGTAGGAAAGATACCCACCAATGCCCTCATATGCATGTAGAAGGAAACCAGCACTCCCTTTACATGTCAGTTCTCAGGCATGTTACTTTTATAACTAGACGTAAGAAAAAGAACTGTCTGTAGGGTGCTCCCTGTATAGTTGGCAATAACTATGTTTGTACACGCAGTTTTGCTACCGGTCAAAAATCCTATCAGGATTTGATGAGAATCAAAGAGCTCATTTCGTAAGGAAAAGGGTCTTAATTTTCTCCTCCGTCCCTGGCTTTTCATGACTGTATGTACATTTGAGTGGCAGTTTCATTAGAACAAACCAAGGACATGAAGGAAGAGATACTTTCTTTGGCCAGATGTGAATTGTTGGGTTAGAAAGAACCAGGCACATTTCTAGGTGAATAAAACATTTGAATATTACAGCAATTGATTGTATTTTTGTACTCTCCTTTGCTACTCAAAATTTAAACTTCTCTATACATGCCCAGTTTTTTATAAAAATAGTATTGGGTTTATAAAATTTAAATAGAAAAGTAGACTGTCATAGGAGCAAGGTATGAAAATGATAATTGTTATATTTGAACAACACTTAATTCTGTGATACATTTTATTTATTATAATAATTTTTATTTTAATTTTACAATACATATTGTTGAACACCAATTTATTTGCTGTAGCCAGGACACAAGAGGAAATAATATGTATTTTAGCTCTGATCATAGAGAAAACGCACTAACACATATACCATCTTATTCTCCTTTTTGGAATGAAATACAGAGGCTTGACCATTCTTTTCTACTCTCCACCTCCAAGATTTATTTTGTGCACTGTTATTTTTTTGTGATTTGAACAATGAATTATAGGGGCAAAATAAGGTGCTTACCATGGCTGCTAAGAGGGCCAATAACCACTGATATACCCACAAATCTCAGCTTAATATTTTCTCCTTCAAATATGTCACTCTTTTTATACTCTTTAATGAATGAAATAGTCATTTCTAGTTGTTAAAATCAGAAACTTGGCATCATCCTTGATTCCTCTTCTGTCACTCCTCCATATCCCTACATTCAGTCACTAGGAACTGTCAGAGGTGTTCAAACCAGAGCAACTCCACTTTGAGTGAGGGCTAGGAAAACAAGGCTGAGACCTGCCGGGCCGCATTCCAGAAAATTAGGCATTCCTAGCCTCTAGATGTTTATGGTTAAGGAAACAAATTAATGATGCTTACTGAAACAGACCCAGACTTGGGTGAGTCCAGATATCCTGATATCTGGAGAACAAGGGCATTCCTAATTTTACTTTAAAGATCATGATATCGATTCTTGCAAAATATAGTAATTAAGGAAATTAATTCTTTATCACAAACCCTTGTAGCAGAGCACATCTCCCTAAGATCTATTTTTATCATGTATATATACATATACATATCCAATGCATATATATGCATTGTATATATATATATACATATATACATACATATACATATATATATGCATTGTACCTAGGGCAGATGCGTTCTTACTTTCAGGAATGTCCTTCTCTGTCTGTGAAGTAGCCGTCCTTTCACCACTTTATTTTCTTAATAAACTTGCTTTTACTTTGCAGTGTGGACTCACCCTGAATTCTTTCCTGGGTGAGATCCAGGAACTCTCTCTTGGGGCTCGACTGGGACCCCTTTCCCATAACAGAACTATTGATGCTATCTCATTATTGTCTTGAGTTTTCTCCATATAGGCCACTCTCTTAGTTCAGGCCATCATCCTTTCTTGCTTTGGTTACTCCATAACTTCTGAATGCTTTCCTTCTTTTTTGTTTTGCCTTACTACATTCATTTCTGATTTTGGCATTTCATATTTTTTTTCCTTGCTGACTGGAAATATATGCTTTCTTCACGATACCAAGAATATATGCATCTCTTTATTAATGACAACTATTACTAGACCACAACATATCCGTATCCTGTTGCTTGAAGACTTCCTTGGAGCCTATTGTATTTCTGTTCTAATTTGGATACTGTTCCAGGATTGCTGCTAAACTCTTATTCTTATAAATATACTTTTTTTCCATGGGAAGTCTTGGTTTAATGCCATTGTTTCTTGTATCCTACATGTTTTCTTCTTCCTTGCATATACTTTTATGGGAATCTATTTTATTTTATTTTCTTTTTTCCTTTTTCTCTTTCTCTCTTTTTTTTTTTTTTTTTTGAGACGGAGTCTCGCTCTGTCGCCAGGTGAGTGTAGTGGCACGATCTGCAACCTCTGCCTCCGGGGTTCAAGCAATGCTCCTGCCTCAGCCTCCTGAGTAGCTGGGACTACAGGTGCCCGCCACCATGCCCGGCCAATTTTTGCATTTTTGGTGGAGATGGGGTTTCACCTTGTTGGCCAGGATGGTCTCAATCTCTTGACCTTCTGAGCCACCTGCCTCAGCCTCCCAAAGTGCTGGGATTACAGGCATGAGCCACCATGCCTGGTGTGAATCAATTTTCAAGAAAATTCTTCAAAAGGGTGAAACTGATAGTAAACTTTGAGTGTTTACATATTTTTATTTTGTTTTACATGTGGAAGTTTATATTCAAACTAATTTTCTCTCAGAACATTAAAGACATTGCTCCATTGTCTTGCATCATATAGTGTTGGAATGAGAAGAGCATAATGCCTGTACCTTTCTCTTTCTTTTGTAGATGATCTTTTATATTTTTTTGTATTTCCATGGAGACCTTAAGATTTCAGTATAATTGGAGTTGTGGGATTTCACACTGACCAAAAAAACACCACACCTCTCTGTAGGAATAGTTATTACAATCCGGAGTATATAGGACTTTCACAAAAATAGACTACCCTAAAATGAGATCCAAACTGAAAAATTACAAACAAAATATAGAAAAATATCCCAATATGAGAGAGACATGGGATATATAGTAGACCAAAGAATTATTCATCCTTTATCCCAGTAATCTAAGGTGTTAGATAAACCTTGTAGAGGTGACAAATAATTAAGTTTAGAGTTATTTTAAAATATAAATAATCATAAAACCATATGAAAGTTGTACATTTTAACAAAAGGCATATTTGTCAAAGAACCAGATCAGCCCAGCAATAAGAAATCGTATTGAAATTTTAAAAGACTCTGTATATGGTGGACAAATTAAATAGCAAATTAGCCATAGCTAAAGACAGAACTAGTGTGTTGAGATAAGGTACTATGGAAATTACACACAACGTCACACAAATCTATAGAATGATATAAAACATGAACGTGAAGTTATGAGATAAGGAAGACAGAATGAGAACATCTGACAAATATCAAGTAGAAACTACAAAAGGAGTAGTAGAATACAAAAAGGTGGCGTGGTATTTGAAATGATAATAGCCAAAAATATTTCCAGAACTTAAGAAAAGTACTAATTTTCATACTGGTATTTAGGAAGTATATAATCGATTCATATTAGACCTCTGTGAAGATCACTTTTTCTTTAAGAGTCCTTTTAAATGTGCATATTCAATTCAAACTCCCTTTGCCTGGCTAACTCTTACATATATTCTTCGTATATATACTTAGATGCCATCTTCTATGAGAAGTCCTCTGTGATCTATTATGTTTGAGTAGGAGCTACTTGTACCTGTGCTTCCTGTGATTACCCAGCATAACACTTCTGGTTACTCAGTTTACAGCATCCCACACCAGATTCTCATACATTTTCTGCTTAGATGTTGTTTTTAACAGTAGAGTGTTTACATCTTTCCACTGTTGAATTTCCACTGACTACCACATAGCAAGCATTCAATATATTTCACACCACATCCTGAGGCTCTGAAGTGCAGGATAATTGCACAGAACCTCAAAAGAAGTATTGAGGCAAGACTTCATATACCATTTTGATGCATCACAAAGTCAATACCATACAGTAAGCTGTAGAAGCTATAGATGAATGTTATCATTTAATTTTTAGTGTTATCAGATTTAGGGAAGAAAATGGATCTTATATTCATCGTGGTAAGAAAAAGATTAAAATATTGTGGCCTTTATGAAAAGATATTCACCTATAATGGTGTTTCTTAAGCATGATTAAATTCACAAACCTCTTTATTATCACTACATTTACTTTAGATTCAGAGGGTACATGTGCAGATTTGTTACATGGATATATTGCACAATGGCAAGGTTTGGGCTTCCAGGGTACCCATCACCCAAATAGTGAATATCATACCAGCAAGTAATTTTTCAACCCTCAACCTCTCTTCCATTCTTCCCCTTTTGGAGTTCCTAGTGAATATTATTTTTATCTTTATATCCATGTGTACCTATTGATAAATCTCTTTAAAAGAAAAAAGTTTATGAATCTTCATAATATATTTTGTTTATGCATTGAAAAATTTATAAAGGTTTATTAAAGACAGCAAAAATTACTTTACTGTAATTTATTTAAAAATATATAAACAGAACTAATTAGAATTCCCTTACATTTATAAATCTCTGGTAAATCTATAAAATCCAAACAAATTTAGAAATTAAATACAAACAAAGACTACAAAACCAAAACAGGCAAATAAATTATATATATTTGGTGTGATACATGATGCTGTTTTCTGAAATTAAATCTCTTCTTGTGTTTTATCTTAAGTTAGCACACCCCTTTTAACATGTGCCTTGTGATGTCTCAATTCTGTCACCACTTTCTGTTTTAAATCACTGTGGCAGTCAATTAGCCTTCATTCAGCACAAAATGCATCCTCTGTGTGATAATCTCCTTGTTCTTTTCTCGTTAGCCTGGACAAATTAATGAAGTATTGCCTGGTAGTAGATCAATTGCTAAAATCAAATTCAACCTGAGGCACTGCAATGTCCAGTAATCTGTAAGTCACCCAATTGATTCAGAATATGCTTCTTTTAATTTTCGGGTTCTCTCAGAGATGAAACATATATTTAAAATTTTTATAGAAAACTCAGTTTGCTAAAATTATGTCCTCATACCTCCAGGTGTACCGAGACTCCTTTTGGAGAGACTTGGCTACTGCTTCGATAACAAACCATTTCTTAATCCTGGTTCTGTATGATCATAATCAATTTGAACATAAGGGAGCTAAATAATAATGCAATTTAACAGTTGTGATTCTGAGCCTTTGAGTTAATAGGAAAGATTATGAAAGGTTATTAGAAAAATGGAGAATATATAAAATAGAAGCTCTTTTGAATCCAGGGTATTTTCAGTAGAATAATCCAAGAAAATATTGTTACTTAAAAAAAATTATTTTTATTATTATTTCTGATTGACAAATCATTATTATATATATTTATGGAGTTCAATGTGATATTTTGATATATGTATAAAATGTGGAATGATCAAATCAAGCTAATTAACCTCTCCATCATTTCCCTTACCTATCTTTTAAAATGTTAAGATGTTTTAAATTTACACTTTTAGTTACTTTGAAATACATAGTACATTATTATTGACTATAGTCACCCTATTGTTTAATGAATCTCAAGACCTAATCTCCTATCTGCAAATTTGTACCTTTTGATCATCTCCTCATTTCCTCTCCCCCATTCCACCCATCCTCTGGTAACCACCATTCTACTGTCTACTACAAGTTCAATTTTTTTAGATTCCATATGTAAGTGAGATCACATGACATTTGTCTTTCTGTGCTTGATTTATTTCACTGAGCATAATGTCCTATAGGTTCATCTACATTGTTGCAAATGATGGAATTTCTTTGTTTTTAAAGACTGAATAGTATTTCATCTACAAATGTACCCTTCACATATACATACATGTATGTACATGTGTGGATTTGTATTATATATATATGTACACATATATTATATATAACTATAATTGTTTCATATATACACACATATATACACACACTATATATATGTGTATATATATATACACACACATATATACACACACTATATATATGTGTATATATATATACACACACATATATACACACACTATATATATGTGTGTATATAGTGGTATATGTGACTATATATACACACACACTATATATATAATATATACATATACATATATGTACTATATACATACTATAGTATGTATATATTTAGTATGTGTGTGTGTATATCTATTCACATATACCACATTTTCTTTATCCATTCATTTGTTGATGGAGACAGATCGATTCCACATCTTTGCTGTTGTGAATAATACTGCAATGAACATAGGAGTACAGATACTGCTTTAACTAATTGATTTCAGTTCCTTTGGATATATACCTAGAAGTAGGATTATTGGATCATAGGGTAGTTCTATTTTCAGATTTTTGAGGAATCTTCATGCCATTTTTCATATTGACTGTACTAATTTACATTTCCACCAACAGTGTACAAGGTTTCCCTTTTCTCCACATCCTGTCAACAATTATCTTTTGTCTTGTTGGTAAAAACCATTCTAACAAGTGTGAGGTGATATCACATTGTGGTTTTAATTTGCATTTCCCTAGTAATAGTGATGCTGGGCATTCTTTCAAATTTCTGTTGGCCATTGGTATATTTTCTTTTGAGAAGTGTTTGTTCAGATCCTTTGCTCATTTTTAAATCAGGTTATTTGCTTTCTTGCTATTAAGTTGTTTAAGTTTTTTACTGTATTAATTTGTTCTCACGGTGCTAATAAAAACATACCCAAGACTGAGTAATTTATAAAGGAAAGAGGTTTAATTGACTCACAGTTCAGCATGGCTGGGGAGGCCTCAGGAAACTTACAGTCTTGGTGGAAGGGAAAGCAAACAGGTCTTTCTTCACATGGTAGCAGTAGGTAGAAGAATGAGAACTGAGTGAATGGGGAAACCCCTTATCAAACTATCAGCTCTCACAAGAACTTACTATCGGGAGACTAGCATGGGGAAAATTGCCCTCACGATTCAATTATCTCCCACTGGGTCCCTCCCACCACATGTGGTGATTATGGGAACTACAATTCAAGATGAGATTTGGGTGGAGACACAGCCAAACCATATCACTTATATATTTTGGATATTAACCCCTTACCAGATGTATGGTTTGTAAATATTTTCTCCCATTCTGTGGGTTGTCTCTTCACTTAGTTAATTGTTTCCTTTGCTCTGCAGGAACTTTTGGTTTGAAGTCACCCCATTTGTCTTTTTCTTTTATTTTTATGTTTTGCTTTTGTTGCCTATGCTTTTGGGATTATAGCCAAAAAAAAAAAAAAGAAAGAAAAAAGTCATCCTAATGGGAAAAGAAAAGGTAAAATTGTCTTGTGTTTGATGGCTACGTGATCTTACAGATGGAAAAATCCTAAAGACTGCAAAATACCGTTAGAACTAAATTCATTTATAAAATGAATACTGTTAGAACTAATTAATTTATTTAAATGAATTAAAATATATGAATTCTTTTATTAAAATGAATTCAGTAAAGGTGCAGGATACAAAATCAACATTCATACAAGAATCACTAGTATTTGTAATCACCAATAATAATCTATCAAAAAAGGAAAGTAAGAAAACAATACCATTTATAATTGCAACCAAATACAATTTAAATACTTAGGTATAAATCTAACCAGGGAGATAAAAGATCCGTATACTAAAAACTACAAAACACTGATAAAAGAAAATGAAGAAAACACAAATTGATGAAAAGATGTCCTATGGTCATGGATTAGAAGAATTAATATTGTGAAAATGTCCATACTACCTAAAGCAATCTGCAGTTTCAGTGCAATCACTATGAAAATTCCAGTGTCATTTTTCATAGCAATAGAAAAGATAATCTTAAACTTGTATGGAACTTCAGAAGACCCTGAATGGCTAAAAACAATCTTGAGCAAAAGGAACAATGCTGGAGATATCACACTCCCTTTTAAAACATATTATGAAGTGATTGTAGCCAAAACAGTATGGTACTAGCATAAAAATGGACACAGAGACCAATGGAATAGGAAGGAAAGCCTGAAAATAAACCCATGCATTTATGTTCAATTGATCTTGAAAATGTTTTCATCTTATTTTGCTTTTTGGTCTTTTTAAATTACATTTTTTTTTGAAAATAACTTTTCAACATACGTAGTGAGTATGTGTTCAGCTTAGGATTAATTCTTTTTGATAACCATTTTCTGCTCAGTGTAACTTTTGTTATATTTAATCCCAGTAACTTCTAGGGATTAAAGTGTTAAAATATCATTAGATTGTTAAAAAAAAGAGAGACACATTTTCATTTCAAGATAACAAGTGAAGTTTCTTGCACTGTGGACCAGATAGTATAAAAATGACCCATTTTATCCTCCTTTGAAAAAGACATGATAAATTGCAACACCCATGGGTCTTTTTTCATTTTGTTTTATTTTGTTTGGTTTTTGGTAGGAATTTGGGAACTCCGCACTCTGTATAAAACTCTATTAAGGTAAATGGGGCAGTAACAGTTATATTGTTAAGAAAATAGTAAAATAGAATGGCCTAACCTTCTGTCTTATTGGTGAGATGGATGCAGTTTCTTCTTTAAAAATAGTTACTATTTTGTTTTGCTTTTGTTACCCCTAAGGTGCATTTTGCCGAATCAGCAGGTAGGTAGATGTGTCTTTTGCATGTATTTATTTTAGAGATAAATATTATGAAGCCTAACTTCACTTGACAACTTCTGACAAATTAAGGATCCCTTTGATGTGTCTTAGTTCCATTATCTAAAGCCAGAAAGTTTGAGTTTTCTTAAACTGTGCTTTCTTCAAAAATCTTAAACTAAAGCTAGATATGTAAAACTGATAAGATATGCACTCTTCTGGTTGAATCTGGAGTGGAGAAGTAAAGAAATCCCCAACTGGTCTTTCTTATCTCTTTTGATAATTTCCGAGTTACCTCTAGGGAACCCATTGAACTCTTTGAAACCACTAACATGTTGAAAACTACTAAACTATCTTAGGACATCAGATTTGTTCTATAGCAAATATGAAGATGTCTTGTGAGGCAATGAGTTCAAAACGTAAACAAAATTGAGGATTCACTCTCATTGGTCAGTCTAAAAACAATCCTGACTCTTGAGGTAAGCTAGGGAGAGAAGAGGTCAAGGCTAAATTACTACTATTCCTACTGTTACTATTTTGTCATTTTTGAAAAACACTAGGTATCGTGGAGTTCCCTTGGGATTACCTTGAGAATTAGTGACTTGAATCCAAGTTTAAGAAATTTGCCAGCTTAGGTCTTTGAGGCCTAAATCTTTCTACTTAGTTTTTAGAAACTAAATAGAAATGAAATAGAAAGATTTAAGATAACTAAAACTAAGTAGAAAACTGATTGGAGGGAACTGTGGAGTACAATATTGAGGGATCATTATCATATCATAAGATCTTAAGGCATTCATGTTCTGTAAGATACTGTCCCATTCCTGGATGTGTAAAGGGGGAGACATAAACTTGTGATGTGTCACAACTTGGGTTGAGAAAAGAGCTAGTTTTGAAGAAAGTTGTGTGTGTGTGCGTGTGTGTGTCTGTGTTTGTATGTATCTCAATCGACTCAACACAATCCATCTATTGCTATAAGATTTCAAGAGGAAGGAAATATTTTGATTTAGTGCTTCAAAAAGCCTGAAGTGGAAAATTTCTTAAACTTGATCAAAGTAATTAATTTCCAAATATATATATTTCAAATTCTCAAGTATTTCATTAATTCTCAAATCTATGTCTATATGTATCTGATCTGGGAAAGGTACATACCTTTATGGGTATCAAAATCAGATAGTGAGCTTTAGATTAAGTACAAATAATGAATCAAACACAGGTCATACTTTGGTCCACTTAGTTACAGAGTTGCTAGCTAAAACAGAGTTGTGGAACACTGAGAATGGATTGAGAAATATTTTTCCCTGACACCAGGACTTACTTTTGAATTTCTATCTCTGTAAATTCTAATCAGCGAGGTTTCTTGATCATTTTTGTGTTGACTTAGTTTCTATGGAAGAAGTAGAAAATTGAGGATCTGGCAAGGTGGCAAAATAGAAACAGCTCCGGTCTGCTGCTGCCAGTGAGACCAATGCAGAAGGTGAGTGATTTCTGCATTTCTAACTTAGGTACCTGGTTCATCTCATTGGGACTAGTTAGACAGTGGGTGCAACCCACGTAGAGTGAGCAGAAACAGGGTGGGACATCGCCTCACCTGGGAATTGCAAGCAGCCGGGGGCCTCACTACCCCTGCCAAAGGAAGGCATGAAGGACTGTGCTTTCTGACCCAGACACTACAGTTTTCCCACGGTTTTCACAAGCCACAGACCAGGAGATCCCCTTGTGTGCCTACACCACCAGGGCCCTGGGATTCAAGCACAAAACTTGGTGGCTGTTTGGGCAGACACTGAACTACCTGCAGGAGGATTTTTTTCATATCCCAGTGGCACCTGGAATCCCAGTGAGACAGAAACATTCACTTCCATGGAAAGGTGGCTGAAGCCAGGGAGCCAAATGGTCTTGCTCAGTGGGTCCCACTCCCAGAGAGCCCAGCAAATTAAGAACCACTGGCTTGAAATTCTCGCTGCCAGCACAGTAGTCTAAAGTAGGCCTGGGACGATTGAGCTTGGTTGGGGGGAGGAGCATCCACCATTACTGAGGCTTCAGTAGGTGGTTTTCCCCTCACAGTGTTAAAGAAGCTAGGAAGTTTGGACTGGGAAGAGCTCACCACAGTGCAGCAAAGTGACTGCCTCTCTAGATTCCTTCTCACTGGGCAGGGCATCTCTGAAAGAAAGGAAGCAGCCCCAATTAGAGGCGTATAGATAAAACTCCCATCTCACTGGGACAGAGCACCTGGGGAAAGGGGTGGCTGTGGGTGCAGCTTCAGCAGACTTAAGTGTTCCTGCCTGCCAGCTCTGAAGAGAGCAGTGGATCTCCAGGCACAGCACTTGAGCTCTGCTAAGGAACAGAGTGCCTCCTCAAGTGGGTCCCTGACCCATATGCCTCCTGACTGGGAGACACCTCCCAGCAGGGGTCAACAGACACCTCACACAGGAGAGCTCTGGCTGGAATCAGGCAGGTGCCCCACTGGGACAAGGCTTCCAGGGGAGGGAGCAGGCAGCAATCTTTGCTGTTCTGTAGCCTCTGATGGTGATACCCAGGTGAACAGGGTCTGGAGTGGACCTCCAGCAAACTCCATCAGACCTGCAGAAGAGGGGTCTGACTCTTAGAGGAAAAACTAACTAACAGAAAGCAGTAACATCAGCAGCAAGCAAAAGGACACCCACACAAAAACCCCATCCAAAGGCCATCGGCATCAAAGATCAAAGGTAGATAAATCCACGAAGATGAGGAAAAACCAACACAAAAGGGCTGAATATTCCAAAAACCAGAATGCCTCTTCTCCTCCAAATGGTTGCAACTCCTCTCCAGCACAGGCACAAAACAGGACAGAGAATGAATTTGACAAATTGACAGAAGTAGGGTTCAGAAGGTCGGCAATAACAAACTTCTCTGAGCTAAAGAAGCATGTTTTAACCCAATGCAAGGAAGCTAAGAACCTTGATAAATAGTTACAGGAACTGATAACTAGAATAACCAATATAGAGAGGAACATAAATGACCTGATGCAGCTGAAAAACACAGCACGAGAACTTCATGAAGCATACACAGGTATCAAACTATATCATAGAGTGAAGATCAACTTAATGAAATAAGGCATGAAGACAAAATTAGAGAGAAAATAATGAAAAGGAACAAACAAAGCCTCCAAGAAATATGGGACAATGTGAAAAAAACAAACCTTCCATTGGTTGGTATACCTGAAAATGATGGGGAGAATGGAACCAAGTTGGAAAACACACTTCAGTATATTATCCAGGAGAACTTCCCCAACCTAGCAAGACAGGCCAACATTCAAATACAGGAAGTCCAGAAAACACCACTAAGATACTCCTTGAGAAGAACAATCCCAAGACAAATAATCATCAGATTCTCCAAGGTTGAAACGAAGGAAAAAATGTTAAGGGCAGCCAGAGAGAAAGATCAGGTAACCTACAAAGGGAAGCTCATCAAACTAACAGTGGATCTCTCTACAGAAACCCTACAAGCCAGAAGAGAGTGGGGGGCCAATATGCAACATTCTTAAAGAAAGGAAATTTCAACACAGAATTTCATATCCAGCCAAACAAAGCTTCATAAGTGAAGGAAAAATGAAATCCTTTACAGACAAGCAAATGCTGAGGGATTTTTGTCACCAACAGGCCAGCCTTACAAGAGCTCCTGAAGGAAGCACTAAATATGGAAAAGAAAAACCAGTACCAGCTACTCCAAAAACACACCAAATTGCAAAGACCAATGGCACTATGAAGAAATTGCATTAACCAATGTGCAAAATAACCAGCTAGTATCATGATGACAGGATCAAATTCACACACAACAATATTAACCTTAAATATAAATGGGCTAAATACCCCAATTAAAAGACACAGACTAGCAAATTGGATAAAGAGTCAAGACCCATTGGTTTGCTGTATTCAGGAGACCCATCTCACATGCAAAGACACACATAGACTCAAAATAAAAGGATGGAGGAATATTTACCAAGCAAATGGAAAGCAAAAATAGGCAGGGGTTACAATCCTAGTCTCTGATAAAACAGACTTTTAACCAACAAGATCAAAAACGACAAAGAAGGTCATTACATATTGGTATAAGGGATCAATGCAACAGGAGATGCTAACTATCCTAAATATGTATGGACCCAATACAGGAGAACCCAGATTCATAAATCAAGTTCTTAGAGACCTACAAAGAGACTTAGACTCCCACACAATAATAGTGGGAGACTTTAACACCCCACTGTCAATATTAGACATATCAACGAGACAGAAAATTAATAAGGATATTCAGGACTTGAACTCAGCTCTGGACAAAGCAGACTTAATAGACATCTACAGAACTCTCCACCCCAAATCAACAGAATATACACTCTTCTCAGCACTACATAGCACTCATTCTAAAATTGTCCTCATAATTAGAAGTAAAACTCATCAGTAAATACAAAAGAACAGAATTCATAACAAACAGTCTCTCAGACCATAGTGCAATCACATTAGAACTCAGGATTAAGAAACTCACTCAAAACCGCACAACTATATGAAAACTGAACAATGGTGCTCCTGAATTACTACTAAGTAAATAACAAAATTAAAACAGAAATAAATAAGTTCTTTGAAACCAAGGAGAACAAACAGACAACATCCCAGAATCTCTGGGACACAGCTAAAACAGTGTTAAGAGGTAAATTTATAGCACTAAATACCACACTAAACGCCCTGCTTTGTGTATGCTTCATGAAGTTCTCGTGCTGTGTTTTTCAGCTGCATCAGGTCATTTACATTCTTCTCTATATTGGTTATTCTAGTGGGAAAGATCTAAAATCTACACCCGAACATTACAATTAAAAGAACTAGAGAAGCAAAAGCAAATAAATTCAAAAGCTAGCAGAACACAAAAAAGAAGATCAGAGAAAAACTGAAGGAGATAGAGAAACAAAAAAACCCTTCAAAAATCAATGAATCCAGGAGCTGGTTTTTTGAAAAAATTAACAAAATAGATAGACTGCTAGGTAAACTAAAAAAGAAGAAAACAGAGAAGAATCAAATAGATGCAATAAAATATGATAAAGGGGATATCACTACTGATCCCACAGAAATATAAACTACCATCAGAGAATACTATAAACACCTCTATGCAAATAAACTAGAAAACCTAGAAGAAATCGATAAACTCTTGGACACATACATCAACTAAATCAAATCAAGACTAAACCAGGAAGAAGTCGAATCCCTGAATAGACCAATAATGAGTTCTGAAATTGAGGCTGTAATTAATAGCCTACCAACCAAAAAAAGCCCAGGACCAGATGGATTCACAGGTGAGTTCTACCAGAGATGCAAAGAGGAGCTGGTACCATTCTTTCTGAAATTATTCCAAACAATAGAAAAAGAAGGACACTTCCCTAACTTATTTTATGAGGCCAGTATCATCCTGTTTCCAAAACCTGGCAGAGACACAATGAAAAAATAAAATTTCAGGCCAATATTCCTGATGAACATCGATGTAAAAATCCTCAGTAAAATACTGGCAAACTGAATCCAGCAGCACATCAAAAAGCTTATCCACCATGACCAAGTTGGCTTCATCTCTGGGATGCAAGGCTGGTTCAACTTTCACAAATCAATAAATGTAATCCATCACATAAACAGAGCTAATGACAAAAACCACATGATCATCTCAAGAGATGCAGATAAAATCTTTGATAAAATTCAACACCCTTTCATGCTAAAAACTCTCAATAAACTAGGTATTGATGGAACGTATCTCAAAATAATAAGAGCTATTTATGACAAACCCATAGCCAATATCATACTGAATGGGTAAAAGCTGGAAGTATTCCCTTTGAAAACAGGCACAAGACAAGGATGCCCTCTTTCACCACTCCTATTCCACATAGTATTGGAAGTTCTGGCCAGGGCAATCAGACAAGAGAAAGAAATAAAGCATATTCAGATGGGAAGAGAGGAAGTCAAATTGTCTCTGTTTGCAGATGACATTATTGTATATTTAGAAAACCCCACCATCTCAGCCTAAAAACTCCTTAAGTTGATAAGCAATGTCAGCCAAGTATCAGGAGACAAAATCAGTGTGCAAAAATCACAAACATTCCTTTACACCAATAATAGACAAGCAGAGAACCAAATCACGAGTGAACTCACATTCATAATTGCTACAAAGAGAATAAAATACCTAGGAATACAACTTACAAGGGATGTGTAGTTCTTCAAGGGGAACTATAAACCACTGCTCAATGAAATAAGAGAGGGTACAAACAAAAGGAAAAACATTCCATCCTCATGGATAAGAAGAATCAATATCATTAAAATGGCCATACTGCCCACAGTAAAGTAATTTATAAATTCAATGGTATTCCCATCAAACTACCATTGACATTCTCCTCAAAATTAGAAAAAACTACTTTAAATTTTATATGGAACCAAAAACAGCCCATATAGCCAAGACAATCCTAAGCAAAAAGAACAAAGCTGGAGACATCACGCTACCTAACTTAAAACTATACTACAAGGCTACAGTAAACAAAACAGCATGGTCCTGGCGCCAAAACAGATATACAGACCAATGGAACAGAACAGATGACTCAGAAATAACACCACACATCTACAACCATCTGCTCTTCGACAAACCTAACAAAAACAAGCAATGAGGGAAGTATTCCCTATTTAATAAAAGGTGCTGGGAATATTGACTAGCCATTTGCAGAAAACTGAAACTAGACCCCTTCCTTATACCTTACACAAAAATTAACTCAAGGTGTATTAAAGACTTAAACGTAATACCCAAAACCATAAAATCCCAAGAAGAAACCTAGGCAATACCATTCAGGACATAGGCATTGGCAGAGACTTCATAATTAAAACACCAAAAGCAATTGCAACAAAAGCCAAAATTGACAAATGGGATCTAATTAAACTAAAGAGCTTCTGCACAGCAAAACAAAACAAAACAAAACAAAAAACCTATCATTAGAATGACCAGGCAAACTAGAGAATGGGAGAAAAATTTTGCAATCTATTCATCTGACAAAGGGCTAATATCCAGAATCTACAAGGAACTTAAACAAATTTACAAGAAAAAAACAAACAACTCTATCTAAAAGTGGGCAAAGGATATGAACAGACACTTCTCAAAAGAAGGCATTTATGTGTCCAATAAACATATGAAAAAAAGCTCATCATCACTGGTCAATAGAGAAATGCAAATCAATGCCACAATGAGATACCATCTCATGCCAGTTGAACGGTGATCATTAAAAGTCAGGAAACAACAGATGCTGGAGAGGATGTGGAGAAATAGGAATGCTTTTACACTGTTGTTAAAAGTGTTAATTAGTTAAACCATTGTGGAAGACAGTGTGGCAATTACTCAAGGATCTAGAACTAGAAATACCATTTGACCCAGCAATCCCATTACTGGGTATATACCCAAAGGATTATAAATCATTCTACTATAAAGACACACGCACATGTTTGTTTATTGCAGCACTATTTACAATAGCAAAGACTTGGAACCAACCCAAATGTCCATCAATGATAGACTGGATAAGGAAAATGTGGCACATATACACCATGGAATACCACAAAAGCCATAAAAAAGAATGAGTTCTTGTCCTTTGCAGGGACATGGATGAAGCTGGAAACCATCATTCTCAGTAAACTAACACAGGAACAGAAAACCAAACACCACATGTTCTCACTCATAGCAGGAGTTGAACAGTGAGAACACATGGACACAGGGAAGGAAACATCACACACCAGGGCCTGTTGGGGGTTAAGGGACAAGGGGAGGGGGAGCATTAGTACAAACACCTAATGCATGCAGGGCTTGAAACCTAGATGACGGGTTGATAGGTACAGTAAACCACCATGGCACATGTATACCTATGTAAGAAACCTGCACATTCTGCACATGTATCCCAGAACTTAAAGTTATAAAATAAAATAAAGAAATAGCTAGAAAATTATCTTCATTCCTATTCATGTAATCTGTCCACCTGGTATTTTATAGTTTGAGGTGAGCTTTGGGAAGATATACTAAATTCTATTCTTCTGTTTCATTTGGAATTCCCACCAAACACCCCCTTTGTTCAAGGACATGGATTCACTAAAAAGAAAAGTTCTGAAGAATAACAGAACTTGCCAGATCCCATCAGGGATGTGAATAGTCCCAGTGACGGTTTTGAATTTGGGCAGAGCACTTCCATCTTCCATCCTTCCTATCTGAGCCTTTTGACAAGTGAGTACATTTCTCTGTCTCTCTCTTTTTATTTAACAACATCAAAAGTGTTAATACGCAAATGAACTAAAAATTACTTGTAAAGTGTGTACAAAATGCTGTAGGTTATCTGCATCAAAATTCCACATTTAAATCAAACTCTTATGACTTAGATCACTTTTGGCCTTTTTAAGAAAATAAAAAAATTTAAAAAGTGGTCACCAAAAGTGGTCTAATTTTTTACATCTCCACTGAACTAGTTAATAAGCAATATTCTGGTACCTTAAGTGTGCATATGTTGAATACAATGTTTATCCATTTATTTTATTTGAAATTTCATGCTCTGTTATATGTCCCTGAAGGATTCTAAAAAGAAATTAAAAGAGTGTGCACAGTCAAAATGATGGTATACTGAGCAGGCACTAGGGCCTGCTTATGAGCATGTAACTATCTATTTACGTACATTGATTTGTCTATTAATATGTTTGAAGTCAATTAAAAATGTATTTTTATTACATGTCTAATTTATGCTTCCTTTGGAAAGTAAAATTATGATAGGGGTATCTTAGAGAATTTTAGTACCTAAAAGGGAATTCCATATATGTTCTTGAATCTGTAAAATAATGAAGTCAATTTGAATTTGGATCTGAAATTGATCTGGTAATGTCTATGTAAATTCTAAACAAATGTAGAAGGTATCCATTGGTGCTGAAGGCTTAACTGGGCTTCTAGATATTTGTGCATCATATTTGTATTCCATATCCAGTACTAGGTTATATATTTTCTGGTCTTGCTAAACCACAGACTATGGCTCTCCATAAGAGGCTCTCCACAATTGATGTTTATTCATGATGTCTTTGGGAGAAAACATATATCAATGTGGTTAAGTATGTTAGCTCTAAGTAAGATAGCCCTGAATAAAAATAGCTTCTCTTGTACTTACTACCCAGGTAAACTTAGATAATGAGATCATCATAATAATCATTACAATAGGACCATTGTGAGTATTGAATGAAATAGTTCTTAGCATCTGGACTATGGAAATCCTCAAGAAATACCAGCTTCTCTTATTACCATTATTGTTGTTGTTATGAATCTGTCAGTTCCCACAGATGCAAAAGAGAAAATATTTATTCCATAAGACTAAAATCTATTAAAAGAGCTGCTGTGCACAAGTTGGTGAGTGATTAATAAATTGACCATATTGTATAGTAAGAAAAAAATGAAGAAATGAGAAAAAATGGCATGACAGTGATAGAGACAAGGCCCCCACCATCTACCCCTTCAACAGAACCCCACTGCCTTCAAGTCTAAAACATTCTGAAGGCAGAAAAACCAGACTACCCATCCCAGATGAAGCCCACCCTTTCTCGACTGATTCTTTCTGAATAATGCCCACCCGTGCATTGGGAGGAGTGGGTGGAGCCTCTGAAAGTTCATGTTGTTTGCAGGGGGAGGAGCCTGGCCTCTCCTGTTCTTGGATGGTGATCTGGGATTCCAGGTTGGTGAGGTGCAGAGCCTGTTAGTAGGACCTCATCTCACTTTGCTGTGTTGTTTTTTCCTTTTGACTTTTTGCTCAATAAATTCCATTCCCCTTCACTCTTCGAAGTGTCTGTGAGCCTAATCTTTCCTCGATGTGTGACAAGAACCTGGGTTTTAGCTGAACTAAGAAGAAAGTCCTACAACAGCAGCAAATATCTCCACTCTTGCTCATGCACATAAGTATCATAAGCATCATTTTGTGGTTACCTATATGTTAAGAGAAAAGATGAAGAAAAACTTAAGTGTTAGAAATGCACTTCTAAACTACTAACAGAATGATTTATTTTTCTATAAAATTAATTTTTAATTTATTAAAAAATCAAATGTTCATAAAAATTATGAAATTTTACAAAATTTGTTAAAAAGAATTTTCTGTAAGCATGCGTAATGATAAATGTTACCACATTGCTACTTTTTGGAGTCAGTAAATAATCGTGTTTATCTCTCCTCTCACTCCAAATGGATTTCACATAAATTATTTGAAAGCATTCATGCATCATAATTATAGAGATTTCCAAAAAGAAATACTTCCTTCCCAAATTTTATCTTATTGCTTTGAAAATTTTATTCTGATAATATTTATCTAAATACATATTTTTAATAACATTATTCCTTTACCTTTTTGGAAACTTAGTGGAAATATGAAATAGCTGGCAATTAATCTGCAAAGTAATCATCTTTAATATTCTAGAAAACAGTAATACATGTCATTCTTTGAAAGAAAAAAAGGATTATCCCTATATTCACTTCAAACTACAGAGGTACCAGTGGAATACTGGTTCTCCACAATTCTCCACAAAATTGGAGAATATTGTGAAATTAGAATGGCAATGAGGGAAACACATTAAGAAATGAATATATTTTATTAAATAAGATGAATCTGAGCAGAATTATAAATGTAAACAGCAAAAGCATATTTAAAACATGTATTTCTCTAAAGTACTCTGCTCATCTTTCCTTCCCCTTACCTTTTGAAAAGAAAATACTTAAATTTAACAAGGAGATAAAAATTGCATTTCTTCTAATAGTAGTTGTGAAATGAATAAAACAAAACCAAAAACTAAAAACAGAAACCACCAGGCACTTGATCTTAGCCAAAAGGCTGAGAAGCTACCAGTGAAGTGACTTTTTTTTTTGTTTTTTTTTTTTTTTGAGACGGAGTTTCACTCTTGTTGCCCAGGCTGGAGTGCAATAGCGTGATCTTGGCTCACTGAAACCTCCGCCTCCCGGGTTCAAACGATTCTTCTGCCTCAGCCTCCTGAGTAGCTGGGATTGCAGGCATGTGCCACCACGCCTGGCTAATTTTGTATTTTCAGTAGAGACGGGGTTTCTCCATGTTGGTCAGGTTGGTCTTGAACTCCTAACCTCAGGTAATCCACCCGCTTTGGCCTCCCAAAGTGCTGGGATTACAGGTGTGCGCCACCGTGCCCAGCCATGACGTCTTAACGTTTTATCGCCCAGGCTGTCTCTCCATTTATTTACAGAGCTTAATATTTATACAGTTATGCTTTTTGATCCATTTAGATTTATCTCTACCATCATATATTGTGATTTTTATTTTTTCTCTTTTATATTTTTGATTGTTTCTGATCTTTTTCTAAATTTATTTCCATGCTCATTTTATTTTTCTAATAATTTGTATGTTAAACACTTTAAAAAGTGTCTTTTGATGGTGTCTCATCCTAGTCCCAAAGAACATGAAGTATAAAGATCTTAGAATATTTGGTTCTAGTCATCCCTTTCCTAGAGTGCATGCTGCTCCCCCTTCTGCCCCCCATTTTTAAATTTTTATCTTAAAAATTTAATCCCATATATTAGATGATATCATTACTGTTTAAACCATAATTTTTGAGAAGAGTTTTACCAATACCTTCTTTCTCTTTGACCTCCATTCCTTTCTCATCTTTTCTTTCCCTCTGAGATCTTTTGTGCATTGTAATTTGGGTTTGTGAGCTTATTCTTGAAACTCTATCAGAGTTTTCAGAGGACTGACTTGGAATTTTTTCTCCAGACTGGACTTGTATTTGCTTCTGCCAGTATTCAGATTTAAAGCAAACAGAATTCCAGCTTAAATTAAAATACTCAGTTTTTACACTAAAAGTCATAAAAACAACATGAACTTAGTTTCCAAAGTTGTGTGAGCTTGTTGTGGGGTCATATTCTCAAAAGAAACACATTTCCTTTCTACTCAGAGGCAATGCCAAGACAGACAGGTTTTCTTGAAAGTTGCCTCTCTGTATTGTAGTTTGTCTGACTCTTTTTATAAGCGGGAAATATTTTGAAGATACCCTGGTTATGTGAGGCTTCCAATCTTATTCTTACCCCATTACAAGCAAGGTATTGTGTCATATCTTCTTGCATGTTTGTGATCATTAAAAAAAAAAAAGCCCCCTATCCTACCTGAGCCAATAAGTCCCCCTAGTGCTTATCAGTCTCCCCAAATTACCATTTTTAAGCACAGAACATTTTCATGTGAGCCAATCTATGTATTTAAGGGTGTTTTAGAACTGTTTAGGGAGAAAGGAGCGAGAGGGGCAAGGGTTGAAAAACTAATTACTGAGTGCTATGCTTACTACCTGAGTGATGGGATCAATCAGATCTCAAAACTCAGCATCACATAATATACCCATGTAACAAACCTACACATGTACCCCCGAATCTAAAATAAAAGTCGAAATTCTTTTTTAAAAAACTACTTCATGCAGCATTAAAAAATTAGTGTAGAAGGGCTCAAGATAAGCAGTCCATAACACTTTTGAGAATGGAATTCAGTGTACTTGATTTCAATATAACTGTTTTATAGCTTCATGGAGAAAAACTTTAACAGAACTAATTCACAACAGAATTCACAGTACTAATTTTGTAGTAAGACCCCTGGGAAAGGGCAATTTCTGCAGTTGGCAGCTAGGTACAGCTCTTGGAAATCTGCCAATATTCAGATGTTCAAGAGAGATCAGTAACACAGAGGTTAGACATTTATTTCTGATAAATAAAATAAAATCCAATAACCAGATGAAATACTACCTAATAAAGTATTGTTAATATTTTAATTAAAACATTTATTTTGCTACTTTTATTCATTTATTTTTGTATCCCTTAGAGTATGCAATCTGTAGCAGAATGATATATGTACAATTTGGTACAGGACTTAAAAGTATTCTTAGTGGTTTCTATAGGATTGAATCATAGTAAAATACCTGCACCTATAGATTTTGTAAAAATATATGTGTTTTGTAAAAACACATATAGATTTTGTCATTATTTTAATGTTTTTATTGTAACAATTAATTCCTCACTGGTCTTTTTATATGTTCTACCACATCTTTTTTCTTTTGTTATAAGTGTGTCTCAGAGTACACATACTCTCTCTTTTATTTGTATTGTTGCCTTTGTGTCTTTGTACCTTTCTTCCTGTCTCCCTCTACTCTGCTCCCTCCCTCCCTCCCTCCTTCCTTTCTGCCTGCCTGCCTTCATTTCCTTCTTTTTTTTTCTGTATTTATATGGATCATGTTTATTTGTAGGGCATAGCTGCCTTTGAAAATGTATTGAATTGAGGAACTCATGACTCAGAAAGCTCCACAAATGACTAGCCACTAAGTTTGCACACACTTATAGGAGAATAACAAACCTACTGAATGATTGCTTCCAGTCCCTGAGTAAGAACCTATGGAATCGAAGTCAGGTTCTTTTGGTTTTCAGATACGAAGCTCCTCTATTCATTTTTCTTCCCCATGCCCTTTATATTTAAGCCAAACATAGTGATTCTATTGGGTTCCCTTGAATTTCAGGGAAATGAACATGCATCATAAATGAGTAGTCACATAAAAATAAAACAGTAAATAAAAGCATAAGGACACATTTACTTGATTGGTGACATGTGGATCCTGGATTTCTGTGGGGTGTTCAGATCTCAGTGGTTTCTACCAACTGCATGAAAGAGACACAATGACACAATCAGCTTGGGGTGGGGAGGGTGCAAAAGCAACACAAAGCAAAAACGTTCCCTTGAAGATTCTAGATAAACTATAACTCAAAAGAAATCCCCATATATATAGTGTCAACTATTATTGGTAATAATATAAAAACAATAGAAACTTCAAGGAGATTTTCTAACAGTGATTTTTCCAAATATTCTGCTTTAATCTTTCTGTCTCCTTTCACATTAGTGTCCTTCAGCTGTCTCATATGCAACACAGCAAAAGCCAGTCACTATTGTCAAGCTCAGCAAATGCTTTTTGTATGCAGAAAATAATTTAGAATTATTCTTCAGTGTTGGCTGCCAATCATTTCATTATATAGTTTGGGCCTATGTTCTTATCTAATTTACTCATTTCATAAAGCACAGCAACTGGGTAAAGGATTTTGTTTGATGCCTCAAATGAGAAAGTCTGCTTGCCTGAATAAACCTTTCTATGCCCTTGATGTTATATTCCTAATACAACATAGCAACCAACACAAAAATCTTACTTATTTAGACTTTATGTGGCCACTCAACCAAGTTATCATTTAGTATTCAGTGTCAAAATGTACTATTATTGCCATCTAGTTTTTCAAATTAAATATATATATTTGCATTTTTTGTAGAGTTTGCTTCATTCTTAAGCTATTCCTTATATTTAAATCTCAGGGATGTTCATAAAGTTGAACATAAAAAAGTTTGTTGAAGGTCATTATAGAATTAGTATTTAATTTGGTTGCTGCAAACAAGAAACTTTACAAAGTAACCATTTGAAGGATTTTCTTTGAAAGTATGTAAATAAATAATATGATTTTTATTCTATGTAGTATTTTATATCATTGACTTTTTTTCAACCTACATAGAGTATGAAATCTAATATTTAACTTTTTAGAATTGACATATTATAGTAATTATGCCCACAGTGTTCCCTGCCTCTGGCAGGCTAAAGATCAAAATGAAATACTATTCATTTATTCAAAATGTACGTAACAGCTATAGTTGAGTCTTTATAATTTTTCAAGTACACTATATTAAGAAGACAATTATTCTTTACCACTTAAAATTCATACTTTCTATTTCATTATCAAGATTTCACCAATACTGCCATTTAAAAAATTTTGGTTTCAAAATTTGGATTCTAATGTATCTCTGCTTCTGGCTTATATTTTGCCTATGCACTAAAATAGCATATCTTAGTGTCTTTCATCACTGTTACTGAACTTAGGTACAATGATGAAGAATCCAAGAATAGGTAGATGTGATCAGTATTTGTGTATCACACTTATTCAAGTTCACAGATATCCCTAACATACTAGGAAGGACAGCAGTCCTCTCTGCTTTGGACATGAAGGTCTGTCCAATTGTATTAATCATTTTGCTAATTGGCTAGGTACAATTAAGTAGTGTTCATTGATCCCTTGGAAAGTAGTAATTAGGCTTACTGGCTTAAAGTAAGAAGAAAAGGTTCAAATTTATTTACAGAAAGTTTAATTTTTCTCTAATTTGTAATCTTATGCTTTATGCCTATTTGTAGGAGGATTCAAATTCAGGTCAAAGTGTTGTGGGAAGTCAGGGACCCCGAACGGAGGGACTGGCTGAAGCCATGGCAGAGGAACATAAATTGTGAAGATTTCATGGACATTTATCAGTTCCCAAATAATACTTTTATAACTTCTTATGCCTGTCTTTACTTTAATCTCTTAATCCTGTTATCTTCATAAGTGGAGGATGTACGTCACCACAGGACCACTGTGATAATTGTGTTAACTGTACAAATTGATTATAAAACGTGTGTTTGAACAATATGAAACCAGTGCACTTGAAAAAGAACAGAATAACAGTGATTTTTAGGGAACAGGGGAAGACAACCATAAGGTCTGACTGCCTGCAGGGTCGGGCAAAAAGAGCCATATTTTTCTTCTTTCAGAGAGCCTATAAATGGATGTGCAAGTAGGGAAGATATCGCTAAATTCTTTTCCTAGCAAGGAATATTAATATTAATACCCTGGGGAAGGAATGCATTCCTGGGGGGAGGTCTACAAATGGCCACTCTGGGAATGTCTGTCTTATGTAGTTGAGATAAGGACTGAGATATGCCCTGGTCTCCTGCAGTACCCTCAGGTTTACTAGGGTTGGGAAACTCTGCCCTGGTAAATGTGTGGTCAGACTGGTTCTCTGCTCTCAAACCCTGTTTTCTGTTGTTTAAGATGTTTATCAAGACAATACATGCACCACTGAACATAAACCCTTATCAGTAGTTCTGCTTTTGCCCTTTGCCTTGTGATCTTTGTTGGACGCTTATCAGTAGTTCTGCTTTTGCCCTTTGTCCTGTGCCCTCAGAAGCATGTGATCTTTTTAGACCCTTATTAGTAGTTCTGCTTTTTGCCCTTTGAAGCATGTGATCTTTGTACCTACTCTCTGTTTTTACACCCCCTCCCCTTTTGAAACCCTTAATAAAAACTTGCTGGTCTGAGACTCAGGCAGGCATCCCAGTCCTACTGATATGTGATGTCACCCCCAGTGGCCCAGCTGTAAAATTCCTGTCTTTGTACTGTCTCTCTTTATTTCGCAGCTGGCTGACACTTATGGAAAACAGAAAGAACCTACGTTGAAATATTGGGGGCAGGTTCCCCCAATATCAAAGTGATTCAACTGAATAAAATTACAATTTAAGAAAGAGCATGAAAGAGTTGATATTCACTTGCGATTTCTAATAGTTGTTCAGGGACTGATTTACAGTTATTACAACATAGCAGTATTTAATTTGTGTTAGTCTGGAATTTGGAGTTTGCTAGTTGGTAAAGTTTGACTTGTTTGTCATTAAAGACACCAATCCTGTGAATACTGAGTGATGCTGCACAGTAAGTGTACCAGGGAGCAAAGTGCCTGGTTAGCACAGCAATTCCTTAAACCCCTGAATAGTCAGAAATGACCCGCTCAATAATACCAGCCCCCAGTCAACACCCTGTGGAGGCTTTTTCACATTCGTTGATGTGATCATGAATTTTAGCATGGACACTTTTTACCATTGTCTTATTTCCCATAAAGATTAATTGTTTCATGTGATTTGTGCTCCACAAACACAAAAGGAGAATATCTTGGAAACAGAGAGAAGTTGTGGCATCCTGAACAAAGAAGCTGAAAATTTAGACTATTAATAGATAAAAAATAACTTGGAGATACTTTCTTATAAATCTGAAAACAAAACTTAACTCAAGCTGGGAAATGAGCTTTTCTTCCCTGGTGGCTATTGCTTTTCTTCCTTTCTGGGGTTACTGATTTGCAGTGGTGAGAATATCTCAGGGCATTTGACCAGATGTCAATAAAGTGGAATGGTCTATGTCAGGTTTGCTGGTTCTGATTGCTCATCAAAATAAACTCTCTTGAATCCTCAGAACAAATACAGATTTAAACATTTCTTCCTAACAGAACTTAATTTCAATAGAGTTGTCTGGTCCTTTTTCTTTTAATGTTGTGCTTAGCCAAAAGGGCTACTCAATCCACAAGCCATTTAAAGCCCAGATGTTAATTTTCCAGATTTTTACTATACAAGCAAGAGGTATTTCTAGAGAGATGGTAGAGGAGGCATCTTCATGGTCTGTGAGAATCTATTCTCAGAAATGGGCTTAAGATAGCAAAAGATAAACAAAAGGCCCATAGGGATGAGGCCTTTTAAGATAAAACTCACCTACTGGCTTGACACATTCAGGATGAAGAGTGCGCTGATGCATTTCAGACTCCTGGACCTTTCAGACTGGCTGCCCGACATGAACCTGAAAATTCCCACTCTCTGGACGGGTGGATGCCAAAAGAGTACCCCCAGAAGGTCACAAGGTCAAGCTCCCAAAGACATAAAACAAGATGGGAGGGAAACCTCCTCTGGTTTTTATTTCACAGACCTGAGGCAAAGTTTGTAACCAACCAGTCTGCAGGGCCAGCTTGAACAGCAGGCTTACAGGGGACCTAGGCTAGCGTTCTATCCTAGGGAACCCTACTCTTTACAACAGAATGTCACAAACAGACAAATTCATAGCACAAAGTACACCAGGTTTGCACTATAACCTAAGACTTGTCACCCAAATCCCTTTTCCCATTAATCAAAACCTTGCAGAAGAGACAAACAGTGATTTTTACTGTTCATTCAACTGGTTTGCATGGAGAGAGCAAGGCCAGAAGCCTAGCTGGTAAGAAATTCTTAGCCTTTTGCCAGCTTGCCAGGTTTCTGGCTTCTCTTTCTCTGTGCAGCTTTGGTGACCCTACTCACTGTACCATAGTTCTGGGGGCCAAACAGCATTATAAAAGAACAGCATCTTTCTCCATTTTATGGAACTATAGGCAAAGGCCTCTCATTTTTTTTCAACATGCCACCCAACGGGCTGCACAGGAGGATGAAGTGTTGAATTAAACACACAAAAAGGAAAAATGGATCAGGATGTGAGCAAGGCAAACTCTGGACCCAGGTGCTATCAAGTGTTGCCTCACAGAGATAATACCCGGAGTGGTTAGGCTCGCATGCTCAAACAGACAGATGGCAGTAAAGTTCACAGGCTTCCCTTCCCCACAAGGTGTGGCAAACAGGGGGAAAGTACCTAGAAGGTTTGAAAAGTAACAGAGTCCTACCAGCTGAACTGAGGGGCCATTTCAATCCTTCCTGTATGGCTGTCTATTCAGGCTGTGCCAATTGACCAGTCCCACAGAGGTGTCTATTCAGGCTGAGCCTGAAGTTAATGAAAAGTGAATAAAAGGGAGGAGGAAGGAAGAAGAAAAAAGAAAGACAAACAAATATGGGACAGGAGGAAAAGAAATGCATTGTTTTCATGTTGGGGCTTTGTGAGGAGTGTCTGGGAGGCTAGAGGAAAACTCTCCAGTTGCCGAGAGGCTGAATCAAAGATTTAGGTAGCTCCCTGTCAGCTACAAAGCATTTATGTCCGGCAGTTCTGCTGGCTCATAAGCCTGCCCCTTATTAGGACATGGGGGAGGAAAATGCTTCCCATGTCCTGTGGTCCTGCCACGGTCACGAGAGAATCTGTTACAGACCACAGGCTCTTTACCTCTCCATGTAATAGAAACTGACATAAGGCCAAGCAGATTTCCCAGACAAGGCTTTTATTTCAGGTCTTGTGCTCAATCACAAGGAGACAATGGAGATGAGGCACAAAGCTCTTCCAGCTGACTTTCTGGAAAAAAAAAAAAACAGTAATTTTTTAAAAAAATTTTAATCTGAGCATAAGAATTGACATCAGGGTAGGGTATGCAGGTTGGGCTGGGCAAAGCAAGTGAGGGGTAGGGTATGCAGGACAGCATATCTGACTGTGATGGTTATCTTGAGTAATGGGCCACCTGGTGGTCTGGCTTGTGGCAATAAGACTGTAACCAATTGTCCAGGATTCCTTCCCAAGGCAGGACACTCTGCAACCTTGGTTCAATTTTGGATCTCCTAAGGCCGGTGACACAGGTGATTCGCAACAATCCAGGCCAGTGGTGTGGGTGTAGAAAGGCAGATTTATCAGAGAAAGTATGAAAATATGTTGTTAGGGTGCAATGGGCAGGCCAGCAAGACAGAAGGTGGCTACAAAGAGACAAAGTCTTGCTGGAGATTTTATAGAATGGTGCTTGTGCTGAAGAGTGCTACGTGCAGTACTGACAACGCTAAGGTTGCAGTGAGCTAAGCTAACTTGCATTTTTCTATTAGCTGGGGATCTGGTGATAGCTAGGCATAGGAAGATTGTCAGTTATTTGAGCAGGAGGGTTTGTATCCTGGACCATGAAGAAAAGCAGACTTATAACTTATCTGCTTTCTCTTTCTGCTTTCCCTTGATCCTGCCAGCCTTTTTTCCCCTAACTGGGACTCCACAGCCAGTTTCTTCAATTCGTTAAGTAAAAAGCATGGTTAACAATTATTAGAGCACAGAAAAATGGCTATTTTCTTTGTCTGACTAAAGCCTTGGCGTTAGTGGGTATAGCATCAGCAAGTTATTGATGTGGGTTTTGTGAAAAGAAGAAGAAAAAAGAATATATAAAGGAGGAGCCGCATTGCACTCCTAATCTATCTCACAGGCTCTCTTCTTCATGTCCCCTTTGCACTTTCAGCCTTTAATACTACTATGTTATAACACAGTTTTGAACTTATAAGTAAATAGACAACTCATGAGTAAAAGGAAAACTGAATATGGTACATGTGACTTTGTGGCTAGTAGGAAACAAATTGTAAGTTTTAGTTTTCTTTGTAATTTAGATGGCCCAAAGCATAGGTTATTAATCCTTTGCCCATCTGTTTAATAGCATTCCTTTTTGTTTTTTAAGAGAACACTTTAAACATAGTTGAAACACAATTTCTGAGCAAAAGTAGCCATGCCTAGGACAGAAGCAAGCTGTGATGATAATTATTTTCTGTTTTTCTTTCTGGATGCTAATTTACTACCATAATTCTGTTTTGTAATTGCTCTTAAAAACTCAAATTTTTAGTGTGCACTAACTAACTTGGAGATTCACACCTTTCCTTCCTAACTTCTCTCTTAATCCTTCCTATAAAGTTCTTTATTTTTATTTTATTTTTAGTATTCCTAAGTCTACTTTGTCAGTTTATAGATATATCTCATGTTTGGTATGATCAGAAACATATAGTGTGATACCCGGAATTGATCATATTGATCATCTGGTCTATTTTCCAGATCAAGAAACTGATAATGGATGTTATCTTGCCCAAACTGACAGAGTTATATAATGAAGAAATAGAGTAAAATCAAGCCTTCTATTTCTAATCTAAAGCTTGTTCTACCACACTACATTAATTTTTTTCCCAACCATTAATAGATTATAGCAGATAGTCAATCTGCTATATCAATTATTCAATTAATTACTTCATGCATCTATTGAACACCTACTATGTGCTAGGAATGTGCACTCTGTATTTGTCCCACTTAATTTAATTTTTGGATAGAAAATAGGTACCATTCTAATTCTTATTTTTACAAATAAACAATTTCATACAATTAAATTAACCCGCTCAAGGTCACTATAATTACAGAGTGAACTGTTTACAATAAAACAAATGGTACAAATGGATCAGTATCTTTATTCTTCACGTGTCTTTTAAATTACTTTTAGGTAGAACCAGAAAAGCAATCGTACTATTCTGTTCTCACATTGCTATAAAGAAATGCCTGAGACTGGGTAATTTATAAAGAAAAGAGGTTTAATTGGCTCACAATTTTACAGGCTGTACAGGAAGCATGGTGCTGGCATCTGCTTGGCTTCTGAGAAGGCCTCAGGAAGCTTCCAATCATGGTAGAAGTGAAGGGGGAGCCATTAAGTCTTGTCCTATGCAGCAGGAGCAGGGACAAGAGTAAAGCGAAGGGGGAGGTGCTACACATTTCTAAATAACCAGATATTGTGAGGACTTATCATGAGAACATCAAGGGGATGGTGCTCAACCATCATGAGAAATCTGCCCCCAAGATCCAATCATCTCCCACCAGGCCCACCTCCAACACTGGGGATTACAATTCGACATGACATTTGCTGGGGACATAGATCCAAACCATATTAGTAATCTTCTCCTTACAGTCTCAGTCAGAGCACCCTCCTGCCTGTCCCCAGTGGCACAAGCTAGCAGTGCTGTGAGGTAAGCAGTTTGTTATTAGTGACATCAGACAACTCTCCTTTCTTTATTCTCTTCTCAATCAATAGCCCTCATTTACTTTTTTTTATAACCCGTTCTATTTATTCTGCCACACTCAATCTTAGCAAACCTCTTCCTTTGAAAAATTTTCTTGGTTTATTTTACATTCTGGTGTAGAAAGCTAAGAGTTTATTGTAATTACTCTACAGAAACTTTTATTTTTTAAAAAAGACAATGTCCCTTTTGAATTAAGCCAGAGGAGATAAAATTTAAACTGTGAGAGTCCTGGTTTCTGCAAATTGGTTGGGGTAGTAAAGAGGAGAACTGGGAACTTTTTAATTAAAATAACTCATCATATATATATATATATATATATATATAAGTAAATAGACACTTTTCCTTTTACTCATTAGTTGTCTATTTATACAAATATATATGTAAATAGACAACTTCTATATATATAATAGATATTTTATATATAATAGACCATATATATATGGCCATTATTATGTATATGGTTAGCCTTGCTGAAAATTATACTTTCAAAGATATAGCAATCTATAGTGACTCTTAGTGTTAGTCTGCTTCTTGGCTATGGACAAATGCAACACATTATCATCAGTAATGTTTTTCATTGCACATAAAGGTTCTTAAATGGGGCCTCCACCTGTGGTTTAGAATTTTTAGAATATCTATGCAGCTTAAAAAGTACCTCCTACAAAAATATTCTGCTTTCCTCAACACTTTTTTCCCATATTCTTTTACAATCACTGAGGAGAAGGGAATTGGCAAGAATATCGTGTATCTGACATTTTAATCTTTTGGGGGCTTTTAAAGGTACCAATTTTCTTCTCAGTTTAGCAGACTGAAAATGTTATTAATGTGCTTTCTACCATTGTATTCATGTGGAAAATATTCCATTCCAGCACAATCTTTTGTACTAATAAAATTTTTGCTGGCACCCTTTAGTACTCAGGTGTTAACTAGTGAAGGAAAAAGATATTGCCTTTTTAACTAAAAAACATAAATGGAGTCTTGATTATATACTCATGCAAATAAAATTTTTTCATAAATTTTAAGTCGTACACTTTATGTGAGATAAACTTATATTTCCCATGAGGAACTTTAAGATAAAGGAAAAAAGTAGTATTTAAATGACAAGCCTGACAGGGCTTTGGGATTTGAGGTAAGGCAAAACTGCAGGAAAAGCAGGAAACAAAAAAATATTTTTAAAAAGGAAAGAAAGAATAAAATATTAGAAAATGTTGAGAGATAAACTAGATGATCAAGGACATCAAATTCTGCCTTATGATAGATATAGGTTTCAAAGAGCTAAGGCCAAACATGGACAGAAAAATCTATGATCCCCTTGGTCAGGAGCAAGATTTAGATAGAGACAATCTAGTGTCCGGTATATATTCCTGTAAGAAAGGTACTTTAAAGTACTTAGTTTTGTTTGCTTGTTTTTCTTTAAACCAAAGACCTACTTGGCTGATTCCATACCTAGATGAAGCTTGGATTTAATTAAAAGTGTCCAACCTATGGTAGGAGAGAATCACATCTTCAAGACCAATATGGAATTTCAGGGAGCAATCTATATTTCCCAAGGATTTAGAAAGCTATGATTAGAAGATTTGTTGTCCAGAGACAGATAAACAGAGAAGAAACAAAGGGGAGACATGAAAATAGAACCTTCCTTGCTTGACTTTTAAAAAATAGTCAGAACATTTACCTGGGTCTGCCAGATTTGTTGACAGTGAACTAAATTTATTGGAGAATAAATAGAAATTCTACAATTTGGATTGTTTGCAATATTTGGTTATTAGCTGCAGTAAACATTTTTGTACCTGTCTTTTGGTGAAGAAATGTACTGGATATTTACCTAAGAATGAAATCGTTAGGTTCTATTCAGGAAATGCTAGGATTTTAAAACATATTACCTCAAACCCTACCATTAGGCAATGTATCTTGCACATGTACTTATTGAATCTAAAATAAAATAAAATAATGAAACACATTACCTCCATTAGTTAATGTGTTTAGGCTACTAAGCCTTAGGGTACTTTGGCTTACTCTTTCCACATTTTAATTCTACATATATTTAAAATTCCATGTTATTATCATATTCTACGTAGTTAATATTAGTCACATTTACCCTTCCTATTGCATCTTATTCTATCTTACATTTTCATATTTCCAGATGAGCTCATTTTCTTTCTGCCTTATAAACTGCTTTTAGATTGTCTTTCAGTGCAAGTCTGCTAAGAAAAAGTTCTTTCAGTTTTTGTATAAAAATGCCTTTTTTCACCGTCATTTTGGAATAATATTTTCTCTAGTTGTAGAATTCGATGTTGGCAGTTATTTTCTTTTAACACATTAAAGGTGCCATTCCATTGTCTTTTATCTTCCACCATTTCTTGACAGGTTAGCTGTCAAGCTTGTTGATGCTTCTTTTTTTTTTTAAGGTAAGTGTCCTGTTTTCTGCATGTTTTTCAGTGAATAGCAGAAAATCAGCTAGTATAAAAAAGATAGTAAGTAGCAGAGGTCTGACATATTTAAGAAATTGAAAGAAGGAAAGGGTGGTTGTGTGTAGTGAGTGAGGAGGGAAGTAGCTGAGAGGAATTTGGAGAGGATGAAAGGGACCACAGTATAAAGGACCTCACAGTACATAGTAGGGAGTTTGTGTTGTATTCAAATTCATTGACACGAGTGATAGAAACTAATGTATATTTCAAGAATATCATACTTGCTGTTGTAGGAAGAATGGGTGGTGGAGTAGTGCAAGACCAGAAGAGAAAAACAATTGAAGAATTTGAGAATGTGTCGGCCCAGTTTGAGAGTAGCAGAGATGGAGATAGAGGCCTGAGCAAATTCAAATCTATTTTAATGTGAAAATTGACAGATCTTAGTAATGTGCTTGGATATGGGGCTTGTAAGAAAGAGATGAATTAAATTTGGATTATGGGTCTTGGTTTGGTACCATTTACTGAGATATGTAAGGTTGAAGGAAGCAGGATTATAAGCAAGGTAAAGATCAATAGTTCCCTTTGCAGAACATAAGACCCAAGAACACTTATAGTTGCAGAATATGAAGTTTTAGATGCATCTTAGGCATTTAGGGGGAGATATTTAAAAATATCTAATTTGTTGCTTAATGTTGAAATCAAGTCCAGAGTTATAGATGGATTGGGACAGAAGCATGCCTACTGGTATGCTAAAGAGAAGAAAGGGAAATAATCTCTTTGTACATTCAGAGCCCGTTTTCAATTTTTTTAATGTTGCATAAATAAAACCTTTTAAGGAAAATACTTATTTAACTTTTTCATTTATTGGGTACTATGCAAACATTAAAAATTCCACTGGTATTGATAGATAATCTAATAATTGAGAAGACTTTTAGATCATTTTTTACTACCATTCTAATTTCAGTTCAGTTTTCATTTGTGTCTCAAATGGTCTGCAGATAATGAGTTTTCTTCTTCTCCCAATATTGCTGTTAAATAAATTAATACAAAAATTCTGAGCTGTAAAGGATTAATTTTGTAGATGTCTAGAACACAAAGTACATTTGAGACACTCATCATTCCTTAGAAGGTCATATTGAGCTGATGAGTAATTTAGAATATTTGATTATAAACATTATATATTTAATTTTACGAGAGAAAAAAATTCTATACAATGAGAATCTGGTGAAAAAGTGCCATGAATGTGATGATGGGAAGAACATTAGTTAACACATCCAGCCATGTTTATGTGGTTCGTAGGGTTTTTTTGATGACCACTGAAACTCAATAACTAGTTTGTGACAGATTGTATTCACCAATTTTATCAGCTGTTTAGCAAATTTAATTTAATAATTCTTTCTAAATACAGACATAGTGAAAGTCTCCTGGCTTAACTCTTGACTTTTTAAAAAATATTTAAAAATAGAGGTTTTAAACTTATTTTGGATGTGTTAATGACTCATAGTGATTCTTTTTTATAGAAAGTTGGGTAGTTGATGTGTTTGTGAGGTAGAAGTCAGAATTCATTGTCTCTAAAATGTGATTCTTGGCTTTGGTATAGGCATTACTTATGTTGTAAATTTCAGTTACAAATTTAGACTAAATACTGTTTGCAGTTGGTAAGTGGTTAGGACCCTAAAGAGAGATTTATAGACAAGGTTGCATACAGATATTACCAGTGAGATGTGGCAAAATAAAGTGATTATATTTCCCAAGTATTTTACTCTGTTATATCTGCCCTGTGTTGATACAATTAAATAATTTATTGCTAAAAGCAAAGTTATTCCCTATAAAATACTTTGTGATACATTAATCAGAACAATGTAGAAATACCCTGAGATCTCAGCCTGGAATAGTGATTCTTTCCAATAAAAATTTTAAATTCAAGAACTCTGATCTGTGTTTGAAAACTTTTACTAGATGTGCAAGCCTGAGAAATGTAGTTGATTTCTCTCCGAGTAAAATAAGAATAATAATAAGTGGCTTGGAGCAGTGGCTCATGCCTGTAATCCCAGCACTTTGGGAGGCCAAGGCGGGTGGATCACCTGAGGTCAGAAGTTTGAGACCAGCCTGAACAACATGGTGAAACCCCATCTCTACTAAAAATGCAGCGGGGTAATTAAGGAATCAGAGAGACTGAGGGGTTGAGGAGGAATTATTTAATTATTTAGGTGCACCGACCCAGTCGGATTAACATCCAAAGGACTGAGCCCCGAACAAAGAATCTGGTTACCTTTTAAGCATTTTGTGGGGCAGGGGGAGATCTGTGCAGGCGAAAGCATATTACAGAAGTGAGAAACAAACACAGTTATTCAATTAAGACATGCATTACATTATTTCTTACTTTTCAAGGAACATGTTTTGTGACTTGAGATTATCTGTTTAGTGACCTTGCAGCTGCACAACTAGAAAAGCAGAGTCTTCACAATGCCTGGGAAAGGAAGACATAAGGCTCACTAGCCACAGAAAAAGAGGCAGTCAATTTTTGAAGGACTTCAGCTCTTTCTCTTCCTCAGGGGGGATTGGTTTTTCTTACATACAACTGAGTTTTTGCTTACAAAAATACAAAATTAGCTGAGTGTGGTGGTGCATGCCTGTAGTCCCAGCTACTTGGGAGACTGAGGCAGGAGAATCATTTGAACCTGGGAGGCAAAGATTGCAGTGAACCAAGATGTGCCATTGCACTCCAGCCTGGGTGACAAGAGCAAAACTCCATCTATTAAAAAAAATAATAATAAATATCTCCCCAGATTTTTGTGAGGATTATAAGAAATATATGTACTATATTAAGCACCGTGCTAGGCACATCCATTAAAGGAATTTAATATTATCACAAATGACAAATTCGGAACAAAGTAAATAATTAAAATTTCTATTAAGAATTTTATTTTACTTGCTGAGTAGCAAAAATTGCTCAGTAAATAGTTATTGAAATCTTACTATGTGCTCAGCATCTACATAGGAGTTACAGCACACAAAATTATTTAAGATCTGAGGGGAGGATTCTGGGAGGAAGGCGGAGTAGGAAGCACCAGTATTCTGTCTTCTCACCTAGACAGTAATTGCAGTGGCAGAATCTGTCTATTGCAACTATTTTGGGAACTCTGGAGCCTATAAAAGGCTTGCAACTTACAAAGAAAAACTTGGATGCAAATTGAGGTTAATTTCAGTCAATTTCAGTGCTTAGCCCAGTAGTAACTACCCATCTCCCAACCCATACCATATGGCAGGAAGCTATGCATTCATTCCTGGGGCAACTTGCATGCAGCTTGGAAGAGCCATCATGAGCAAAAGGACCTTGTTATCCAAATACTGGGGATCTGTGTCCTGATAGCTCATGGCTGCTTCTTATCACAGAAATGTAGACAACAAGGCAATGGCTGTTGTTTTTGCACCTAGTTACAAGCGTCTCATCTTCCAGCTAAAGTTACATCCAGAGGACTTAAAGGATATCCTTTTTCTTTCCCTTCATTTTTCTTTTTCCCTTTTTGAGAGCCAGCTATTAAAGACAAGGACATTCAAAAACAACCACATATACAGAGAAATTAAAATCACTGTGCATGTCAAAAGAAAGATGTAAGCTAAGAAAAGACCCAAGAACACTTATACTTAACACATTAGTCTGATTCTCAGCAAAGAAACAGTTTACAACAATCAAAACAAAACAACACACACACAGACACAAACACACCCGGCAAATCCTTGAGGGTGGTGGAGAATATGATATCTAGAATTATCATGGTAATAAATTTGAATGTCTAGTTTTCAGCAGAAAATCACAAAGCATGCAAAGAAACAGGAGTGTGGCCCATTCAATGAAAAACAATAAACTAACAGTAATTGTCAGTGAAAAGGGCCAGATGATGGATCTATTACACAAAGACTTCAAAATAACTGTCTTGAAGACACTTAAAGCCAGACATGGAGAAAGTCAAGAAAATAATAATAAAAAAGTAAAAACAACAGTAAAGGGATAGAAAACTAGAAAAAGAAGCCACAAGAAATTCTGAAAGTGAAAAGTACGATAACTAAAATGAAAAAGTAGAGGGATTTAAATGAATATTTGGGCAGGTAGAAGACTCAGTAAACTTGAATATAGGACAATAGATATTATTGAATCTGAGTAACAGAAGGAAAAAAGATTAAGGAAAACTGAAGAGCGTGTAAGGGACCTGTTGAGCACAATCAATCAGACCAACATGTACATTATGGGAGTCCCAGAAGGAAAAGTGAGAGAAAGTGGGGAGAGAATATTTAAGGAAATAATGTCTAAAAGCTTGCCAAATTTGACAAAAAATGTAAACATCCAAGAAACTCAACAAATTCTAATTCGGACAAACTCAAAAAGAACCACATCAAGACAAATTTTAATCAAATTGTCAAAAGCCAAAGCCAAAGAGAGCATCTTAAAAGTAGCAAGAGAGAAGTAACTTGTCACATAAAAGGATTCCTCAACAGAATTATCAATAAATTTCCTATCAGAAATTTTGATGGTCAGAAGGCAGTGGGCTGACACATTCCAAGTGCTAAAAGGAAAAAAAAACTGTCCACCAAGAATCCTATGTCTTACAAAACTGTCCTCCAAAAGTGAGGCAGAATAAAAAAATTCCTAGATAAACAAAGGCTGAGGGAGTTTATTACTACTAGGGCTGCTCTGGAAGAAATACTAAAAGGAATCCTGCAGGTTGAAATGAAAGGACACTAGACAGTAACCAGTGGCTATATGAAAAAACAAAGATCTCAGTAAAGGTAAATATATGGGCAATTATAAAATCTAGTATTGTGAAAATGGTTTGTGACTCCATTTTTTGTTTTCTACATAATTTAAAAGATAATACTTTTACTTAAAAAAACAGTTATCAGTCAAAAAGCTACTGTTATTGTAAAAATGGTATGTAACTTCACATTCTGTTTTTACAGTTTAAGAAACTAATACATTTAAAATGATTGGTTTATTGTTTTCAAACACATAATGTATAAAGATGTAATTTTGTGACATTAGTAATAGAGTAGGTACAGAGATGTAATGGAACAGAGTTTTTGTATGTTAATGAACTTAAGCTGGTACAATTCAAATTAGAATTTTATAACTTCAGGATGTTAAATGTAACACCCATGATAACCACAAATAAATGGCTATAGAATATACACAGGAATAAATGGGAAAGGAATTTAAATGTTTTGCTAGAAAAAAATTAACCAAACACAAAATAAAACAGTAATGCAGAAACTGGAGACAAAAAAGCTGGAAGACATGTAAAAAACAAATATAAAAATGACATAAATGAAGTCCTTAAAAAAGAAGAAAATTCTGACATATGCTATAACATGAATGAACCTTGAGGACATTATGCTAAGTGATATAAGCCAGTTGCAAATGTCAAATATTGTATGATTCTACTTATGTGAGCTACTTTCAGTCATCAAAACTATAGAGACAGAAAGTAGACTGGCAGTTGCCAGAAGATGGGGGAACAGGGATTTATTATTTAATGTATTTCGTGTTTCACTTTGGCAAGTTGAAAAGCATTCTGGAGATAGATGGGTAGTGATGTTTGGACATTATGAATGTAATTAATATTACTGAGCTGTATATTTAAAGATGATTAAGATGGTAAATTTTATGTATATTTTGCTACAATTGAAAATAGAAAAAAAGGGCCGGGCGCCGTGGCTCACCCCTGTAATCCCAGCACTTTGGGAGGCCGAGGCAGGCGGATCACGAGGTCAGGAGATCAAGACCATCCTGGCTAACACAGTGAAACCCCGTCTCTACTAAAAATAGAAAAAATTAGCCAGGCCAGGTGGCGGGCGCCTGTAGTCCCAGCTACTAGGGAGGCTGAGGCAGGAGAATGACGTGAACCCCGGGGGGCGGAGCCTGCAGTGAGCCGAGATCGTGCCACTGCACTCCAGCCTGGGTGACAGCGAGACTCCGTCTCAAAAAAAAAAAAAAAAAAAAGAAAAAAAAAGAAAAAAGAAAATAGAAAAAAAAATTTTAAGATTTTTGAGAATGTCCCTTCAATTAAACTGAAAATGAGTTGCGATCTAGTGGATTCCCTTTAAAGTTGTATACAATTTGAAAAGAAATGATTACTTTTGAAATTTTAAAAGAAATATATTATCGTCTTAGGACCTCACATTTCTGGCTAAGAGGCCCTAATTTGGTGACTGAATTGCTATTGAAGAAATGCCTAGAAAGAAACTAACATATATGATTTCTATTATCAATATTGGTAAGTAATAATTGCTAATCTTCTCTAAACTAACATCATACTTTTAAAAAAGTTAGAATAGAGCTATTATTTTTTTATTGCACATTAACATGTTTTTGAGATTTTAAATAATAAATTTCTTTATTCATATATTTGCAAAATAACTTATTAATCCCATGCCCAGTACATCTCAAAAGGCTGGTAGAAATACTTTTTTATTTTTTATTTTTTATTTTTTATTTATTTTTTTTTTTTTTTTGAGACGGAGTCTCGTTCTGTCGCCCAGGCGGGAGTGCTGTGGCGCGATCTCCGCTCACTGCAAGCTCCGCCTTCCGGGTTCACGCCATTCTCCTGCCTCAGCCTCCCGAGTAGCTGGGACTACAGGCGCCCGCCACTGCGCCCGGCTAATTTTTTGTATTTTTAGTAGAGACGGGGTTTCACCGTGGTCTCGATCTCCTGACCTCGTGATCCGCCCGCCTCGGCCTCCCAAAGTGCTGGGATTACAGGCGTGAGCCACCGCGCCCGGCCGAAATACTTTTTTAATAAAATATTTCTGGTTTTATCAAAGTAGATATGCGTGTAAGAATCTGTTGACTCTGTAAATATCACCTATTATGAGAATACAGTGGAAATAAATTTTAAAAATCTCCAGTATAATAAATAATGATTTGATTTTTCTAATTTTAAGTATCAAATACCAATCTATCTTTTTACTAACAAACCAAAACCTAAAAATTAAATAAAATGTGCTAAAATAAATAATGCTTTACTGCTATAAATCTTATTTTAAGGACTGATAAATCTTTGTGCCTAAGATTGAAGAGGAACAGTCTTGATAATTAGAGTTCATCTATAATCCTTTAAGGAAACAAAACCATGGCACTGAAAGAAAGACCAGAACAACTTAAGTAAAGTTCTCAGATCATGTTGTGTTACAAATGAGAGAAATTGTTCTATTTTTTTTGTTTCTGCTTTTCTTTGGATACATTGTAATCAAGTAAAAAAGACTATCTGTAGAAGGGATGTCAAATATCCATATTTTATTAATGATGGCTGCTGTCTAATTTCAATTTAGAAATGTGCATTTGAAGACCAATAAAGGTGAAGATGGAAAATGCCCAAATGAGACAGACATAATGATGAGACTTTCTTAAGAAATGTGCTACATTGTTTTGAATTAGCCCCAAAGAGAAACACTGATTGTGTTTTCTATTGTAAGAGAAATTATCAATTTTGTACTACATGTAGGACTTTTGGAAATGTATGCTATTATTCTGTTCAGCATTGTAAAGATAACACTTAGGCATAATTTTTTAGGTTACTTATTGCTTTCTAATTTGATTTATATCTGTTCTTTCCTGCTTTTAGTCATGTGTGTTAGTTGTGTCATGTATTTAATGTACCTGAATGGCGTCTTTATATTTTATTTAAATTAAGGATTTAGTTAAATATTACTGATGTAACTTGCAGCCTCATGTATACATAATACTTCTTTAGAAGTTTAAAAATGTATTATTTTAAGGAATATATTGATTTTTTAAAAATAAACAAGATGGAATACAAGTTAAATATTAATAAAGAATGTAGTAATGAATATAAATGATTATTATATTTTCCATAATTGAACAGAATTAAAATACATAATTATTTATATGATTTATATTATTTAGATTATGTAAATTAAAATGATTTTGATATGGTTCTGTATACAATTTAGGATAGACTAAATTTTCACAAAATTCCCAGGTGATTTCCAGTTGACTCTGTGATTTTAACTCGAATATTTCTCATAATTCTATGCCTAGAACTGTGCCAGGTAACTAGTACTAATAAACACTATTAATTGAGGGCATACTACTTAACCACACTTCTGTTCAGTGCTTTGTAAAAAGCATATTATTTTGATGTAGCTCAACCAATGTTTGTTTAAAAAATTAATCTCATTTTTGTGGCTTACTATTAAACTTCATAATAATAGCGCTTGGGAGTCTGAGATACTTACATTTCTTCCTAAGTTTTTAATTTCCTATTGCAAGAAAAACCTTGTCAAAAATTAGTCTCAAGTTTCAGTTTTGTTATTGGAAAGTTTTATTTTTCTTGGCATTATAGATCACCACACATATTTTTATTACTTCTATACATTAGTTACTGATTGATCATTTTAGTCATTTTAGCTTGAAAAATACTCTATAGTTGTATTACTCCATTTTCATACTTGTATAAAGAACTGCTCGAGACTGGGTAATTTATAAAGGGAAGAGGTTTAGTTGACTCAGCGTGGCTGGAGAGGCCTCAGGAAACTTACAATCATGGAAGAACGTGAAGGGGGAGCAAGGCACCTTCTTCACAAGGCGGTAGGAAGGAGTAGTGCCAAGTGAAAGGGGGAAGAGCCCATATAAAACCATTGGATGTTGTGAGAACTCACTCACTATCATGAGAACAGCATGGGGGGAGCCACCTCCATGATTCAATTGCCTCCAGCTGGTCTCTCTCTTAACAGGTGGCGATTGTGGGGATTACAATTCAAAATGAGATTTGGTTGGGGACAAAAAGCCAAACCATGCCACTAGTCAAGGATATGCTTTATAGTGGTTCTCAAACCTTAATGTGCCTGAGTTAACTGGAGGGCTTGCTAAAACCCAGATGGCTTGGTCCTAACCCAAGGGTTTATGATTTAACAGGTTTGAGGTGAAATCTGCAATTTCTCAAGTGGGGTTGATGCTACTGGTCTGAGTTCCATACTTTGAGAACAACTGCTGTATTAGTAACTAAACTGAATATTGAGGGAGAGTTATGATATCCTTTAGCACTGAAATTTATTTCAGTATTTTTCTTTGCAATGTAGCTAAGTCTTAGTCATGTATAGTTTTAAAATATTAGGAACTTAAATGTTATAAGCACTTTACATGTATCAGCTCATCTATTCCTCATTACAACACTGAGGTAGGCATTATAGTTAGTATAAATGAGGAAACTAGGGCACAGACAGGCTAAGTAAATTGTTCAAAGTTACACTAATCAGAATGAAACCAGGAATCCAACTCAGGGAGTATGGCTCCAGAAACCATGCTGTTAACCACTACGCTATACTGCATCCTTATGTCCAATAGAGGAATTATCATAGCATATGAACTAACAGAAGACAGGCTCTGCATTATGCTTTCTCATAACTGTTGTTAGCACAGTGATTGGCAAAGAATGGGTTGTACCTTAACTTTCTCCTCATATCATGCATTGTGATCTGATATGATTTGGCTCTGTGACTCCACCCAAATCTCATGTCAAATTGTAATTCCCAATGTTTGCAGGGGGCAGGGACCTGGTGGGAGGTGATTGGGTCATGAGGACAAATTTTTCCCTTGCTGCTCTTGTGACAGTGAGTGGGATCTCATAAAATCTGGTGGTTTAAAAGTGTGTACCATTTCCCCCTTTGCTTTCTCTCTCCTGCTGCTTCCTGTACAGCCTGCAGAACTGTGAGTCAATTAAACCTCCATAAATTACCCAGTCTCTGGTAGGTCTTTATAGCAGTGTGACAATGGAAAATTGGTACCAGAAAATGGAACACGGCTATAAAGATAGCTGAAAATGTGGAAGTGACTTTAGAACTGGGTAATGGGCAGAGGTGGGAACAGTTTGGAGGGCTTAGAAGAAGACAGGAAGATGAGGGAAAGTTTGGAACTTCCTAGAGACTTGTTGAATCATTATGACTAAAATGCTGATAGTGATAAGGACGGTGAAATCCAGGCTGAAGTGGTCTCAGATGGAGATGAGGAGCTTATTGGGAACTGGAGTAAAAGGTCACTCTTGCTATGCTTTAGCAAAGAGACTGGCAGCATTGTGCCCCTGCTCTAGAGATCTGTGGAACTTTGAACTTGAGAGAGATGGTTTAGAGTACCTGGCAGAAGAAATTTCTAAGCAGCAAACTGCTCAAGGTGTAGCCTGGCTGCTTTTAAAAGCATATGCTCATTTGCATAAACAAAGAAATGACCTGAAATTAGAACTTATATTTAAAAGGGAATCAGAGAATAAAATTTTGGAAAATTTGTAGCCTAACCATGTGGTAGAAAAGAAAAACCCATTTTCTGGGGAGGAATACAAGGCTGCAGAAATTTGCATAAGTAAAGAGCCAAATGTTAATAGCCTAGACAATGGGAAAAATGCCTCCAGGGCATTTCAGAGACCTTCCCAGCAGCCCCTTTCACCACAGGCCTGGAGGCACAGGAAGGAAAAATGGTTACATGGGCCAGGCCCAGGGCCCCACTGCTCTGTGCAGCCTCAGGACATGGTGCCCTGTGTTTCAGTGGCTCCAGGTCCAGCTGTAGCTAAAAGAAGCCAAGGTACAGCTCAGGCTGTTGCTTCTGAGGGTGCAAGCCCCAAGCCTTGGTGGCTTCCATGTGGTGTTGGGCCTGTGGGTGCATAGAAGGCAAGAGTTGAGGTTTGGGAGACTGCCTAGAATTCAGAGGATTTATGGAAACTTCTGGAAGTCCAGACAGAAGTCTGCTGCAGGGGCAGAGCCTTCATGGAGAACCTCTACTAGGGCAGTGAAAAGGGGAAAGGTGGGGTTGGAGCCCTCACTCAGAGCCCCCATTAGGGCACTGTCTTGTGGAACTGTAAGAAGAGGACCACTGTCCTTCAGAGCCCAGAATGGGAGATCCACTGACAGCTTGCACCATACACCGAGAAAAGCTACAGGCACTCAATGCCAGAACAGGAAAGCAGCTGTACTCTTTCCTGTACTCTGCAGAGCCACAGGGTAAGAGATGTGCAAGGCCTTGGGGGCCCACTCCTTGCATCAGTGTGGCCTGGATGTGAGACATGGAGTCAAAGAAGATTATTTTGGAGCTTTAAGATTTAATGACTACCCTGCCGGGTTTTGGATTTGCATGGGGCCTGTAGCCCCTTTGTTTTTGCCAGTGTCTCCCTTTTGGAATGGAAGCATTTACCCAATGCCTGTACTCCCCTTGAATCTTGAAAGTAACTAACTTGTTTTTGATTTTACAGGCTCATAGGTGGAAGGGACTTGCCTTATCTCAGATAAGGCTTTCGATTTGGAATTTTGAGTTAATGCTGGAAGGAGTTAAGACTTTGGAGGACTGTTGGGAAGGCATGATTGGTTTTAAAATATGAAGAGGACATGAGATTTGGGAGGGGCAAGGGGCAGAATGATATGGTTTGGCTCTGTGTCCCCACCCAAATCTTATGTTAAATTGTAATTCCCAATGTTGGGGAAGGGACCTTGTGGGAAGTGATTGAATAATGGGGCCAGATTTCCCCCTTGCTGCTCTCACAATAGTGAGTGAGTTCTCATGAGATCTGGTGGTTTAAAAGTGTGTAGCACTTCCCTCTTTGATCTCTCTCTCCTGCTCCACCACGTGAAGATTGTGCCTGCTTCCCCTTTGCCTTCTGCCATGATTGTAAGTTTCCTGAGGCCTCCAAGCCATACTTTCTGTACAACCTACAGAACTGTAAGTCAATTAGACCTCTTTTCTTCATAAATTACCCAGTCTCAGGTAGTTCTTTGTAGCAGTGTGAGAATGGACTAGTACAGGATCATAGTCATGGGAATCTAATTTACAACATGGGTGGAGATGAATGCATTAATTAATTTGATTGTGGTAATTGTTACACTGTGTATGTGTGTGTATATATATAATATTATATATATTTAATTAAGATGTATTAAATATATGCAATCTTTATTTGTCAATTAAATATTTCAAAATTTTAAAAAAAGGAAATTGAGAGACTCAAAGAGCTTGCTTAAATACTAAAACTTACATATTTAATTTGTGATTGTGATCTTATGTGATTGCAGATTCCATTTTCTTTCCTATACATTGCTTTCTGCAGTAGAAAGAATGGACAGGTTATTGTCAGATGGGAATCAACCCTGCTTTTATGGATGATTTGTAATTTTTGGCTTTGAAGAGCGCAGTGGACATATGTACTTAACTTCTCAGTCTTTTCATTTTCATGACATCATTTTTACTTCAAACTTTGAAATGCAAAGCCAGTAACTTCTTTATAAAACTACATGTATTTAATGTTGTGTTTTATATTTTTTCTTTAGAAGGATGAAAAACAACAACAACAATAAAAACCCATGGACACAAACGTGGCTGATGCCCCACTGTTTGTTTAATCAGTGAGCCCTTACAATTTCTATTCCACTTTCAGTATTTGTGTTCATCTTGCCAACATTTTATTGGCATCAATCTACATGACTCCTTAAACTTGAATTGCTTTAATGTTATTTCTTTGTCTCTAGTTTAAAAGAAATACAAGGCAGAAACACTTAGAAGTTCTCCTCAATTTCCTGCTTGGATAATGAGTTTCTTCACCTAGGGAAATATTCATTTAGAAAACTTAAGAATAGAAGAAAGAGAACTGTGATCGAGGAACAATAAGAAATAAAACTTCAAAGATTATTTTGATGCCTGCTATTTTATTACTATCTAATTAGAATTTCTATTATGGATGTTATTTGAATTTTATCCAACACTTTCTGGTTCCTCTATTACTATACAAATCTTATTTTACATCTTCAACTTGCTAATAAAAATAAATTACAGATGTATTAAACTTAAAATAGTGTACTCAGTGTCCTTAGTTCACTTGTAGTAGTGTACTAAGGCGTCCTTTCCAAGCTATATGACTTTGTTTTTGTTTTCTTGTCTGATTATTTAGTCACAGTTTTTGATATATATTTATTTATAGCACTTGTTACCTTCTGTCATATTATATAATTTATGTTTAGATTTTATTTACTTTACTATCCTAGTAAAGTATTAGCTCCATGGAGTACACATTTTTGTTTGGTTGTGTTCATTGTTGTATCCCTGGGCCCTAAAATTATGCCTGCAATATTCTAGGCACTCAAATATTTGTTTAATGAATGAGTAAGTCAGAGTATGTCACATTCGTATTTAAAAACATCCAATAGTGTCTCATCACACTTAAAGCAAACTGCATATTCCTTACCATGATCTATAAGGCCTTATGTATTTTGGCTCATACCACTGTCCCTTATTCCCATACCCCTCCTTCACTGTGCTTCATCTGCACACTTGTCTTCCTCAACCATACCAAGTTTATCTAAACCCCAGAGCCTTTATTCATGCTGTTGATAATTTGTTCTGCCTTCCTAAAGACGTTTCCTCCAAATCTTTGTGTGCTTCTGCCATAAGCTCACATCTTTAGAGGCCTTTCATAAATAGCTCATGTTAAATAGCTGCTGGTTACCCACAGTCACTTTCAGGCCTACTAACTTTTCAAAATGTTTATAGCACTTTTAACTATCTGAAGCATTTATTTTGTTTACTTGTTTGTTGACTGTCTCCACATTCTACAGTATGAGTTCCATGTCCTTTTCTAGTCTGTATCCCCAGCACCTAGATCAGCATTTGGTAAGTATTTATATCACTATGTGTGGTGTGTGTGTGTGTGTGTGTGTGTGTGTGTGTGTGTGTGTTCTGTCAGAGTTTCAGGTTGTTACACTGAGTACACCATTCTAAGTTTAAACACACCATGTAGATAGCTAACTGAATTGTCAGGGGGCTGAAGTAACAGATCCTAGGTGGGCCCTTTACCTAGAAGATTTCCAAAACTATAACACATAACTCGACTGTGAAGGGAGATGTCTCTGCTGTAATCAAAAGTTGCTGTTGCTACTCTTTCCAGAACCTTTGTCACACGAGGGAGCAGCTGAATCCAGATGTTAGTGTTGCTGCTGGTCACAAATCCATAGTGTCTTGGCTGGGATTCACACTAGAAAAATGGATGCGCTCTACTCAGTACATGTTTAACATAACTAAATTCTGAATAGAAATTTTATGTGGATGTATCTGATTAATAGAAATTAAGTTACATTACCCAATAAAGAGCAAACATCCCTATTGACCAGATGATCTATAATTTAACAAGGAAACTGAGACTCTTTGAATGTAACAGGGGCTATTGCTAATAATTACTCAGGGACCACTATATTATCAGCCAAAAGTGTTCTGGGTAAGCTGGTATGTATAGACATTTATCAGGCCAATCCATTCATTTTGGAACTTTGATCCTATAGGCTTTTATAAATACAACTTTATCAGAAGGCTAAGCCTAACTCTGGCTCTGTAATTCCATGATCCCCTTACTCCCATCTGTCTTTTCATGATGCTGATACTCTCTTTCCCACGACACTTCCTAATGGTTGGTGAAAGTTGTGTCCACTGGGTTCCCCTAGTGTATTCAGTTATGAGATAGATGCACAGGTCACAAATCAGAAATCTATTCTAAATTCCCCTCTCTTACAGTCACTGAATTTCTTCCTCTATTATACTAAGGAATTTCTGGCATCACAAAGCACTGAGTCCAGGTTCTAGCTAACTAAAGGATTGATGAATTAGAATAAATTCTAGCTTCCAGGTCAGCATATTGAATTGATACTCCAATAAATATAATAGCCTATTCAAAATTATATTTGTCTTCCTTTAGTGCAGGCTATCTGATACCCACACATATTATCTAAGAATGCATCAATAAAAATTAACAGTATGTTGGAATTCTTTAGTGTTTAAGCTTCTCCCTTGTAACTGCCCTTTTTTGTTCATTTTTTAAATATTTATTTATTTATTTATTCATTTATTTATTTAGACAGGGTCTCACTCTGTCGCCCAGGCTGGAGGGCAGTGGCATGATCTTGGCCCTCTGCAACCTCCGCCTCCCGGGTTCAAGTGATCCTTCCATGTCAGCCTCCCTAGTAGCTGGGACTACAGACACATGCCACCACACCTAGCTAATTTTTGTATTTTTTGTAGAGATGGGGTTTTGCCATGGTTTTCAGGCTTGTCTCTAACTCCTGGCCTCAAGTGATCCACCTGCCTCAGCCTCCCAAAGTGCTGGAATTACGTGAGCCATGCCACCTGGCTGTAATTGCCTTTTTTTTTTTTTTTTTTTTTTTGAGACAGGGTCTCACTCTGCCACCCAGGCTGGAGTGAAGTGGTGCCATCTCGGCTCACTGCAACCTCCACCTTCCGGGTTCAAGCAATCCTCCCACTTTAGCCTCCCCAGTAGCTGGGACTACAGGCATGGTCCATCTTTATCAGATCTAGAGACAATAAGATGTAGTAAGAATGGGTCATGGTGTGAGGTTATTTCAAGACCTTCAGTCAACATAAACTATGTCTATTTAGACAATACAGAAAGTGATGCTTCTCCTAAATAGGGAAGTTCAGTGAAGGTTAGGGATTTAGAAGACTTGGAGTCATCAGAATCCTCCCCAATACCATTTTTAAATTCCACCCTTTTTGCAGTCAGTGAATGAGTTCAACCTGTGCTGAATTCTTATATGTTCAGACTCTTAATCTGGTTTGTGAATATATCAAGCCTGTAACTGCAAGAGTTAAAACTTGCTTTAGAGAATTTATTGTAACTCTCTGGTTGGGTCTTTCACTGATTTGAAATCAAAACTTAAAATCTTGAATTTGTCATTTTTTCCTTTAAGTTATCTAGTGCAGTGATATGCAGCAAGCTTATTCTGCCACAATATTATACTTCATACCTCTCAGCTTGCCATAGATGGGCTTTCAGTGGGCCTGTCATTCAAAAGAACTACAGGTAATAATTTTGGCTAATGTTTAACCACTGCATGTCATGGACTAACATGGTTCCATCCTCTAGTATTGCCTGGATTACTGGTTCCTTCAAATATACCTAGGCGAAATAACTAATTTAATATTCTTATTTTAGGGAGAATTTATTGTAGCACTGTTCAATAGAACTTTCTGTGATGATCAACATTTTCTATTTTTATCCTGTCTAATAAGGTAGCCACTAGCTATATGTAGCTATTGAAATGTAATGAGTGTGATTAAGAAACTGAATTTTAATTCAATTAAATTAATTTTTATTTTATATAGCACATAGTACTAGAGGCTACCAGATTGGACAGCACAGATTTATTACTTGCAACCACTTCTGCAAATAATTAGTGAAATCTTTCCTTCTTAATTGTAGACAAAGACTCTTCTTTCTGTGATCAAGAGAAGACTTTGAAGAGGTAGAGAATAGGTTAAGGAATCCTTGGAAAACCTGAATCAACAGACTGTAGGCTGATGTCTCATAACAACACAATTACTCTGTAAGGGAACTCCTGCCTCTCTTTCTTGGAGCTCACCAGTCAGAAATTTACTGCTGCTGGCTTTTGAACCACAAAACCAATGCCAACTACCTATTCTTCCTCTTTTCTGTCCAAACGCATTTGAAAGCCAAATCCAAAGTCACATATCTACCCCAGCTACAAGAGTTTCTTTCTTTCTTTTTTTTTTTTTTTTTTTTTTTTGAGACAAAGTCTCGCTCTGTTGCCCAGGCTGGAGTGCAGTGGTGCAATCTCGGCTCACTGCAACCTCCGCCTCCTGGGTTCAAGCGATTCTCCTGCCTCAGTCTCTCGAGTAGCTGGGACTACCGGCATGCTCCGTCACACCCAACTAATTTTATGTATTTTTAGTAGTGGCAGGTTTTCAGCATGTTGGCCAGGATGGTCTCGATCTCCTGACCTTGTGATCTGCCTGCCTCAGCCTCCCAAAGTGCTGAGATCACAGGCCTGAGCCACCGCGCCCAGCCCAAGGGTTTCTTTAAAGTAGATTTGTTTTCACATTCACTATTATAAACATAGGATTCACACTTTTAGAACATTGCCAAAACTAGGGACAAGTATTCAAAAAATTTTGGGTAGCAATAGAGGGCAAATTTTCACTAGAGAATAAATCAATCATTTTCTGATACCTCCTATTATTTTTAGATCCTGGATAATATGTGTGTGTGTGTTTGTGTGTATGTGTTTGTGTGTATGTTTGTGTGTGTGTGTGTTCTCTCGTGTCAATGCTGATTCAGCATTTGTCTTTAAATATCTACCTAGATGAATCTGGTATTTGATGATACTGCTTTAATCTCCTATCACCCCAAACACTCAGCACTCTCCCACTTGTACCCACTACTCAGAACCAAATCAATTGCATTAAAAGTAGATGTTCATTTTGTATGGCTCTTTAGTTACTTAGTTTCCTATCAATGAAGCTTGAGTGCATCAACCATTTAAAACTGGCTGACATTTTTGTTATAAGTAGTTCAATGAAAGTGAACAGTTATTGGGCCTTATTGGTAAGTGTGAGAAACTGGTCGAGTTGCTTTCAAAACAAACCATATGATATCTTATTTCTTAAAACAATTCTGCTAAAAAAGAGGCGACTTATTTTTTTTTATTTTTATTTTGGACTAATTCAAGTTTTAAAACTTGATGGTAAGTAAGTGGTAATCCAAAGGCATTGCCAAGTTAGGCAAATTCTTGGGTGGCTAACTTTATCCTATGTCTGTTTTTTCTTGTATAATTCTGTCCCCACTTACATCAGCAAAACATAATAAACTATTTTTATCAGCAAATGAAGAACTTTTCAAGCTGGAAATTAGCATAAGGTGTTAACTTAGGTTTAAAAAATAATAAAATGTATGATGTCATTCTAAACTCCAATGTTATACATTCTGTAACACAGAATGTTGGCTTACTGTGATGGTTAAAATATTAATAACATATAAAGCAATTCTTGTCCCATAGTGAAAATGAAGAATATTGCTCTACAAAATTACTATAATGTAGTTTACAAACAAAATAAATGGTCATAAAAGACCAGTTACACTCCCCAACATTGAGCTGGACACCCTAGTCACCATATTATCATGTGAATTCAAAAACTAAGTATTTCCCTTACTCTAGAATTGAATTTCCATTATTGTCACCTAATCAGGTTCTCAAATTATTTGACCTTGGAGAATATTCACTGAAGCCTATTAACTCAAAGACAATAGACAAGTGCAACTACCTGAGAATGCAAAAGTTAAGAAACTCAGATAAATAAAATAACTCATGTGACACTTCACTGGGTTTTTCTTCATACGAAAAATTTCAGAAATTACAAATGTTGTTTAGATCAAGAAACAATGACATCTTTAGCAATAAAGATGCAAGTTACTCAAATATTCCCTAAGGAAAATATTTATGGCACAAAGTTTCAAGTCAAAGAAATTGTTGACTTCGTGGATCTAGGAGTGTAACAATATATTAAGTGTGATGGTCATGAAGATTTAGTGTTCATCCAGTTTAAAAAGCAATAAAGAAATGTTGCATATATTGCCAGACTTGCTAAAAGATATCCAAATCCTCTCCTCCCCCGCTTTATACTATCATTGGTCTATTTACAATGAAAATGGTGCATGGGGAAATTTTTATTTTAGGGGAATCTCCTGACCTCAAGCTAAATGAGGGTCACTTGGGATTGAGGTCACCATGAAAAGTATGACCTCAATGTCTGGAGTTTGGGGGTCACATAGGTCAGTGTTTGACTTTTGCCTGGAGCACCCTGAGAGTGAAAGATGTTTGGATTTGCCGCTAATATCAAAGCAAGGAGAGAAGGTGGTCATGGGAACAGATTTGCATGTATATTAGTGGTGGGGAAAGGATGTGTGTTTCCATGGTTTTAGCCTGTACTGTGGATTGGAGCTGAGAGGCATCTTCAAATGCATCAGCAAAGCCAGATAACAGTGTACTGCAGAGGCTTCTAGTCAAGATGTATGGTAAATGTGGGTTGCTCAGATTCTCTCTTTTGTACTAAGGTTCTCATTACCCCAACTGATTAACGACTTATAGAAAAACTTATATAGTTTTTCACCAGTAATTGCCATGGCCAAAGGAAGCAGTATGACTTAAGGGTTATGCCTTTTCCCTATAAGTAGCTTGCATTCAGTAACTGGTAAATTTTTTATGAACCAGGAAAAGAAATGTTGCATACATTGCCAGGCTTGCTAAAAGATATCCAAATCCTCTTCTTCCTCTCTTTATACTATCACTGGTCTATTTACAAGGAAAATGGTGCATGAGGAATTTTTTATTTTAAGGGAATCTCCTGACCTCAAGCTAAATGACGGTCACTTGGGATTGAGGTCACCATGAAAAGTATGACCTGAATGTCTGGAGTTTGGGGGGTCACATAGGTCAGCGTTTGACTCTTGCCTGGAGCACCCTCATTTTTGACGAACCAGTTATTGAATGCAAGCTTGCAGGAACGTGGATGGAGCTGGAAGTCATTATACTTAGCAAACTCACTCAGGAACAGGAAACCAAATACTGCATGTTCTCACTTATAAGTGGGAGCTAAATGATGAATACACATGGACACATAGAGGGGAACAACACACACTGGGACTTATCAGAGGGTGGAGGGTGAGAGGAGGGAGGATTAGAAAAATAACTAATGGATAATGGCTTAATACCTGGGTGATGAAATAATCTGTACCACAAACTCCCATGACACACGTTTATGTAACAAACCCACACATCCTCACATGCATTCCTGAACTTAAAATAAAGTTAAAAAAAACTGTTTCATATGGCGACTTTTGGCTAAAAGAACTGGAAAGTGGGAGGCATGAGACAGAGCCTGCAGTTAATGTTCATAAGCTGACTAGTGCTTTTCGACTCTTAAAACTCTAGGTATTCTTTAAGTACAAATTATGTAAAAGAAAAAAACCTGCTTATTTGAAAAAAAAAGCCTGCTTTAGAACCACTGCTAATAGTGCCCCAGGGCCAATTTGCTGTAACCTTCTTACAGCCATAGAACTAAGCATGAAACACATTCAAAACATGAACTTCATTACAACGAAGACTGGGATTTAGCTTTGATATCTACATGCCAGGGATTGAAATGCAAATGAAATTTAAAACCTAACATGGTTCGTAATATTACACCAAAACAAATTTAACATGTTTAAAGATCCCATTAATTCGTAAATATATATAATGATTTTTTATTATAATGTTTTATTAATATGCATATAAGCTATTTGAATATATTAAATAATGTCAACTACAATTTAGAAATACATGTCAATATAGAGAAATCATAAATTGACATTTTTAATTAAGTAATTGCACACATTTTAATATGATGCATTTTAAACATATTCATTTTTACTTTTCATAAAATTAAGAGAACAATGATTGTTTCCCGATAAGGTAGGGAACTAAAGCCCAGCCTGAAACTCGTATATTGGCACACTTCATTATACTTTTGATATTGATAACTTAGTTGTGGAATTTAGATATCATCTTGGCTTGTATAGTAATTTGTAAATGTAGTTTAGCAATGCTCTAAAATATATGATTATAGGTTATGTTTAGTTCTAGTTAAAATGCCATCTCTGAAGTCTAAAGTTTTTGCCACTACATATTCATTGCAAATAACTTTTCTTATCTAAAGAGGATCATATGCCTTGGTTGGTCCCACTGCCTTTCTCTTTCACTAGCCTAATTATTAATGTCTACTCTTTTAACTCAAAATATCATCTTGGTTCAAATAATAAGTTATATTGTCACCCTACTTCTCTGTCACTTAGGGAGTAATTCAAAAGTACAAAAGAGAATTCCAGTTCTAAAATAGATATCAATTTAGATTTTTTATGACTATTTCAGAATATAATAACATGATGGGTATACTTTTCTTTCCTTTTCCATTCTCCACATAGCAATTGAGACATTGAAGCCAGGAAGAGTTTGGGTTAAGACTGTGCGGGTGAACTAAACTGTGTCTCCAGAAAAGACTCCATGTTCTGGACAACCCCGGATCCTGTAAAATGCATTTCTTACTGCTGATGTCACTCTGTACATTTGTTTATGGATATATCTTTTTACCATAATGTATACTCTTGTTGGAGTGTAGTACCCTTCACTGTAGACCACTGTATTCCCTAATGCTTACCCATGTGCCTCTACATAGTTGTTGCCAAACTGAAGCCAGACTATTAAAAAAATTCAGCTAAATGACTCTTCTATCTTAATGTCAAGTAATTGATTTGAATGCTTTTTCATTGACGAGGTAACCTTGTTTATTTTGTTTTTTCTCCTCCACACATCTCTTTTCCTGGCAGATCTATAACCACATGTTCAGGTCCCAGTTTAGTGGTATATTATTACTTTCTCTGGGAGACATTTACTGATTTCTCTAAACTTGCATGTAATAACTGTGATTTTCTGTTTAGTTGTCTGTATTCCCCCAGTACCCTGTAAATGTTACCAGTGCCCCATGGCTCTAGCACCAAGCATAGGTCTGGTACATAGTAGTGTATTGAATGAGTTAGTGTCTTATGTGGCCACATCAGGATGAATATTGCAACTTGTCCCTCCACAGAGAGAAGTCTTGACTATTTGGTAATCTCACTTTGGATTGTCGGTATAGGTTTTGATGTGAAAGGGAGAATAAGAAAGGCTGGCAGAAATGTTTCCCCTATTAGTTAATGTAATAGCTGTGTGACTCTGCAAGGAGACTTGGCAGGGCAAACTTCTAAACCAGCACACATGTCCATTTCTGGGGTGACACTGCTGCTTCATCTCTGTAAATTGAGAAAGTATAGGAAAGCCATATCTATATCTCTGTGGCTTTTACTTCTTTTGACATCTATTAAGCCTAAAATTCGATGAGAAAAATACTTGTCTGTTATATACAAGAAAAGAATAAGGCCTGCTACCAAGTGAAATGACTGCTCAGAATGGCACAAAACCTAATCTTTTATGTCTCTGTGGGCTTCCTCACCTTGCCTCTCTGACTTTGTGCATTCCGATCCTTTTGCTAAGAATATCTTTCTTCCCTTTTGTCACCTGGCATATTCCTGTTTATGTTCCAAGACTCAGTTTAAGTTTAATGATTGGTTTTTTTTTTTTCTCCCTTTGGAGCCTTCCTAAATTCACCATCAAGTTTGGGACTCTCCTGTTTTCCTTTAACTCTTTTATTCTCAAACTTTACCATATTCTCTATGTTGCAGCTCACTCATGTTTTCAGTTTGTTGGTGCTATGATTTAAATGTGTTCCTCAAAGTTCATATGTTGGAAACTTAATCCCCAATGCAACTATGTTGAAAAGGGAGACCTTTAACTGGTAATTACGTCATGAGGGCTCTGCCCTTATGAATGGATTAATAGCATTATTATGGGAATGGGTTAGTTATTACAAAAGTGGGTTTCTGATAAAAGGGATGAGTTTAGCCTTCTTTCACTCTTGCTCTCTTGTACACTCTTGTCCTTCCGTCTTCTGCCATGGGATGTCACAACGGGAAGTCCCTTACCAGATGCAGGCCCTTTGACCTTAGACTTCTGTTTCCTGAACTATAAGAAATAAATTTCCAATGTTTATAATAAGTTACCTGATGTCAAGTATTCTGTTATAGCAGCAGAAAATGGACTGAGAGAGTTGGCTTCCATAACTACACTGTGAAGTAATTTAAGACAGAAAAAGGTCTTTTTTTCCTTGATTTATTCATAGATATAGTGCAATAAAATGTTAATTGATATGTAAATTGATATGTTTACTGATGGATTCAAAATTACAGTGGGAATAATAAAATCCAGAACTACAGGGAACTGTAGGGACATTTACTTGAATTCTATGATTTTGAGAGATGAAAACCCTGGCTATAAGAACTTCTTAACAATTTGAATCTGATTATTTTTATAATGCAAATGGTGCTGGGGAGAATGGAGAATGGGAAAAAAATGTAGTCTTTATTTGTCTAATAAACATTTAAAGCTTTAACATCATACATTTCTAAAATATTTAACTTTTGAGTAAATTTTTAACATAGTGAGTGTTACATGCAATAAATACAAAATTAAATAAACTTGATTCTTACAATATATCAGCAGGAAATTTCAATTTCTTTTGCTGTGAAACTTAAAACTGGTATGCTGTATTTCAATTATGCACTTATGTATTACTGTAGAATAGAATTATGAGCTGAGAACTGGCCTTCTGAAACTGGCATTTCCTCTTTGAAGTGACTATTTTGAAATATAGCTCCTAAATAGGATACATGCTTAGTGGTTGAGTCAATAGCCATTCAATATTCATTTTATAGCAGAATTCAAGGCAAAGGAATATAAAAATGAGCATGACAATGTTATTGCTCTGAAAAAGCTCATGATCTGGTTAAAAAGAGAGAGAACAGAAAGTTACAATTCAGCTATCTAAATATTTGATACAGTGGATGGAGGGACTACTGTGCTTTCTGTGCTTATTTTGGTGGCTTATTTTTACTCCTCTTCTGTACCCATAAACAATCGCAGAGGTTGGAACCTAGTTTATTTTCTCCTATTACTACCCCCACGCCTTCAGTTCGATTCCCAATCTAGCTTTGTGATTTTGGGAAAGCTGCTTAAACCTCTTAGTTCTAGTTTCTTCATTTATTAAATAAGAATGATCTCTGTTTTATAATGTTGCAATAGGTATTACTTAAAATATTACATTTAAAACACTGGCTGGGTGCGGTGGCTCACGCCTGTAATCCAAGCACTTTGGGAGGCCGAGGCGGGCAGATCACCTGACCAGCCTGACCAACAGGGAGAAACCAGTCTCTACTAAAAATACAAAATTAACTGGGTGTGGTGGTACATGCCTGTAATACCAGCTACTCCGGAGGCTGAGGCAGAAGAATCACCTGAACCTAGGAGGCTGAGGAAGCAGTGAGCTGAGATCACGCCATTACACGCCAGCCTGGACAACAGGAGCAAATCTTCCTCTCAAAACAAACAAACAAACCCCACTTAGCATCGTTCTTAGTGTGTAGAATTATCAACAATTTTTATTTATATTTTGTGACCCCTCCATTACACTTTAATTTTTTGCTGCTCGGATTCAAGAATAAACTGGATTATTTAATTGCTTACAATATAGCATGCATCAAAAAACAGTCTATGATCACGTTCCCTTCCTTGCTCAATCCACCCCACAATGCTATGAGTTATCCAGGCCAGGGACTGTGGCTTTACTCATCTTTGTAGTTACAGAGCCTAGAACTGCACAAGTGCTCAGTCATTAAATTTTCAAGGATTGGATGATCCCCTGGTTCTATTTATTTTTTTAAAAAATAGGAATGATTAACTGAGCAAAGCTGTGCATGATATAATCTAAACAGTATAAAATTTATATGATTTCAATTTCTGATTCCTCTAATTATAGTTTAGCGATACAAACTATTACAGGCAATTGCCATCATGTTAGAGTCAATGTTGGAACACAGTGGCAAGATATGCTCCAATTTGACAACAGAAAAATTGCCAGAGAAATTCTGATCCTAGAAGCATTCAGGTGGTGCAGTGATATGAAGCAAAATCAATTTAATTTCTAGAAACTAGATTAAGGAGAAGAAAAACAAAAGCACATTTCTGGTGGGCAAATAGAGTAAAAGAGACAATGGTAATAGATTTATGATCAATATGGACAACAGAATTTCTTCATAAACACATTGCTTTGAACATTCGATTTAAGTAGCCTTCCCTGATCCTTAGTATATTGTAGGTTCTTTTTGCATGATCTCAGCATAATAACTATATTCACACATTTGCTTGAGTGCCCCTTAAAAATGTCTTTATAAGCCATTTGTGGAGTCACTTATTAAATATGGCTTAAGATTAATATAGGGAATTAAGGAAGTGTTTGTTGGCATACTGATTTGTCAGAGATTTATCAGAAAAAGCTGATCAAAATGTAACCTTTCTACCTATAAATAAAAAATAAAACATGTCTTGTAGAACTGGAATCTATTCAGATAAATACATCTAGCCTCTTACCTCATGATTCCACTAGAGAATCCTTGAGATCCCTGGAGAAAGAGGGATACTCTATCTTCTACAAACAGAACAGACCCTATAGACTATATGACTTATAGCAGAGATCTATGGGAAATTCTTTCTAAATTCTAACAGAAACGTGCATTCATTTTCTTTCATGGTTTGTGGATAAATCCTTATTGTATATTCTTGGCAAAATTAAGTTCCTATTCTATATTTTGTTGAATTGTATCTAAAAGCTAATAGCATAAATTGGAAAGCATTTTTTTTTCTGAAAAAGGAACTTGAGGCTTCTGAATGTTGCTCTTCAATCAAGGTAATAAGTATGAACAGACTCAAAAAATTCATGTCTTCTTTGTCACAACAGAAGCCCACCAAGAATATCTATAGCCTATTAAAAATAAAAGTAGTTAGAGACCAGCCTGGGCAATATAGTAAGACCCAGTTTCTACAAATTTTATTTTATTTTATTTTTTTAAAGCTGGGCATGCTGGTACATGCCTGTGGTCCCAGTTACTTGGCAGGCTGAGGTGGGAGAATCACTTGAGCTGGGGGAGTGAGTCATCAAGTGCCACTGCACTATAACATGGCAACAGAGAAAGACCCTGCCTCAAATAATAATAATAATAACAACAATCATGACAATTTTTATTGGTAGTATATAGATAAAATTTATTGAGTACTTAGTTTATACTAGGTACCAAAGTAACTATGCTATATATTTTATCTTAATATTTTCAAACAATGAAGAATAGCTATTTTCCCTCTTGAGTAACTTTTCTGAGCTTATAAGTAGTAGAGCTAGAGGACTTGAATGTAAATTTGTTTGATATTGTTATGGAGACTATAGATAGGGAGGCCCATAGAACTCCAAAGAGCAGTAAAAATTAGTCTTATAATTAAACTAAAATTCTTTCTCATTCTCCATCTTCTCTCCCTCTCTCTATCTTTACCTTTCTGCCTCTCTCCTTCCTCTTTCTCTATCTCCCCACACACATATGATAATAATGAAAAGAGTTTAATAGAGACTAAATCCTGTCTTATTGACTGATTTAACTGGCTTTAACTCCATTTAGTTTTGCTGAAAGGTTAGATGGATATTTGGAGATCTTCATAGCTAGGGAGAATTTTTTTTTTTTTTTTTTTTTTGAGATGGAATCTTGCTCTGTTGCCCAGGCTGGAGTGCTGGAGTGCAGTGGTGTGATCTCGGCTCACTGAAACCTCCACCTCCTGGGTTCAAGAAATTCTCCTTCCTCACCCTACTGACTAGCTGGGATTACAGGTGTGCACCACCCTACCCAGCTAATTTTTGTATTTCTAGTAGAGACGGGGTTTCACCATGTTGGCCAGGCTGGTCTCGAACTCCTGACCTTGTGATCTGGAGAATATTTAATGCTAGGCAAATGTGAGATAAAACTAGATGATCACATGGGGAAAAAATTATATTTCTCTTAAAAAATTAAAAAGACATATTATTGCATTGTTTCAGAATAAGAAACTTCTTAGGAAGCTCACATACTACAATTATCATGATATCCAAAGTCTTCTCTCAATAACACATTTTATTCAGTGACTGTCGCCAAAACTGCACTCCAGAGGTTGGCCTCTCGGGAAGCCTGATTAGACCTATTCAATGGTACATCGATTTATTTTGCAATTAACAGAAGACAAGGAAGATCTATTTGAAATTTGTATTTCTTCCACCACTATTTATAGTTTAAGCACTAATTAAAAGAAAAATGTATAAATCCAAATATTAATATGTCTATAATAGTGTTAACTACTCATTAAGAAGCACTTAGTAGGTAACATTCAATTTCTATTCAAATGCAAAACATTATCTCTATTTTTAGCTGTTATTCTTAATTTTACTATGAATTAGTTACATTTATAATGCTTGATGTTTATCCTGGGCACATCTCAATGAAATTTTAATTGTAAATGCCTTTTGCATACCTGAAACAGAGAAAAATGTTTTTCTTCACTATTTCTTATGTGTAATTGTGGGAAAAAATTTCACTGAAAGTGAATTTTTATGATGTATCTTGGCCACTGATTTCTTTTGAATTGAGGCCTGAGGGTTTCTTTCAGTCCACATGCACTCCGTGGTTAAAATTGATTAAAGCCAGGATGTGAAAGGAGAAAAATAGAGAAATACACAGAAAAACTGAATATTTGACTTCAAGGTAAGTTTTATTATTCTTTCTTTTTATGTTTGAACTTTATTTTTAAATAACAAAACTAATATATGATTATTAAAAATTTCTTGGAAAGGAATATAACATATATATATATCACTGATGTTCCTATGCCAGAAATAATTATTGATAGCGTAATGGTTTTTATCCTCTACTTTTAAAAAATCACATATATAGATCATTTTTACAAAAGTATTCATAAGCATAGTTAACAGTTAATGCTAATTGGTAAGAACATTATTTTTCTTATCTCCTATACTTCTTTTCTGGGTGGAAATCAAAGTGTAAACTTTGATAGTCATAAGTGCTGTTTATCAAATAATTTTGGTTTTCTCACTTTTGAGCATATGGGAATATTTCACTTTCTGCTCATCTTTTAGTTAGATGAGGTCATGTGTTAGAAGGTTTTAAACAATTAATTATGATCAGAGTAATGGATGCCATTTTGGAACCAGATCATTTATTGGTAAATGGGCAACCCTCCCAAGAGTTCTTCCAGCCAATACAGTAAACAACAGCATTCAAAGTGATGGCTGTGCCACTGGCTTGGGTCTGTGATTAACTAAAATGAGCAGAGCCCCCTTCTGGCCAGCAAAGGACATATGATAAATGACCGAAAACTCAATTTGTGTTATTTTAAGCCATTAGGATTTTGAGGTTTATTACCATGGCACAACTTAGTATATCCTAATATACACCCCAATTTTTATCTGTCTCCAAATGGCTTCAATTAATTCTCATGAAAAGAGGAAATCTGAACCAAAGACTGCAGAAAATAATAAATTTGGATCATAATATGTATTTTTAATGAAAAATTATTATTAAGGTAATGTGTTCTGTTGTAAAAAAAAAAAAGTGCTGTGTGAGTTAACATCAAATTGAAGTTTCAGTAAGGAATTTCTCCTTGTTTAATCAGGACTCTAAATATAGTGATATCTCCATAGCGATTGAAAATCTAGGATACCAAGGGCTGTTCTCATTCAAATGGTAAAATAACAATGTGTTCCTAAACATGCCCCTAAAAGCAGGCAGAGTTGTAGTCACAGATAATTTTTGAAAAGCCAAAAGATAAATAACACTACTTAGCCCCTCATAAGACTGATAATGAAAGGACAGAAAGCACAAATTATAACCACCGGAAAGAAAAAGTGAGGTAATCACAAAACCCATAGTATTTAAATTTATAGAAAGAGTTACTACAAACATTTTTGCGAATAAATTTGAAAAAAATATAAAATTTCCCAAATATGCATAAAGTCACTTGAGTTACCAAAACTCACATAAGAAGAAATATAAAATCTGAATTAGTGTTTATTTTAAAAAAATAAATCTAAAATTACAAACTTTCCACAAAATAAGATTTAAGGGTTGTATACAGAATGATATAAAACTTTTAAGGGAGAAATAATAGTCCTATCTAGTACAATAAGACAAACAAAAAAGGAAATAAAAGGTATACATATTGGGAGGGAAGAAATAAAACTTTTTTTTTTTTTTTTTTTTTTTTTTGCAGATGACATGATTATCTATGTAGGAAATCTGAAAGAACCGACAATCTCCTGGAACTAAAAAGTGAGTATAACAGGGTTGCAGAATACAAGGTTGATACACAAAAGCCAATCATTTTCCCATATACTAGCAATGAACAGGAAGAATTCGGAATTAAAAACCCAAAGCCATTTATATTAGCACCCCCCTAAATGAAATACTTAGGTATAAACCTAAAAAAATATTTACAAGATCTATGTGAGGAAAACCACAAAGGTCTGATGAAAGAAACCAAAGAACTAAATAAATGGAGAGATATCCCATGTTCTCAGATAGGAAGTCTCAATGTCAAGATGTCAATTTTTTTCTAACTTGATCTACAGATTCAACACAATCCAATAAAATTCCCAGCAAAGTATTTTGGAGATACTGAAAAACTGATTCTAAAATTTATATGGACAGGCAACGATGCAGAATAGTTGATAACACAGCATTGAAGGAGAAGAACAGAGTTGGAGGACTGATACTACCTAATTTAAAGACATACTATACAGCCACAGTTAGTAATAAAGACAGTGTATTATTGATGCAAGAACAGACAAATAGATCAATGAGACAGAACAGAGAGCACAGGAATAGATCCACATAAATATAGTCAATTGATTTTTCAATAAAGGAGCAAAGGTAATACAATACAGAAAAGAGAAGCTTTTCAACAAATGATTCTGGAACAACTGGGCATCCACATGCAATGAAGTGAATCTAGATGCAGACCTTATTATACCCTTCCCCAAAATTAACTCGAAATGAACCACAGACCTAAACATAAAATGCAAAACTATAGAAATCCTAGAAGATAACATAGGAAGAAATCTAGATGACGTTGGGCTTGGTGATGACTTTTTACTTGCAACACCAAAGATACTATCCATGAAAGAAACAAATAATAAACTGGACTTTATTAACAATGAAAAATGTCTGCTCTGTGAAAGACAGTCAAGTGAATGAAGGACAAGCCACAAACTGGGGGGAAACATTTGCAAAGACATATCTGATAAAAGAGTATTATCCAAAATACACAAATAACTTTTAAAACTCAACAATAAGGACACCAACCACTCGATTAAATGGGCCAAAGACCTTAACAGAGAGCAATGCATATAAAGAGATATCCCACATCATACGTTATCAGGGAAATGCAAACCAAAACAACAACAAGAAATCTATTCAGTTATATAAATATAGTAATAATCTATCCACTTATGTAATTGGAATTATAGACAATATGTTGTGAACATAGATTATTTGGTAAAGACAAATCAATATGGAATTCCAACCACAGAAATTATGTTTAGGAAAATTGCTGTCAACTTCTATGTAAAAATAAGAAGACTTCTATTGTTTTTGTCAAATATTTATCAAAATTCATGGTTTTGACTATTTTTTTTCTGTTTTTTAGTCTTCATATTGATTTTGATTGATTTCAGAAGAGAGTAGAATAGAAATAGCTTTTACCCACAATAGCTTGTGTTAAATGTCTTAAAGGAATTATAAAAAACCCCTCAAGTTTACTCTGATTCCCAATTTGCTCTTTTCTAAGTAGTAGAAAGCCTAAATCAGAATTGAAGTTGAGAACAATTATTGCTAACACTAAAGAAAATTGTAGTATATACATTGTAACTATTATTTTCTAATATCATGAATTTTTCCTTTCTTTGTGTAGCCACTTTTTCCAGTATGTTATGTAAGTATTAAAAAAATTGTATTTTGCCATCAGTCTTAAATTGTTCTGGTTTCTTGGCTATTTTGTGACATTTGCAGACTCATTTTGAATTCCATATAACTTTTTCTGAATGCCTAGCTCAAGAAAGCTTGCCGTAGGGAAGACAAAATAAAAAACATTGAGACAGATATTAACTTTAGAATAAACACAAGCCCCTTGCCCTTTGCTATAAATTCATATTTCTTTGTATAACTTTCTTAGCACCTGGATGAGATTACATTCTCAATATCCATGCTAATCCTATCAAAATTTAATTTGTCAATTGATTTTTTTCAAATACTGTTGTTTTCATCTAATCAGACTTCTAATTACTCACTCATTCTTTCCTATAGATATCTCTCTGTACCATGTGAGATCTGAGAATGCTTTCAGACTGGCTTTGGGAGGGACATTTATGATTTGTATTACATACAGCTCTATTCAGCTGGCAAAGTCCTTTAATATCAACATTTCATTTATTCTTCATAAGGGATATTATTATCCTCATTTTTTTCCATAGGAAACTGAAGTACAGAAAGTGGTAGGTATTTAGTGAGGGACATGAAGAATAAGCAGCAGAATTTAGACTATGAATTATTATCCTGCACATATTGACATACCCAAACATCACACTAGTATGCACACAGCAAGGTTTCAAAGCCCCAAAGATATCGGGGGGATCATGCAAAACGGAGAAAAAGTCACACTCACCCAAGTGATATAATTTGATTTCTCCATAGCCATCTGCTTAGCTTACTGTACTTTGGGTGTTGTTTTCCTTGTAGTCCAATTTCTTTTCTTATTGATGGACACTCTGTCATGCTCAGGGTTAGGTTCCAGCCTCAGCTGAGGTCCAAGGGGAGTGGGTGCATGGGGTCAGGGAGCTGGAAGAACATTTGAGAGACACCAGTAAATAAGACATGGCTTTATTCAGCAGCTCTCTCATCAGCAGCTCTCTCTCATCAGCAGCTCTCCTACATTGTCTGCTCTGTCTTAGCTGCTTGCTCCGGCTGCTTCCACACACAGTTGTGTGGCTGGCTCTCCCTTCAGGGTCAGCGGCTTGACTCTTTCTCTCTCTGGGCACAAACACACCTGTACAGTGTCAGCAGGGCAATTATTCCTTTAACAGACAATAGTGGTGTAGGGTCAAGGGATGGCCTTCTCATATTATGGCTACATGGATGTGATAAAAAGTGAAGTTACACACTTGCACTCTAAACTCGTTGAGTCACACAGGATGTTTACCTTGGCCTATGCCCACTTGGCCACAGCACAGCCATGTTCCTTACACTCTTCTTCCTTAGTTTCTGTGGCCCTAATTCCTCTGGCATTTCCTGTGTATTGTTGCTCTGTCTCCTATTTTTATTTATTTCCTCCTCTGACCATTCTTTCAACAGCAGGTTTATCCTTGGCATTATTTTAAGACCTCTCTCCCCTCACTCTATGCATTTACGCAGAGGAAATATAAGCATTACTGTGTTAATCAGTGTTCAATTGCAAATAACAGAAACCACTTTATTTAAGTGGAAAGAATTTTAATTCAGAAAATTAGATGCCATAAATCACTGGACAGTCTACAGCTGTGCTTCCAATAGGGCAGTCACTAACCACATGTGGTCATTTACACTTAATTTAAATTAAATAAAATTAAAATTCAGGCCAGGTGCACTGGCTCATGTCTATAATCTCAACACTTTGGGAGGCTAAGGCAGGAGGATGGCTCAGGAGTTCAAGACCAGCCTGAGCAATATAGTGAGACCCTGTCTCTATTTCTATTTTTAAAATTTTTTTTAAAATTTAAAAATCAGTTTAAAAAATTAAAATTTAATTCCGCAGTTGCAATAGTCACATTTCAAGTGATTAATAGTCACATGTGTCTAGTGGCTGCTATATTAGACCACACAGAGTCACAAAACAATTTTCTCACGACAGAACATTCTTTTGGACAGTGCTGGCCTAGAGGATCAAGTTCTAGGTTGAACTTATAGCAATGATTCTCAGAAAAACATGACAGAATTTGTTCACTAGGGGATCTACTACCTCTGCCACAATCAGCAAGGAAGGGAAATAGAAAGCCAATATCACAGCTGATGACTCCAGGGCCACGTAATTTCTGTAAAACCTTCACCAGTAGAATGAATGTCCCATGCCCTGTCTCTTGACACACATTAAACTAAAGACTAGAACATGGGACTTCTGCTGCAACCAACACAAAAACCAACCACACTTACAATTGGGCTTGCCAGCAGAAGCAGCAGGAGGAGTAGAAGTTTGTCCCTCCCTCATAAGGATGAATTCTGCTGCCAGACCTCATGAGGATGCATCTGATCAGTAGAATCTGTGTCATGTGTGGAACCTAAGCTATAAAAGGATCTGTTAAATGTGCCTTTAGGTTTTCAGACTCCAGCTTAAGGGATACTACAAGGATAACAAAATTAAGCTGAGTGAGCCCATCTTTATCATCTGCCACAGTTTCTGAGTGCTCTTCTTTGGTGATAGACGTATTTTTATTTCTAGCTTTTTTCTGTCTTATGGGCAACTGACCCACGTATCTAACTGCCACCCAGATGTCTCCCCATGGTTATTTCACATTCATAAGTCCAAATGTGAACTCTTCTTTCATCCAAATCTTCTCCCTATCATGCACTTTATCTTAGTGGATGATTATTTATAATGAAGCCCAAACAGGAGCTTTACCTGTATGTTTTCCCTCCCCTTGACACTCTTCATCTAGTCAGCAGGTCCTGTTGACTCTGGAGACCTTCCACATACCACACCTTGGTCATCATTCCTCTGCTTCAGCTGAGAATTTATCATCTTCAACCTCTTCTACTGATTACCTGTAATACATTTGGGATCATTCTAGTTTCTTGTAATATATTTCCCCATTTATTCTTTATGACAGGTGAGGGTTCTCACTTACATTTTCAAGTAGGAAGTCCAAGGCTTAAGGGGAATTAAAGTTTAAACCTTGATCCCCTTGGTATCTCACTCTGTGCTTTCAAGTGTTGGGTCTCAGGAGACAGTAGTGGGTCAACTCCTGCTGGTATGTTTCCTGAATCACCTGGAGCATTTAAAACATATATGTTCATAGGCTCTACACAGACACCCTGAATCCTAATGTCTGGGGTTTTTTTACCCCCAGGAATTTGCATATTTTAAAATCCTCTAAGGTGATTATGTTGGATCTCCCTTTCCATATGTATGATGGGAATATTGAAACAAAGATTTTCTATTTTTTTTTAAACCAGTAGAATTGCTTTATCAATAAAAGTCTATCATTTTGCATTCTCTGTCTCTCGTGTGTGTGTGTGTATGTGTGTGTGTGTGTGTGTGTGTGAATAATAAAAGAATAGATGTTTGATCAAAGGTTGAAAAAGTTAGAAAGCCACAAATGCTCAACTCAGAAGACTCCAAAGCATGTTTGTAGAGCATGTCTATTGAAAATCATTTTCCTTGGAGATCTTTGATATTCTTTTCATCTTTAACTTAATGTTAATCTAAGAAGATTGGAGCTCTGGGCATATGGAAATGAGAAGCAAATACCAGACAGTTCTCTAAACCTCCCAAACATGCCACCATTGCCTCTCAATAAACACATGATGGTACTTACTTCTTTGGTTTTGTCACTCTCCAATATCTTTTATTTAATGATTATTGGTGGGAAGAAAGGCAAGAGGAATTTAAAGAGTGCCCATTATATAATTTTTGTTGGAAACTCCCGCCAAGTTGGCCAAATAGGAACAGCTCCAGTCTACAGCTCCCAGCGTGAGAGATGCAGAAGATGGGTGATTTCTGCATTTCCAACTGAGGTACTGGGTTCATCTCACTGGGGCTTGTTGGACAGCGGGTGCAGCCCATGGAGTGTAAGTCGAAGCAGGGCAGGGCATTGCCTCACCTGGGAAGCGCAAGAGGTTGGGGAATTCCCTTTCCTAGCCAAGGGAAGCCATGACAGTACCTGGGAAATCGAGACACTCCCACTCTAATCCTGTGCTTTTCCAATGGTCTTAGCAAATGGCACACCAGGAGATTATATCCTGCACCTGGCTCGGAGTGTCCCACACCCATGGAGCCTTGCTCACTGCTAGCACAGCAGTCTGAGATAGAACTGCAAGGTGGCAGCGAGGCTGGGGGACGGGCATCCGCCATTGCTGAAGCCTGAGTAGGTAAACAAAGCTGACGGGAAGCTCGAACTGGGTGGAGCCCACTGCAGCTCAAGGAGGCCTGCCTGCCTCTGCAGACTTCACCTCTGGGGGCAGGACATAGCTGACAAAAGGCAGCAGAAACTTCTGCAGACTTAAATGTCCCTGTCTGACAGCTTTGAAGAGAGTAGTGGTTCTCCCAACATGGAGTTGCAGATCTGAGAACAGACAGACTGCCTCCTCAAGTGGGTCCCTGACCCCCGAGTAGCCTAATTGGGAGACACCTCCCAGTATGGGACGACTGACACCTCATACAGCCGTGTGCCCCTCTGAAATGAAGCTTCCAGAGGAAGGACAGCAACATTTGCTGTTCTGCAATATTTGCTGTTCTGCAGCCTCCTCAGGTGATACCCAGGAAAACAGTGTCTGGAGTGGACCTCCAGCAAACTCCAACAGACCTGCAGCTGAGGGTCCTGATGGTTAGAAGGAAAACTAACAAACAGAAAGGACATCCACACCAAAACCCCATCTGTAGGTCACCATCATCTAAGACCAAAGGTAGATAAAACCACAAAAATGGGGAGAAACCAGAGCAGAAAAGCTGAAAATTCTAAAAATCAGAGTGCCTCTCCTCCTCCAAAGGAATGCAGATCCTCGCCAGCAACGGAACAAAGCAGGATGGAGAATGACTTTGACGAGTTGAGAGAAGTCTTCAGACAATCGGTAATAACAAACTTCTCCGAGCTAATGAAGGATGTTCAAACCCATCACAAAGAAGCTAAAAACCTTGAAAAAAGATTAGATGAATGGCTAACTATAATAAACAGCATAGAGAAGACCTTAAATGACCTGATGGAGCTGAAAACCATGGCACAAGAACTACGTGAAAAATGCACAAGCTTCAGTAGCCGATTTGATCAGTGGAAGAAAGGGTATCAGTGATTGAAGACCAAATGAATGAAACGAAGTGAGAAGTTTAGAGAAAAAAGAGTAAAAAGAAACAAACAAAGCCTCCGAGAAATATGGGACTATGTGAAAAGACCAAATCTATGTTTGATTGGTGTACCTGAATGTGATGGGAAGAATGGAACCAAGCTGGAAAACACTCTTCAGGATGTTATCCAGGAGAACTTCCCCAAACTAGCAAGCAGGGCAACATTCAAAATCAGGAAATACAGGAAACACCACAAAGATACTCCCCAAGAAGAGCAACCCCAAGACACAAAATTGTCAGATTCACCGAAGTTGAAATGAAGGAAAAAATGTTAAGGGCAGCCAGAGAGAAAGGTCGGGTTACCCACAAAGGGAAGCCCATCAGACTAACAGCTGATCTCTCGGCAGAAACTCTACAAGCCAGAAGAGAGTGGGGGCCAATATTCAACATTCTTAAAGAAAAGAATTTTCAATCCCGAATTTCATATCCAGCCAAACTAAGCTTCATAAGTGAAGGAGAAATAAAATCCTTTATAGACAAGCAAATGCTGACAGATTTTGTCACCACCAGGACTGCCTTACAAGAGCTCCTGAAGGAAGCACTAAACATGGAAAGGAGCAACCGGTACCAGCCACTGCAAAAACATCCCACATTGTAAAGACCACTGATGCTACGAAGAAACTGCATCAACTAACAAGCAAAATAACCAGCTGACATCATAATGACAGGATCAAATTCACACATAACAATACTAACCTTAAATGTAAATGGGCTAAATGTCCTAATTAAAAGACACAGACTGGCAAATTGGATAAAGACTCAAGACCCATCAGTGTGCTGTATTCAGGAGACCCATCTCACCTGCAGAGACACATATAGGCTCAAAATAAAGGGATGGAGGAAGATCTACCAAGCAAATGAAAAATTAAAAAAAAAGCAGAGGTTGCAATCCTACTCTCTGATAAAACAGACTTTAAACCAACAAAGACCAAAAGAGACAAAGAAGGCCATTATATAATGGTAAAGAGATCAATTCAACAAGAAGAGCTAACTATCCTAAATATATATGCATGCAATACAGGAGCACCTGGATTCATAAATCAAATGCTTAGAGACCTACAAAGAGACTTAGACTCCCACACAATAATAATGGGAGACTTTAACACTCCACTGTCAACAGTAGACAGATCCATGAGACAGAAAGTTAACAAGGATATCCAGGAATTGAAATCAGCTATGCACCAAGTGGATCTAATAGACATCTGCAGGACTCTCCACCCCAAATCAACAGAATATGCATTCTTCTCAGCACCACATCACACTTATTCCAAAATTGACCACATAGTTGGAAGTAAAGCATTCCTCAGCAAGAGTAAAAGAACAGAAATCACGACAAACTGTCTTTCAGACCACAGTACAATCAAACTAAAACTCAGGATTAAGAAATTCACTCAAAACTGCTCAAGTACATGGAAACGGAACAACCTGTTCCTGAATGACTACTGGGTACATAACAAAATGAAGGCAGAAATACAGATGTTCTTTGAAACCAATGAGAACAAAGACACAACATACCAGAATCTCTGGGACAAATTTAAAGCAGTGTGTAGATGGAAATTTATGGCACTAAATGCTCACAAGAGAAAGCAGGAAAGATAAAAAATCGACACCCTAACATCACAATTAAAAGAACTAGAGAAGCAAGAGCAAACACATTCAAAAGCTAGCAGAAGGCAAGAAATAACTAAGATCAGAGCAGAACTGAAGGACATAGAGACATAAAAAACCCTTCAAAAAATCAATGAATCCAGGAGCAGGTTTTTTGAAAAGATCAACAAAATTGATAGACCTCTAGCAAGACTAATAAAGAAGAAAACAGAGAAGAATCAAATAGATGAAATAAAAAATGATAAAGGGGATATCACCACCGATCCCACAGAAATACAAACTACCATCAGAGAATACTACAAGCACCTCTACGCAAATAATCTCAAAAATCTAGAAGAAATGGATAAATTCCTGGACACATACACCCTCCCAAGACTAAGCCAGGAAGAAGTTGAATCCTTGAATAGATCAATAACAGGCTATGAAATTGAGGCAATAATTAATAGCCTACCAACCCAAAAATGTCCAGGACGAGATGGATTCACAGCTGAATTCTACCAGAGATACAAAGAGGAGCTGGTGCCATTCCTGCTGAAACTGTTCCAATCAATAGAAAAAGAGAGAACCCTCCCCAACTCATTTTATGAGGCCAGCATCATCCTGATACCAAAGCCTGGCAGAGACACACAAAAAAAGATAATTTTAGACCAATATCCCTGATGAACATAAATGCAAAAGTCCTCAATAAAATACTGGCAAACTGAATCCAGCAGCACATCAAAAAGCTTATCCACTACAATCAAGTTAGCTTCATCCCTGGGATGCAAGGCTGGTTCAACATATGCAAATCAATAAATGTAATCAATCATATAAACAGAACCAAAGACAAAAACCACATGATTATCTCAATAGATGCAAAAATACCTTTGACAAAATTCAGCAGTCCTTCATCCTAAAAACTCTCAATAAAATAGCTTTGATGGGAAGTATCTCAAAATAATAAGAGCTATTTATGACAAACCCATAGCCAATATTATATTGAATGGGCAAAAACTGGAAGCATTCCCTTTGAAAACTGGCACAAGACAGGGTTGCCCTCTCTCACCACTCCTATTTGACATAGTGTTGGAAGTTCTGGCCAGGGCAATCAGGCAGGAGAAAGAAATAAATGGTATTCAGTTAGGAAAAGATGAAGTCAAATTGTCCCTGTTTGCAGATGACATGATTCTATATTTAGAAAACCCCATTGTCTCTGCCCAAAATCTCCTTAAGCTGATAAGCAACTTCAGAAAAGTCTCAGGATACAAAATCAATGTGCAAAAATCACATTCCTATACAGCAATAACAGACAAACAAAGAGCCAAATCACGAGTGAACTCCCATTCACAATTGCTTCGAAGAGAATAAAATACCTAGGAATCCAACTTACAAAGGATGTGAAGGACTTCTTCAAGGAGAACCACAAATTACTGCTCAACAAAATAAAAGAGGACATAAAAAATGGAAGAACATTCCATGCTCATGGATAGGAAGAATCAATATCATGAAAATGGCCATGCTGCACAATGTAATTTATAGATTCAATGCCATCCCCATCAAGCTACCAATGAATTTCTTCACAGAATCGGAAAAAATTGCTTTAAAGTTCTTATGGAACCAAAAAAGCGCCCACATTGCCAAGACAATCCTAAGCCAAAAGAACAAAGCTGGAAGCATCACGCTACCTAACTTCAAACTATACTACAAGGCTACAGTAACCAAAACGGCATGGTACTGGTACCAAAACAGAGATATAGACCCATGGAACAGAACAGAGCCCTCAAAAATAATACCACACATCTACAACCATCTGATCTTTGACAAAACTGACAAAAACAAGAAATGGGGAAAGGATTCCCTATTTAATAAATGGTGCTGGGAAAACTGGCTAGCCATATGCAGAAAGCTGAAACTGGATCCCTTCCTTACACCTTATACAAAAATTAATTCAAGATGGATTAAAGAGTTAAATGTTAGACCTAAAACCATAAAAACCCTAGAAGAAAACCTAGGCAATACCATTCAGGACATAGGCATGGAAAAAAACTTCATGATAAAACACCAAAAGCAATGGCAACAAAAGCCAAAATTGACAAATGGGATCTAATTAAACTAAAGAGCTTCTGCACAGTAATAGAAACTACCATCAGTGTGAACAGTCAACCTACAGAATGGGAGAAAATTTTTACAATCTACCCATCTGAAAAAGGGCTAATATCTAGAATCTACAAAGAACTTAAACAAATTTACAAGAAAAAAATCAAACAACCCCATTAAAAAGTGGGCAAAGGATATGAACAGACACTTCTCAAAAGAAGACATTTATGCAGCCAACAGACACATGAAAAAATGCTGATCATCACTGGCCATCAGAGAAATGCAAGTCAAAACCACAGTGAGATACCATCTCACACCAGTTAGAATGGCGATCATTAAAAAGTCAGGAAACAACAGGCGCTGGAGAGGATGTGGAGAAATAGGAACACTTTTACACTGTTGGTGGGAGTGTAAACTAGTTCAACCATTGTGGAATACAATGTGGCAATTTCTCAAGGATCTAGAACTAGAAATATCATTTGACCCAGCAATTCCATTACTGGGTGTATACCCAAAGGATTATAAGTCATGCTGCTATAAAGACACATGCAAACGTACATTTATTGTGGCGCTATTCACAATAGCAAAGACTTGGAACCAACCCAAATGTCCATCAATGATAGACTGGATGAAGAAAATGTGGCACATATACACCATGGAATACTATGCAGCCATAAAAAAGGATGAGTTCATGTCCTTTGTAGTGACATGGATGAAGCTGGAAACCATCATTCTCAGCAAACTATCACAAGGACAGAAAACCAAACACCACATGTTCTCACTCATAGGTGGGAACTGAACACTTGGACACAGAGTGGGGAACATCACACACTGGGGCCTGTAATGGGGTTGGGGGAGGTGGAAGGGATAGCATTAGGGCATATACCTAATGTAAATGACAAGTTAATGGGTGCAGCTTACCAACATGGCACATGTATATGTAACAAACCGCACATTGTGCACATGTACCCTAGAACTTAAAGTATTTTAAAAAAAAAGGAATGCTCATTATTATTATAACATCTGCTGTCAGTCCCCATCTTTTACAGTCTGCAGGCCCATTTTTGATCCATCTTCTCATATATTTCTGACAATTATCTGTACATATAATTATTGATACATTGCATGGATAGTAAGACTTGGTTCAAAGAGAAGAAATACCTGACTACTGAAAACCATCAGAGTCAACTTACTCTTCCTACTCAATCCCCACCGCAGTCTGAGATCACCTACACTTTAATAGCTCCCTCATCTCCCACCCTCAGCATATACACATAATTTAAATTCATTCAAGCAAAAACAGATTCTAGTAATTAACCAAAGGTGGAAGGTGATAGGTTTTCAACTCCATAACAACACCTGTCTAGATACCACGTACCTACTTCAGAAGCACTTGGCCTCTGCAGCTACTCATTCTTTGTTAGTGGCTTCTACTTGGGCCTTGCTTCCAGGATCCTCTAGACGGAGTTAGCACAGCAGCCCCATGGAATTTCAGCTCTCCACCCCAGATGGGCTTGATGGTAGATACATGGGAAGGTAAGGTACAGACTGACAAGGTCTTGAATTTTTTTGTTTGTTTGTTTTTTGAGATGCAGTCTCACTCTGTCGCCCAGGCTGGAATGCAGTGGCATGATCCTGGGTTCAAGCGATTCTCTTGCCTCAGCCTTCTGAGTAGCTGGGGTTACAGGTGCCCGCCACCATGCCCAGCTAATTTTTGTATTTTTAGTAGAGATGTGGTTTCACCTTGTTGGACAGACTGGTCTCGAACTCCTGACCTCAGGTGATCCACCCACCTTGGCCTCCCAAAGTGCTGGGATTACAGGCATGAGCCACTGTGCCTGGCCAAGGGTCTTGAAAGTTTTGAAGGCTAGAAACATGTCTCTCTTCTTCCAGCTTTGTAATTAAAAGCCTATCCTAATGGCTTTCAAATAATATCTTTTTAATTTACATGAACAGGACACATTTATTAAGTACCTCTTATTTTTAAAGTATCAGCTGGGAGTTTGAGGGATATTCAGACAAGGTGGATGACATCTCTTCTGTCTTCAAAGATCAGTTTATATATAGTGTGACTAGAGTTAAGAGAAAAGAGTAAAGAACAGTAAAGAATGGGTAGGTACCATAGATGAGCTATCAGGCTCCTAAAGGAGTCCTGTTAAATTATAATAATATTTTAGGAAAATAGTGTGTGATCTAATACTTCAAATACTTTATTGATAGAAAAAATTATTCCAGACTGAAAGAAGTGTTGCTAGTAAAGGCACAGAACTCTAAAAATTTTGGTGTGTTGGGGCAGTAGTGTACCACGAGAGAGATCTTGGAAAATAAGATGTTGAATAAAATAAGATGATGTGGCAAGTTTTGAGTGCCAATCTAATTAGTTTGACCTCTATTATTCAGTTAAGGGAATACAATAGGGTCCTAGCAAAAAAGAAATGACATGCTTAAACTAGGTAATTGAGGAGAATTTAATGGAAGGATTACTGTGCTTATAAACATGATAGCAAGGTTAAGGAAATCCTACAAGAGCCAGTGAAGTCAGAATTATCTTGGTGTACCAATGTGGGAATCTGTTGTCACTTCTAAGTCTGAAGGAGCAAAGGAAGTGAGTAGTTGTTCAAATCCTAAGAGAAGTGTAGCAGTAGCATTAGGTGTAGGGAGGGTCACCCAAAAAACTGTACTTTTACTAGAGGAATGTAGCCACTGAAAACTCACAATCCAGTAGGAGGGAAGCCAGGGAATAAATACCCCAGTCTTAATCCTCTTCTGCCCTCGGGTCCCTTGCCGGTGCCTCTGTGTACTAATCTCAACAGGGTATCCATTGTGTACAGTTCATTCTCAGTTAAAGCTGGACAAGAGATCTTCACAGTCAAAGAGAGAATGTCTAGAACAATGACCAATGGAAGGCTCTTGAGAAGGTTATCAATATGTTCTTACCTGTAATACAAGAAAGTGAATGTCAGGAAACTAAAACCAGAGAACAGGTAGGAAGCTTTGGACAAAGGCAGGTAAGAAAAATTAGGAACTTTTCTGTGGCAACTTCTTGATAGAACTTGGACAACTGCCATCTTATTAGCAAAATAATTGGGCCCAAATTAAAATTTCTGCAATGATCTTATCCAATTTTCTATGCCTCATGCTTCAGATATCACAATTATAAGAGCATTCTCTCATAGCCTCCTTCTGTTACAATAAATTCTTGCTAAAATTTGAACATTAAATGAGTAAATACCTTATGGAATATATATAATAATAAGCCTCTGAATCTCTAGAAATGGATATAGAGATTTTAGATTAGATTTCCTATATGAAGCAGAAAGATTATAGAATTATGCCTCAGAAACCAGTTTACTTAGCAAGGAGGTCAAATCCCCCCAGATATACATTTGGAAGTGAAATGGAGTTATTCCAACAGACAGATCCCATTAGCTGATGATCCAAGTCCAGCAATTACCTGTTTAAATACAAAAATTCACATAATGGAACAGGAGTAGATTGGCTATACTTGCCAACAAGTTTCACATTTTTTATATTTGGTTATTAGTTGACTCAGGAAGCCAAGTGAATTCCTCTGAGATACTCTCATTGAAACTCCTTGTTGTGATGAGACGTCCTAATTAAAGACTCTCATTGGTCTTTTCTAGATTGGGGCTGTGGCTATCCTTGCTCAAGATTCACTTTCCCTACTACCAGGGCTGCTGAAGTTGTGATTGGTCCTATTTACTTACAGACACGCTGTCATCTATAAAGAATAATAGGACTGGAATGAGACCAATAGTTAATTTTGAGGAATGGAAGGGCAACTCTCAGCAGCTACTTACTAGTGTTCTGTTTAAATAGGTTTTTTTGGTCTTTTTCATCCAGTCCATGACAATCCGTTTCTTCCAGTTGGTTGAGCCAATTTGACTCTAGTCTTTTCCTCATATGACAAGTCCAATCTCCTAGTAAATCTTTTAGGCTCAACTGCCAAAATATACAGAATCTGGCCATTCCTCATCACTTCCACTGCTACCACCCTGGTTCAAACCATGATTATATCTCACCTGTGTCACTGCAACAGCCCCTTAGGTGGTGGCTGACCCTTCAGCCTATTTCTGACCCAGCCTCCCGAGTGTAAAATTTGAGTCAGATAATGCCTTGCTTTAAATCCTTTAATGGCTTATAAGGTCCTATAGATTCTGGCCTCCTCCCTGAATTGATCTCCTATTGAGCTCCTTGTTCATTCAACTGATCTCCTTGTTCATTGTATTAAAGCTGCATTGGCCTAGGTGTTCCTTCTCTGAGATATTTATACATGCCTGGAGTATTTTTCCACACCTACCCACCTGGCTGCTCCTGCAACTCTTGTAATTCTTTATTCATATGTAGTCTTCTTAGTCTTCTCAGCAAGGCTTTCTTTGACCTTTCAGAATTGCAACTCCTTCTCCAGTATTCCCTTTCCTTGTGATATGCTTTGGGTGTGTCCACACCCAAATCTCATCTTGAATTCCCATGTATTGTGGGAGGGACCCAGTGGGAGGTAACTGAATCATAGGGGCAGGTCTTTCCTGTGCTGTTCTCATGATAGTGAATAAGTTTCACAAGATCCGATGGTTCTAAAAAGGGAAGTTTCCCTGCACAAGCTCTCTTCTCTTGTCTGCTACCATGTGAGATGTGCCTTTGACATTCTGACATAATTGTGAGGCCTCCCCAGCCATGTGGAACTGTAATTCCATTAAACCTCTTTCTTTTGTAAATTGCCCAGTCTCTGATATGTCTTTATCAGCAGCATGAAAACAGACTAATACACCTTGCTTTTACTTTCTCACAGAAATTATCCTCATCTGATATACTCTCTATATATGTATATTCTAATCTATTGATTTATCGTCTGTTTTCCTAATAAGAGGGTAAACCATGAAAACCAGGATATTTTTCAGTTTACTCTTTAACTCCAGGACTTAAAACAGTGCTTGTAAGAAAGTGGACACTCAAAGCGAATTAAAAAAGACAAAAATGTTATTGAAGATGAGAATGTAAAAATATATACTTATTTTGTGGCATTCTGGGACATTTTAAGTAAATGAAAAAATATTAAAAGCAAACACTTGTATAAGAATGATATGCATTAAATTGATTAATCCCCGCTCCACCCCCCAACCCAACACACATCTCTTTCTCTCTCTCATCTATCTGCCAACATACCTTCATAATACACATGGATCACTGGAAGTGTAGGGGATGAAGATATGCACCAGCTTTTGGGTAATGCATAGTCCCTGTGCTCCTCTGACACTCTAGGTCACCAGGTCACACACAATGATGACAATTCAGCTTGGCAGAGTATTGACTGTTTTTAAAATGTGCCCTGCCCTTAACTCTGACTTTGAAGAGGACACATATTGTCTCTCTTTGGGTTGAGACCTGCTAGACCTCTTATGAAAGTCAATACCACTGAAGATAAATCAAATTCTTAACCTTTGATCTGATGAACTCACTATATATTACAGCCTTTATTTATGTTTTATACTCTATTAAACTTTGTATATATAATCTTTGCCACCGTTTTCCTTGAATATTTAAAGTATACTAACAATATGATTTCCCATAACAGAGACTGCCCACACATAAATTATTTGGAATTCTTCTGCAAGGGATATTTACTTCTTTTCCCCCATTTATTTATTTATGTAATCATTTATGTCAGTATGGACTCATGGATATATATTTTACACCTTGTTTTATAATCCAATCAGTATTCATTTGTTTTGTTCCTTAAATTTTCCAGCTGGCCATTGGAAACTCTTTCACTTGGCTTCTGTGTCCTTTTGACATATTCCCATCATTGTGTGTGCGTGTGTGTGTGTGTGCGCGTGCACTCGCATGTTTTAGTAATTTCCTGCTTTCTCTGCTTTCTGGTACCATTAGATACTCCAGACTCATCTTACATATTTCCTGCCTCAGTATTAGAGTCAGTCATTCCTACAAAAGCCCTGAGTTTTGTTTTGCTTTGTTGTGTTCATTGCCCCTAGGCCCTCTCAGCCAACAGAGCAAGAAAATACATGTATGATAATATACATATTTATTCACCTATATCAATATCAAGCTAATAATGAGTTCAAACTGATGCTTCAACATTAATCCTATATTTCTTTTCACTGGTTTATATTCCGTGACTTGCATAAGGCCTCTGCACAAGGCACAAAACAAGTATAAGTAAATAAGTGAATAAGAATATCCTCTTCATTTTCTTCCTACTTCTGAGCTCCTGTGTTGATTCCTCTTCTTGCGTATTACATTTAGGTGTTCTCTAAAACTACTTTTTGTGTAGACAAAATTGATGTACGGTGCTTACTTGTATGGATATACTTTGTGGTCTAAGGTTATATATATATATATATAACCATATATATATAACCATATACATATATATAACCATATATATATATATATACAGTTACCTCCCATGAAACTCACAGCAACTTCCTGCCACAAACACTTTCGTTTTTATATGTGAGGCCCTTTTAGCCTGGCTTCACTTGTCTACTTTTGTAATTTATTGTCCATCTTTTTCCCCTTCCCTCAGCCTACAGCAATCTATCCTAAACATGAATGTGGTGGTAGCTTGGACTTCACTCCTCAAAACCTCAAATAGTTTGCCTAAATCTCAGTGTCCTCTTTATTCCACCATGAGTATAGGCTTTTGACAAAATTCAGAAAGATTTGAATAGGATTTTCACTCTGATAAGTCCATGCTCAAAAGCAGTAGACCCAGAATAGTCTAATAATAGAATGGCCAAAAAGGCAAAGTGGGGAAATAGTAATGAAAACGCATTGGCCTTCTGTACAATTTGTTTCTATACCATAAATTCCAATATTCTGTATCTCTTTCTGTCCATCCCTGACTTTCATGTCCCACAGACACTTTCCAGTTTGCACACAGAAGGAGAGATCTTTGATAAAATAATCTTTCTTCTTGTCTCTCCCTGCTGCAAATCATCTTTCCTGCTACTGCCAGTTACATCTTTATTCCTATACTCATAAAGTCTTTTGTGCTTTTCCTTGTTTCCAAAAGAGGATCTTGGCATTTGGGGTCATTGCAATATGGTCCAATTGCCTTTACAATATTTCCCCACTGCTTACTTTATGTAAACTATGCAATAATACATGAAATGCTTAATATTCTGAAAGCTAGCCCTAGATGTTCCTTACTCTGCGCATCTGCTTTTACATTTCCTTTGACCTGCTGTTAGTTTAACAGTCATTTCTTTGAACATAAACTCTCTTTTCTTTTTGCTAGTTTTAAATATTTTATAATTGATATACTGCATTTCCCTGTAAGTCAAAAGTATTATTTTTATTTGTTTGGCACTTGATGTAACCTCTAATTTGAGGACTCTCTTAAGGTCTATTAAGGGGTCCCAATAAGTAGTTGATCTCTACCTTTCATGGGTTTTGAAAAAGTTGCTAAAATAACAAAAAGCAAAAATGAAGGCCAAAATGTGATCTTTATTATAGGTATAGGTCAGATTAGAGAACTTAATTTTAGCTCTGCTAGTCTAGTGTGCGAGCTAATTATTGAAATCTGGAACTGGGCATATTTATTCATTTGGACTTAGGGAGGTGGACTTCCCACATGAAGAGTCTGCAATGAAGAGGAGAGTTGCTGACCTGAACATGCTTAATGATTTTTCTCAAATAACACCCAGTAGATAAGTCACTCTGCTTCTTTGAGATAGAGTGTGTAAAGGGACAGAAAGAGGACAGAAATGCTTTTCCAATAAGTTCCTTTCATGTGGAAGAGTGAAGAACATTCTTACTCCTCTTCCTCTTAAAAAAAAATTAGACTGATGTCTTTATTTCTGGAAAAACCTCAATCCACTAGACTAGACTATTTTTAAATTGGAGTCTCTCAATTTAAAAATACTTGTGTCTCAATCTTTATGTTATTCTATATTATCTCTCTGGAATACATTTGGGTGAATTCCTAATAATGTTTTCCCACAAATTTTCTGACTTATTACATTTTGAATAAAAGTTATCCCATTATGGTAGACACTTACAATTAAGTGTGTCTTCTTCCTCCTCAGTAAAAATCCTATTTTTGGTTAAGGAGTAGGAAGCATCTGTCCAACCCAGAAGAAATATTCATTTTCCTGCCTTTCTTTGTAGCCAGTGATGGTAAAAATTCTGAACAAAGTCTAATGGACGCTTTGGGAAACTTTTGAAATTGTTAATAGTGTGATCTTGGACCTAAATTCATGGAGTTACTGCTGTTGACTGAATGTTTTAATGTCCCCCTCTCCCCCCAAATTAATATGCTGAAATCCTAACCCCAATGTGATGATTAGGAGGTGGGGCCTTTGGGAGCCAATTAGATCATTTGGTCCAAGCATTCATGAATGGTACTAGTGCTGTTATAAAAGGGACCCCAGAGAGCTTCCTCATCCCTTCTACTGTGTGAGGCCACAGCAAGAAGACTTCTATCTGTGAACCAGGAAGTGGGCTCTTACCAGATGCTGAATCTGCTGTCACCTTGATCTTAGATTTTCCAGTCTCCAGAACTGTGAGAAATAATACATTTCTGTTGTTTGTAAGCCACCCAGTCCATGGTATTTTCTTATAGCCTCCCATTTAAACTAAGACAGTTATTGATTCAATTTTAAGAAAAACCTGTCTTCAGATGAAAACACATAAACAAATATGGTTTTTCAATTGGCCAATGATCTTTCCTACTTTGTGTATTGTCTCTTAATATCCCTTGCCAAATTTTCTGTTTTAAATTTATTTTCTGTCTTTTTCTTATTGATTAGCGAGTATTTTGTATGTGATCTGGATATCAACCTTTTGTTAGCTTTATGCATTGCCAATAATCTCCCATTCTGCAGCTTTGTATTTCTACTTTCTGTATAAATTTCAAATTTAATGTGGTTTAATATATAAATATTTTAATTTAGGACGTATATATATATTTTTTATGACTTGTCTAAGAACTCTTTGCTGTTGTGATTTACAGACTTGAAGCTATATTCACATTTTCTTCCAAATTTTAAAGTTTTCTTTTTCCCAATAGATCATTAAGCAACATAAAATCAATATTTGTGCTTGGCATGAGCCTATTTCTTGGCTCTCTGTTTTGTTCTAATGATCTTTTTCTCTGTCCTTATGAGAACACAAAATAGCTTAAATATAAACCTTGACTTTCTTCAAAGTAGTCTTGTCTCTATTGGACCTTTTATTTCCATATAAATGTTTAACATTATGAACTTTACATGAATCATTCATTATATGTCCATGTAAAGTCTTACTGGTATTTTAATTGAAATTACATTGATTTCAGAGTTTGATTTGGAGAAAATTCAGTGTTATGTGACATTGAGTCTTTCAGTCCATGAGCATTGCATATCTCTCCATTTATTAAGTTTTTTCTTCCTCAAAAATTTTGGTAATATTTCTGCCGGTTTCACACATCTTTTAAAAACTTTATTCCAATATAATGAATAATTTTTATGTGAATGACAGTGGATAATTTTTATATTAAATAGGTTTTACTTGAATATGAGAATGCTATTTAGTTTTCTATGTTGATCCTGTATTCAGACATCTTAGCAGATTCTCTTACTAATTCTGATATTTGGTCCCTTGAATGTCTTTGTCTTTGATTTTATATGTAGACAATTGTATAAAGCAATTTAGGTTCTACTACATGCTAAGGAAATTATGCTACAGGGTCTAAGAAAACTAAAGGATGAATTTGCAGTAAGGAGTTTGGAGGAAGGAAGTTTCAAGATGGTATAGTGGCTCAGTGGTTTCACTGAGGACCAGACTTCTAATTTCATGCTCACTCATTTTGGCAGTATTAGTTTCATCCTCATTATTACAAGATGGCCACTGTACTGTCAGGCATAAAGTCACCATTTCATTCAGGAAGAAAATGGAAGGCCTCTTGGACCCCTCCCTCACCCCATTCTTCCACCTGGAGGGGTTGCACACTGTATAAGACCTTTCCTTCCCCTGTAGTAACTTTCACTGATGTCACTTCCTTTGCTGTGATGCACTTTCTTGTTCAGTTGCAGGCAACACATTTTCCCAGGCAACACCTAATAATAGCTCTACCCAATTCCAAACTGCCTGCTGTGTAAATGGTCCAATTATCCTTCCAAGGGTACGGATATTCTTATTTTTGTCCTTTGCTCAGTGGAAAAGGAAACAGAGGCAGATAGACTCACAGTACAAATTTAGCAAGTAAAGATGTCAGATACCTGTCTTCTCTTCTTTTACTAAAGCATTTACTACAATTTTTCCCTTTCCCCAATAAAGCTTATTCCTTAATCCAACTGCACATTTGTAACATTGTGCAATTTGTCCCAAGCTCTATTGTACAAGAGGTGATGACCATGTTGGTATAGCTCTTATGTAACACTTTCTAATTCCTGTAGCTGTTATTTACTTTTTGTTTTCCGTCTGGTTGCATTGGCTATCTATTGTATATCCCCAATAGATATACGATACATTTTACAATGTGTATTCTTGATTTTTCTGAACTGAAGCAAAATGAGCCTGTTTTCGAAATATAATATTTACCTAGTGTTTTCATTATATATTTAACAAAGTTTTCTTTTTTCTTAATTTTTAATATTTTCTTTTGCATAGATGTCAAACTTTATGAAAATTCCTTTCTACATTGAGAAAATATTTTTTTCTATTAGACTATTAATGTGGAGAGTTATAATAATAAACATTTTTCCTGATATTCAACCAAGAATTATTTTCAATAATAACACTATCGATCATAATTATTTTTAATATTCTATAGTATCATATAAATAGTATTTATTTAGATTCTATCTATATATGTGTGTGAAATGATCCTTTTTGTGTGTGAATTGTTCTGATGTGAGCTCAATATCAACAGTTTCCTAGCCTTATTAAATGAACTGAATAACTTTTATTTACCTTTTATATCATGTAGTACAACTTATAAAGGATCGGAACTAACTTTTGTTATTATAAATGCAATCTTTTCTGAATTACGTTTCAAAGTACACTTAGATTTTAGAGTAAACAGTTTGGATTATAGTAACTCTCTATTGTAATTAATTTTATACACAATAACATTGCTAAACTCTATTAATTCTAATACTTTCTCCATAGAAGTTATTATTTGATTTTCTTTATAGAATCTACAAATTATATTTTTCTTACGTCATTGTGATTTTTGTTCATCGTAACTTATTTTTGTAATCTTTTTTTTTTTTTTTTTTTTTTTTGAGACGGAGTCTCGCTCTGTCGCCCAGGTCGGACTGCGGACTGCAGTGGCGCAATCTCGGCTCACTGCAAGCTCCGCCTCCCGGGTTCACGCCATTCTCCCGCCTCAGCCTCCCGAGTAGCTGGGACCACAGGCGCCCGCCACCGCGCCCGGCTAACTTTTTTTTGTATTTTTAGTAGAGACGGGGTTTCACCTTGTTAGCCAGGATGGTCTCGATCTCCTGACCTCATGATCCACCCGCCTCGGCCTCCCAAAGTGCTGGGATTACAGGCGTGAGCCACCGCGCCTGGCCTTATTTTTGTAATCTTATTACATTGATTAGAACCTCTGTACAATAGTAGAGATAAAAACTGAATCTCTGTGTTGTGACTGATTTTAAACAATGTATTTTTAACTTTTACTATTGACTATATGTAATATGTGTTTTCATTTTTGGTAGATACCCTTAGACATTATAAGAAAGTTTTCTTCTTGTGTAAATTTGCAAAGTTTTTAAAATAAAAAAGTACTGAATTTTACTGAATACTGTTTGCACTTTTAACTCACCTTTAACATGGCTTTTCTTACTTTTGTATGTTAACCTAAATTTATATTCCTTGTAAAAGTTTTCTAATTTTTTTTAGATGATTGTTTATGATTATACATGGGACTGACTGTGAGTTTGATTTTCTTGTATTGTTTATATTTTGCTTTGATATTATGGTTATATGAGTCTAATTTAAGAAACGTATATTGTTTCTTCTTTTCCTATTCCCTGAAAGAGTGTTACATTTGGAAATAAGATTTCCTTGAATTTTTAGTCAAATTTTCCTGTAAAACAGTATGAGCTAATATTTTCTTAGTTATTAACAGAATTTCCTTAGTAGTCAAGCATCTATACAAGTACTGATATGCTTTTGATTCAATTTTATTTATTTTCATAGGAAGTTTTACTTCATTTTCAAAATTATTTGAATATTATTCTCAAAATCATATGAATACTATTTACTTTATTAAAAAAAAGTTTTGTTAAGTAATACATGTCTAAAAAGTACCTGAGACTTAAATGTACCAAACAATAATTATACCAGTATCACTCATGTTGCCACCACTTATGTCAAGAAATAGGATATTGACTGAGTTCTTTGTAGATTCTGGATATTAGCCCTTTGTCAGATGAGTAGATTGCAAAAATTTTCTCCCATTCTGTAGGCTGTCTGTTCACTCTGATGGTAGTTTCTTTTGCTGTGCAGAAGCTCTTTAGTTTAATTAGATCCCATTTGTCAATTTTGGCTTTTGTTGCCATTGCTTTTGGTGTTTTAGACATGAAGTCCTTGCCCATGCCTATGTCCTAAATGGTATTGCCTAGGTTTTCTTCTAGGGTTTTTATGGTTTTAGGTCTAACATTTAACTCTTTAATCCATCTTGAATTAATTTTTGTATAAGGTGTAAGGAAGGGATCCAGTTTCAGCTTTCTACATATGGCTAGCCAGTTTTCCCAACACCATTTATTAAATAGGGAATCCTTTCCCCATTGCTTGTTTTTCTCAGGTTTGTCAAAGATCAGATAGTTGTAGATATGTGGCGTTATTTCTGAGGGCTCTGTTCTGTTCCATTGATCTGTATCTCTGTTTTGGTACCAGTACCATGCTGTTTTGGTTACTGTAGCCTTTTAGTATAGTTTGAAGTCAGGTAGCATGATGCCTCCAGCTTTGTTCTTTTGGCTTAGGATTGACTTGGCAATGTGGGCTTTTTTTTGGTGCCATATGAACTTTAAAGTAGTTTTTTCCAATTCTGTGAAGAAAGTCATTGGTAGCTTGATGGGGATGGCATTGAATCTATAAATTATCTTGGGCAGTATGGTCATTTTCATGATATTGATTCTTCCTATCCATGAGCATGGAATGTTCTTCCATTTTTTCATGTCCTCTTTTATTTCATTGAGCAGTGGTTTGTAGTTCTCCTTGAAGAGGTCCTTCACATCCCTTGTAAGTTGGATTCCTAGGTATTTTATTCTCTTTGAAGCAATTGTGAATGGGAGTTCACTCATGATTTGGCTCTCTGTCTATTATTGGTGTATAAGAATGTTTGTGGTTTTTGCACATTGATTTTGTATCCTGAGACTTTGCTGAAGTTGCTTATCAGCTTAAGGAGACTTTGGGCTGAGACGATGGAGTTTTCCAAATACACAACCATGTCATGTGCAAACAGGGACAATTTGACTTCCTCTTTTCCTAATTGAATACCCTTTATTTCTTTCTCCTGCCTGATTGCCCTGGCCAGAACTTCCAACACTATGTTGAATAGGAGTGGTGAGAGAGGGCATCCCTGTCTTGTGCCAGTTTTCAAAGGGAATGCTTCCAGTTTTTGCCCATTCAGTATGATATGGCTGTGGGTTTGTCATAAATAGCTCTTATTATTTTGAGATACGTCCTATTAATACATATGTAACAAACCTGCACGTTGTGCACATTTACCCTAGAACTTAAAGTATAATAAAAAAAGAAAAAAAGAAATAGGATATTGAGAGTATCTTAGAAATTCTCCTACACAGTCCTTCCAGATAGCATCCTTCTCCCACTTAAATGCAACCAACATTTTGATTTTTATGGTAATTATATCCCTACAGTTTTTATTTTTACCTCCTATGCGAGCATCACTATGCAATAGAGTTCAGTTTGGCTTATTTTTGAACCTTCAAAATAGAATCATACTATACATATCTTCATACTTGATACTATACATACTTGATATCTTCTTACATATCAAGTCTTTTGCTCAACATTAGGTGTGTAAGACTCGTCCATGTTGACACAGTGCAGGTTCATTTTGGTATATAACGTTTTCTTTAAATTTCAATCAAAAAAATTTTTTATATTTCCATTATGATTATTCTTTGACTAGGGATTATTAGGTATATACTTCCTTAGTCCAAAAATATGGAAATTTTCTAGTTATCTTTGTATTACTGAATTTAGCAAAATTTTATAATGATCAGAGAGCATGCATTGAAAGACTTCAACCTTTTACATTTGTTACTTTGCTTTATCTCTAGTTAATGGTCAATTTCATAGAAGTTTATTTTATGGCCAGCTACGCGGGAGGCTGAGGCAGGAGAATGGCGTGAACCCGGGAGGCGGAGCTTGCAGTGAGCGGAGATCGCCTCACTGCACTCCAGCCTGGGCGACAGAGTGAGACTCCGTCTCAAAAAAAAAAAAGTTTATTTTATGGTTGAAAGTAATATATATTCTGCAATCTTTGTTAATTTATCTATCATATTGTTTAAATTAAACTTATACTTTAAAAAGCCTATTCTATTAATAGGCTAGTTAAAAATATTCCTAATTTACAGATTTATCCGTTTTTCCTTTATTTTTGTCAATTTTGGTTTTTGTCATTTTTGCACCATTTAAAAGAAATTTGATGAGGTGCATATAAATTCAAAATAGTTAATTTTTCCTGGTTCGTAGACCTGTTTATCTTTCTCAATTGACATTTCTTATCTTCAAAGAAGTCTTCTTTATCAATCGGATTCTTTATTTTTAAGTTTTTGCCTTAAAGACTATTTTGTCTGTAATCAATAGAGAAATACTAGGATTCTTCCGGACAGTGCTTGCTTGGTTAATCTTTTTCTTTTCAAAATTTCTGTACTATTCTATTTTACAAGTGTCTATCATTGACATCACATAGTTTAAAAAATGTAATCTGACAATAATTTACTTTTTGTTGGAGCACACACCACTAACATTCAATGCAATTAATGATGATATATTTTAAGATATATATTAACATATATTATTTCAATGTATTTTATAAAATTCCAAATATATCACTATTATTATTTACAGTAAATATAAATAATGTTTATTAGGAATCGTTGGGGTTCTAGAATCCTGTTTTGATGTCTTTCAATTCTGAAAAATCCTCAATTCATATATGCACACACATATATATTCATAGTACTTATTGGCAAAAAGATTTTTCAAAGTAGTCATTTAGTTGTACCAATATTATGCTTTTTGGTACGCAAATTGTCTCATCTTGGCCAATAAAAACCACTCTCTTGAAGCATCTGCATGCACGCACATGACATTTTAAGAACAACATAGTGATGTTATTTTTAAAGCAATATAATATTGAACATAGTTTACAATTATTGAAGACTTCCTTGTCCACAAGGTATATTCCACTCTACAGACACAGTTTTAAACTAATTTGAAATATTTTTCTCTGAGATTATACTATTATCTAGATACATAGCTAGATCCATTTATTGTATTTTATTTTCAAATTTAACCATCACTTTTTACATTTTCATTTAACTTTATTTTAAATTTTATAATATTTTTAAAATTTGTCAACTTTTGACTTTTTTTTTTCTTTTTGAGACGGAGTCTCGCTCTGTCAACCAGCCTGGAGTGCAGTGGCACGATCTCGGCTCACTGCAAGCTCTGCCTCCTGGGTTCACGCCATTCTGCTGCCTCAGCCTCCGGAGTAGCTGGGACTACAGGCGCCAGCCACCACACCCGGCTAATTTTCTATATTTTTAGTAGAGACAGGGTTTCACTGTGTTAGCCAGGATGGTAAACTTTTGACTTTTACAGTGGCCATTTAGAAAACATTTCCTGTGTTTTTTAAGGTACCACAAATATTATCTGATTCTGTGGAGTAGTGTTTTACAAACGTCCATTAGATCAAGCCCATTCATGGTATTATTCAAATTTTCTGTTTTTTCCAAGAGGTAAATGTTACTTTTCCAAGACTGATGTTCTTCAACTTGTCTTCTAGAGAGGGATTATGCCTCCTGTGAAGCTCCTTATAAACCAGCCAAATCCAACCACTTAAGGCAATAATTTCTAGCCAACCACAAAAATTGAATCCCAGTTCCCTGATAGTGCCAAGGAAGCAAGCAGCAGGATTTACCACACCAATGTTTATCTAGCCATGAACGTTGGTGTGGTAATCCTGCTGCTTGCTTCCATACCAAATAGCAGCATCCTCATGGCTGGGATTCCTAGTCACACCAGGGATGGGCTGGTTATCTTCCAACAGCAAACACAAATGTAGAGATGTCAGGAAGACAGGCTGGATCCACATTCTGTTACATTATATTGCTATTATATCATAACCCATGATAACACCAGGGGAATGGTTAGAGCTGTTTAAAAAAGGAGGCTCCTCGAAGCCCTGTTGCCCAAGTATGAAGATCTCTGCTGAAGTTTTACGTCTGGCACTGCTAAATTGCTCTAGGCTGCCAATCTTGTGATAAGCAAGGAAGGATATACAAGTCTGCTACGGATCCTGTTTTCCTGAGTTTTTCTCCAATGAATGCTGATCCAGCAGACCTTGTGCAGGTGCCATCTAATCATTTGCTTTTGTTTGCATGACATTTACTAATTTATTGCCACTTGATCAAACAGTTACCTAAAAATATCAGGTAAATTATCCTTCTATGATATTGATTGGTAGTTTGTTTTTTTTTTTTTTTTTAGTGCAGAACTGGGCCAAATAAGCATGTCTCAGAGTTACTGCCTCTGTGGGGATTTGGGATTTTGACAGATGCAGTCATTGTTACATGAGGTGGTTTTGCTCAGTCCCTAGAAGTAATTAGTGAGACTAACCTGCCTGCCTAGCTCCAGTTAGTAGGAATAGAGATTTTCAGTGATTTTTCAGCTTTCTTTAACACGTTGTAGGGCTTGCCTACCTTCTAGCTTCAAACATTGATCCTGTCTCTGGCCCACCATTTCCTGCAATACCACTTTGGTTTCCTTTAACCTCTAGATGCCAAATTCCTTACTGCCTACTTCTGTGCAAACACACTAGTAAACCCGCAGATTAACTCCTGCCAAGCTATGTTATTGTGGCTTTTCTTTTTTATTTTATTTATCCGACATTTTTCTTTTTTGGTTTGGAATAGAGGAAGTTTTTAAACCCAAACCCCAATAATCCATATTGACCTTTTTGCAAATATGCATAATTGACTTTACGCAAATTCTAGGCATAAAATTTTTTTAAATAACTTTTTATTACCTGAATGTTGTCAGCTTTAAATTTTTGATTTCGTTGCCTTATCAGATTTCTTTATGTGATTTGGAATTTTAGTTTTGTCTTGAGAAGGAGGCTGTCCACTTACCCATTTGTTTTACTTTCTTTATGTTTACCCTTCCCTGTCTGTTAGGTTTGTGACTGTCTTCACCAGTCTTCTGAGGCCCTGCTCCAGACGCAGGTCTTACATTAGTGGCTCAGGGCATTCATGCCTCAGTTATTTTCTAGATCCAGCAACTGAGTGAGTTGGTATTTAGGCCTAGCATTCACTGAAGTTATCTTTTGTCCTCCTAACAGAGTATATAAACTTCAACCCTGAGTAGACATCAAGAATCTTCCACTTATTATTTGGGGGAAAGAATTCTGTCACAGTCTTTGCATGCATGCAGTGACACCAATCTGACCCTCAGAGTGGTCTCTATTATAATATAGGGGACAAACTGACATCTGTTTCTACTTATTTCATTACTAAAACTTTGCCATAATCGTCAATTTATTGCTGTGTACCTGATTCCAAAGAGGTGTTTATCTTGATTTGAATGCTATGATTGTTAAACAAGTGAACACACTTATCATTGCTATACATTTGGAATATCTTGTGTCATAAAGCAAAGGAGTGCTCAAACATGATGAGAACTTATCAATAGACTAGAGGAGACAGCTCAAAGTGATTTACACTGGCCAACATTGGGTCAATTTAATATCGAAATAAATAATAATAAAAATAGATTAAAAATAGTCAGCCGGGCATGGTGGCTCACGCCTGTAATCCCAGCACTTTGGGAGGCCAAGAAGGGTGGATCACTTGAGGTCAGGAGTTCAAGACCAGCCTGGCCAACATGGTGAAAACTCGTCTCTACTAAAAATACAAAATTTAGCCAGGTGTGGTGGCAGGTGCCTGTAATCCTAGCTACTTGGGAGGCTGAGGCAGGAGAATCACTTGAACCTGGGAGGTGGAGGTTGTAGTGAGCCAAGATCACGCCATTGCACTCCAGCTTGGGTAACACAGTGAGACTCCTTCTCAAAAAAAAAAAAAAAATGAATAAAATAAAAATCCATGAGTTTTTAGAGATATCAACAAATAAATTAACAAGGAAATAATAGAATGCCAACTACTAACTGTAAAAGGGATGATGAAATTTTAAAATCACCATTGGAAAGAGAGAAAGATAAAATAAATACAATAAAATGTTAATTGTGGAATTTGGGTAAAGGATATTCAGATGTTATTTGTATTACTCTTGTGACATTTGTGTCAGTTTGAAATTATTTCAATATAATAGTATAGAAAAGAGTAACATATTAAAACTGTCTCAAATTGTGTTGCTTTAAGAAAGCCAAAAGAATTCAAAATTAGGAAATATATGTACATGAATATAAATCAAATAAATATGTTTAAGGAGGAAATATATACAAACATCTGAATTTTAATAAAAATGTTAGGTAAAATTTCTTGTCCATTTCGTTATAAGTACCTTAATTAGGCCGGGCGCAGTGGCTCATTCCTGTAATCCCAGCACTTTGGGAGGCCGAGGCGGGTGGATCACAAGGTCAGGAGTTCAAGACCAGCCTGGCCAACACAGTGAAACACTGTCTCTACTAAAAATACAAAAATTTGCCAGTCCTGGTGGGGCATGCCTGTAGTCCCAGCTAGTGAGGAGGCTAGGGCAGGAGAATCGCTTGAACCCAGGAGGTGGAGGTTGCAGTGAACCAAGATCTTGCCACTGTACTCCAGCTTGGGCAACAGAGTGAGACTTGTCAAACAACAACAACAACAAACCAAAAAAAAACCTTAATTAAGTGGAAATAGAAGCTATATACTGATAAAAGTGTCATCTCAAAGAAAAATTCAGCCTTATGAATATAATAAAAGATGATAGATTTTCATTAAATTTGATTTTAAAAACTTGAGTATCTGCTTTCATCATAGGTTTTATACTATATTTGTAAATATTGTTTCTTCAGTATTATAAGATAAATATTGAATAGATTTTGAAAAACATTATTTTCATAAGATATTATCTAGAGAAGCAAAGATAGGCAATAAGAAAACTATCAGGAGTGTTCAGGTAGTCATTTATTAAACAAAAATTAGTGCCATTCTATATCTACCCAGGTAATTGCTTTGAAAATATATTGAAAAATAAACCCATGGTAAAAATAGGATGTGGCCTTTGAGATATTGAGGAATTTTAAATTTTTGGAAGATGGAGAGCAGATAAAAATTTATTTTACAGACAAAATAGATGAGTTGAGGAAAACACAGATGTGAATACATATAGAAGTGCTGTAGTGAAGTTTGGTTTCAATTGGCCTGAAAGAGCTGTTTGAGCCAGCTCTGAATGAGTAGGGAGGTAGGGAGAAAGATTGCTAAAATTGCAGGTATTAGAAGAAGATTTTACAGTGACCCCTTTCTCTACCCTCCACAACTCCAGCACCTGAAGCTGTGGGCAGTCTGATGTTGATCTCCAGAAAGTCTATGGATGCATCAGAGAGAATTAGAGTCAAAGGTACATTTTTTTAGAAAAATTTTCTGAAAGCCTAAGCTGCTGTGAGACTTTTTTTCCTCCTTCTGTAATATGGAGTGATTCAACTCTATATTTCTGTGGGAAGGTCACCCTCTAAATCCCGTAAAACAACAGCAGAGCTTATATATCATATGACATCTGAAGAAAGCAGGTCTGGTTAAATTTGGGAAGCAGAAAGCTTTGGCTCTTCAATGTAGAGGAGAGGGACATCAGTGCTTCTCTTGGTTTACTTGTTTGTTTTGTTGTTGTTTGAGACTGGGTCTCACTCTGTTGCCATGGCTGGAGTGCAGTGGCATAATCATGGCTCACTGTAGCCTCAATTTTCTGAGCTCAAGGGATCCTCCTGGCTCAGCCTCCAGAATAGCTTGGACCACAGGTGCGTGCCACCATGCCTGTTTAATATTTTTATTTTTATAGAGACAGGGTCCTCCTATGTTGCCCAGTCTGGTCTCAAACTCCTGGGCTCAAGTGATCCTTCCACCTCAACTTCCCAAAATGCTGGGATTGCAGATGTGAGCCACCACACCCAGCCTCATGCTCCTCTTTGGATTCTTAGAAAAGACTATGGCTCACAGGCCATACATGAGAGAATGCATGTTTACGATGACTATTTTACATTAGTATGGTAGATTTGTTATAATTTGTTAACCAATTTTAATACATTATTAACTACAGTTCATAATTTATTTTCTTAATTGTTATCTAATGTCCTTCTTCTCTTCTAGGATCCCATACAAGATACCACAATATAGTCAGTTGTCATGTGTCTTTAGGCTCCTCTTGGCCGTAACAGTTGCTCTGACATTCCTGGTTTTTGGTGACCTTGACAATTTTGAGGAATACTGGTCAGGTACATGGTAGAATATCTCTCTATTGAAATTTGTCTGATGTTTTACTTGCTATTAGATTGAGGTTATTGATTTTTGAAAGGAAGACCATCGAGGTTAAGTGCCACTTTTATAATATTTAATTAAAGGTACATAAAGAAATGGCATGCTCACTCTCTCTACAGCTACAAAATGGAGATATATATATATATCTATATATATATCTCCAAGCTATCCACATATCCAAGCTAACATAAAAAGCACGTTAAGTTATTTTGTGAATATTAAAGCTTATTTAAAATCTATTTTTGACAGATTTTTTTGATCTTTGTAACAAATTGCTTGATATTTGTTTTTCCCAAAACAACAATGGTTTAAAAACCATAATAAGGTTACCTATTGCCTATTTGTTAATGATCAGGTAGAAAAATGGGGTCATAGCGTTGATTAAATGCAGACAGGTTTAATATTAAATCCAAGAAACTTATACACTGACTTTACAAACTTTGTTGCATAAACATATCACATCATCACTAGATCAATACATTGGCCATCTTAGCTAATTTTTAACCTAGAATGGCTCAAGCATAATTTCAATAGACTTTAAGGAAATAGATTGAATAAATGAGCCATAGTGAACTGAGCTTTCTCTTTTGATACTATTGACAGATTTCATTATGGTTAAATGTAAGAATGTTTAAATATTAACTACAATTTAATTCTAAATGAATATTATTTTAGTTTAAGCTGGAAAGTTCTAATGCCAAATAAAAACATATAATAATTATTATTTATGTAAATTCTCAAGGCCCTTTGGTTGCATATGTTTTATTTACATTTCTTTCACCTGTATTTTATAATAGTAAGGTTAACCCTAAGTAATACTGTGATAGAAATGTATCTTTATTCTCATCTTTCACGTTCTTTCCCCAGAATTCAAGTACATTACTTTTGCCATCTTATAAACCTGTCACTTAGTAAATCTCATTCTTTGGAGATAATACTTGGGTATAAGAGAAAAGAGTGAGTTCAATGTTTTATCACTTCTGCTCAAATAGTATTTGCTTTGAAACAGGCATGAGAAACATATCCTAAGATATAACCCCAGTGGGAGCCTGAAACCACAGACAGTACTGAACCCAATTGCTGTTAATCGATACATGTTTCTGTTCATGTCTTCCACCCACAAATATAATGCCTTTTCCTTAAGCACTCATCATGCACTCTGGCCATAACTTCTGCAGTTTGAAGTGTGACAGCAAAACTTGCATACAATTTTTTTTCCTTTTTCACAATTTTGTGGATAGAAGATTTGTTCTGACAGATCTTAGCAACCCCAGCATATTACTTATTAAATTGAGAACTTTCACCTTAACACTTTAAGGAAGGACTTTAAGGGTTCTCTTTGGCGTATCTGAATTGCCAGCATCACTATTTTTTCTGCTTTGTGGCCATTATTAAGTCAAATAAAGGTTACTTGAGCACAAGCACTGCGGTACCTTGAAAGCTGATCTGATAATAGAGCCAGCGAGTAAGTGGCTAAGAGGCAGAGAGCATTGACAGAGTGGAGATGCTGGTCAAAGGGATGATTCACGTCCCTGGAATGGAACAGAATGGTGTGAGATTTCATCACACTACTCAGAATAGCATGTAATTTAAAATTTATCTTCTTTCTTGGATAGAAATAAGCCACAAATAATAAACTAAATAACAAAAAAAGGAAAAAAAAGCCTATGAATTGTTTATTTCTGGAATTTTTCATTTAATATTTTTAGACTAGGGTTGACCATGGCTAACTGAAACCTTGGAGAGAAAAACCATGGATAAGGGGGAAGTATTGTATTAGTTTCAAGAATCTAAAAGAAAGGAAGGGGAAGCAAAAAGTTAATATTTATGATATTACTTGTTCTGGAATGACCAATGAAAAAAGGTAAAATCAACTGGCAGATTGGTTGCTTAGTGGTCCTTCCAGGGTAGAAGATTTCTAGAATGCATTAACATGTGGTACCAAACTTTTGATACTTGTGCACATTACCATGTTTCCACCACTAGGCTCTCCCCCACAACTCTTTGTCTCCAATCTTTCCGGCTTTTCCTTCCAGGTTTCTGACCAGCTGGCCAGGACTCTTGTCACTGTCCAGGAATCCATTTACATTTTCACCTCTGGATACTTTTCTTTCCACACAAAGTGGGTACCAGGTGCACCCCTAACAGATCCTCATCATATGACAAAATGTCCTTGACAGCTATTAAATGAATTCACGCAGGCCTCACTTTAGAATGTAGCAAACATTAAAAAAAATTATTGAATGAAATAATGAATACATGAATGATTGGGCCCATAAGAATAAGAAAATTTCAACTAATTTTGAATTAACTCTTAACAAATATAGCCAGATTTCAGGAGTAAAATGAGCTTTTAGAAGATACAGATTTAATATTTCCTGGATACTATTATTATACTTTTCCATAATAATACTTACTAAATGATGGGAAAATACACAATTTGGAAAATTTAAGTATTCATTAGCTTTATTTCTTTCATCTAGACTTTTACCTGAATTTACAAGATACACATAAATTTCCCAAATTCATTTGTTTTCCATCACAATGTTACTCGGCTCAAGTGTACTTTCATGCTTTGGTTTACTTTCCTAGAATTCTCTCTTTTCTAGTTATATTCATTAAAGATTGAGGATACTCTTCGTTAATATAACCCCTGCCATGAAGCTCTGTCCACTAAAAAACCCAATGAGTTTCACTTCTATTTGTATTCTTAGAGCATTTTACCATTTAACTGTGTGTTATCTTGAAATTTATTTTTTACATAATTTAGAAGGCTTTGTCCATCCCAAGCTGTAAGCTCTTCGAAAGCAGGAATTATGATTTCTTCTCATTATATATACTTCCTGAGTCTGGAAAAGTGCCCGGGAGAGTAAATGCTCAATAAACACTCATCACAAAACAAACACTCATTTTCTGTATGTTTCTCTTTTCTGGAATAATTTTTTTACCTGAATATCTTAGAAATTAAAGATGCTACTTCTGTTGCTGTAATATAAGCCCATTTATCACTGTAGAAGATGAAAATAATTATTTTCCTTTTATAAAGCCATATGAATTGGTAATGTGTGGTAATGTCCTTTCAGAATAACAATTTCAGCAGAGTATTATTAAATTTAATTAATGTAAAAATAATTCTCTGGTCTCAGAAGCATACTTGCAATAATCATCATTCTAAGCTTTAAAAATTCTACTTTATTCTAAGATGACAATGTTAATATGTTTTATTACAATCTAGTGATTCCCTTGGGCCCAGAACATGTTGAATATTTTATAACACTTTAGCTTTCTAACCTGTAAACAAATAAAATATGTTCAATTCCCTAGGGAGACATTTTATTTCTGAAGTTTATGAACCTCTCTCTGTCTTTTCCTCAGGGCTGACAGCATTTAAGTGGCTGGTCTTATATAATTTATAATGTGGAAGAATTTACTGGATAAGGGGATTCAAAGTGATTATTTGTTTGTTCAAGAAATATATATATTTTAAGTTGCAACACTCTGCTGGGTGTTGAAAGTAAATACATGGACCTTGCTTTCTGGGAGCTTACAATTTATAAGGGATGAGATATGTCTAAATAAGATCAAAACTGGTGATTTAAATCACATGTGACTGATGTAAAAAATTTCATAGTCATACAGAAGCAGGAAGATTATTTCTAGTTTTATTGATCACTGAAGATTTCATGGAAGTGGTGGCTGCTCATTGGGAATTGAGTAAAATGTACATAACTGTAGAGAAAAAGAAAACTCCTGCCCAGGGATTGAACTGTGACAACAGATGCATGGCATTGTAAAGGAGATACTTTAATGAGGTTTAACTGGCAACAAATTGAAGACTGTGGCAGGATGCAGTAGCTCACGCCTGTAATCCCAGCATTTTGGGAGGCCGAGGGGGTGGATCACCTGAGGTCAGGAGTTCAAGACCAGCCTGACCAACATGGAGAATCCCGTCTCTACTAAGAATACAAAATTAGCTGGGCGTGGTGGCGCATGCCTGTAATCCCAGCTACTCGGGAGGTGAGGCAGGAGAATCGCTTGAACCCAGGAGGCACAAGTTGTAGTGAGCCGAGATCCGCCATTGCACTCCAGCCTGGGCAATAAGAATAAAACTCCATCTCAAAAAAAAAAAAGACTGTATCAGTAAAGGTGGTTTGTAAATACAACTATTATGTTAAATAAGGAGGAAGCAGCAGGAATAGAAGTGATGGACTGAGCCTCTACACTAGAATTAGAATTCACCATTGAATGGACATAGTTGTTGACAGAGAAGGTGGAGTTAAAGCAGCAAATTCAATCCCAAGTATCTGGGAGTGTGATTATATGATAAACAGAAATAAATAATCAAGAAAGACCTATATGGGTCTTTATGGGAAAGAAGATGAGCCCAAATACACCAAACTTCTACAGGAAGAACATCTTGAAAACAGGAGTAAGGAAGTAAAGATTCTGAGAGTTCTGAGATGAAGAAGAAGAAATGGGATAGCGTTTATAGCAGATGAATTCAGTCTTGTTGGTAAGGCTGTGGCAAGAGCATTTGAGAGTGGGTGGAGACAAAAAGGTTAACCCTGGATCGGTATTACTGATTGTTCCTTTGGCCTCAGGTTCCAGTATAACTGAACATGCCACTTTTAATGATTCTGTCTTTATTTAAATTTTGATATTCTGTCTGCCATGGATTTTTGCATTAATTTTGATGCACTAAAAATCTTTCATTAAAATGTTTATCTTCATTGTTGTGTTTTTGGCACCTCCTTAAATGTCTGACCTGATAAAAAGCAGGATTTCATAATTGGGGAAACAACTGTTGGCATTTCATTTGTAATAGATCAGCATGTTGTGATGAATACAAGTTCTCAGTGAACTGAAGGTATAACTGAGAGGTTTCTTTTTCTTTTTAATTGCTCTAAAATGTATAATGTAAAATGCACCATCTTAACTATTTCTAGTGTACAGTTCAATAATGCGAAGTATATTCACATTGTTGTGCAATGGATTGCCAGAATTTTCTCATCTTGCAAAACTGAAACTCTATATCCATTAAACAACAACTTCCCATTTTCTCCTGCACCCAGCTCTTGGCAAATACCATTCTACTTTCTGTTTCTATGAATTTTACTACTTTAAATAACTCATGTATGTGGAATAAAACAGTATTTGTCTTTTTGTGAGTGACTTATTTCACTTAGCATAATATCCTCAAGGTTTATTTATGCTGTAGCCTGTGACAGGATTTCCTTCCATTGTAAGGTTGAGTAATATTCAATTGTATGTGTATATCAGATTTTGTTTTTCATTCAACTGTTGATGGACATTTGGGTTGCTTCAACCTCTTGGCTACTGCTACTAATGCTGCTATGAACATAGTATACAAATGTCCTTTGAGAGCCTGCTTTTAATTCTTTGGGTATATATCCATATATAGGATTGCTGGATCACATGGTAGTTCTATTTTTAATTTTTTAAGTAACTGCTGTACTGTTTTCCATAGCAGTTGCACCATATTATAATCCCAGCAACAGTGCACAAGGTTCCAATTTCTCCACATCCTCACCAACACATGTTAGTTTTTCTCTCTTTTTGATAGTAGCCATCTGAGTGGGTGTTAGGTCTCATTGCAGTTTTGATTTGCATTTATTCAATGATTAGTGATGTTGAACATTATCTCATATGCTTGTTGGTTATTTATAGATCATCTTTGGAAAAATTTGTATTCAAGTCCTTTGTCCATTTTTAATGGGATAATTTTTTATTGTTGTTGGGTTGTAGGAATTCTTTTTATATTCTGGATATTAATCCCTTAGCAGATAAATGACTTGCAATTATAATCTCCTATTCTGTAAGTTGCTTTTCACTCTGTTGATTGTGTCCTTTAATGCACAGAAGTTTTAATTGTTGAAGTAATCCCATTTGTCTATTTTTGCTTTTGTTGCCCGTGCTTTGGTGTCATATCCAAGAAACCATTGCCAATCAAATATATAGCTTTCCCCCTATGCTATCTTTTATAGATTTTATAGTTTTGGGTCTTATGTTTATGTATGTAATCCATTTTTAGTCATTTTTTGTATACATTAGCCTAATTTCATTCTTTGCCTGTGGCTATCCAGTTTTCCCAGCACTATTTGTTGAAGAGACTTTCCTTTTCACCCTTGTTAAAGACCAATTGACTATATACATAAGGGTTTATTTCTGGGCTCTCTATTCTATTTCATTGATCTACATGTCTGCCTTTATGCCAGCACCACGCTATTTGGTTACTGTAGCTTTGTAATAAGTTTTGAACGTAGAAAGGGTGAGTCTTTCAGCTTTTTAAATTTTTTTATGATTGTTTCAGCTATTTGAGCTTCGTGAAATTCCATATGAATTTTAAGATGGGTTTTTCTAGTTATACAAAAATTGCCATTTGGATTTTGCTAGGGAACGTATTGAATCTGTACAACACGGGTAGTGTCGACATCCTAAATATATTGTCTTCCAATACATCAACATGGATGTCTTTTCATTTATTTGTCTTCAATTTCTTTCAAAAATGTTTTATAGTTTTCAGTGTACAAGTTTTTCACAACCTTGATTATGTTATTCCTAAATATTTTATTATTTTTGGTGCTATTATAAATAGAATTGCTTTCTTAATTTCCTTTTTGGATTGTTCATTGCTAGAATATAGAAGCTCAACTGATTTTTGTATGTTGACTTTGTATCCTGTGACTTTGCTGCATTCACTTATTATTGCAACTGAGGATTATTAAAAGTGCATATTTGATAAGCAGTATTCTGGACATGAAATGATGAGAATCATCTTACTAAACTCTAACTTGGTCAGAGTACATATGGAGGATTACATTTATTTACAATTGCAACTTAAGAGAAATTCTGGAAAAATAAACAATCCTAGAAACTACAGGATTATATTTGCTTTTATTAAAGGCAATCTGTCTTGTGATATAAGAAGCAGATTTAACATTTGCTACCATAGATAACAGGGGACAGATTACTATATGTTTATATACAGAAGTAATTTCTACTTAAAGAATTATTTTGTTATTAGAATTTAATGGTCCAAGAATTTAATGGCTTGACTTGAAAAACTAACAAGACTCATTCCTATAAGCTTCTAAGTACAGTTTATATAATCATATAATGTTGGAATATCATCAAGATATTGAAGTATTTTATCAATAATTTGTCAATAATAATAGATATAAATACATCAGGGAAACTTAAATTAAGTGTATCTATATTTTATGTTAGCATGCATTAGATAAATTTATGTTTTACTTTGGACGTCAAAGTAATGCTCTAAAAGGTTAATTCCTCAAAATTGTGACTACAAATTTATTATGCATATAAAATAGAATATTGATAAAACAGCTATCTGCAAATTCATATTTAAATTTTAAAAAATGAAGTTTCCTAGTTTCTTAATAACCAAAGCTTATGTTTTCTTCAGATTAGCTAGAAAAAATGAGTTTTTTAATTTTACCATTATATAGGGTTTCAAAAACTCCTAAAATTATCAAGTAAAATTTATATATCATTTAGATATGAATCATGTTTTAAGAATGGCAAAACTAAATGTATGAAAGAAAAAGGCAAAGAGAAAATTAGCCAACATCACAACTGTTATAAGATATCACTGTGAACAACTGACTATTGATTCATCATAGTCACAATTTGGGATTATTTAGCTTGCAAACTGCAATGTTCACTTCTGTATTCCAGATGAATGGAGATGTATAATGAAATCCTGAGTCCCTATGATGCCTATTAATCTTCCACTATTTGTGGTTGAAGTAATGTAAGTTATGGCTGGGTGATTTTGTCCTGAATTATTCACAGAAACATTCCCCTGAACTCACTCTTCCTTCCCTGGTACCGTGAAAACAACTATATTGAATTTACAATTGGTGATTTTAAGTATGTGCTCGGGAGAAGAACATGGGAAGAAGTGAGAAAATCTGCCCTGCTCAGCTATGGTGTTTATCAAAGTCCATGCCTATGGACTTAAATTCAATATAGGGAAATCTCTCATCAAAAGTCTAATTTAGTATTTAATAGATTTAGAGAATAAAACCATTGGCACATTATCTTTTCTTTCAAAGTATAGTATCTGCTTTATTGATTTTTAGATATTTCAGTGGTGGCAGCCCCAGGTACCAGATCTTATTTGAGATGCCTTTTTTTCTCTATTTCAATTGAGTTCCATGCTTCTGGCATCCTGTTATGACAGGAGCTCTACTGGTAAGAAAGTCTAATTATTGCTTATAAATAATAAATCATTTTTTAATTGTTTTTTCTTTTTTCTTGTCTTTTATGTATATTTCAAGTCACAAATTCAATGTCTCTATGAGTTAAATGGCTAGTAATATTTCTAATGATTCCTAGATCAGATTTAGTAATATACTTCTTTCAATGGATATGTCCATTTTGTCCTTGCTAAATTCGCTAGCATATAATTGTTTATAATATTGCCCCAAATTTCTTTTAATACCTGTAGGATATTAATATCCTCTCTTTCATTTCTAATGTTTGTAATATTTGTGTTTTCTCTTTTTTTCATGATCGGTCTAGCTAAAGGCTGTTAATTTTATTGAACTTTTCAGAGACAGTTTTGTGGTGGGCAAAATAATGGCACCCAAAGATGCCCATCTCCAAATCCCTTGGAGCTATTAACATTACCTATGTAGCAAAAGGGACTTTGCAGATGTGATTGAGGCTAAAGGTCTTGAGATAGGAGATTATTCTGGATTATTCAAGTGGGCCCAATGTAATCACATAAATCATTAAAAGTGGAGAACCTTTGCAGCCTGGTTCAGAGACAACGTGTGACTACTTAAGAAGAGTCAGAAAGGGGCAACATAAGAACGACTTAACAATCCACTTCTGGCTTTGAAGATGGAGGAAGAGGCCTAACGGAAACGGTGTCTCTTAGGAGTTAGAAGCAGGTCTCATCTGAGAGCTAGTAAGAAAACCAGGCCACTACCCTGTATTTGCAAGAAACTGCATTCTGCCAACAATCTGAGCAGAAAACAGATTTTCACCCAGAACCTCCAGAAAAGGACACAGCCTGCTAACACCTTGATTTTATTCTGGTGAGACCTGTAGTAGACTTCTGATCTTTAGAACTGTAAATTAATAAATTTGTTTTGTCTTAAGCCACTAAATTTGTGTGGTCTGAAGCTGCTAATTTGTGGTAATTTGCTACTGGCAGCAGTAGAAAACTAATACATGATTTAATTGAATTTCTCCATTGCCCATTTTCTATCACATTGATTTTGGGTGTTATATGTTATTTCTTTCCTTCTCCCTCTTTGGGTATATTTGGCTCTTCTTTTTCTACCATTTTATGGTGGAAAGTTAAATAATTGATTTTAAACTTTCTTTTCTAATATAAAGCTTAGAGCTATATTTTTAACTCTAGGCAATACAGTTTACGGCTTTATCCTGCAACTATATTTACGTTCTCATTATTTATTTACAAATATTTTCTAATTCCAGTTGTGATTTTCTTTTTTAACAATGTGTTGTTTAATTTCCAAATATTTGGGAATGTTGTGGATACTGTTCACTTATTAATTCTGAATAAAATTCAGTTCTAGCCAAAGAACATACTCTATATGACTTCTGTTGTTCTCAATGTATTAAGGCTTGTTTTATGGGCCAGCATATTTTCTGTCTCACTGAATTTTCCAGGTGTACCTCCAATTTTTCTATGTACAGCATAAGGTGTGTATTCTGCTATTGTATGGATTTTTTAATGGGAAATAGGTCAAGTTGGTTGATAGTATTGTTTGTGTTGTTTATATTCTCATTGATTTTCTTCTTCTGTAATTACTGATAGAAGAATAGTTCTCCAACTGTAGATTTGTATCTCTCTTTTGTTTTGTCAATTTCTGCTTCATGTCTATTGAAGTTTTGTCATAGGACACCTATACATATAACACTGTTATGTCTTGTTTCAAAATAAGTAAACAATTTACTTTTATAAAATGCTCATCTACCTTTGGTACAGTTTTTGTTCTGAAGTCTATGTTGTCTGACATTGATATAGCTCCTCTAGTTTCTTACGATTAGTTTGTTTTTGGTTTCTCTTCTTCCATCTTTTAATTTCTGCTTTATGTCTTTATATTTGAAGTACATTTATTGTTGTCAGCATTTCGTTGGGTCTTGATAGTATATTCAGCCTAATGTTTTCTTCCTTTTAATAGGAGCATTTAGATCTGTGCCATACAGTGTGGTACTAACTAACCAAATGTGACTACTCAGTACTTGAAAACTGGCTAGTCCAAACTAAGGTGTGCTATAAATGTAAAATGCACATAGGATTTTGAAAACTTGATATGAAAAAAGAATGCAAACTATCTCAATAATTTTTAATGGATTATACATTAAAGTGGTATTTTTGGTTGCGTTAAATAAAATGTATTATCGAAATGAATTTACCTGATTTAATTTTTAAAAATATGGCTATCATAAAATTTTAAATTGCTAATATGCTTCTTCTTTTATTTCAGTTGGAATGTTTATACATTATAATTACACTATAACATAATTTTAGTTATGGTTGGGTTGAAATTTTGCAATTTGTTTGCTTTTTTCTTTTCAATTCTTCTTCTTTTAGATTGAGCATTTTAGGATTTAGTTTTATCATCATTATTAACTTTTTTTTTTTTACTTTAAGTTCTGGGATACATGTGCAGAATGTGCAGGTTTTTTACATAAGTATACATGTGTCATGGTGGTTTGCTGCACCCATCAACCCATCATCTAGTATTTAAGCCCCGCATGCATTAGGTATTTGTCCTAATGCTCTCCCTCCCCTTGCCCCCAACCCCTCAATAGGCCCCAGTGTGTGATGTTCCCCTCCCTGTGTCCATGTGTTCTCATTGTTCAATTCTGACTTATGAGTGAGAAAGTGCAGTGTTTGGTTTTCTGTTCCTGTGTTTGCTGAGGATGATGACTTCCATCTTCACCCATGTCCCTGCAAAGGACATGAACTCATTCTTTTTTATGGCTGCATAGTATTCTGTGGTGTATATGTGCCAAATTTTCTTTACCCAGTCTATCATTGATGGGCATTTGTGTTCTAGGATTTGCAATTGCATCTACAACATATCAAAATCTCCATTCAAATAAAATTTTATCATTTTATACATAAAAACCTTCCATTCCCCCTTCCTGTTCTTTGTCTTACTGTTGTCCTATTTTGACCTATACAAGTTGAGCATCCCTCATCCAAAATGTTTGGAACCAGAAGTGTTTCAGATTTCAGATTTTTTTCAAATATTGGAATATTTGCATATACATAGTGAGATTTCTTTGAGATGACACTAAAGTCTAAACAAGAAATTTATGTATACCTTATACACACAGCCTAAAGGTAATTTTATGTAATATTTTTAATAATTTTGTGCACCCATCACATGAGATTGGAGATTTGGAATTTGCCACTAGCAGAGTCATGTTGGTGCTCAAAAACTTTTGGATTTTGGAACATTTCAAATTTTAGATTTTTGGATTAGGGATGGTCAACCCGCATTATAAACCTCAAAATACATTAATATACATTTACTTTAGACAGTTTTATTTTCATATGAGTTTAAAAATAAGAAAAACTTAAAATTCTGCCATTTTCCAGTGCTCTTAATTTTTCGTGTAGACCCATGTATGTCTTGGATCATTTCCCTTAAGACTGAGAAACTAACTTCCTTTAGCATTTTGTTTAATTCAGGTCTTCTCTTGATAAATTTTCTTATAATTTTAAATTTCTTTAATTAAAATTTTTTTTTATTTAAATCAATTTCTTTAATTTTAGATACATTTTAATTTTTAATTAAATTTTTTTTTTAGATAAATAATTCTAGGTTGATGTTTTTGTCCCCCTAGCATGGTAAAGATGCTGAAACTTTGCATTGTCTTCTCAATTACATTGTTTCTTACAAGAAGTCTATGATCATTCTTACTATTTTCCTTGTATCTACTCAAGATTGTTCTTTTTGTCACCAGCTTCCAGCAATTTGGTAGTAACATCTCAATATAAATGCCATGCTTTGCTTGGAGTAAGTGCATTTCCCTATACTGTGGTACCAAAAGTGCATTTAGGTAGACAGCTAGGGAAATCACAGGACTCGTGTCATTTGTACTTTTTCTCCTCTCAGAGATCATAGACCCATACTGCCTATTGTTCTGTGTCTGAAAACAATTGTTTCATATGCTGAACATAGTTTTTAAGTTGTTTATGTTGGTCACATAATTTTTGAGTCTGTTTTTCCATCATAGCCCAATGCAGAAGTCTATACTGTGTTTTTAACCTATGTCTAAAAAAGAATAAGGCCAACTCATTGAATTTATGCAATGTGATTATGTTGAATTACAAATAATAAAAATAATAATGTAGTTACTTTGTAGTGCCCAATTTTTTTTTTTTTTTTTGAGACAGAGTTTCACTTCTGTCACCAAGGCTGGAGTGCAATGGCGCGATCTCAGCTCACTGCAACCTCTGCCTCCTGTGTTCAAATGATTCTCCTGCCTCAGTCTCCTGAGTAGCTGGGATTACAGGCATGTGCCATCATGCTCAGCTAATTTTTGTAGTTTTAGTAGAGATGGGGTTTCACCATGTTGGCCAGGCTGGTATTGAACTCCTGACCTCAGGTGATCCACCCACCTTGGCCTCCCAAAGTGCTGGCATTACAGGCGTGAGCCACCGCACCCGGCCCATAGTACAATTTTTAATAAGTTATGTATCTCTGATTTAAGTAGGATAGAATAGTATTTCTTCTGCTTCTTACTCTTCTACTCTCTGAGCCTCATAACCTTTAAAGTCAGGATCACATATTATATCTTCCATGGTGAATTCTCTTATGTTTCCTTAAGAATAAGAAATCTTTTTATCCTGTCTTCTCAGAGCATTTATGCATATCTTTGTTAGGTCACTTTCAACCTGAAGGCAGGCATGTTTCTTATTGTTACAGCTTGCCAGCAAATTCCCTAAGCACAAGAAGCAAATCATATTCAACTCTAAAACAGCCATGATAGCCCACACCTTTCCAGTAGTAAATGATAAAGAAATGTTTTTAAATGAATGAAATTTAACTCTTTTGACTGCCTTTGTATTCACTTACCAATATTCCTATGTATTGTACATAAGCAAAAGAGAACTATACTTTCAAAGTCTCAGTAATATATATTTTAAGCAATGTTTTAGAGTTAAATTTTGGAAATAACTGACTCATGCTTTTTTAAGTTTAGAGTGAAATGACCTATAGGTACAATGAAATTCCCAGTAGTTTATTTCTCCCTGCCAAAGAGTAGTACAAATATATGATAGAAACCCAGAGGCACATTCTCTACAGGACTCTTTTTTTTTTTTTGGTACTTCTGTCAATCATAGGCATAATTAAACCAAAAATTGTTCTGCTTTAGTTGTCATATGTATTGAGCAAACTTAAAATGAAATTAAGACTATTGTTCTGTCTTTGAAATAAAATGCAAATAAATTAAAATAACTTTTAAAGAAAAAAGGATATACTATATAGACTTGGAAACATAAAAATTTATTTTTAATGGATGAAGCTGGAAACCATCATTCTCAGCAAACTATCGCAAAGACAAAAAACCAAACATCGCATGTTCTCGCTCATAGGTGGGAATTGAACAATGAGAACACTTGGACACAGGAAGGGGGACACCACACACCAGGGCCTCTTGTGGGGTGGGTGGAGGGGGGAGGGATAGCATTAGGAGATATACCCAACGTAAATGACGAGTTAATGGGTGCAGCAAACCAACATGGCACATGTATACATATGTAACAAACCTGCATGTTGTGCACATGTACCCTAGAACTTAAAGTATAATAATAATAAAAAAGAAAACTTATTGCTGCTTATTTTTTTTGTTAGATTTAAAAATCTACAGATAAATTGAAAGACCAGTACAAGGAATGTCTACACAGTCTTCACCTGGATTTACTCACAGTTGATTAATTTTGCCATATTTTACTACTCTCCCTCAACACACATTTGAACTTTTGTTGCTGACATCATGACACTTCACCTACAGCATTCATCTGCAAAAAGTATGGCAGTCTTCTAAATTAACCTAAGAAAAGTTTCACTAATTCAAAAATATCACAATATATACAACACATATTTAAAAATGTCTCAATTACACAAGATATATATTTTAATAGTTAGTTGTTCATTTACTTGCCTTTTATTCATTTGTCTTAGGTAATAAGATTCATAAGCTGTAGTCAAAGTTCACACACAGCCTTGAGGTGTTATGTATCTTTTATCTCTTTAGATACATAACAGTAGAAGAGCCCTGAACCTTTTTGTTTTGTTTTGCTTTTTATGATATTGAGTGTTTTAAAGGATCCAGTCCAGTTCCCTTATAAAGGGTGCTATTTTCTGGACTGATCTGATAGCTCCTCATGATTACATTGTCTAGACATTTTCAGCAAGAATACCATATTATTGATATTGTGGATTTCTTATTGCAATACATCAGGAGGTTTAAAATGTCAGATCTTCATGCTACTAGTAATGCTAGGATTGCTCATTGTGTTTAAGTGGAAGAAAGTAAAATATACACATTTAAAATTACTTACTTTGTATTGTTTAATCATACCAAATAAAGGCATTTTTTAAATGAATGCTAAATATAGCACTGTTGTTTCCCCATTTCATTGAGTAGCATATAAATTTAGCACTAATACACATTTTTAATCTTAATGTTAGCATTATAGCTTTGCTATATTAAACCAATGATACATTTCTTTTTAATGTGTAAGTTATTGTACTAAAGAGTGTAGAAAGGTGACTTTCAATGAAAAAATATAGGCATATATAATCAAGACAAATTTGATTGGAAAAATAATACAATTTTAATGAAGAAGTAAAATTACAAATTAATTTCAGAAGCATGAGTAGGACAGCATGCTTATCATTTACAGCTATTTGATGAAACTAATTTTTATACAATTTTATGTATCACATTTTTAAATGCGCTTAAGTCACCAACTATCTTAATTATTTGATAAACAGGAAGAAATGTCTATGCTAAATAGCTTTTGGCGGTTTATCATAACTATATTTGGAAGCAATATAATATGCTAGAAGTTTTGATAAGTTGTCATAGAAAATTTTTGTCAGTAATAGACTAGTAAAATAAAATGCTGTTATGACCTTTGTTTGCAAACCTACCTCTTATCTACTTTTATTGAATTTGCCAGAAATATAAGCATTTGTAATTACATAAAACACCCTACTGAAATGCAATTTTATGATCAGAAAATATAGACTTGCAGAATAGTTTGGCATTAGAATTAGCCTAGGGGTAAGGAGAGCTGATTTATAATTATGGACTATTCTCTGAGTCATGGTTTGAAAACAATATTTTTTTCTCAGTTCTTCCTTCTGGGATTGTTAATATAAAAAATATTTGTTGTCTGTCTACCTCTGAAGTAGATACAAGAATGAGTTTCTATATATTTCTCACTTTCATTTACACAGTGAAGAAAATACTTTGAAATTTTTAAAATTATTTTAACCACCAATTTATTCAACCATTACTTACTTATTATTACAATTACTTACTTATAAATAAGATACCAGGTTCTGGGTTATTGTTGGGTAGGCATGAAGAAGGTCACATGTTCTATGGAGCTGACATATTTAGAAAGCCAAATAATAAAAAGATATTTAAATAATAAAATATCAAATAGGAACAATTACCTAAATAGAATAAAGCAGGATAAAGGGAGAATGATTAAAAATGAAAGGTATTTTATACAGGGGAGACTTTTCTGTCTCCATGGCATTTTAACAGAGACCAGTGAAATGAGAGAGTAAACTATGAGCTGATTTGGGGGAAAGTCACTTAAGGCAGATGAAGGAACAAGCACAAGGCCAGGAAAAGGGAAATATCTCTGGTTCCCAGAAAAATAAGGAGGCCAGTGTCCTAAAGCAGACCGAACACTGGAAGAATGATGGGAGATGTGATAGGGTCATATTAAAGCTTGCAGGTTCAAAAAGAACTGGGATTTTATCAGAATGTGAAGGAAAACCTTTAGTAGTTGTTCTCATCTTGGAGTGATTTTGCCCCCAGGGGACATTTAGCAATGTCTAGGGAAATTATGGTTGTCACAAGTTGGAACTTGTCACTGGCATCTAGTGGGTAGAGGCCAGGGATGCCACCAAATATACTACAATGTGGGCACAGCCTCCACCTCCAACAAAGGACTGTCCAGTCTAGAATGTCAACAGTGCTGAAGTAGAGAAACCCTGAGGAGCAAAGCATCTCTTGGACTTCTCTGTGGAAGGCAGAGGCAGAGGTGGATATACAGGAGGCTGATTAGGAGGTTACTGCAGAAAAGTGGCTTGGACTATAGGCACTAAGAGTGGATGTGGTGAAAAGATATCTGATTTGAGATGTATGTTAGAGTTCATGTCTGTGGGCTTTGCAAATCAATTATATGTAAGCATGAGAAGAAGAGAAGAATCAGGGTTGATTCTTGGGTCTTCCCACTGTGCAGCTGTGAGTTGGATGGTACCATTTGCTGACATGAGGAAGAAAGACTGAGAGAGAAGCTGACTGGGGTGCATGAAAAGAAGCATGAGAAGCGGAGATAGTGTGTTTGATCTAGGACATAGATAGTTATGATGGTTAATACTGAGTGTCAACTTGACTGGATTGAAGGATGCAAAGTATTGTTCCTGGGTATGTCTATGAGGATGTTGCCAAAGGAGATTAACATTTGAGTCAGTGGACTGGGAGAGGCAGACCCACCCTCAATGTGGGTGGGCACGATCTAATCAGCTGCCAGCATGGCTAGGATAAAAGCAGGCAGAAGAGAAAGATGGAAAGACTACACTAAGTCTTTCAGCCTCCATCTTTCTCCTGTGCTGGATGCTTCCTGACCTGGAGCATTGGACTCCAAGTTCTTCAGCTTTTGGACTCTTGGACTAATATTAGTGGTTTGCCAGGAGCTCTCGGGCCTTTGGCTACAGACCTAAGGCTGCACTGTCGCCTTCCCTGCTTTTGAGGTTTTGGGACTTGGACTGCCTTCCTGGCTCCTCAGCTTGCAGACGGCCTATTGCAGGACTTCACCTTGTGATAGTGTGAGTCAATACTCCTTAATAAACTCCCCTTCATATATACATCTATCCTATCAGTTCTGTCCCTCTAGAGAACCCTAACTAATACAATAGTTTAGGATTCCTATAAAATGTTCAAGTAGGGCCATCAGGTACATCCTTCTCTGGAGCTCAGAGGAGATGTGGTGAAGATAAATATTTGGGAATCATCAGAACGTAGACAGTATTTTGTACCATAAGGCCAAATGAAGTCAGTAGTGAGGGATTATAGATGAAGAGGAGATGACGAAGGACCAAGCTCTTGGATACTCCAACATTTAGAGGCCAGAGAGAATAGAAGGAAGCTCTGAAAGAGACTGAAAAAGAGCACTCAGTGAGGTAGGATTCCAAATGCCAATGCAAAAAAAAAAAAAAGATTTCAAGGAAAAATACAGGATTAGTTGTGTCAAATGCAAAATATAAATGAAGAATTTACAAAGGAATATATGCAAATAATTAGGTATGTGGACAAATAATCATACTAGCAATCAAATGAACCAAAACTTTAATAATGAGATATTATTTTTCATTGATAATATTGGGAGTTAAGGGTTAATTTGTGCTTTATGAATCCCTGCAAGCTGGCTTTCCAGAAAGTCAGTCTTCACCCACCCTAGCAAAGCTCCCCAAAAAACTGGCATGGCCCAGTACTCAAGGAAGTCAGTCCTGATCAACCCTAGGAACTGTACTTCATGGGAAGGCTTGGTACTCACAGCCAACAGAGGCTGATGTGAATCCTGTCACCAGGTTGCTCTGATAACTATCTGCAATGAAAAACTTTGACCCCAGACACATGAGTATACCAGGAAGAGGCCAGGAGGAGATGGAGCTAAGGTTCTCACACATCATATGGCTACTATAGCCCAGTCCCTGATCCTACTAGGGGAGAGCTAGATGCATCCCTAATCACAGACTTAAAGGCCACACAGTCCATGGGTCAAGGACTCTCTCACTGAGCTGATATTTTTTCCTGCCAGATCACTGCCCAGTGCTTCAGATCGTGATAAGGCAAGGAGGCAAGGGTGGTAGGGGTACTATGACTGCTATTGCTCCTGTCTCAGGGAGTTTTCCCTATGAATCAGTTCCAGGAGATGCTGATGTATCTGCTGAAGAGCTGTTTGGTTTCATTTGCACGTAAATAGTCACAAAAATAAAATAGTGACTAATGTCAAATATTAGTGAGTACATGAAGAAATAAGCATTTGTTTACATGTTTTACTGTATATTTTAGGAACTTCCTTGGGTAAAATCTGACAGTGGTAAGTACCAAAATATAAAAGATGGAAATGCTTGGTTCCAGCAATGTAACATCTAAAAAAAAAACCAGATTAATATGCAAAGCATTATTTTAATAGTGAGAAATTAGCCAAAAGGCCTAATTTAATCTAAACAATAAGGAATTGGGTCAACAATCTATATCAACAAAATAGAATTTCATTGCATGTGCTATATTTATGTGTGAAATGCTTTATAGCTGTATAGATAATGTGATTTCTTTTTATATTTATAGATATAAATATATACATATGTGCTTTATACATTCAATAGAATGTTAATTAATAGTGATTTTTCTCAGATGGAAATAAGGTATTTTTCATATTCTAAATTGTAATGTTTTATAATTACAGTAGTCTGAATTTCTTAAAATAAGAGTATTTTACTTTTACAAAAGATCATACATACTACATTTGAAACATAGGAAATCATATATTTTCATATATTCTATATTTTATTTTACTTTAGTAGACTCTACAAAGAAACAAGAAAGTAAGATAATTTTATCTTCCAGTTGCTACATTATAATAAATTTTTTAAAACTAATTTTCACAAACAATTGCCTCTTTCATTTCAAAACAGTATCTTAAAGTTGGAAACTAAAATGAACATTGATAACAAATATATCTTTGAGTGGCACTGTATTTTAAATAACAAATTTGTATTTTTTTTAAGAAAAGTTCTATTATTGACAATACAACACCATGGGGGTATATACTAAATTCGTCACTATTACCTGAAATTAAGAAATAAAATGAATCTATGCCAAGATTAAGGAGAAAGCACATGCACATGGAGAAATCACTTATTTGTATCAATGCTACAAAGAAAAACTACTTCTAACATCCAGCAACTGGCTTGGCACTCATAGCTAAGTCATAGTATTCTCATGTTGGTCATGTGCTATTTCCCAGAACACTGACATCAAACAAGGCTGTAGCCACGAAGGATCAAGACAAAAACAAAATCACTGTGTAATCATATCTGAACACAGACAAAAGCATGAATATTGTCCAGACCACAAAAATGTTCAGACATCTCCATATCCTGGCTAATATGCATGACTGCTGCTTCTGCACCAGTCAGGCTTTAGCTTCATTTCAGTTTGCTCATCTTCTAGATTAGATTTATCATGATAAACAATCTTAGAATTATCCTCCTTTTTCTGACAGCATCCATGCCAGAGCAAAGTTCAGCTTTTTAAAATCCTCTGTCAAGCCACTTAACACAAAGTCAAAATCCTAAAATAAGTCTTTCTCACACCCTCTTGCTAAGTTACCCCAGCATTTGCCATGGTGTAGATTCTCCTTCATTGCAACAACAATAAAACCAACTCTTCAACTATGGGTGTGTCCCTGGTAGTGTTTGAATGGCAGGCATTGACGATGCATTGGTTCTTTGAATGGACAAATTTGTCTTTATGAATACTTTCAGCTCTAAGCCCTTTTGTTCATTGTGAAAGTTGTCAGAATCAAAATGAAGTAACTTGTGTTAAAAACAAAATAAAATTCTGATAAACAAAGCCAGGAAAGACAATAAAAAGTGGGTTCTCACACTTATATGTCTAATTTAACTACCACAAAAGACTGCAAAAACCACCACTTTGCAACTTTACACAAAAAAAATACTTCTGCAAGGACATCTGCCCAGCAAGTGCCTGTCTAATCTTGGACTGGCACCATCCTTGTTAATGATCCTTGTAGCCAAGGATAGTTATCTCAAAAGAATTATGTAATCTTCCTCATTTTTTTCTTAAAAATTTTTTTGTCTTCTTTTACCTTTTTGAATACACACATAGTTTACTATGACGCGTGTAGTCCCATTGCAGCCCTATTGCCAAATAAATATCTTTTTCTTTTAGAAAGCCTCTCTCTTATTTGTTATTTAAGTTGACATAAATAGTGTCCAGAAGTGAGACCTGGAACAAGATCACTTTAGAAAGGAAATGGCAACTCTTGGAAATGAACTGCAGAATTCATTTGAGCTCTTTCAGCTCTCCACTTCCTCAACTCACCTTTTCTGCCCTGGTGAGTCTTCTCTTAGGCTGAGCCTCCCTCCTTTCTGTTTGGTAGAAGCTCTAGACATTATTTGGAATCTGATTTGGATAAAGGCAGTTAAATAAAGGACCTTACATTCCTCCTGAGATAATAAAAACCTTTTGTGTTTTTGGAAGGTACTTTATGGTCTAAGGACAAGTGTTCTCCTGGTTTGAGTACTCTGATTTCTGTAAAATTTACATTCTGTCTATGAGGCATGTCTTTTCTGCATGCCTAATTTAATACTTTATTTTATCTGCATGCCTGGATTAAAACATTAAGGTCTGCCAAGTTTTCTGGTACTTTAGCCACCTGCATATCGTGGCCTGTTCTCATGCATATATTTTAACTGATGGGCAAATTACATCAAGAAAAATTCAGAGCTCAATGGTCATTATCCAAACTCTCTTTAAAAAACTCTTACAATGACAAACTTAACTTGTAGATCCTCCTAAGTTATCTGTCCATTTTTTTCTGCGTACTTTGAATCTGCTGACTTTTATGTTGGTGTTGACATAAAGCTCACTGCTTTTGGCAGCCAAGATAAAAAAATGTCTTAAAGAGCTTTCAAATTAATGGGCTTACAAATTACAACAGTTCCATGGCAACCATCAACCTAGATACATTTTGAAGATGTAACTTTAGGTTTGCTTGACTAACAATTGCTTAGGGTGATAGAACAGTTAATGAAAGGATTAATAGTACAAAAACAAAAAAAAAAAAAGAAAGAAAGAAAAGGAAATGCCAGAGAAATGTGTATAAAAGTTAAGCTCTCAGATTATACAGGTCAAAATCTTGAAATCAGAGCAAAAATATAATGTGTCTCTGTCCAGAATAAAAATTGCTGTGTCTGCCATGCAAGGGCCAGAAAACATTGAAAAACTGCTGAAATGGTTTCATGCCTGCATTGACTAGTCAAGCAAACCAGACCAGCAAACATAAGATAGACTCGTTACTGAAAATTCAAAGGTACTTGAAGTTTTGATTTTTCTTATGCAATTCACCCAGTCCCAGCTAAAATGCAAGCATTAAAAATTTAACCAGACCTCATTTGAAACTGAAAAAAGAAAAAAAAAAGAGATTAAAAAAAAAAACCTCCTTTATCCAAATTTTGCTCCACAGCCTTTGTTAGATTACCTAACAGGTCAAATAAACTTTAGCCATGTAAACAGGTCCCATTTTGTCAGAAATGTAATTTGGATCAGATTGTCTTTTTTTAAAGTGATGAGTTTGTATCACTATTTCATGACTAAAATTTTATATTTAAAGCATAAAATCTTTACTTGTGTATATGTAGAAGTGTTTAGGTGTGTTCTTGCATGTGTACCTGTATTGTTATATGTTTTATCTACAAAATAAAATCTGGTGTCACTGGACAGAAATCTCTGAAAAAAATTATATTCAGATCAGCTTAACTAAATGAACACATATAAGAGATGTATTAATTAAGCCAAATGTCTTTTAGTTTTTGTGACTTAAGTAAATTTTTAATAAATAAGCTGTTTTTAAAATTATTGGTAAAATAAAAATACAATTGTCTTTAAAATTGTCAGCATACATTTTTGCCTAGATTGACTGGTCAGACAGTTTTATCTTTGTCTTTGTCTCTACCAGATGTTCTAAATTCATAAAACTATACACTTAGCCTAAAAACAGAATGATCGTTGTCTTTGTAACTCTTTGATAAATATGGCTAATTTAATGTCATTGGTTTAATAAAAACAGCTGTATCTTCTGAATTATTGGCAAATTACTCAATATTGAAAGTTCTTAGGTGAACACTTGATAGTTAAAAACTATAAAAATGATCACAGAGAAATGACTTCCAATAATGACTAGCTATGTCTAATATGTCAGTTTCCATAAGTAATCTAGGTAAATTGTTGGAAGTAAATAGATTAGGTAAAGGTAAATGAGATTAACATCAATAAATAAGTTTTTCATGTAATTTGAAATCTTAAAGTTATGTTAAATTATGTCTGGGTCATTTTTAAATAAGATTTTAAAAACTAAAACAAATTGTTGAGCATAAATATAAGTTTGTTCTTGGCTTCTTCTATTCTATACCATTGTAGGATTACTGTAGTTAACAATAACATATAGTTTTAAATAGCTGGAAGGAGATTATTGATTGTTCCCAACAACAAAAAAAATGATAAGTGTTTGAGATGATGGGTATGCTAACTACCCTGAATGGATTACTATACATTACATGTAAAAAAAATCACTGTCTACCCCATAAATATATATAATTATTATTAGTCAATTTAAAAAACAAATAAAAATAAAAAAGAACTAGAGATCTAGTTTGAGAGGCCCCTGGCATGTATACATCCACTGCATCACCCTCAGACCAGTTTCCTCATGCTATAAATCAATAAATAAGGTAAATTCAATAAGCAGTTATAGAAGGACTAACTATATTTGGGTCTATTAATACACATAAAATTATGGGGAAAATGTTTCTAAAAATTATAAACTAATTCTTATCCCTTAGCTTTTCCAGTGGTCTTAGCAAATGGCACACCAGGAGATTATATCCTGCACATGGCTCAGCTGGTCCCATGCCCACAGATCCTTGCTCACTGCTATTCTGAGATCAAACTGTGAGGCAGCAAACCTGGCTGGGGAGGGGCATCCGCCATTGCTGAGGCTTGAGTAGGTAAACAAAGTGGCTGGAAAGCTCAAACTGGGTGGAGCCCACTGCAGCTCAACTAGGCCCGCCTGCTTCTGTAGACTCCAACTCTGTGGGCAGGGCATAGCTGAACAAAAGGCAGCAGAAACTTCTGCAGACTTAAATATCCCTGTCTGACAGCTCTGAAGAGAGCAGCGGTTCTCCCAGCATGGTGTTTGCACTCTGAGAATGGACAGACTGCCTCCTCAAGTGGGTCCCTGACCTGTGTGTAGCCTAACTAGGAGTCACCTCCCAGTAGGGGCCGACTGACACCTCATACAGCCGGGTGCCCCTCTGAGATGAAGCTTGCAGAGGAAGGATCAGGCAGCAATATTTGCTGTTCTGCCACATTTGCTGTACTGCAGCCTCCGCTGGTGATACCCAGGCAAACAGGGTCTGGAGTGGAACTCCAGCAAACTCCCACAGACCTGCAGCTGTGGGACCTGACTGTTAGAAGGAAAACAAACAAACGGAAAGGAATAGCATCAACATCAACAAAAAGGACATCCACACCAAAACCCCATTTGTAGGTCACCATCATCAAAGACCAAAGGTAGATAAAAACCACAAAGATGGGGAGAAACCAGAGCAGAAAAGCTGAAAATTCTAAAAACCAGAGCACTCCTTCTCCTCCAAAGGATTGCAGCTCTCCGCCAGCAATGAAACAAAGCAGGACAGAGAATGACTTTGACAAGTTGACAGAAGTAGGCTTCAGAAAGTCGGTAATAACAAACTTCTCCGAGCTAAAGGAGGATGTTTGAACCCATCTCAAGGAAACTAAAAACCTTGAAAAAAGATTAGACAATGGCTAATTAGAATAAACAGTGTAGAGAACACCTTAAATGACCTGATGGAGCTGAAAACCACGGCATGAGAACTCCATGACACTTGCACAAGCTTCAATAGCTGATTCGATCAAGTTAAAGAAAGGATATCAATGATTAAAGATCAAATTAATGAAAAGCAGTGAGAAGAAAAGCTTAGAGAATAAAGAGTAAAAAGAAAGGAACAAAGCCTCCAAGAAATATGGAACTATGTGAAAAGACAAAATTTATGTTTGATTGGTGTATCTGAAAGTGATGGGGAGAATGGAACCAAGCTGGAAATCACTCTTCAGGATATTATCCAGGAGAACTTCCCCAACCTAGGAAGGAAGACCAATATGCAAATTCAGGAAATACAGAGAACGCCACAAAGATACTCCTCAAGAAGAACAACCAAAAGACACATAATTTTCAGATTCACCAAGGTTGAAATAAAGGAAAAAATGTTAAGAGCAGCCAGAGAGAAAGGTCGGGTTACCCACAAAGGGAAGCCCATCAGACTAACAGCAGATCTCTCGGCAGAAACCCTACAAGCTAGAACAGAGTGGGGGCCAATATTCAACATTCTTAAAGAAAAGAATTTTCAACCCAGAATTTCATATCCAGCCAAACTAAGCTTCATAAGTGAAGGAGAAATAAAATCCTTTACAGACAAGCAAATGCTGAGAGATTTTGTCACCACCAGGCCTGCCTTACAAGAGCTCCTGAAGGAAGCACTAAACATGGAAAGAAGAACCAGCACCAGCCACTGCAAAAACATGCCAAATTGTAAAGACCATCGAAGCTAGGAAGAAACTGCATCAAATAACGGGCAAAATAACCAGCTGATATCATAATGACAGGATCAAACTCACATATAACATTATTAACTTTAAATGTAAATGGGTAAATGCTCCAATTAAAAGACACAGACTGGCAAATTGGATAAAGAGTCAAGAGTCAACAGTGTGCTGTATTCAGGAGACTGATCTCACATGCAGAGACACACATAGGCTCAAAATAAAGGGATGGAGGAAGATCTACCAAGCAAATGGAAAGCAAAAAAAGCATGGGTTGCAATCCTAGTCTCTGATACAACAGACTTTAAACCAACAAAGATCAAAAGAGACAAAGAAGGCCATTACATAATGGTAAAGAGATCAATTCAAAAAGAAGAGCTAACTATCCTAAATTTATATGCACCCAATACAGGAGCACCCAGATTCATAAAGCAAGACCTTAGAGACCTACAAAGAGACTTAGACTCCCACACAATAATAATGGGAGACTTTAACACCCCACGGTCAATATTAGGTAGATCAACAAGACAGAAGGTTAACAACGATATCAAGGAGTTGAACTCAGCTCTGCACCAAGCGGACCTAATAGACATCTACAGAACTCTCCATCCCAAATCAACAGAATATACACTCTTCTCAGCAAGGTATCGCACTGATTACAAAATTGACCACATAGTTGGAAGTAAAGTGCTCCTCAGCAAATGGAAAAGAACAGAAATCACAACAAACTGTCTCTCAGACCACAGTGCAATCAAATTAGAACTCAGGATTAAGAAACTCACCCAAAACCTCTCAACTACATGGAAACTGAACAACCTGCTCCTGAATGACTACTGGGTATATAATGAAATGAAGGCAGAAATAAAGATGTTCTTTGAAACCAGTGAGAACAAAGACACAACATACCAGAATCTCTGGGACACATTTAAAGCAGTGTGTACAGGGAAATTTATGGCACTAAATGCCCACAAGAGAAAGCAGGAAAGATCTAAAATCAACACCCTACCATCACAATTAAAAGAACTAGAGAAGCAGGAGCAAACAAATTCAAAAGCTAGCAGAAGGCAAGAAATAACTAAGATAAGAGCAGAACTGAAGGAGATAGAGACACAAAAAACTCTGCAAAAAATCAATGAATCCAGGAGCAGGTTGTTTGAAAAGATCAATAAAATTGATAGACCGCTAGCAAGACTAATAAAGAAGAGAGAAAAATCAAATAGATGCAATAAAGAATGATAAAGGGGATATCAACACGGATCCCATAGAAATACAAACTACCATCAGAGAATACTATAAACACCTCTATGCAAATAAACTAGAATATCTAGAAGAAATGGATAAATTCCTGGACACATACACCCTCCCAAGACTAAACCAGGAAGAAGTTAAATTGCTGAATAAACCAATAACAGGCTCTGAAATTGAGGCAATAATTAATAGCTTATCAACCAAAAAAAGTCCAGGACCAGATGGATTCACAGCTGAATTCTACCAGTGGTACAAAAAGGAGATGGTACCATTCCTTCTGAAACTATTCCAATCAATAGAAAAAGAGGGAATCCTCCCTAACTCATTTTATGAGGCCAGCATCATTCTGATACCAAAGCCTGGCAGAAACACAACGAAAAAAGAGAATTTTAGACCAATATCCCTGATGAACATCAGTGCAAAAATCCTCAATAAAATACTGGCTAACCGAATCCAGCCACACATCATAAAGCTTATCCACCAAGATCAAGTTGGCTTCATTCCACGGATGCAAAGTTGGTTCGACATATGCAAATCGATAAACGTAATCAATCACATAAACAGAACCAAAGACAAAAACCACATGATTATCTCAATAGATGCAGAAAAGGCCTTCAACAAAATTCAACAGCGCTTCATGCTAAAAACTCTCAATAAACTAGGTATTGATGGGACGTATCTCAAAATAATAAGAGCTATTTATGACAAACCCACAGCCAGTATCATACTGAATGGGCAAAAACTGGGAGCATTCCCTTTGAAAACTGGCACAAATCAGGGATGACCTCTCTCACCACTCCTATTCAACATAGTGTTGGAAGTTCTGGCCAAGTCAATCAGGCAAGATAAAGAAATAAAGGGTATTCAATCAGGAAAAGAGGAAGTCAGATGGTCCCTGTTTGCAGATGACACGACTGCATATTTAGAAAACCCCGTCATCTACTAAAAATACAAAAAATTAGCCTGGCGCGGTGGCGGGCTCTTGTAATCCCAGCGACTCAGGAGGCTGAGGCAGTAGAATGGCATGAACCCAGGAGGTGGAGCTTGCAGTGAGCTGAGACAGCACCACTGCAGTCTGGCCTAGGCAAAAGAATGAGACTCCATCTCAAAAAAAAAAAAAAAAAAAAAAAGAAAACCCCATCGTCTCAACCCAAAATCTCCTTAAGCTGATAAGCAACTTCAGTAAAGTCTCAGGATACAAAATCAGTGTGCAAAAATCACAAGCATTCTTATACACCAATAATAGACAGAGAGCCAAATCATGAGTGAATTCCCATTCACAATTGCTACAAAGAGAATAAAATACCTAGGAATCAACTTACAAGGGATGTGAAGGACCCCTTCAAGTAGAACTACAAACCACTGCTCAACGAAATAAAGAGGACACAAACAAATGGAAGAACATTCCATGCTCATGGATAGGAAGAATCAATATCATGAAAACGGCCATACTGCCCAAGGTAATTTATAGATTCAATGCCATCCCCATCAAGCTACCAATAACTTTTCTCTTGGAATTGGAAAAAACTACTTCAAAGTTCATATGGAACCAAAAAAGAGCCCACATTGCCAAGACAATCCTAAGCCAAAAGAACAAAGCTGGAGGCATCACACTACCTGACTTCAAACTATACTACAAGGCTACAGTAACCAAAACACCATGGTACTGGTACCAAAACAGAGATATAGACCAGTGGAACAGAACAAAACCCTCAAAAATAAAACCACACATCTACAACAATCTGATCTTTGACAAATCTGACAAAAACCAGAAATAGGGAAAGGATTCCCTAGTTAATAAATGGTGCTGGGAAAACTGGCTAGCCATATGTAGAAAGCTGAAACTGGATCCCTTCCTTACACCTTATACAAAAATTAACTGAAGATGGATTAAAGACTTAAATGCTTGACCTAAAACCATAAAAACCCTAGAAGAAAACCTAGGCAATACCATTCAGGACGTAGGCATGGGCAAGGATTTCATGTCTAAAACACCAAATGCAATGGCAACAAAAGCCAAAAAAGACAAATCGATCTAATTAAACTAAAGAGCTTCTGCACAGCAAAAGAAACTACCATCAGAGTGAACAGGCAACCTACAAAATGGGAGAAAATTTTTGCAATCTACTCATCTGACAAAGAGCTAATATCCAGAATCTACAAAAAACTTAAACAAATTTACAAGAAAAAGTCAAGCAATCCCATCAAAAATTGGGCAAAAGATATGAACAGACACTTTCCAAACGAAGACATTTATGTAGCCAACAGACATATGAAAAAATGCTCATCATCACTGGTCATCAGATAAATGCAAATCAAAACCACAATGCGATACCATCTCACACCAGTTAGAATGGCCATCATTAAAAAGTCAGGAAACAACAGGTGCTGGAGAGGATGTGGAGAAATAGGAATGCTTTTACACTGTTGGTGGGACTGTAAACTAGTTCAACCATTGTGGAAGACAGTGTGGCAATTCCTCAAGGATCTAGAACTAGAAATACCATTTGACCCAGAGATCCCGTTACTGGGTATATACCCAAAGGATTATAAATCATGCTATTATAAAGACACATGCACATGTATGTTTATTGTGGCACTATTCACAATAGCAAAGACTTGGAAGCAACCCAAATGTCCATCAATGACATACTGCATTAAGAAAATGTGGCACATATACACCATGGAATACTATGCAGCTATAAAAAAGGATGAGTTCATGTCCTTTGTAGGGACACGGATGAAGCTGGAAACCGTCATTCTCAGCAAACTATTGCAAGGACAGGAAACCAAACACTGCATGTTCTCACTCATAGGTGGGAACTGAACAATGAGAACACATGGACACAGGGCGGGAAACATCACACACACAGGCCTGTCGTGGGATGGGGGGATGGGGGTGGTATAGCATTAGGAAATACCTAATGTAAATGATGAATTGATGGGTGCAGCAAACCAACACAGCACATGTATATATAGGTAACAAACCTGCACATTGTGCACATGTACCCTAGAACTTAAAGTATAATAAAAAGAATAAAATAAAATAAAATAAAATAAAATAAAATAAAATTTAATGCATTAAAAAAGATCTAAATTGTGTTAAAGTTTGTGAAAGATGAATATGACAGAAATTTGTGAGTGATCAAATTGGCTATAATTAGAAGGGAATTATTAATAAGTTTCCTAAAGATTGAGCTTTGATATTAAAGGTACACTATTACAAAATTAAAAATTTGGTTCTTTATGTTAGAACAACAAAATTTTCCTGAATATTGATCTCCTTAATAAAATTGCAGGAGGTTTTGTTGTATAATTCTGAAATGTTTCATTAACGGTCATCTTCTAAACTGCAAACAATTTGTATTCCTGCCATATTTCTTTCTGAGAGCTATTTAATTTCCATAGTTTCAGACTGGAAATGCCATTTTCTTCATTCATAATGGTAATTTCGTTTCTGTGTGTAAAGTTTTTTTCTTAGTTTCTCAAGTTAAAATCTCAGAAGTTTAACTGTTGCTGTTTCTCACTGCTTGTGATTTGCAAGGCATACATCGTTACCTTCTGCTCTTCCTCTTTCTTCCCTTGAGAAAGTTTGAGATAATAAATCTCCCCTTCAGAAGGTCTAGGATGAAACCTGTTATTGGCTCCTGTAACTTTTCTCTCTAACTCTGCTGGTATGGCCTGGTGCTAAAATGTTTATCTTAAAGGCCCAGAAAAAACAATGTTTTCCTCCAGTATAACGTAATTCTATGCTCTTGGCTTTTCTGGCTGTGTTTGAATTGTTCCATGTAACCAGAAAACTTCCCATGCTGTTACTAAGTGCCAGGTATTACTCTGATTAAGGTACTAGTTTCTTATTTACATTGTTCTATAACATGGTGTACACTCATAACCTTAGACACGTTCTTCTTGTGTCCAATTACATTCAAGTATACTTTTCATCAGGTTCAACTTCTAGGTTATCAAAATAGGCTTTCAATAAAGAGAAGGAATCACACTGCAGGAAGTTTTTCTTTACCTTTTTGGTAACTGGCCTAAGAAATAAGGCTTTTATATTTTATCAAGATAACTTCCTGTGTTATTTTTGTTATTTTTTAATTACTTAGGAAAATGAAAACTGAGCATTGAAATGGTTAAAGTTTTTCATTGATGTAACATTCTGTATTGCTTTTGATGTCCTTTGATTATCACTTTGGTTAAATTAATGACTATTATTTCACAGTGATCCTATTTTGGTCAAGTGTTTTTGAAAGTTTTAACATCTTTGGCCAACTTCCCCAGGACCAAAATTTTAAATTAAGACTTTTTAACCTAGGATTAATTCTGAGATTTTTTTTAAGTGGGCCCTGGAGAGCCTCAAAGAATGTGTTTTTCATCTTATAAAAATATTAAATACTTAGGATTATTTGTATGGGAAGTACTATCAAAAGCTAAGTGATGGGAGGTCTTCAGTTCCATTTAAGGGTATGTTATTCATATTAGTGTTCCAAAATTACATAAAAATCTTACAAATTAATTTGTCAGGTATAATTCTGGTTGTTATATTGCATGCTACAAAAATAACCAAATTTCATTGTCAATTTCTGGTTATGGTGAACTTTAATCAGATCTTTAGCCATGGTTATTCTAAGTCTCTGTCATCCACAATTTAATTTTTCTCCAAAGTCTTCTGCAATCAGACTCATAAAAAGACTCTAGCAAGTACTGTTAAATACAGGGCTCTAAGTTAAGATCAACAGACATTTTTTCAGAATTTTAACAAGGAAATTGATTGGCTCATGAAATTTGAACATAATGTTTTTTATGACTTATTTGATATAGTATTAATTATTAACTTAAATGTTTTATTTTCCAGATTTGAGGAATTTTTTTCCTTAAGCTATCTATAGTTTAAAACAATTTGGTAAAGTATGCTTTTGTAAACAAAGGCGAAAGCATTTGATTTTTCTCTATACTTAATCCCTCAAAAATTTGGAAACTAATCATGACTATTCCTGTTTTTTATTGTAATATTATTATTTGCATAAGTTCAATAAAAATTTGGTCTCTATAGCAAGATGTCATTCTAACAATTGATTATATTACCAAGGCTTTGACTGAAATATCATTTTTGAGAATATGCATAAAATGCCTGACATGAAGGGTCTCTAACTTCACAATAAATGAGTAAAAATCATAATTTCCTCACAGGTCTAGGAACCCTAAGACTCTAAATAAAACCTAAAGTCTTCACTGGTTTGTCTCCCTAGCTTCAAGAGGCAAATGTGAAATTGTTATGTGATCATTGTAGAGAGAAATAGACATGTTTCTTTAAAAAAGCTGTAATATGACTGTTGTTAGATAATAGTTCTGTGCATTATTGTTGAGCTCTTGTCTTCTCCTAGGATTAGACTATATCCTGAATTTTCCTAGATCTCTCCAGTCCAATTTTATTCCAGGGAATTACCAAAAATAGAAATTGCTTTTTTCCTAAAGCCTTATATGGTTGAAACTAAATAAACTTTAAGGAAAAATCCCATGTCTGATGTATAGAGCACACAAATACTCACCAAACTGTTTAATGCCATAAACAGAGATATTCCAAGGGCAAACCAGAATAAGAAGTTGTCATTTTCACACTGTAGACTGCATTTCCAAAGACACTGGAACAAGAAGTGATATAAAAATGAGACTTACTCCTCTTAATGCCTATCTTCTTTACTTGGCAAGTAATAACCACTTAATTTATTTTATTGGCTGCATTTAAGCCTAGGTTCATATTATTATATTACTATTAATTTTACTTTGTATTTTCCCTTTAAAATTTTGTATGTTTCTTGTTAAATTTTTGCAGAAATGTAACTTCTAGCAGAATAATGCTGGCCCAGCTCTTAGAGATAATAACAAGACTGTGGAAGAGATAAAATTGAAGTTAATAATGAAATCCTGGTAGATTTAGTCTAAGGGTCACTCCCTTCAAGATTCCTTGTTGCTCAAATGTGGCTAAAAGGGTTTTGACACAGACCTCTAGTTGTCAATCACTTCTGCCAATGTAGGATCAGACCAGCAACCTGGGACAGGGTCATCCAGCATGAAGGAACTATGAAAACTTAACTAATAGATAATTGATCATTGATGCTTTTAGAGAAATATCGTAAGCAATAGGGGGAAATGTGAAAGTTGTACAAATCCAAATGGAGTCACTTGAGTTAAAAAAAATAATAATAACCCTGAAAAACAGAGCTGGAGAAGGTCATAAAAGGAGAGTTCTCAAGCATGTGTGCCTAATAATGAAACTATCATAAAAGACTGCAAAAACAACTACCTTGCACAAAGAGCATCAAAACCTAACACAAAAAATACTTCTTCAAGGTCATCTGCCCAATAACTGCCTGTCTAATCTCAAACTAGTTCCACCCTTGTTAATTGGTCCTTGTAGCAAAGAATAATTTATCTCAAAACATTTATGTAATCCTCCTCATTTTCCTTTAAAAATCTTTGTCTTTCTTTACCTCTCTGAATATGCACATAGTTTACTACAGCACACGTAATCCAGTTGTAATGCCCTATTTCTGAATAAATATAATTTTCTATTTAAAAGCCTCTCTGTATTATTTAGGTTGACATCATCTAGTCATACCAAGTTGTCAAGTTAAACCATTCTTAAATAGCTGGTTGATGGTATTTTCTGGAGATTAAGACCTCCATGTCTTGACATTAAATAATTATGTTATCCTGAACAAATTGTTTAATCTCTTCAGTTTTAATTACTTTAACTGTGAAGGCTAAAAAATAATACCTCTCTGAGAGGATTTGTTAAGGATCAAACAAGATAATATATTGACGGTATTTAGCAGTATTCCCATAATATAGTAATTACTGGATACCTGGTACTTGAATTGACTATTATTGTTGTGGTTATCTTTTTTATTATTGCAATTACATTCAGTTGTTTTGCAAAACATTTTTTGATAAATTCTCTTTCTAGATATATTTACACTATATGTCTAAATTGAATACTTTTGCTGTATCAGTCAATATCTTTTAAAAAATGAACATCTACTTCAATGTGCCATAAGTTAGCATGCATTGTCTATTATTGTTACCCTTTAGCTATATTACTATTTTAAATTATCCTCATTTCTTTAATAACTTTCATAAATATTATATGTATGATTTTCACTTTCTATATTTTCCTTTAATATTTCATAATAAAACAATGAACAGAATATTCTACAAAAGAGTGAAAAATCCAAACCTAAGGAGCGTTACTTTGAGGTTGGCCTCTGTTCTATACAGTTTACTTATACTTTGCTTGTAGTTCACTGTGATTTCTTTTTTCTTCATTCATTCCTTCACTGGCTTAGGCTATAAACCTACCAGTCATCCCTAGTTCTTTTCTTCCTGTAACTACTAATCATTTCCCTCTTCGTTCCCCTGAGCTGAATCATCACTCCAGCCACTTCCAATTTAACAGTACATTCTTTAAAACATACAGTGATCTCATAGTTTGTCTTCATCTCTGTGGAATCACATCTATATCTAACCTGGATTATCACAATAGCCTCCAAACTGACTTTGCTGTTTCCAAGACATTTGCCTCCCTGCTGTATATTTTCTGCCCAGGAGCTGTAATAACATTTTAAAAATATAAATCATATCAGGTCACTTCCCTGCTTAAAACTTTGCAATGGTCTCAGTAAACTTAAAAAATATCCAAAGTTCTTAAAACGGCTTACATTATTTAGATTTTTCTTTTCCAACTCATTTCCCAATCTTTTTCTTTTGACACTATTGCCTTCTCTTTACATCCTTGTAACTATCCATCTAAAAGCATCTCTCCCACTAATCACTTTCAAACTATTCTATTTTTCAATATAATCTACCACTACCAGATACTGCTTTGTTTACTTGTCTATTCCCACTTTTTTTTTTTTTTACTAGAATGTAAGCTACAGGGGGGCAAGAATAGTACCTAGAACAGTGGCTGATGATAGCTGGTGCTCAGTAAGAGCGTTATAAGTGAGCCAGATATTTTTCATATTTAAGGTTTTTGTTCCGATTATACTGTTTTTCTTGTGCAAAATACACTTTACTCAGTTTGTTTCGAACATTTTGTCCATTTTCTGATATTACTTATTTAGAGCCAGTTATATAGCATGTCCAAGCCCCAAAGGAAAATTTTAAATAATCCTAAATTTAATATAAACTCACACAATTTCCTACCTATTCTCAATGCAGTCACACTATTAGAATATATAAATCAATATTTATAGTGGATCCAAATCATATATATATAAATATATTAACAGCATTAATTACTGTACTTTTAAATAAATAAACAGCTCTAAAAGGAAAAAATTTTGATGTCAAGTTAGAAATATAATAAGAGCATAGTAACATAATAACAAGTAAAATATAAAACTTTTATTCCCCAATTTATCAATCTGCTTATTATTAGAGAAAATTATATGAGTATAATGAAATTTCTTAGCATCTAGTTACGTTACATTTAATTTTTATTCTCTTGTAGATAGTTGAAAGAAAAAAAAACAGTTGTAAAACATGTAGAGATGCTCAAAAGTGCTAAGAGCAGGTTTACAATCCCAATCAAACTCCTTCTCTTCTCCAACGCATCAAATGCCACAGAATGATGGAAACAAGGGGAAAATCCTTGTCATGGAGGTAGCTAGGGTTATTAACATTAAACCTAAAAAACAATTCCCAATAATGCAAAAACTTTGGGGCAATTTGATCAGATAGAGCACAATTTATAAGAAACGTAAAGAAAGCAGTGAGAACCAACACCTACTGCCCTTCCCAAGAGGCCAATCTCTGTTGAAGAAAGTGAAGGTGGTTCTAACAAAGGGTCATCAGTATCCTTTCATGTCAAGAGACAACGAGAGGCATGAGGAATGACCAAGGAAGATTGTTTCAACAATGCGGGATGTCTCCCCTCTCTTTGCCATACCCAAATTAACAAAAGTTATTTATTTTGTAAGATGGTGTATAGAACAATTTAGAATTGGTACTTTTTTTTTTTGCCAAATCCCTTTAGTTTCTATCTGATAAATAATGCTTAGATATTATCTGCACTATTTATTTCTGGTGAGATTTCTCTCTTTAATGGCAGCACTATTTCAGTTCTCTCAGAAATTTGAAATCACCTTCAAACTACTCATCCCCAACCCTAGTCACAGGAGAAGCAGAGAAAAAGATGTCACTCTACAGAAAGTCTCCTGGTCTGGCCTGGTCATTGCTTCTTCCTCTGAAGTTATCAGAAGGTGATTGATTATGATGGAATCAAAATTTAGCTTGTCATTTCTCATTTTTAGTATGAGGAGGTTGGCTTCATCTATTCTCAAATAGAGCTCTTATAAAATGACAAGTATGAAAAAGAATGCTCATGATATAAGCTATAAAACTAGGAAACACACTGCTTTTATTCCATTCCCTTGTCAAAACTTATACAAATTAATCTAGAGGGAATGGCAAAATATGACCTTGCTGATTAATGCTGTCCATCTTGCAGTTCACTGGATCCATATGTTCACAAGAAGGAAGGATTATCACATAGAAACAGGCCAAAAAGCTCTTTAAGCCTGCTAAGGAAGGATTGTTCAGTGTTCTCTGGAGAAGTAAGTATTGGAAGAGAAGAAAATTGCTACACGCATCAAGTCCCTTTCCCAGAACAATATGTGGTCTTGAAAAGAAAATGTTAGTTTTCCATTTTTACCAATAAATCTGTTTATAGTTGAATAGAATCACTTCAGTGAAAGGGAATCATCTCAATATTCAGGGAGAAGCCTGGAGACCATCAAAGCCTAAGAAAAAGATGGGGATTGATGTACCTGTGAGCAACTCTGCAGCTATTGACCCACAGTCAAAAGGCGAGTGACTGTGTGTATCACAGATAATTGCTCTAAAATTTATATATACATATATATTTATGTATACATATATATATGTATATTTTATATATATATATATATAACATTTGAAACAGAGTCTCACTCTGTTGCCCAGGCTGGAGTACAGAAGTATGATCCCAGCTCACTGCAACCTCTGCTCCTGGGTTCAAGCAATTCTCCTGCCTTAGCCTCCTGAGAGTGCCTGCCTGGATAATGTTTATATTTTTGGTAGAGACAGGGTTTCACCATGTTGGCCAGGCTGGCCTCGAACTGCTGACCTCAAGTGATCTGCCCGACTCAGCCTCCCAAAGTGCTGGGATTACAGGCGTGAGCCGCTGAGCCTGGTCAAAAAAAATATATTTTTATTCTGTCTCTTTTTTTACATTTAAAAATGGGAAATTTTTAATGCACATATAAGATGTAAAGCTTTTATCTATTTGTACCTTGAAAATAAAACCATGTATACATTTTCTTAAAATTCTTCTTGCAAACAACAGGATTTTAGTAGTGTTCTTGACTATGGTTATTGTGATATGACTTAAACAGTTATCTCTTGACACAGGTGACAGCTCTGGGTTCATGTCATGATACTTCATTGAGCTAGATATTTATGATTCATGGATTTTTCTATGCAGATGTTATCATTTTATGGGCATATTTGTTCTAAAAGAGCTTGTGTAGTTTTTTTTGTATGGATTGTTTGATGTAAATTACTGGGTCTTTTTGGCTTTATTTTTTTGCTCTGATATGAAAATTTGTGTAATTTTGGACAAGCAGCTAGGCACAGCAGGAACCTGGGGAGCCATGGCAATAAACGAAAGCAAGCCCTGCTTCACCTTGTTATTGGGAAACCAGATAATGGCAAATCATTACTGAGCATCAACAATACACACTTATTAGGCTCTGTGTGAACTCTGAAGATCCCAATCTAAATTCAGATCTATCCTTAGAGAAAACTAAAAAGGGATCACCCTCAGGGAAAATCTGCTTCCAAAAGCTAATAAACTAAAATGAATTGACATTTTTCTCTGGATAATAACTTTGTCGAGGAATATAAGAATAATATGCTTTGTTGTTGTTGTCTTTAGAATGATCACAAATAACTAATATCATCTATTAAAAATCACTGGTTATAAAAGCTTATTTTAAAGGAAAAATACATGGAATGAAGTAAATCAAAAGTTTCCACGTACATTCAAAGATTCTCTTGGATTTGATGAAGAGAAATTAATTCAGTGATTCACATAGCCAGTTAAGTTACTTAATAAATAGATTTGAAATTAAAATTAGATTAGTGTAATTCATTTAACTATTACCTATTTTTATTCCAACTGAAGCTGGACCTCATTGCTTAGATGTTTATCATAAATATCAACAGTAAAAATTCTAGGACACTGGGTAATACAGCAATTTTCATCTTTTGGATTTTGTTGTCTATTCCTTAGTTATAAACAGGACTATTTATTATTAAAGTAGGAAATCTGACAGGGTGATCAAATAGAAGACTTTTCTCCAAGTACTGTTTACATTTTATAATCTAAATGTATCTGTTACAACCTCAGTTTTTCAATTACTTCTGTTCTTCTGAATCTGACTCAGTATGAATTCACAAACTTTACAACTCTTACTATTTTATTTTTACTTCTAGGCTGATTTTCTAAATTCTAGCCATAGATTTGTATGCAACAGTAAAAGACAAATTATTCATAAAAAGCAGCTTTAAGTTATTTTAGTAGGCCGTGTAGTATTTTTAACTAAAACATTTTTTAAAATTTTAATATATACCCTTTTCTTCAGGCAGTTTAAATGTTGTTTGAGACAACATAGGTAGAAAAAGTCATAAAGAGGGAAGAGCTTTTTTTTTTTTTTTTTTTGAGATGGAGCGAGACTCCTAGGCTGGAGTGCAGTGGCTCAGTCTCGGCTCACTGCCAGCTCCGCCTCCTGGGTTCACGCCATCCTCCTGCCTCAGCCTCCCAAGTAACTGGGACCACCGGTGCCCGCTACCACACCCGGCTAATTTTTTTTTTTTTTATTTTTAGAAAAGATGGGGTTTCACCGTGTTAGCCAGGATGGCCTTGATCTCCTGACCTCGTGATCCGCCTGCCTTGGCCTCCCAAAGTGCTGGGATTACAGGCGTGAGCCACTGCGCCCGGCCAGGAAGAGCTTTTAGGTTACATATCAATCTTGTAGATGGCTAATGTGGAAGATACAAAGCTGTTATCACCAGCAAGCAGTTTTAAGGCATTTGTTCTGCTTTACCTTTCATGGCTTTGATGCAGATCATATAATTTTGTATGGCATGGGCCCTTCTTACTCTTACCCATGTGAGTTTGGTCATTGCTGTCATGGAAATGATAGTGAAGTATGTTTATTTTCTTTTAATTTTCAGATGCACAATCTTTCTCTTTAAGTCATGTTGTTAAAATTGCCATGGCGTATTTCCAAGTAAGGATGATATCCCTGCTTTATTCTGAAATTAGTTCTGAAAGTGGGGTGTGGTAGTCAGCAGCTTGTTCTCACTGTCATAATTATAGCCTGCTTGGGAAAAAAAATCATACTGTAAAACTTTTAGCATATGGATACTTAACACAACAATCTCTGAATAAAAGAATGTATGCATACCTAATATACATGGCATCATTCAATTCCTTGTTGGATAGAGAAACTTTGCCTATTTTTGTATTTTTAAATCTTTAATTTGGCATAAAAGTTGATTTTAACTGTGGTCCCTTAGAATTAACTTTCTCTTTCATTTTCTTGGGCATAAAAAATTCTATTGTTAAGAGAACTACAACTAAGGGCTTCTAAAAAAATTTGGAAATTCAACAACATCATCAAATACCACAGGAAGTACTGTTTTGGTTTTGATACAGTGGATCACAACTGTCTTAGTCAAGCTGCTCTAACAAAATACCATAGGCTGGGAGGATTAAATAGCAAATTTTTATTTCTTTCAATTCTGGAGGCTGAGGAGTCTAAAATCAAGGTGCTGGCATATTCAGGGTCTGGTAAGGCCCCTGTTCCTCATTTGCAGACTTTCTCCTTGCTGTATTCTTTTATGGTGGAGTGAGAGGGAGCTCTCATGTCTCTTTCTCTTTTTATAAGAGCATTGATTCCATCATGAGGGTTCCAACCTCATTACCTAATCTAAAACTGATGACCTCCCAAAAGCCTCACCTGAAAATACCATCACACTGGGGATTAGGGATTCATCATATGAATTTTTGTAGTGATACAAACGTTCAGTCCATATCAACAACATAATCAGTCTCAGTTGAAAGCTTGGGTTAGCGAATTAACATATGGTAGTGACATTTCCTAAATTTTAATGAAAGTTAAAAACTCAGCAAAACCGAAACATCTGGTGACTTTAACTTACACAATTCTCACAAAAAAAAACCTTCATGAATCTTTTTCCTCCTTAAGTGTCTGCCCATCAACATCACTGAAACACTCTCTCCTTTTTGAAATGCTGCTTAATGCCAGACACTCAATATGTTTGGTCATACTGGAAAACTAATATTTGACTTGTCCTTGGTCACTAAGAGTTTCTCTCATTTTCCTTATTTCAAAGAAATAGCATAAGAGCAAAGTTTTTGACATTTGTCTTCCACAATGAGATGACAAGGCTCTTTTGAGTAAAAACAATTCAAGATAATTTTACAGTTCATTCAAAAAGTTAAAACATATGAAAAACTGCCTATGAAGGTAAATCTTAATCTTGACAATAAAAGAGTGAAAACTATTATTTTTTTTAAATGAGTGTAAGAAATAAGAAGGGAGGGAATAAAAGTGAAAGGAATTACTAAACACCAATTAAAGTACACCAGAAGCAAATAATTATATTCTTCTTCTGTGTCCCATATAAAGCAAAAGAAACAAAGACTATAGCTTCCTTAAATAGGCAGTGTTCCTGTTTGCAGTATAATACATAAAGATTTAATTAAAGAAAAGATTAGAGCATTTGTTATATGCCTTTTTCTTCTCAGATCCATTCTTGCCGTTCTCTTCCTTTAATCTCTATCTCACGTAACTATGTTTTCCAGGCTTCCATGCTGTATTAGTCCATTCTCACACTGCTGTGAAGAAATATCCAAGACTGGGTAATATATAAAGGAAAAAGGTTTAATTGACTCATCAGTTCCACATTGCTGGAGAGGCGTCAGGAAACTTACAATCATGGCAGAAGGCAAAGGCGAGACAGGCACCTTCTTCACAGGGCGGCAGGACAGAGTGAGTGCAAACGGGGAAATGCCAGATGCTTATCAAACCATCAAACCTCGTGAGACTTACCACTATCACGAGAAAAGTATGGGGGGAAACGACTCCACCGTGATCCAATTACCTCCACCTGGCCCTGCCCTTGACACATAGGGGTTTGTGGAGATTACACTTCAAGATGATATTTTGGGTGGGGACACAGCCAAACCATATCACATGCCAACTTGACTTCTAGTTGGTTTAGTCAGTGGAAGGCACAGGAAGACTAGAGGGTAGAAGGACCCAGAATATTTCTTCTCTTTTCTTTCTGCCACTCTAGGCATTTCCTGAACCGTCTGCTTCCCCTTCATTGCTCCAGTTCCTCCATGAGATTGCCCCTACCTCTGTGGTCTCAGCTCTCACTGAACAGGCTTATTATAGTTCTAGTTTTTGTTGGGTGACCAGCTCCTGAACCCTGCTAATATGAACTCCTCTCTTTGATTCTCTAGCCCTAGGGGTGGTAGTGACTTCCAGCTCATCTCTGGTTTCTTAGCTCTTCTATCACTTGTGTAACTGATTCATGATATTAAATTCTTTCTGACTGAAATATCTCAAGTGGTTTGAATCCTGGCTTATACAATGGGTAGTAAATCTCTACTGATTTTGAAAATAAATTTTATTGTTTAGAACAGCTATAGACTTACAGAAATATTGTGAAGATAGTACAGTTACCATACACCCTGAATCCTGTTTCCCCTATTATTAACAATTTTATTTTAGTATGTTACATTTGTAATAACAATCAACCAACATTAATATATTATTATTGACTAAAATAATTTCACTCTATTCAAATTTCCTTAGTTTTTATCCGATATCCTTTGGGAAAGTTGTAACAGTCAATATGGAGTCACTAGTTTTTTTTTTTTTTAACCCTGACAAATAGCACTGGGGAAGGCCATGAAGAGAGGGTTCTCATGCTTGTATACCTGATAACAAAAACTATCACAAAATACTGAAAAATTCACAACCTTGCACAAAGGCCCTTACACAAAAAAATGCAAGGACATCTGCCCAACAACTGCTTGTCCATCCTCTAACTGGCGTCACTCTTATTATTGATTTGTAGCCAAATCATTTGTAGATAATTATTTCAAAACAATTAAGTAATCCTCCTCATTTTTTCCTTCTTTACCTCCCTGAATACACACAGTTTACTAGAGTTTGCACATTCCCATTTCAGTGTCCTATTCCCAAATAAACATCGTTTTCTTTCACAGAGCTTCTCTCTGTTTGTTATTTAAGTTGACACTTTTTTTTTATGTTCCAGGACACTACATTACATTGAGTTGTTTCTTTTGACTCTCAGTGTGGACAGTTTCTTAAACTTTACTTCTTTTGAATAAACTATGTAGTTTTGAGAAGTACTGGTCAGGTCTTTTATAGAATGTCCCCCTAGTGGAATTTATCTGATGATGATTAGACTGAGTTTTGGGGAAGAAGACTGCAAAGGTAAAAATGTCATTTTCATCATATTTCAAGGTCCATACTATCAACCCGACTGAGCATCATTGATGTTGACCTTGGTCACCTGTCTAAGGTAATGTTTGTCAGGTTTTTCTGTCATAAAACTGCCCCCCTCCTCTTTGCATACTGTACTCTTTGGAAAGAAATCACTATGTGCAGCTCACACTTAAGAAGTGCGGGTCTCTGCTAATTTTTTTTTTTCTGAGACAGAGTCTCGCTCTGTTGCCAGGCTGAATTGCAGTGGTGGGATCTCGGCTCACTGCAACCTCCACCTCCCAGGTTCAAACGATTCTCCTGCCTCTGCCTCCCAAGTAGCTGGGACTACAGGCGCCTGCCACCACACCCAGCTAATTTTTTTGTATTTTTAGTAGAGACGAGGTTTCACTATGTTGGCCAGGATGGTCTTGAACTCTTGACCTTGTGATCTGCCCACCTTGGCCTCCCAAAGTGCTGGGATTACAGGTGTGAGTCACTGAGCCCAGCCTCTCTGCTGATTTTTAATCCTGTACCTTGTCCTTAGGATTAAACATAATGCTGCTTAATGACACAGCAGCAGGGAGAGCCTCAGTCTATTCTAGAGAATTGTTTGTGCCCATCTTGGCTGTGAGCTGCTTCCCTTATGTAATGTAATTGAACTACAATATGTCTGTGGCTTATACCACACTAGCTTTGTACTAAAAGGAATTACCACTTTTCCTAATAAAAATTAAATAATTCGATGTCAGTCAAAAGCTCCCTCATCCTTTAAAGTAGAAAGGATGGGATATAAGAGCCTTGTAACGTTTAAAACCTGAAAATTCCCTTTCCCTGGTAAGGACAATTAGATATTCATATGGTAGAATTGCCCCATTATCCTCACATGCCTAGTGATAAAAACCTGAATAGCACAAGAGGTTCCAATGAAACAAATATGTCAGATCCATTGATCATGTAATTAGCAATACAGACCAAGTTCTCAGCTGCTTTCCTGTAAAAATAGTAGAACTATAGTCCAAAAAAAGTTGCATAATTTAGTCTCCTATAATTGGGGACAGTGGTGGGATGGTCTTCAGCTTCTTAGCTTTTAGTAAGACCGTTATAGCAAGCAGATTGCAATTCTGCCTTGGTGAGCATGCTGTCATTAGTTTTGGGAATAAATAGCTTTCGGTGAGCCAAATTACTCATAATCATTTGAATGCAACATTTTTTTTGAGGATTTTTTCCAAATTATTCCTTTCAAAAAGTGCTAACAACCTTAGTTGCCAGGCATAATGAAATGATAACATAAAGTAAAACTACCTCCTGTTAAATTTTACATGTTACTACACTGGGCACTGAGTCAAATTTTCCATCCAACAAATATTTTCTGAACAGGTTTAATGTGCCAGAAGCTGTTCTAAGTGCTAATGGTGTCTAGGGAAGTGCTCCTTAAAGTGCCGGTCCTCAATGGCCATTAAAATACAGACTAGAATTGGCAAAGGCTCTGAAGATGTCTGTGGCTTCAGCTGTGGTTTTTGACCATCTTCATTTTTGATCCCAGCGACGTTTCCCTATTCTTTTGAATGCACAAATATGTATTTCATATAATAGTTATTATATTCTCATCATTAATAATCTTTTTTTAAAGAGACAGAGCGTTGCTCTGTCACCCATGCTACAATGCAGTGGCATGATTATAGCTCACTGCAGCCTCAAACTTCTGGGCTCAGCCTCCCTCCTGGGTAGCCGGGACTACAGGCATGCACTACCATGCCCAACTAAGTTTTTATATATTTTTTTAGAGAAAGGGTCTCACTATGTTGCCCAGGCTGGTCTCCAACTCCTGGGTTCAATCGATCCTCCTGCCTCAGCCTCTCAAGTACCTGGGATTCCAGGCATGAGCCACTGCACTTGGCTCAATAATCTTTTAAAATGAGAGGGTGTTTGGACTATGTAATTCACAAAACTCCATTCTGGGAGTTTTGTGAATGGAAAAAAGCATTCCTACCTATGCTTTTCTATTCTGCTTTTCCTCTTTTACTTCTTAAAGATTATGAAAAAGACATGTCACTGCTTTAAATCATACTCTTTCTAATTGTATAGATGTTGACTCTCACTAATTTTCAAACTCTTGCTTAATAATAAAGAGATGATTTCATAGAATATAATAATACCTAAAAGCATTAGTAAAAGTTCAAAATCATGAGTGCGTCCATTAGGAAACTGGGCCAAATAGGTTATGCCCAGCTTTTTTTTTCCAGCTCTCTTATATTCCATTTTTTCTGAGATCATTATTTTATCAAAATTACCTTTTCATTTTTCCAGAATCAGTACTCAAAACGGATTTTTGCTCTTTACACCAATTATTGTTTTTTGCTCAAATAAATTACACTTCACTTTGTGCCCATTGACACTCTGATTGTTGGATATTAATTATGCATTAAAAAGTCACTAATTTATTTTCATTCTCATTGACAAACTTGAGGCCACAAAATTATTCTGAAGGTATTCTTTTTTTGAGAGGAAATACCTTTACCTGAGCAGTGTCTTTTGATGTAGCTCTCTAAATTTTAAATACTATAGCAAATAAATTAATAAGACAAATGATCATGTGATGACAATTTCATAATCAATACTAATTTGAATATATATAGATTGTTTCATTGATTTAAGTGAAATTGCTATAATAGTTCATACAATCCAATAATAATATGTAGCTTACTGTCTGGCATGGCAAAGTCTTTTGCTGTTCCCCAAAGAAAGTAATTTTATATTTTTCCTAAAAGGTAGGCTTCAAAAGCTGTACAACCACCTTTTTTTGCAATGCTAATGTAATCATCTAATATTGAAAACATCCATCCGAAAAGTCTATCTTTACGATATGCTCAATAGATATCTTATTTAGACAGAAATATTTAAACCAACTTCGTTTCTTCTTCAAATTGAGAATATTTACATTTATCTAATTCTTTAGAACTTTTGATAATTCTTTTGTTATCAAGAATAAACCACCTTAGAGTATAAATAAGTTGACAAACTAATCTTTTAGTTTCCTATTTCATGTAATTAAAATGGAACAATATGTCATTTTTAAATAATTTTAGTACATGTTTCACTTTAAAATGTCTCAAATGCAACCAGTAAGCAACAAAGCCTCCAAAATTATATATAAATAAAAGATTTTTTTATTTATAAAGCATTAATTAATAATTTGGAGTGGGGCTAGTATTTGAATAGAACATCTTGATTTATCACTGGATCAGACAGAAGGATATTACTAAATGATAACTAGTAATTGTTGTCAGAGGGGCCCTCTACAGAATTATATGTAAGTTGGTTATGAATAAATCACTTCTCTAAAAATATGTTAAAATAATCTAATTAAAATTACATTAAAATTTCTTAACTTTCTATTTTTATCACCTAACATTTATTGTTGGAAATGTACAAAAGGGGAAAAATATTAGATAATTGTTTTCTTAAATCACTTAAAATGTTAGATGTCTGCATTTGCGTATTGTTGGGAACTCTTCGTGGGCATAGTAAGTAATTCTAAACAAAAATAAATTCCCCTATCTTCTTTAAGTATAATAAGTCAAATAATAACATAGTACATGTAATGAATATCTTTTTAAAATGATATAAACCTTATTCAAGTCTGCTAGGAAAACTGATCTTCAGTGATTCGTAACAAAATACTTTAAGGAAGCAAGGATTAAGAAGTAGAACACTTCCTTTGTAATAAACCCAGATATGTTACCTATCTTGCTTTGTGATTTTTTTTTTTTTGAAATGGAGTCTCGCTCTGTCGCCTAGGCTGGAGTGCAGTGGTGTGATTTTGGTTTACTGCAACCTCCACCTCCTGGGTTCAAGTGATTTTCCTGTCTAAGCCTCCCGAGTAGCTGGGACTACAGGCATGTGCCACCATGCCCAGTTAATTTTTGTATTTTTCGTAGAGGCGGGTTTTCACCATATTGGTCAGGCTGACCTCAGGTGATCCACCCACCTCAGCCTCCCAAGGTGCTGGGATTACAGGTGAGAGCCACTGCAAATAATTCTTTCTACAATATATTTTAAAAGAAGAAAATAGGTATATAATAATATTTATCCGCCAGCTATCTGGTAGACTATTATGAAGACTAATGGGATACTTTTTACGCTGTAATGACAACCATTTCATCTAAATTAAAGTAGCCTGCATTCTACTTCCTTCAGAGATGAGTGGTGAAGAGCATTATTCATTGTTAAGTATATAAGTGATTTTCCTTCAGATTCTAAGACAGGTAGACATAATCTTAGAAGAGAGAGAGAAAGACAGGGACACTTGTAATTATTACTTACCATATGGCTAAAATCCATCAATAACAAATGATAAAATTTATAGCTAAGGTTTGAGTTCACTAATGTACCAGATGCCGTACACATTATATGCACTAACTTACTTAATGGTCACAAAAACCTTATAAATAGATATTGCTATTATCCCCATTTAACAGATAAGGAGACCAAATCACGAAGAGGTTAAGTAACATGTCCAACATCACAAAGCTAATAATTATGGAACTAGAATTCAAATCCAAGTAGTCCTGCCCCAGAATCTTGGCCTTAACTATGATGCTTAATTGCTTTTATAACAAATATTACTTTTGTCAGAGTAACTATATACTGAAGACTCCACATCTATCTCTCTACTCCTGACTTCCTAAAATATGCTAAGCACCCATTATATGCCAATAATAATTGTAAGTGCTGGGTATTCAAAAGTGACTAAATCAGAACCTGTGGAGCCTGTATTGAATGAAGGAGGAAGGTAAATACAAAATAGTGATGAGATGTGATAAATTCCGTTAGAAGTATGGGTGACATGCTAAAGGGGCACAAGAGAGCTGTACTCTCATTAGGGAAAGTTCAAGACCATAGAGCAGCATATGCAAATAGCCAGTCCTGAGAGTGTGAATCCCTTACAGAAGCGTGAGTATGAGCTCACAATGACTGGAGCATAAAGCTCAAAGATGACTGATGAAAGAAGAGGATGGAAAAGAGGCAGGGGATAAATCAGAAAGTATGCTGTATCTAGTCTTTTTTTTTTTCTCAGAAAATATTTAAAATAGGGAATTTTCTTGTGGCAAACGTGATCCTCCTCTAGCATTTCTCCTTTTGGTTAATAGCACCCTAACCTACCTGCTTGACCAAGACAGAAACATTTGAGGCATCTTCACATCCTCTTATTCTTTCATATTTTATATCTAATGAGTCTCCAAGTTCTGTTGATTCCACATCCTCCATGTCTATACAGTTTTTCATCCATCTATACTACTCTCAGTATAGGCTGCTACTTTCTTATTTTCTTATTGTTTTTAAAGCATCTTTTGAGGCAATTCCCTATGCTTGCTCCTCCTCCAGTACACTGTATGTTTAATAGGAAGCAATCAGTTTAAAATAACAATCCAATCACATCATTACTCTGCCTAAATATTCCATGGCTCCCTGTTGCCCTCAAGAAAAAATCTTGAAATTCTTGGCATAGATGGCTATTTACCATCTGGCCAAATATGTCCTTCCAGCCTTTGCTTCTGTACTACCTAATTCACACACACTGAATCCAGATATGCTGAACTACTTGCAGTTATTCTAATGGAGTTGTAGAATAGTTCAGTGGTTAAGCAGTTTTAACTTTTTTTTTTAGTGTTTAAGCATTTCTCTCATCTCTGTACCTGTAAATATACTGTTCTGTCTTCTTAGAATACTCTTTTTCTACCCAACTGTTTGCCTGATAATTTCTTACTCACACTTCAATATTATTTGATGTGCTAAGCACTCTGATAATAAACAGTAGTCAAAATGTCACCTCTTCTGGGGGGGTCTTTGCTCCTGAAGGAGTAAAAGAATCTTGTTAAATCCTTCCATAGTGCCTTTATTATACTAGCTACTAGGGGGATGCAATTTTTCATTTACTTGCTTCTGAGCCCTGAAGGAGAAAAATTCTTTGTGCTTACTGTGCTCTGGAAATACAGTAAATGCTCAACAAATACTTGTTGAATAAATAATATTGACCAGCTTAAGAAAATGGTTTATTGGCTTAACTATTACCACCTGAACAATTACCGCTAACTTCTGAAGATATTTTAAGACTAGCAAAAATTAGCTATCCTTGCACATTTACTCATTCATTTACCAAATATTTACTGAGATTCTGCTATGGCTTGACACATTGCTAGGTTTCAGAGATAAAGGCAACAACAACAACAACAAAACATTTAGTTCATACTACTGATGTTTAAAATCAGGATTTGATGTGCTAGCAATCCCTGATTTTCAAATAATGATATAATCATTTGTTAAAATAGCAAGACATCCAGTTAAGAACTAATGTATTAATATTTTTTTAAAAATCTATTAATCTGCCACCCCATGTACATATGCTTAAAATACGCATGGTATTACAAAAATAGAGACTGAGTTTATTAAAATAGCACAGCGAAGCCTTTGCATGTTTTTGTATAATAGGAAGGACCAAACTTAGCTAATTCCTGAAGCTAGAAATATTTGACAAGAATAAGCCAACACAGATACACACAAGTGTGCAGACACACAAACACATGTGCTGGATTAAAAACCAGAATGGAGGCCAGGTGCAGTGGCTCACGCCTGCAATCCCAGCACTTTGGGAGGCTGAGGCAGGTGGATCATGAGGTCAAGAGATAGAGACCATCCTGACCAACATGGTGAAACCCTATCTCTACTAAAAATATAAAAATTAGCTGGGTGTGGTGGTGCGTGCCTGTAGTCCCAGCTACTAGGGAGGCTGAGGCAGGAGAATCGCTTGAACCCAGGAGGCAAAGGTTGCAGTGAGTGGAGATTGTGCCACTGCACTCCAGCCTGGGGACAGAGCGAGAGTCCGTCTCAAAAAACAAACAAACAAACAAAAGAGAATGGAGCACAGAAAGAACAGACAGAAGTAAATGATGTCTTGATATCTCTGTACTTATTGTTGGTTTACCTGAGAGCTCAAAAGCAGATATTGGAATAGGAGCCTATCAGGTGTAGTTGTATATATACATACTTGAAGAACACAGGTGAGATTCTTAGGCCTATGCCCTAGGATATTGATTTCCAGTAATTTAATCTTTTCTTTTTTATTCTTCTCACCTGGGAAAAGAGGAAACTGAAATATTTGATCATTTACATTTCTTTATGACTCTCCATAGTCTACATTTGCCTAGCTTTGATCCACACTTGATAACCCTTCAATGGCCTTGTCTCAATGCTCTTTCTCTTTGACTTCTCTAGGCACCTGATGTTAGGATGCCCTTTTTAAAATGCTTTCTTTGATTTCCATGAAATTGAACACATTATTTAAACACCTCTCCAAAGTATCCTCATTTTTTTCCCAGGAGTATCTTCCTTCTCCTACCATCTGGGCATCCATCAAAGCTGTTTACAGAAACTTCTCTTTTCAGTTTTCCCCTTGATTCGTTGACTCAACCCTGTAGCTTCAACTAATACCTCTATGTGAATAACTACCAAAATCTAAATTGGAAATACAATCTCTCTGGCACTCTCCAATTCTATATATCAGCTGCTTACTCAGTATCACTATCTGTCTCTCCTGAATTCACCTTAAATTCAACCTGTCTAAAACTGAATAAGCGTCTTCTCCAGGGTGTATGTCTTCCTCTTCACTTTCTTTTTTATGTTGATGGTATTGGCATCCTCTAGTTACTAAAACTCTAAATCAAGTACAGGAGTCACCTTAACCTCAATTGCCAATTTCTGCAGCATGTACCTCCATCAAATATCCTGTCTCCACCTCCTCATTTCCATTTTCACTTCCTCTTTTTTAAATAAAGTTCTCTCACCAAAACTGTACAAAATCCATTGCCTGTACCCACTACCACATTTAACTGATTTTGGTTACTGCTCTTCTTAACTTTGTTCTCTCTCTAGGATTTGCTGTGTAACATGTTTAGGTAAAGCTCCTTCATAGCTAGTCTCAGCTATAGGGACCCACACAGCTGGTCTCAGCTATGGGAACTTCTCACTTCAGGTCCCAAGCCATAGTCTTCATACTATGGGAGGAAAGAACACACAAATCATCTCAAGTTATGGGTAACCCAATGAGCATAACACACTATAGAGATGCAGGGAATAACGCATAAGTTCTTCAAGGCATAGTTATTTTAGAGAAGTTAAAATTTCTCATTCTATGACTTCAAGAAATGAATCTCAAATAAATCCATTGTAAACAAATCCAATACATACAAATAACAACAATATTTTGATTACTGATTACACTGTTAACTAATTCTTTTTTCACATCCCTATCCCTTAAGTTTCTACATTAGGGTATTTGTCAAAAGTATAGCTTAGTTTATGCAGCTTAAAATGTTAGAAGGAAAAGCATTAGATCTGGAATCAGAAAATATCATCATTTTTCTTTCTGAATCATGGTCAGCTGTGTGAACTTCCTCAACTTTCTGAGCATCTCTGAGGACACACACACACACACAAACACACACACAAATATATAATAATACAGAAATAATGCCTGTCCTGATTATTTCTCAGAGTTGTTGGCAGGATCTAATTGGACAGATGTAAAAAGATATTCAAAGTATCCCAAACCAGACTAATCCGAATAAATCACCTGAGAGACTTCTGAGGCTCCCTGGCCCTCATCCTCATTTTTAAAGGCACTCTAGGTGATCTACCATTTGGAAACCATATTATATAAATTGTAAATGCAGGTGAAAATTATTATTGTATTGCCAGCTACTACAATCTATAACATTTTCCTTTGCAGGTCATCAGTCATCATAGTTTCTGAGTTCAATAGCATTGTAGACCATCTTTGGATTGCTTTTAGTTATAGAGTTTATATAAGCTGCCATCCTAAATAAAATTTTAGAAGCTTTTGATAACAAATTTTAGCCTTTATTCTAAGGGAACCTTTCCTTCTGGAAGAGGGCTAATAGATTTAGTCATATTAGATTATTAGAGCATTCTGTAGTCTAAATTAATAACACAAATCCACTCTTAACTTATTCACAGTGGATTAAGCTAAATTATGTCAGAAAACCCAGAAACATATTTTAGAGTTTATAAAATGTATTGAGTGACAAAATACTTCTCACTCTAATACGTCTTGGTACTTCTGAATATTACCTTTCCAAGAACTGTAAGGTTTTTTTCCCTATGCATTCACTGTAACTGGATAATATATATTTCCAGAGGTAGCTGCTTTAATTTTATCTGTTACATAATCATTATTGCAATTTGGTGAACCATGATGTTTTTAAGACAGTGGCTTAAATATAAGAATGAGCTACTGAAACAAAAACCAAGCATGGAACTAGAACTTACTTCCTTGCATTACATACAACTAGAAAGTTCTACCCTGTAATGTAGAAATTTCTACCAGTAACATATAAATTACTACTTAGAAAGGTAGAACCAATGATTAGGTAAAACATAAAAGAGAGGTTAACCAGAAAAGAAGTCTAAAGATAGCTTTTTAAAAATTTATTAACATCATTTTGTAGTATTCAGCAAAGGATTAATCACTCATGGTGACACATAAAACAAGGTCAAACCATTTTCTTTGGAACAACAATAAAAAGAAACTAGAGTATTTAGAAATGAATTTCTTCCAGGTGCTTAAGCTCCTCATTGCTTTGACAGGGTCCCAAGTCAGCACACCAGGCACTCATGATCAGGCCTTGATTCGCTTCCACACCATTCATCAAAGGCCCTCCCTGTATTCTACGTGAATTAATTTCAATATTCCTTGAGCGGAGTTAGCAAGGCATAATGGATAATCACAAAGGCTTGCAGCTCAGACAGATTTTGGGTCCAATACTGTACCTGTCACTTACTAGCTGTGTGACTTGGGTACATACTAGCTTCAGTAATACTTTGCTGCACAAAGTGTCCTCTGTAGAGCAGCAGCATTGTCACTACCTGGGAGTTTGTTAGAAATGCAGACTCGTAGTATAGTTTGAAGTCAGGTACCATCTCACACCAGTTAGAATGGCAATCATTAAAAAGTCAGGAAACAACAGGTGCTGGAGAGGATGTGGAGAAATAGGAACACTTTTACACTGTTGGTGGGACTGTAAACTAGTTCAACCATTGTGGAAGTCAGTGTGGTGATTCCTCAGGGATCTAGAACTGGAAATACCATTTGACCCAGCCATCCCATTGCTGGGTATATACCCAAAGGACTATAAATCAGGCTGCTATAAAGACACATGCACACGTACGTTTATTGCAGCATTATTCACAATAGCAAAGACTTGGAACCAACCCAAATGTCCAACAATGATAGACTGGATTAAGAAAATGTGTCACATATACACCATGGAATACTATGCAGCCATAAAAAATGATGAGTTCATGTCCTTTGTAGTGACATGGATGAAATTGGAAATCATCATTCTCAGTAAACTATCGCAAGAACAAAAAACCAAACACTGCATATTCTCACTCATAGGTGGGAATTGAACAATGAGATCACATGGACACAGGAAGGGGAATATCACACTCTGGGGACTGTTGTGGGGTGGGGGGACGGGGGAGGGATAGCATCGGGAGATATACCTAATGCTAGATGACGAGTTAGTGGGTGCAGCGCACCAGCATGGCACATGTATACATATGTAACTAACCTGCACAATGTGCACATGTACCCTAAAACTTAAAGTATAATAAAAAAAAAAAAAAAAGAAAGAAATGCAGACTCTCAGACCCACCTCTGGACCACTGAGTTGGAATCTGCATTTAAAAACAAAATCTTCCCTAAAATTGGCATTACAATTTAAGGATCATTGCTGTAAGCCACAGTTTTCTCATCTTTAAAAATAAGGTAAAACAGGGTTTAAAAATCCTTTATAAAGGTGCTTTATGGGATTAAATGGGAGTAACAATTAACAACGGCTTAGCATGATACAGAAATATGAGCCTAGAGTTAATATTATCAATAATTTTCAAAGGCACTTTTTGAAAATTGCCCATTTTAAGGGATATTTTTCCATTTTAAGGAAAATAGTTTAAGGAATTTTAATAACATCATTTGATCATATACCAGTAAATAAAGCCACCAGGACTTAAATCTCCATAGTATGGCCACACATTTATATATTATATTCAGATGTACAGCAAAAATATACTTTCCTCATTTTTCTGTAACTGATGATATTCTTCGTAGTGGGAGGGGGTGGAAAGACAAAACTTTGAAAGTTGTGTACTTATAATATTACAATCTCTTCTTATTTGGATGAAGTAACACCTTTTGTTCAATGCATTGTTCTTTTTTCCCTGCTTCCTGCTAAGGTGGTATTTTGTCCTTTGGAGATTCAAATAAGAAAGAGTCTTTCTGCCAGGAAATGATAGGTGAAAACTGGTCCCTTCATCTAAAACCAGTACCTTCTGGCCTCTCAGAGAAGTGTGCTGTATTCTACTGCTAGGTGCTGATTCTGATTGCCTAATTCCTGTGCACAGTGGCTTTTTATCCTGACTCAGACTCTCTCAGGACATCTATATTTCCTCAGAGGAGAATATGGATTGGTTTGGTTCAGCTGCATTTCATAGCCAGCTTGTGGAGAATGAGGAACAAGACTTCAGACTCACCGATTTGGCCACTTCACTCCACCATTGCAGCTCTGTCCCTCCCATGTTAAGTTGGCTGTGTTGCTGAGCTCCGACCACGGGGCGCTTCTCAGTGTTCATGACAAGCAACTGCAAAAACCCCCTCCCATTGCTTCTGAGAGTAGTTGTGCAGATGGTTACAATTCACCTACAATTCACGATAGTCCCGGTCTCAGAAAGGTATTCAAGTACTTGCTCTGCTTATTTCATACAGCCTATGCTTTTACCAAACCAAGCTAAGAACTGTTTTTGTGCAATCCTCAGGGTTCCCTAGCTTCATAGTTTGCCACAGTGTTTCCTTTGCCTGAAGTATCCACCCTCATCCCCATCTGACGTGTCCAAATGGTACTTATTCTGTGAGACCCAGCTCAAATGTCATATCCTCGATGCCTCTATCTGTGATAATATTTTCTTTTTGACTCCAGAGTTCTTTCTTTGGTCATGTAGTTCCTATCTTACATGTCTTGCGTTTTCATAACAGACATAAATAAAAGTTTTCTAAGTTCAGGAACAGTGTTTCATATGTTTATCTAAGTTCTACCTACTCCGCATCAAAAAACTAGCACGACTTTACTCAATGGTGGAGAGTCAATGAATATTATTGAGTGACCAAAGCCAACTTTCAGAAAGACTAGAAAACAGCTAATGTAGAAAAGGAGAAAGACAGTTTTCTAGATTGAGAGTTAGAATCATAGGCTCTTACAGCTTGAAAAATACTAGTTGAATCTTTTCATAGCATATTATTTGAAAAAACGGACGCCTATGTAAATAAGGATCCCAAATGAAAAGACTGGGCCAGATTCTAGGGCTCCCATTTTCCATTCTGGCATCCTTTTCAATTTAAATAACCTAATATTTTTTAATTATACAAACCCTATTATAGATAAAAATTTTGAAAAAATGTATTTATCCAAGATCATGACTCCAGAATAAATGAATTGCTATTATTCAGATGCTCATTTCAGCATTATCCATAAAAATGTATAGTTTTGCATAGATAATCCTGATTTACCTAAAATATCGTGTTTGCTTTATTTTCACTTAATATTATTCTACATTCCTTTTTCTTTGTTATTATTGTCACTATAATTGAAACTTTTTATGGCCACATGAATTTCATTGAGTTAGCATACCAGGGTGCTCCTGGTTTCCCACTATTTAGTTAAAGCTAATACATAATTTTCTGCTTGTAGCTTTTATGTTTAATTGTTTCCAATTGGTATATTTCCAAAAATGAGTTTTCTAAATCAAAAATCTATAAATATCTTTATTGATTTTTCATCAACACTATTAAACTGTTTTCCAAAGGTGTTGTTTTTAAAGGGATTATGCTACTTTTATAACCATCTGACAAGCATGTGTTATTGTTAATTTAAATGGGAAAAAGGTACTTGAATGTCACTTTAATCTGCATTTTCCTGATTATTAGCAATGTCTACTTCTTTACTCTTTGTAATTCTACTAATTGAGAATGTATGATTTATCTATGTCTTTTGCCTTTTGGCTATTCTTAACATTAAGTCTTTTTTATCTTTGATGCAATTTTTAAAATTAATCTGCTTTTTGCCCGTCAAGAAAAAAATAAAACCAACAGCAACACTGAGTTTAAAACAACAGAAAAACTGGATCAGAAATGACCACAATTAAGGTTATAGTCTTCTCTGCCCTTCTTTTCTATTGCCCTCCCACTAGTCACTTGGTTAATTTCTGTTCCTTTCTTGGGTCCAGGTTTGCTTTCTTCTCCCTGTTGTGCTTTCTTGAACTGTCTTCCCAAAGCTTCCATGTAGTTTGCAATATTCTGCTCTTTTGCAAGGCAACATAACAGTTTATCCTCATATTCCTTAATGTAATATTCCCCAAGGTGGGGTACAAGGTGGCACATACTATTAATGGAATATAAGATAATTTAAAATGCTCTATAGACAAACTTTGTAAAAATTAATAACATTTTATTTAATCTATATTATTATCTACCTCCTGTTTATGTCAAGCTACACTGATTTTCCACTTCTGTGAAGAATTTATATAAAAAGATACTTAATAACATATATCTTTTTTGTCAGATGGACTTTTATTCCTCTCTCATGGAAAAGGAATGCAGAGGTAGGCTAGTCCAAACTGGAGACGAAGCTTTCTAGGGCTGTCAAAAACTCAGATTCCTTTCATCCTGTTTCTCTGCCACCCTCAGCATGTGGTATACACCCCATGGTTCAAGGTGGTAGCCTGAGTGCCACCATATTTAAGCTAGCAGTGAGAAGGATGTATGGCAATGTCATCAACTGAGCTAGTGTATGTTTTGGGAAGAAGACCATGATTCTAGTTTTAGATATGCTGAGTTTGAGGAAATGTTGAGACAGCCATTAACACTGTCAAGTAAGAGTCTGGTACTTATAACAGAAATCTCGACTGGAGATGTAAATGTAGGGATTGCCGTCATATGCATGCTAATTAAGGCCACTGGTGTGGATAAGAATGCATAGAAATCAGTCTAGCATAAGAAGAGAAGTGAATCTAGCACTGAGCCTTAAAGAAATACCTATGTTAGGCCGGGTGACATGGTTCATGCCTATAATCCTAGCACTTTGGGAGTCCAAGGGGGGTGGATTGCCTGAGCTCAGGAGTTTGAGACAAGCCTGGGCAGCGTGGTGAAACCCCAGCTCTACTAAAATACAAAAATTATCCATGTGTGGTGGTGTGTGCCTCTAGTTCTGACTAGTTGGGAGGCTGAGGCAAGAGAATTGCTTGAACCTGGGAGGCAGAGGTTGTAGTGACCCGAGGTCAAGCCACTGCACTCCAGCCTTGGTGATAAGAGACTCTGTCTCACAAAAAAAAAAAAAAAAAAAGCTGGGTATGGTGGCTCATGCCTGTAATCTCAGCACTTTGGGAGGCCAAGGGATCACGAGGTCAGGAGATCAAGACCATCGTGGATAACATGGTGAAACCCTGTCTCTACTAAAAATACAAAAAATTAGCTGGGTGTGGTGGCACATGCCTGTAATCTCAGCTACTAGGGAGGCTGAGGCAGGAGAATCACTTGAACCTGGGAGGCGGAGGTTGCAGTGAGCCAAGATCGTGCCACTGCACTCCAGCCTGAGCAACAGAGCGAGACTCCATCTCAAAACAAACAAACAAACAAAAAACAAACAAAAAACAAAGAAATATCTATGTTAAATGGCAGTGTAGGAAAATAAAAATTTAAAAACAGCCTGTAAAGGATACAAAAAATGAGTAGCCAGAGATGCAGGGTAAAGAAACAAAAAATAGGGGATTATGATGAAATATATGCCAAGAGGAGGAACTGTTGCAGATAGAAATCAAGCTGTTCTAAGGCCAAATAAGATGCAGTCTGAAAAATATCCATTGTATTTCATTGTATTTCTCAACATGGAAGTACTGATGATTTTTGCAAGATTGTCTGGTGAGAAGGTCTAACTGGAGTGGGTTGCTAAGTGGATGGGAAGTGAGGAAGTGCAAATGACAGATTGGGCAGCAGAACAGTGCAGTTGTTCCTGAGAAGGAACGATGTAGGTATTACACTTAGACCTTGCAGGAAAACAGTGGGATTTTTATTTTGTTTTGTTTTAAATGGAAGATCTTGACATATATAAAAGCCAGGAATAATTCATTTCACAAGGAGAGAAGAAATATATAAGAGAGTGTGAGAATCCTGAAAGTACGGGAGAGGGTGGGAAGAAAAGCTCACCATGGTAGACATGGGCTTTAGCTAGGAGAAAGAAAGACAAGCTCCTCTATTAAAACCAGTTATAGCAAAGAATGATGAATGAATGCATGGAAGTTAAAGCAGGGTGTGTAGGTGTTTACAGGAGAAGTACTCAGGGAAAGGTGCATATCAGGTCCTTCCCTAGTTTTATATAATTTTCTCCTGCTTATGGATATAGTCTACTGTTTTTAGTGGTGGTGGAATGGTAGGGGTGGGGAGCAGGAGAATAGTTCTTGCAGTGTGTTGTTTCATGATACAGAAATGGAATCATAGTTTAAATGATTGTTACATAAGTTTCATATTTCTTTTAATTTGTAATAGAATCCTAGCAAGCTGGACATTACCTCACTGTCTCATCAAAAGCGTTGCTATTGCTTTCATTCTTTTTAATGACTTATTTTTCCAGTGGTATGAGGTACTGTGTAGAGCAATGAATCACAATTATTTTTGCACTTTGATTTGAGAATTTCAGGTTGAATACAAAATGCTTTTCTCTTCTTAGTTTTATTTTACCCAACTAACTTATTATTCTATCCTATGACTCCTGTGTTATCTCTTTAACGTCTTTTTCTTTTCTATGACTTTCTGTGCCTTGAGTATCCTGATAAACTTTAGAGAAGTGGGACCAGTATCCTTACCTTGAACTTGGTAAAGTCTTGGGAGAAATACGCCTCAATTTAGTCATTAAACACACACACCACACACACACACTTGTCAAAATCTGCAACTTTAATCCAAGACCAAGGAATCCTACTTTAAAAGGTCTGTCTCACCATAGGCTTTTTTTCTGTATTCCACGTGTACCAGTGATATAGGCAGAGAAATGTAGCAGATAAAGAAATGAATTTGGCTTCTGGAGCTTTTCTTTCATTTAAATACCACCTCTGTAATCTTAGACAAGTCACTAAACCTTGGTGCCTCTGTGTGAATTGGAAATAATTATATATCAACTCTTCACAAACCTAGAGTGCTATCGTGAGGATTAGGTCTAAAAGGCTCCTCACAGGTTTCTCATGCTTAAAGCACCTTTAATTATCCCTTTCTTAGTAATTGTATAAATCTCTAAGTTAATCCATTAAAGTCTAGTCATCATCTCTCTATTAGCAAGACCCAACTGGGCAGATAGTGTTGTTAGGATCATTGTGAGTCTCCCCAGGGTTCTTCCCCTTCCATTTCTGATTATGCTGTGAATATATTTCCAGAATTTCAGAGGGGTTTGCTTGCAAGCTAAAAGATCTTTGCAAAGGCTCAAAAAATACGGTCTGCTTCAGACAGAGAGAGGGTTTGCAATATGCGATGAATCTCTCAGTCCCATTAGAACCTTAAAGATGATGATAGCTCACATTTAATGTAATGATTAATGTGTACCAGGACCATTCCAGGCACTTTTGCATGTAGACAAATAATTCTCAGATTACTTACTGATTAATATCATCATCATCTCTATTTTACAAACGAGGAAACTGAGGCACAGAGAGGCTAAATCACTTGCCCAGGATCTGGAGCCAAGTAATGGTGATACTGATGCTTCCTTTTCTTTGCCGCGCTCGGATTCTGAGTTTCACAAGAATGTACCTGGGTGCCCCTTAGCGGGATATGAATAGCTTCTTCGGAACCCCAGCGGCCAGCTGGTGCCTCCTGGAAAGTGACGTCTCATCTGCACCGGACAAGGAGGCGGGGAGGGAGCGCAGAGCACTCAGCGTCCAGCAGCGCGGCGGGCCAGCCTGGAGCGGAAGCCTGGAGTGGAGCAGGCAGTCCGCGGGGGACAGACGTCGGCTGGGATTGAGCCGGCAGACTGCGAAAAGTAGCTGGAGCCGGAGCAGGGACAGAACCTGTTGCTGCAGACGGGCTTGGTGGATTCTGGTTCCTGCCGCCGACAGGGCTCGCCGGGAGAGGTAACAGCATGGGCCAGTTTGTCTGGGGGCCCCCGCTTGGGGGCGCGACCCCTCTCTAATGCCCAACGCTTGCCTTGATGACACATATTAGCGATTGTGGACCGACACCTTGGATTTTTCAAATCCCTTCCTAATTACACAGGCACCCGCTTGGTCACTGGCCCAACACTGGGGGGCTTCTCTGCCCTGGATGTCTGCACCACAGATGGCTGTGGCCCCAGGCTTGCAGAGCAGGGACCTGGTCAAGGGATGTGGGGCGCTTTCTTCACCTTAAAGTTCCCCCCAAGCCCTCTCCGGGGCTGTATTGTGTTGTAACTTTGTTGAATTTCCTTAGCGGGTCTGAAGCTAGCGAGTTTCTAAACTGTTTTTATCCGTGATGCTTCTAAGCAATGATCTTTGTGTATCTGAGGCTTCATCTTGTGCATTTCCACTTGCTAGAAAAGCTGAAATCAGGTTTCTGAGCTGCGTACAGGACACCAGAGTCCTTATTGAAGGCGTTTGGAGAGGTTTTATCCCCTTCTGGGAGTGAGATAGGGTTTCCAGACAATACCATTTTAGTTCTTCTGTCAAACCATCAGGCATTTTCCAACAGTGCCGCCCTAGGTCAAATTTAGGGTCTGGAGGAGAGGAAAATGATCTTCTTCAAGCTGTCGTTCTAGTTAAAGACAGAACTACTAACTAAAAACCAAAAATACATTTGTTCATCTCCCATTTCCCCTCAGCTATAGTGTAGATATTTGAAATATTTATTTCTTTTTAAAAAATCTTAATGATAACATGAATTATACAAAGATGCTGGTTTCCTTTTTTTAATCCAAATATTCAAAGTTGTTTTAAACATATGTCTAAATTTCTAATTCCATTCACATCCAAATAACTTTCAAGTGGGAACTACTAATGAGAGGAAGGATGGAAAAATCAATGGTTTGTAAACTGTGAAGGACATATTTTTGTTTCCATCTGGATTTCTAATTAAACCATAATAAATTGAGTAAAATTATCATAATAATGATGAATCTAAGTTATGGATGAATTTGCAAAATGGCTATAATGTGCTCAAAAATAGTGCCATTATCATCAACAGAATGGCAATTGTATGCAGAGTTCAATTAGAGTCTTTCATCTGTTAAAAACTTCTATAGATCGATCATTTAATAAAACAGTGATGCAATATAGTGCAGTAACAGTACCTACTGCACTATATTTAAAGGCACATATTAACATTACAGACTGGCTATTGTAATAATAAAAAAATGTGCTTTCTTTATTGCTTGAAAATAACATGTTACTCATATATCATTATCCTATTCTTTTTCTCAATATGTGTTTTTCCAAAATCCATACACCCCAATAAGATCTTTCTACTAGCCATGATTTCTTCATGTCTATAGAAAACTTCAGAGCATTTGAGGCTTAAGCTTATTTTTGCTTCATCTATCTGTTTGTCTGTTTCATCTGGCAGTTTTATTCTTGGTGCATTTTGTGAACACATTACAAAGTATCTAAAATTATATATTAGAAATTCATTGTTTTATTTGTATGATTATTTTATCCCATAGTTCCTATAAATCATACTGCTCACCAATACTCTCTTTTACAGATGTCAAAGACTATAGGTTGAATAAATATGAATTCACTATAAACCAATGAATGATTTCTTCCAGAAATATCAGTTTATTTATTGTAGTTGTTCTTCGGCTCTGTGTGTGTGTGTGTGCATGTGTGTGAGTGAGTGTGATTTTTTATGAGAATTCCATGCAAATGCCTCTGTGATAAATATTTATAAACCTTTTCACTGTATTGCATTAAAATGGATTTCCAGCTGTAACATGGAACACAAAATAAGGACAACTTCATGCCTTGAAGCTTCAGATACTTAAAAATAATAATTTTGTAAAATACTGCCCTCCTTATTATGGAAAAAAGGACATTGGTTTTAGCTAAAGACTTCAAAACTGTCAAGCACATTCAAAGAAAATGGAATAAATATAATCTCACATTCCTAAAACACATCTGGATTAGTCTATTCTCATGCTGCTATAAAGGACTGCCTGAGACTGGGTAATTTATAAAGGAAAAAGATTTAATTGACTCAAAGTTCTGCAGGGCTGAGGAGGCCTCAGGAGACTTACAATCATGGCAGAAGGGGAAGCAAACACGTTCTCTTTCACGTGATGGCACGAAGGAGAAACGCCAAGCCAAAGGGGGAAAAGCCCCCTATAAAACCATCAGATCTCATGAGAACTCACTCACTATCATGAGAATAACATGGTGGTAGCTGTCCTCATGATTCAATTACCTCCCACCAAGTCCCTCCCAAGGACACATGGGGATTACAAGAACTACAATTCAAGATGAGATTTGGATGGGGACACGGCCAAACTATATCAATATTTATATAGTATTTTAATAATCTTAACAAATTGTTCTCTTAAACATATGAATTTTATGCTTACCATTAACCTGATGTTAACAGCTGATTTTCTTTTCCTCTCTGTTTCCCTTTGATTTTAAGTTCCAGCTTTTTGGATAAGTTGGTTCTTAAATGAATTTTCCAATTGCCTTGAAACTGAACATTAAGGGTCCAGGGAGACCTTCACTCCATTAAACTAGAAGGAAATGGAAATATACTGCCCATACAAAAAGATGCAATGGTCCCTATAGCAGACAGCTGTTTAGAATGGGTCTTGTGTCCTTGCTTTGCGGAGTTTTCAAATACAAGACTTCTAAAAGTAAAGAAATTAGGTTTCTTCCCAGTCAGACTTCTAACTGGCTCTGTGCCTCAGGCAAATCATTTAACTTCTCTATGTCTAAGATTCCTCAAACGTAAAAGGATGAATTATAATTTGATTTCTAAAATTATTTTACCCCTCTAGATTTCTCTGTTTCTATGGTAGAAGGCAGAGGATACAGAGTGAGAAAGCTCAGATGTCCTTGCTTTGCCATTTGAGAGCTTCTGCCCTTAGGCAAGGCCCTGAAATTCTGTGACATCAACACCTCATCTATAAAATGGCCTAATAGAAGAAATTAATAGAATGATCTATTATGCTGGATACAGTGTCTAGTACATAGAAGACGCACAAGAATGTTTTTAAGGCACCCATCTCTGAAAAATCTAAAGGGATTTCTGCCTGTGGCAGGGGAGGAAATGACCTAAAAGCAGAGGAGTCTATCCTGCATCTGCAGGTAGGCATTTCGCAGTATAGTTTCTATAGTATTCACCAGAGACCAGGAAAAGAGAGGGCCAGAGCCTCAAGCATAGTATGAATGCCTCCTTGGTATCTTTCCATAGTTTAGCCCCCCCTAAAAAAGTCAAAGTGAGTCAGGACAGCATAAATATTAAACTTAATGCCACACATGACTGACAAGACATGTCCTGTTCTGGTTTCCATGTCAAACTAGGCTTGATTCTGTTACAGCTAAGCATACCAGCTAGGCTGTATAATGACCATCAGAATAATTGCACAATCCAAATCACACCACACCAGTAATTAGAAAAAGGAAAGAAAAAACAAATAAAATAACTCCTGAAATGCCAAAAAATTGGTTCTCTTTCAGCTGTATTTCCATTTAAAATTTAAAGTTTTCAAATGTTATGAAAGTATATTTCTTACTTTTTTTCTTCTTGGGCTATTGTAAGAGTCTCATTTAGGTGTCTGCATGGAGTCTGGGTTCCATGTGGCAGTTGCAGAATAAAGCACCTGCCATTAGAACTGATGTGCCTTTTTCTAGTCCTTCAAACAAGTCTCAGTTGATCCATATTTTCAGAACTCTGGAGGGTTTACCAAACAGAATATTACAGTTCTGGTTGCATTCCCACAAAATTTAGAAAGCATCAATAAATCTTTCCCAAAGCCAAACGAGATCAAAATATCTAAACTTAAGTGAGCTGCAACCATACGCATTATCTCATTTAATCTTCATGATTTTAGAAATTGAGTATGCTTACAATCCCTTTTCGGTGGATAAAGAAACTGAGGCTCAGAAATAATTTGCCAAAGTAAACATGTTTACTAGGTTGAGGAACCAGGATAATGAACTCATGTAGTCTCCCAGTCTACATGCTTAAATTCTACACTGCAGGACTCCCAAGTATGTAGCAACAACAGCTTATAATCAAAGTACCAATTTCTGTATATACTGATCCTTTCCACATGAAAGCTATATACCTAGGAAGAGATAAATATTACAGTCCTCATGAAGATTTTTCTAAGTGGAAGTAAGAAGCATCAGAGTTATTTGTGAAACTTTCAAATGTCTCACCACAGATTAGTGGGCTGGAGTTGGGTTCGGGTGGTGTGTGTGTGTGTGTATATATATAATGTATATATACATTTAAATATATAGTATATATAATGTATATATACATTTAAATATATAGTATATATAATGTATATATACATTTAAATATATAGTATATATATGAGATTCTGAGTCAAAATTATTTTCATGATTTCCCATAATGAAAAAAATTTGTCCCAATCCACAATGCCATTTTGCAGCCATAGACAGACTAATCTTAAGAATCTTAAGTGTTGTCTTGGACAGGAGGTATTTAGAAAAATTATAATGAGAGGATAAACATTTCTTTAATTTAGCCTCACCAGAATGTGAGTTAAATCAAATAGATGTATATATTAGAATTTACCAGCTGCAAACATGCAAGGAAATAAGGACAAATTTCGATTAAGTGCTTGCACATGACCTTATGATTCTCATATCTTGGGAGAGTTTGCGACTTATAAAAACTGCTTTATCTTACCAAGAGTGACATCTCAAACACCCTGTCTCCTTGCTAAATGTAAACATTTAAAGAGGTGATACTTGCAGCGTTCAGGATTTCTCTCAAATTCCCTACTTTTCCTTAAAGTATGGAGTCTCATTTAAAATCTTTAAAGTACCTCATTTAGGCCAGGTGTGGTAACTCATGCCTGTAATTCCAGCACTTTGGGAGGCAGAGGCAGGAGGATCGCTTGAGCTCAGTTTGAGATCAGCCTAGGCAACATAGTGAGATCCTGTGCCTACAAATTAAAAAAAAAAACAAAAAACTAGCTGGTCATAGTGGTACATACCTGTAGTTCTAGCAACTCGGGAAGTTAAGGTTAAGGTGGGAGGATTGCTTGACCCCTGGAGGTTGAGGTTGCAGTGAGCCATGATTATGCCACTGCACTCCAGCTTCGGCAACAGAGCAAGATCTTGTTTGAAAAAAAAAAAAAAAAAAGGACCTCATTTAAAGTCTCTAAATTTTCCTTCTCATTTTACTTTCTGTCCTTGCATTCTTGGCACACTGATAATAAACTGAATGTGGGGTCTTTCTAGGATCACATCTTCCAGTCTTTGTAAGGATGCTGTATCTCATTTATAATAGACAACTCTCTCAGCAGAGTTCGTAGTCTTGTGTTTCCCTTTCTACTTACTCATGATCTCCTCTTCTGTCTGGAATTCCTCATCCTCCACAGGTGTGCAAACTGTTTTGTTTGTTTTTGTCCTTGGGTAGCCGTTTATATCATTTATATCAGTGTTACTTAAGGCTTCAAAGCCTTTGGCTAAAATCTTCCCTGTTTGAGGGAGTTTCCTTTGTTCCTGCTCTTTTTTCAGCTGGAAAAACTACATTAAGTAATTTCTGTGATATATGCTTCTTTCAAAACTAGTGGCCCTATGCTTCCCTTAACACAGAAGTATCAAAGACCAGCATGAGCTTGACCAATATCCTGAGCTTGCTTTTGATATTTTGATTATCTAGGTTTTAGTAACTTTTTCTAATTCATGTTTACCTACAGAATTAGTGCCCGCTTGAAGATTCTACAGTATCCAAAGCCTTACAGTTTCTCACTGTCTCTATCCTCAGCTCTCATCTTTTTTCCTCCTTTGACACCCTCGAGTCTTGAACATGCCAAGCTCATTCTCAATTACAACTTTTGCACGTGATGCTCTCCCTGCCTGGGAATCGTGAGTCTCAGAGCTGCAGGGAAGGGGTTCTTTAAGTCATTTCATCTCGGGTCTGGAATGCTTCTCCACACTACTAGTCCTCACAGTATTGTCTGATTTGTGTCAAAGCCCACTTGCTAGTTGAGACTTTCTCATTTATGTGTTCACTTATTAATGATTTTATTCCCCAAAATGAAATATAAGCTCCATGAGAGATGTACAGTATGCTTTCATATTTATTGCTGGCCTTAGTGCCTAGAACAGAGTCTAGTGCATAGTAGATACTCAGAAAATATTTGTTCTGTGAAAATTTTACTTCCATTTCCCTATTAGATTATCCTGCATCTTTTTACAGGTCCAGACAAGTTGCCGAAACTTCAACCTTATCATTCCTGTTTTTTAATTCCTTTCTGTTGATCCTACCTTAGCTAAAATACCAATCAGTATATTTTTTTTCCTGTAATATGGAAAAAAATTTGAAAAAGCTATCATTGCACCATTTTAATATACATTCAGGTTGCATAGTATCTGTATATGTTGATTTCAAAGAATAATCTGGATCTGAGTACTAGGAAAAACGAAAATAAAAAGTAGCACAACGTTTACTTTTTATTAAAGTTACATTAGCCATTCCACTGTTTTCACTGGCATGATTTTTCATGTTTAAAATATATTTTGAAAATATATACATATATAGAGATATAATTTTGCATAAGTGCCTAAACTAAATTATATCATAATGTTGTTTTTTAATTCTTGATTTTTAAATTTCCTTTCTTTTTTTTTTTTTTTTTTTTTGAGATGGAGTCTCTGTCGCCCAGGCTAGAGTGCAGTGGCGCAATCTCGGCTCACTGCAAGCTCCGCCTCCCGGGTTCGCGCCATTCTCCTGCGTCAGCCTCCCGAGTAGCTGGGACTGGCGCCTGGGTTTTTTGTTTTTTTTTGTTTTTTGAGACGGAGTCTCGCTCTGTCGCCCAGGCTGGAATGCAGTGGCGCGATCTCGGCTCACTGCAAGCTCCACCTCCTGGGTTCACGCTATTCTCCTGCCTCAGCCTCCTGAGTAGCTGGGACTACAGGCGCCCGCCACCACGCCTGGCTAATTTTTTTGTATTTTTAGTAGGGACGGCGTTTCACTGTGTTAGCCAGATGGTCTCCATCTCCCGACCTCGTGATCCACCCACCTCGGCCTCCCAAAGTGCTGGGATTACAGGCGTGAGCCACCGCGCCCGGCCAATTTCCTTTCTTAGTTGCCTCTGCCCACCTCTTCTCTTCTGCTTCCATATTACAGGTAACCAATCTTAATTGGGTTCTATTATGTTAGATTTTTCTCTACTCTTATACCCATTCACATATATACACTCTCAAATCAATCTTTTTGTCATCATTTAAAAAATATATGCATCTTGTTTTCTAACTCATGATGACCTTGTGGAAAGCCCTCCATGTTGATTGTTATGGATAAAATTCAATTCTAAATGGCTGTATATAATATACCGTGATATGGATAATAAGAAACAAATTCAACCATTCCCTTCTTGATAAACATTCACTTTGTTTCCAGAGGTTTCTATCTTGTTGGGTTTTGTCACAAAACAAGGCTACAATAAAAGTAGTTATTTAAAAACTACTTTATCTCCAGGTTTAAAGAGCAAAGCTATTTTTCAATTTTAATGTATGTTGCCTTATTGCTTTCTAAGTACTACAAATAATTACATTTTTACCAGAAGACTATGACACTGTTCTTTACTCATGTCCTTACAGCAATAGGTGTTGTAACTGTTTATGTTATTAGTTGTTAAATTAATTTGAATTTCTTAACTACTTGTGAAATTAAATATATTTTTATCTTCTTCAGATGTTTGGACTTCTTGTGTAAATCATTTATTAATATTCTTGCTCATTTTACTGAGATATTAGTCTTTTTCTCAATTTATACATTCTTTGAATATTGTAATTATTAATGCTTATCATAGTAGGTGTTTTCCATATTGTCGGCTGCCTTTGTTCATAACTTTATCATGCACATTTAAAATATTTGTATAGACAATATATTTATTATTGTATACATTTTGGATTCCAGTGTTGATTAATATGATTTTTTCTTATTGCTGCATTAGACATGTAGTCTTCTAGATTTTACTGAAGGATTTTTATTTTTAAAAATTTTAGCATGGGTTTTTAATTCAAGTGGAGTTTTAAAACACATGCCATAAATAGTGAGCCAACTTTCACTTCTTCCAAACAGCTTACTAAATATTTTATTCTTCCCCTTCGAATTGAAAACACACTTTTGTCATATTTTAAAATCTCATATATAATGGGATCTATATTTGTATCCTTGATTCTGTTTCACTGACCAATTTGTCCATTTCTATGGCAACACCAAATTGCTTTGATTATATTTGCCATAGATTATTTTTCTGATATCCTAAAAAGCATATCTCCTTACTGTTTTTCTTCACAAATGTTCTTAGCTTTTCTTGGGCACATTTTCTTCCCTCTGAACTTTTAAAAATCATATTCCAAAACAAATCCTGTCACTGCTTTGCAAATATTTTTACCAAACGAACTGTTTGTCTATACATATTTTAAATGATATTATATTAAATTGATATGTTAATTTGGGGAGATGACCTATAAAGTATTAAAATTTATCTTCCAAAAATCAGGCATGTTGTTCAATTTTAAAGAAATTTTAAAATCTTTCAGTAGGGTTTTATTTTTTATGTCATCATTTTATATTCCATCTTTTGCCTGTTAAATTTATTTTTATATATGCTACATTTTAGTCACTGCTGTAAAATATATATATATATATTCATTTTAATTTCTAGGTGCTATTGCTAATATTAAGAATGGCTACTTTTAAAAAATTTTTAACTTATTTTATATTCAGGGGGTACATGTGCTGGTTTGTTACAAAGGTATATTGTGTGATGCTGAGGTTTGGGTACAGTTGAACCCATTACCCAGGTAGTGAGCGAACTACCCAATACGTAATTTTTCAACCCTTAATCCCTTCCTCCCTTCCCCTTCTTGTATTCCTTAGTGTCTATTGTGCCCATCTTTATATCTATGCGTTTCCAATGATTAGCTCCCTCTTATAAGTGAGAACATATGGTATTTAGTTTTCTGTTTCTGCATTTATTTGCTTAGGATAATGGCCTCCAGCCGTATCCATGTTGCTGCAAAGTACATGATGCTGTTCTTTTTTATAACTGCATAGTATTACATGGTGTATATGTATCATATTTTTTAAATCCAAACCACTGTTGATGAACGCCTGGGTTGATTTCATGTCTTTATTATTGTGAATAGTGCTGCAATGAATATATGAATGCAAGTGTCTTCTTGGTAGAATGATTTATTTTCCTTTGGATATATACCAAGTAATGGGATTGCTGGTTTGAATGGTAGTTCTATTTTTAGTTCTTTAAGAGATCTGCAAACTGTTTTCCACAGTGGCTGAACTAATTTACTCTCCCACCAACAGTATATAAGCATTCCTTTTTCTCCACAACCTCGTCAGCATCTGTTCTTTTTAGACTTTTTAGTAATAGCCATTCTAATTGGTGTGAGATGATATCTCACTGTGGTTTGATTTGCATTTCTCTGATGTTTAGTGGTGTTGAGCATTTTTCCATGTTTGTTGACTGCTCGTATGTCTTCTCTTGACAAGCATCTACTCATGTCCTATGTTCACTTTTTAATGGAGTTTATTTTTTCTTGATTTAAGCTCCTTATAGATTGTGGATATTAGACCTTTGTTGGATGCATAGTTTGCAAATATTTTCTCCCACTCTGTAGGTTGTCTGTTTACTTCGTTGAGAGTTTCCTTTGCTGTGCAGAAGCTCTTTAGTTTAACTAGAGTCTCACTTGTCAATTTTTGTTTTTGTTGCAATTGCTTTTGAGGTTTATAAATTCTTTGCCATGGCCAATAATATGGCTTGGCTGTGTCCCCCACCCAAATCTCATTTTGAATTATAGTTCTCATAATCCCCATGTGTCCCTGCTGTTCTTGTGATAGTGAGTTCTCATGAGATCTGATGGCTTTATAAGGGGCTTTTCCCCCTTTTGCTTGGCACTTCTTGCTGCCACCATGTGAAGAAGGAAATGTTTGCTTCCCTTTCTGCCATAATTGTAAGTTTTCTGAGGCCTCCCCAGCCCTGCAGAACTGTGAGTCAATTAAACCTGTTTCCTTTATAAATTACCCAGTCTTGGCTATATTCGTATAGCGGCGTGAGAATGGACTAGTAGAGTATATTAATATCCAGAATGGGGTGCTGCTATAAGGATAGCCAAAAATGTGGAAGCAACTTTGGAACTAAGTAATTGGCAGAGGTTGGAACAGTTTGGAGGGCTCAGTAGAAGATAAGAAATGTGGGAAAGTTTGGAACTTCCTAGAGACTTGTTGAATGGCTTTGACCAAAATGCTGATAGTGATATGGACAATAATGTCCAGGCTGAGGTAATCTGAGATTGAGATGAGGAACTTGTTGGGAACTGGAGCAAAGGTAACTCTTGTATGCTTTAGCAAAGAGTCTGGAGGCATTTTGCCCCTTTCCTAGAGATCTGTGGAACACTCAACTTGAGAGAGATGATTTAGGGCATCTGGCAGAAGAAATTTCTATGTGGCAAAGCATTCAAGAGAAAGCAGAGCATAAAAGTTTAAAAAATGTGCAGGCTGATTATGAAGTGGAAAAGAAAAATCCATTTTCTGAAAAGAAATTTAAGCCAGCAGCAGAAATTTTCATAAGTAACGAGGAGCAGAATTTAATCACCAAAACAATGAGAAAAATGTCTCCAGGGCACATCAGAGACCTTCATGGCAGCCCTCCCATCACAGGCCCAGAGGCCTAGGAGGGAAAAATGGTTTCTTAGGCCAAGTCCAGGCCCCCTTGCTGTGTTCAGCCTTGGGACTTGGTGCCCTGTGTCCCAGCCACTCCAACCGTGGGTAAAAGGGGTCAATGTACATTTCGGGCCATTGCAATTCCCAATCCTTGGTAGCTGCCATGTAGTGTTGGTCCTGCAGGTGCACAGAAGACAAGAATTGAGGATTGGGAACCTCCACCTAGATTTCAAAGAATGTATGGAAGTGCCTGGATGTCCAGGCAGAGGTATGCTGCAGGGGCTGATCGCTTGTGGAGAACCTGCTAGGGTAGTGCAGAAGGGAAATGTGGGGTTGGAGCCCTGAGAGAGTCCTCACTGGGGCACTGCCTAGTAGGCCTGTGAGAAGAGGCTACTGTCTTCTAGACCTCAAAATGGTAAATCCACTGACAGCTTGCACCATGCACCTGGAAAAGGTGCAGACACTCAAAGTCATCCCATGAAGGCAGTCAGTAAGGGGGCTGTGCCCTGCGAAGCCACAGGGGTGGAGCTTGCCAAGGCCATGGGAGCCTACATCTTGCATCAGTGTGACCTGGATGTGAGACATGGAACCAAAAGAGATCATTTTGGTAATTTAATGTTTAATAATTGCCCTATTGGATTTTGTGCTTGCATGGGGCCTGTAGCCCCTTTGTTTTCACTAATTTATCCCATGTGAAATGGTGTATCTACCCAATGCCTGTACCCCATTGTATCTAGGAAGTAACCAACTTGCTTTTCATTTTATAGGCTCATAGGTGGAAGGGACTTGCCTTGTCTCAGATGAGACTTTGGACTTGGACTTTTGAGTTAATGCTGGAATGAGTCAAGACTTTAGGGGACTGTTGGAAGGGCATGATTGTGTTATGAATTGTGAGGACATGAGATTTGGGAGGGTCCAGGACCAGAATGACATGGTTTGGCTGTGTCCCCACCCAAATCTCATCTTGAATTGTAGTTCCCAAAATCCCCACGTGTAATGAAGGAGATGTGGTGGGAAGTAATTGAATCACGGGGGCACTTACTTCCATGCTGTTCACATGATAGTGAGTGAGTCCTCACAAGATCTGATGGTTTTATAAGGGGCTTTTCCCTGTTTTGCTTGGCATTTCTTCTTGCTGCCACCATGTGAAAAAGGACATGTTTGCTTCCCCTTCCACCATGATTGTAAGTTTCCTGAGGCCTCCCCACTCATGCAGAATTGTGAATCAATCAAACCTCTTTCCTTTATAAATTACCCAGTCTTGAGTATGTCCTTATAGCAGCATGAGAATGAACTAATACAGCCAATGTCAAGAAATGTATTCCCTGGGTTGTCTTCCAGGATTTTTATAGTTTTAGGTCTTACATTTAAGTCTTTAATCCATCTTGAGTTACTTTTTGTATATTGTGAGCAGTAAGGGTCTAATTTCATTCTTCTGTATGTGGTTTGCCAGTTATCCCAGCACTACTTTAACAATATAGATTCTTTGAATCTATGAACATGGAACGTTTTTCTACTTGATTATGTCATCTGTGATTTCTTTCAACAGTGTTCCCTTTTATCCACATTCTCACCAGTGTCAGTTATTTTTTGTCTTTTTAATAGTAGCCATTCAAACTAGGGTAAGATGATATCTCATTGTGGTTTTGATTTGCATTTTCCTGATAATCAGTGATGTTGAGAATTTTTTTTCATGTAGCCATTGGCCATGTTTATGTCTTCTTTTAAGAAATCTCTATTTGTGTTCTTTGTCCACTTTTTACTGGGATTATTATTTTTTTTTCTGTGGAGTTGTTTCATTCCTTGTATATTCTGGATATTAGTGCCTTTTTGGATGAATAGTTTACAATTATTTTCTCCCATTCAGCAGAGTCTCTATACTGTGTTCATTTTTTTCCTTTGCTGTGCAGAAGCTTTTCAGCTTCTACTAATCCCATTTGTCTATTTTTGTTTTTGTTGCCTGTGTTGAGGTCTTAGCCATAAAATCTCTGCCTAGACAAATATTCTGAATTGTTTCCCTATTTTTTTCTAGTAATTTTATAGTTTTAAATCTTAGATTTAAGTCTTTATTTCATGTTGAGTTGATATTTGTGTATGAAGGATATGGGTCCAGTTTCTTTCTTCCACATATGGATATCCAATTTTCCCAGTACCATTTATTGAAGAGGGTGTTCTTTCCTCAATGTATGTTCTAGTCCCTTTGTCAAAAATCAGTTCACTATAAGTATCTGATATACTGATTTTGTTTCCTTCGGATAAATACACAGTAGTGAGATTGCAGGATTGAATGATATTCTATTTATAGTTGTTTTTGAGAAATCTCCACATTGTTTTCCATCATGGCTGTACTAATTTACATTCCCACACCAGGGAGTATTTCCACGTTCTCTATTCTGTTCCATTGATCTATGTGTCTATTTTTATACCAATACCATTTCCTCTTTTGGTTACTATAGCCTTATAATATATTTTTTAATCAAATAGTGTGATACTTTTGCCTTTGCTCTGTTTGCTCAGGATATCTGAGCAACCAAGTACAGATGCTCCTCAGCTTATGATGTATAATAAACCCATGGTTAAGTTGAAAATATTGCAATTCCCAAATGCATTTAGTACATCTAACCTTCTGAACATCGTAGCTTAGCCTAGCCTACCAGAAACATGCTCAGAAAACTTACATTAGCCTACAGTTGGGCAAAAATCATCTAATACAATACATATTTTGTAATAAAGTTTGAATATCTCATGTACTTTATTGAATGCTGTACTGAAAAGAGAAAAAATAATGGTTGTGTGGGTACTCAAAGTATGGTTTCTGTTAAATGCATATGGCTTTCACATGATCATAAAGTAGAAAAATCCTAAGTTGACCCTTTGAATGTTGGAAACTGTGTGTATTGATGGTGCGGAGTAATGAAGATTTTTACTTGCTTTGATCAATTTAGAAAGCAATCTGATTTCATACAATTAAAAATGTATATGCCCTATATATGCATAAGGAGATATATATAAAGATGTTTATTGCAGTATTATTTATAATAAAATAATGAAAAATTAAACCATTAATTAAAGAATGGGTAAGTAATAGGTAATATAATCATGTGGTAAATACCACAGGTAGGCAAAAAAATAGCTGCCATGACTTGGTTAAATGAAAAGACTGGATAGATTTGAGTCCTGGCCCTGTCATAACTTTGGATAGTTACTTATACTTTTCCTGCTTCAGCACTGTAAAATATAGATAATGCTATGGTTTGGAAGCTCTCTCCAAAACTCATGTTGAAATTTAATTGCCAATATAATATTATTGCAAACTGGGGACTTTAACAGATGATTAGGTCATGGGAGTTTCACCCTCATGAGTGGATTAATGCCATCATTGCAGAAGTGGGCTAGTTATTACAGGAGTGGGCTCCTGATAAAAAGATAAGCCCAGCCGCCTTTTGTTCTCTCTGTCTCACATGCTTGCTTACCCTTCCACAGTGGGATATCCCTCACCAGACGCTGGCACCATCCTCTTGGACTTCCCATTATCCAGACCCATGAGCCAAATAAATTTCTGTTCTTTATAAGTTACTCAGTGTGTGGTACTCTATTATAACAGCAGAAAAAAAGACATACTATTCATACTGAAAAGTGAGGCTGTCATTATAGCAAAGTGCTGAAAAGGTGGAAGCAGCTTTGGAACTAGATAATGGGTAGAGGCTGGAAGAATTTGGAGGAGCAGGCTAGAAAAAGCCTAGATTGCTGTGAATGTAGCATTAAAGGCAACTCTGGTAAGGGGTCCAAACAAGAGGAGAGCTGTAGGGAAACATGAAACTTTTTAGAGATTACATAAGGGGTGGTGACCAAAAGGCTGATTGAAATATTAAAGGTAAAGGCCATTTTGATGAGGTTTCAGAGGGAAATGAAGAACAATGTTTTAGACACTGGGGTAAAGTCCATCCTTGTTTTACAGTTGTAAAGACCTTGAGTGAATTGTACCCAAAGCCTGAGGGCTTTGCAGAATGCAGAGCTTTAAAGTGATGAACTAGGATATCTGGTGGAAGACATACCCAAGCAGCAAAGCATTCAGGCTGCTGCATGGCTGCTTTTAACCATATACAGTGAGACGTGAGGGATGACTTCAATAAAGATTGTATAATAAAATAAGAAACAGAGTGAAAGGATTTGGAAAATTCACAGCCTGGTTATGTAAAGAATTAAAAAAAAAAAAGAAAATTTCAGAAGAGAGCACTAAGGATGTGGCCAAGTGACAATTGCCAAAGAGATTAATATGGATAAAAGCCAGGTGCTATATATCAAGACCATGGAAGAAAGACCCTGAAGGCATTTCACTTATCACTGAGGTTGCCCCTTCCATTATAGGCCCAGAGCTGTAGGAGGGCAGAATGGTTTCTGGTGATGGTCTTGAAGCATCCTCCATGGGCTCACTGCCCAGGGTTAACTTGGGTCTCCACTCATTGTGATTCTAGCAATGTGCCCCTAGTCTGCACTGGGAGCATCTCATATCTAACATTTTGATTTAACCCTTTTCCAAGTGGGCATGCCCAGTCAGGGATCTGGTTTAGCTCTCCCTGATCTACTTTGCCCCACTGCCCAGGTTTCCCAAATCACAGAACTCATAATCCTTGTGATTACTTGCTCAATGCTTTGTCTTTTATATAGGATTGTTAGCTTAATGAAAACTGTTAAGCCCGAATATTGTGTTTAATTCACAGCAGAAGATCCTAAATGAGTAATGAATGAATAAAAATTATAGAAATATATGCGTATATGTTAATAATAGTTGGGTCTTACAGAGTATTTCAAATAGTAGCCTTCTTTCCACTCATCTGAATTTGGAGCTATTTAGAGATAGACACACAAGCATATATGCTTCCATTTAGGATAGATGCAAACATATAGACATCAAAATATCAGCTTTATTTCTGTTGAAACTATTTGAGAATGTGTCTAGGGACTGTGGGCAAGGAGTAAAGTTATTCCTAAATTTGACAGATTTCCCCCACTCAATCTCTCATTACAGGGAGATGGCTAACTTCGTATATATTACAGTTCATATCATATTATGTGTGTATGTATTACACACACGTATATTACACACACACACATATATGTTTATGTATAGGTCATCTCCCTGCCATATATATATACACACGTACGTAAATGCACAGAGAGCATATGCACTTTATTGGCAGCAAGATTCAATGGGGAGCAACGAAAAGGCCAGAGACACTCAAGTTCAGTTTCTTCTTCCCAAGTTCTGGATTCTTGGAGAAGTGAGGGAGGAGTCAGGCAACTTACCCAAGAGAAGATTTCAGGAATAGAGAATAAGTTATCTCTAGAAGGGGGTAATTTGGGTTTTTGGTTTTTGGTTTATATTTTCTATGTTTTCCAATGATCATGCACTATTTTTAATCAGATAAAAATTCCTAAAACATAAATTGCAATCTTAATTTTTCTTGGCCTCTTATTTTCTCACAAGTGTTAATTTGGCCAATTCACAATATACATATATGCCTGTGTAAAATTGTAGATCTCCTGTGTGGGAATGAAAGAAGTATCTGATGGAGAAAATGAACAAATAGCTTAAAAATATATAAAAGAGAAACATCTATATTAACTATTCACAATTACTTGGGGATAGCTTCTTGTGTGAGAAAATTATATTTTAAATGAAGTGGCTGGTGCCAAGTGATATGAGTACTAATTTTTTTTTAATGATACTTTGGTAATGTGGTCAAAATGTGAAATAACTTATCTTTTTTTTTCAATATTTTTCTACTACTTCTCAGTAAGCATGAGTTTTGTTGGAATTATTGTGAAGTTTTAGAGTTAGAATGTAATCTTTTTCGTAATTTCACAGATCATATTAAAATTTACAAATAGTTATATTGCTTATAGAGCCACAGTGAGGGGTCAGGTTTCTTATTCTGCCAGTTAATGTAGTGTCTGCTTTAGAATACTGTCATCTACCCTAGTTCACAATTTTTGAAGATCTTGTGAAAGAAGATATGTAGGGAAGTCAATAACAATGAATCTTCCAATAAAGAAAAGGAAGAAAGTTCTCATTCCCTTATTTTTTGAACCTACCTTTTAACAGATGGTTTTACTGCTCTATTACACAGCATAATTGGATTGTTTTATCTGAAAGTGAATAATAAAGACAAAACTTTAAAAATAGAACTGTTTGAACTGAGAGCTCACTTTTATTAAGAGAACTTGTCCTATGAAAATTATTATTTGGAAACAGAAACCAAAGTACATATATTAAATAGCATCTTTTGCAATCAATGTCAAGGCTGTGTTGTGTCTTTGGTTGTCTTTTGGTAAATCTACAAAGGAGCATCAACTTAGTGTCCTCATAAAAGACATATATGTGTTCCACTACATTCAGTGTGAACAATATTTTAATTTAGCTTGCCAAGATATAGTGAAATAGAATTTTTGCAGGGTGATTGTTCTGTTAAAAATATATAAAAGGGCCTAGAAAATGATCTTTTGGCTAAAGCTGTAGAAAACAGACTGCCATTGATTTGCAGAATATGCTGTTTGATGTTTAGACAGCTGGAAAAAGTTTGGTAGGAGAACTTTAAAAACCTGTTATAATTGTAGCCTTGAGTATGATATGATTTGGCAACTAAGAGATCACCTCACAAAGCTATGATCCACAGGCAATGCAGTCTTAGGTATTATAAATTCATATTTATATCAAAAATTCCAAATATCTATTGAGATATTGTGATAGAATAAGAATACACATTTTGGTCTTCTTTCCCAGCTCCTGGCCAGACCTCCTGAAACTCTTGTAAGTGCTAGTGATAAGAGCTATAGGAGCACCTTTTATTATAATGTAATTGGTTTTTGTTCCTAGCTCTTGAAATGCTTCTAAAAATGTGAAAGAATAACCTTTTGCTAGTCATAACAAGCCCCATTCAACTACACTTGAATTTATGTCAACGAAGTGACTTGTGGAAAGCCCCTAAGGGTGGGGGTCACTGGTTGTGAAGGAAATCAACACCATGATTAGAGGGTTGGAATTTTTAGCACTCCCATCCAAACCTCCAAGGATGGGAGAGGGGCTTGAGGTTGAGTTAATCATTAGTGGCCAATGATTTAACAAATCATGCCTATGTAATGAATATCCTAATCCTTCATGAATGTCCTAATCAAAGGAGTTTGGAGATTTTCCATGTTAGTGAACACATGGAGGGCTGTAAGTCTCAATCTCCAAACTATACAAACCAAGAACAAATAATTTCACACAAATCCTTTGCCATTGACATTAACCAGAAGACAGGGTACTATATAAACCCAAACTAATATTTTAAGCCCCCCTAACCAACTGAATGGAACCCTCTTCTTTGCCAAGGGCATTCAAAAGTTAAACTGAAAAACTAGTTCAGTCTGTGATGGGAAGGGGGGTTGTACGTGCTTCATTATACACTCCTCCCTTTACAATTCGGGCACAACTGAACAGCATTAACATTAAAACTGACACCTTAAGAATGACAAAACAGACTCTTTGCAGCAATAAAATACCAAATTCCAACCCGACTCTATTATAACATGACATGGCAAATAGCAGGCCCTGAAGGAAAGCAACATGTTTTACCTCAAAATACATTTCTTTGATGTATTTTTTTAAATTATACTTTAAGTTTTAGGGTACATGTGCACAATGTGCAGGTTAGTTACACATGTATACATGTGACATGCTGGTGCACTGCACCCACTAACTTGTCATCTAGCATTAGGTATATCTCCCAATGCTATCCCTCCCACCTCCCCCCACCCCACAACAGTCCCCAGAGTGTGATGTTCCCCTTCCTGTGTCCATGTGTTCTCATTGTTCAATTCCCACCTATGAGTGAGAATATGCGGTGTTTGGTTTTTGTTCTTGCGATAGTTTACTGAGAATGATGATTTCCAATTTCATCCATGTCCCTACAAAGGACATGAACTCATCATTTTTTATGGCTGCATAGTATTCCATGGTGTATATGTGCTACATTTTCTTAATCCAGTCTATCATTGTTGTACATTTGGGTTGGTTCCAAGTCTTTGCTATTGTGAATAGTGCCGCAATAAACATACGTGTGCATATGTCTTTATAGCAGCATGATTTATAGTCCTCTGGGTATATACCCAGTAATGGGATGGCTGGGTCAAATGGTATTTCTAGTTCTAGATCCCTGAGGAGTTGCCACACTGACTTCCACAATGGTTGAACTCGTTTACAGTCCCACCAACAGTGTAAATGGAAGTAAAGCTCTCCTCAGCAAATGTAAAAGAACAGAAATTATAACAAACTATCTCTCAGACCACAGTGCAATCAAACTAGAACTCAGGATTAAGAAACTCACTCAAAACAGCTCAACTACATGGAAACTGAACGACCTGCTCCTGAATGACTACTGGGTACATAACGAAATGGAGGCAGAAATAAAGATGTTCTTTGAAACCAATGAGAGCAAAGACACAACATACCAGAATCTCTGGGACACATTCAAAGCAGTGTGTAGAGGGAAATTTATAGCACTAAATGCCCACAAGAGAAAGCAGGGAAGATCCAAAATTGACACCCTAACGTCACAATTGAAAGAACTAGAGAAGCAAGAGCAAACACATTCAAAAGCTAGCAGAAGGCAAGAAATAACTAAAATCAGAGCAGAACTGAAGGAAATAGAGACACAAAAAACCCTTCAAAAAATTGGTGAATCCAGGATCTGGTTCTTTGAAAGGATCAACAAAATTGATAGACTGCTAGCAAGACTAATAAAGAAAAAAAGAGAGAAGAATCAAATAGATGCAATAAAAAATGATAAAGGGGATATCACCACCGATCCCACAGAAGTACAAACTACCATCAAAGAATACTACAAACACCTCTATGCAAATAAACTAGAAAATCTAGAAGAAATGGATAAATTCCTCGACACATACACTCTCCCAAGACTAAACCAGGAAGAAGTTGAATCTCTGAATAGACCAATAACAGGATCTGAAATTGTGGCGATAATCAATAGCTTACCAACCAAAAAAAGTCCAGGACCAGATGGATTCACAGCCGAATTCTACCAGAGGTAAAAGGAGGAACTGGTACCATTCCTTCTGAAACTATTCCAATCAATAGAAAAAGAGAGAATCCTCCCTAACTCATTTTATGAGGCCAGCATCATTCTGATACCAAAGCCGGGCAGAGACACAACCAAAAAAGAGAATTTTAGACCAATATCCTTGATGAACATTGATGCAGAAATCCTCAATAAAATACTGGTAAACTGAATCCAGCAGCACATCAAAAAGCTTGTCCACTATGATCAAGTGGGCTTCATCCCTGGGATGCAAGGCTGGTTCAATATATGCAAATCAATAAATGTAATCCAGCATATAAACAGAACCAAAGACAAAAACCACATGATTATCTCAATAGATGCAGAAAAGGCCTTTGACAAAATTCAACAACCCTTCATGCTAAAAACTCTCAATAAATTAGGTATTGATGGGAAGTATCTCAAAATAATAAGAGCTATCTATGACAAACCCACAGCCAATATCATACTGAATGAGCAAAAACTGGAAGCATTCCCTTTGAAAACTGGCACAAGACAGGGATGCCTTCTCACACCACTCCTATTCTTTGAGATATTTTGAAAAGGCCCTGCAAAACTGTCTCTTGTGGGAAAAATCTACATTCTGTAGAGAATCCCTTTCCCTTTCCAGGTCTTTTCCCTGATTTAGGAGAGATTAACTAAGAGTCTGGCACCTTTTTAAGCCTAATAAGAAACATTTACAATCTATTCTCTTTGAAGCCTGCTACCTGGAGGCTTCATCTTCATGATAAAAATCTTGCTCTTTACAATCGCTTATCTTAAGCAGACACTCCTTTCTATTAATTTCAGGTCTTACATAATAACTTAACTCTTTCAACCAATTGACAATCAGAAAATCTTTGAATCTACCTATGACCTAGAACACCCCTACCCCTTGCTTCAAGTTGTCCTGCCTTTCTGGACCAGCCAGTGTACATCTTACATGTATTGATTGATATCGTGTGCCTCCCTAAAATATATAAAACCAAGCTGTAGCTCGACCACCTTGGGCACATGTTCTCAAGACTTCCTGGGGCTGTGTCGTTGGCAATGGTCCTCAGGTTTGGCTCAGAATAAGTCTCTTCATATATTTTACAGAATTTGACTCATTTTGTCAACAACTTCAAACCAAGTTATCTGTAAATAGAAAACAATAATAATGACAACAACAATACCAATTTCAAGCAGAGATGTTTCTCAAGCTCCCAGATCTCCAGGCTATGTGGAGAACAAAGTGAATCTGGGGGAAAGAAAACAGCATGGAAGAGATAATGAGAGAACAGAGAGCCTATGAGTGAACTAAAATTGTCCCCAGAAAGAGAAAGTTTACCCTAGGAACAAAAATACTATAAATAGTACTGGAAATTCTATAAGAAAGTTATTTTTTTAATATCCACCAGCAATGTTTTGTAGTTTTAAGCATATGCATTTTATACATCTTTTCTTAAATTTATTACCATGTATTTTGTTTTTTTATTTATGATAAATCAAGTACTTTAAAAAAATTTCTTCCAGGTTATCCATTGCCAATATATAGAAATACAATTATTATTTGTAAATTGACTTTATATCTTGAGAACTTACTAAATTATTATTTATGATGACTTTCATATAGATTCAGGATTTTCTATGTACACAATCATGCATTATGCCAATAAAGACAGTTTTAGTTCCTTCTTTCTGATCTGTATGTCTTTTATATTTTTTTCTAATGCACTAGCTATATCTCCAGTACAGTGTTAAAACAGAAAGAACAGACATCTTTGCCTATTCCTTATCTAAGAGCACAGTATTCAATCATTTTACCATTGATGACTATAGTAACTGTATGTTTTGTATAGGTCTCCTTTCTCAAATTCCCTTTTCTCCTAGTTTTAAAAATCATAAACAGTATTGAATAGCATGTTCATATTTTGAGTCTACATTTATGAGAAACTCAATATTATTAAGATTTTGATTCTCAAAATTGATCTATAGATTCAGTTGATCTATAGACACTATTGATCTCCATTCAATCTATAGATTCAATCCAACAAAATCTCAGCATGCTTTTTTTGAAGAAAATAATAAGCTATTAATGTATATGGAAAAGCAAACAACCTAGAAGAAACAACAATTTTTTTTAAATGAACAAGTTTAATTAGACTACTTGGTTTACAGATTTGCTGTAAACTACAGTAATTGAGACAGTGTTGTTGGTGTAAGCACGGCCATGTAGACAAACAGAACACAATCACCAGTACAGAAATAGACCCACACTTATGTGGCCAATTTATTTTAGACAATGGATCCAAGATAATTCAATTAGAAAAGGTTAATCTTTTCAATAAATAGTACTGGAACTACCAAATATTCCTATAAAAAATTAACCTTAACTCTTACATTACACCATACACAAAAATTAAATTGAAATGGAACATAAATGTAAACATATAAGCTAAAACTATAAACCTTCTATAAAAATCATAAGAGAAAATTTTTGCAAACTTTTACAGGAAAGATTTCTTAAATATAACACAAGAATCACAAACCATGAAAGAAATAAACTGACACAATTAACTTTATCAAAACTTAAAGAAACAATTTTTTTGCTCTCTGAAAGACACAGTTGAGAAAACAAAGAGACAAACCACAGAATGGGAGAAAATGTTTTGAAAATATATATTTTACAAAGTACTTTATCCAGAAGATATAAACAATTCTTATAACTCAATGAGAATACAAAGAACCTTCACAAATGGAGATATTAATAGCTAATAAACTCATGAAAAACTGTTCAGAGTTCTGTCTTCATGAAAAAGAAAACTAAAAAACAATGAGACATCTCTACACCATCATCCTCAACAAGGGTGATATCATCCCCAAGGTAGCAAAAATTAGTTCTTAGGTACAGAGGAAAATTTTCTATATTGTATAATATACAGATTTTATATGTACATATAATACATATACACACAGTATAAAACAGATACTATTAAACTACTAATATATGCAAAACATCAATGAATCTTAAAAAGCATTAGACTAAGTAGAAGAAAATCTTAATATCCACATACAGGTATACCTCATTTGATTGCACTTTGCTTTATTGTGCTTCACAGTATTGTGTTTGCAAATTGAAAGTTTGTGGTAACCTTGTATTGAACAAGGCTATCAGTGCCATGTTCCCATGTTCCCCAAGCGCATAGGCTCACTTCGTGTCTTTGTCACATTTCGGTAATTCTTGTGATAATAAAAAAGTTTGAAATATTGCATCTGTGAACATGATCTGTAATGCTATTATTGTAATTGTTTTGGGGTACCACAAACTGTGACTGCATAAAATGGCAAAGGTAATAGATAAGTGTTGTGTGTATTCTGACTGCTCTACCATAGCACATAGTAGAGCAGATATTCTCCCCTCTCCCTCTCCTTGAGGCTTCCTATTATATGAGACAAAACGATATCAAAATTAGGCCAATTAATAACCCTACAATGGCCTCTAAGTGTTTAGGTTAAAGGAAAAGTTGCACATCTTTCACTTTAAATCAAAAGCTAGAAATAATTAAGCTTAGTGAGGAAGGCATGTCCAATGCCAAGACAGGCCAAACCCTAGGCCTCTTGAGCCAAACAGCTAGCCAAGTTGTGAATGCAAAGGAAAAGTTATCAGAGGAAATTTAAAGTGCTGCTCCAGTGAATACATGAATGATAAGAAAGCAAAATAGCTTTATGGCTGATATGGAGAAAGTCTGAGTCATCTGGATAGAAAATCTAACAAGCCACAACATTCCCTTAAGTTGGAGTCTAATCCAGAGCAAGGCCCTAACTCTATTCAATTCTATGAAAGCTAAAAGAGGTGAGGAAGCTGCAGGAGAAAAGTGTGAAGCTAGCAGAGGTTGGTTCATGAGATTCAAGGAAAAAAATTCTCTCCGTGCCATAAAAGTCAAAGGTGAAGCAACAAGTGCTGACACAGAAACTGCCTCAGGTTATCCAGAAGTTCTCACTAAGATGATTGATGAAAGTGGCTACACTAAGTAATAGATTTTCAATGTGCATGAAAACACCTTCTATTGGAAGAAGATGCCATTGAGGACTTTCATAGCTAGAGAGAAGAAGAAAATGCCTGGCTTCAGAACCTCAAAGGACAGCCTGATAAGGCAGCTGGTGACTTTAAGTTGAAGCCAATGCTCATTGATTATTCCAAAACCCCTAAGTTCCTTAAGAATTATGCTAAATATACTCTGTCCATGCTCTATAAATGAAACATCAAAGCTTTGATGACAGCACTTCTGTTTACAGCATGGTGTACTCTATACTTTCAGCCCACTATGGAGACCTACTGCTCAGCAAAGAAGATTCCTTTCAAAACATTACTTCTCATTTACAATGCACCTGGTCACTCAAGAACTCTGATAGAGATATACAAATAGATTAATGTAGTTTTCATGCCTGCTAATACAACATACATTCTTTAGTCCATAGATCAATGAGTAATTTTGACTTTCCAGTCTTATTTAAGAAATACATTTTTTAAGGCTATAAATGGCACAAATAGTGCTTCTTCTGATGGACATGGGCAAAGTAAGCTAAAAACCTTCTGGAAAGGATTCACCATTTTAGATGCCATGAATATTTGTGATTTATGGGAGGTAGTCAAAATGTTAACATTAACAGCAGTTTGGAAGAAGTTGGTTCAGATCTTCAGGGATGATTTTGAGAAGTTGAAGACTTCAGTGGAGGAAGTAACTGTGGATCTGATGGAAATAACAAGAGAACTAGAATTAGAAGTGGAACCTGAAGATGTGTCTCAATTGCTGCAATGTCATAATCAAACTTAAACAGATGAGGAGTTGCTTCTTATGGATAAGCAAAGAGAGTGGTTTTTTGTCTGTTTTTTAGAGGGAATCTACTACAGGTGAAGATGCTGTGGACATTGTTGAAATGGCAACAAAGGATTTGTATATAAATGACATGAGTAAAACCACAATAAAGTGATATATTGAAGCCTATTGAATAATAAAAGAATATATTGGTTCATACTGAAATAAACAAATAGAAGAAAGCTCTTCCTTATATTGGATTGCCAACTAACAAATACAAAAGAAATAATAGAATTTAAAAATTACCACTTGGCAATCATCATCATCATCATCATTGACTCAGGTGGGAAACATCAATTAAGGCTAAAACTGGTGGGTGCAGGTTTGCTGACCATGTGAGTTTCCTAGGGCTGCTATAACGTATCATCATAAATGTGGTGGCTTAAAACAATAGAAATTTATTTTCTCACAGTTCCAGAGGCCAGAAATCTGAAATCAAGGGGTAGGAAGGACCAAGTTGCCTTGAAAGATCTCCGAGAAAATTCTTCCTTGCTTCTTCCAGCTTGTGGTGGCTCCAGGAACACCTTCGCTTAAGGCAGCATAACTCCAACCTTTGCCTTTGTCTTCACATAACCTTCTTTGTTGCTATGTCTGAATTTTCCTCTGCCTTTCTCTTACAAGGATATCTTTCACTGGATTTAGGGCTCACCCTAAATTTCGGGTGATATCATTTTCAGATCCCTAATTATGTTTGCAAAGACCCTTTTTCCAAGTAAGGTCACATACATAGATTCCAGGTGGACAAATCTTTGGAGGAGTCACAAACCAATGCACAACAGTGAAAATAGGATATTTACAGAGTATCTCCCACAATATACTTATTAAGTGCCAAGGGAAAAGTAGATACTCCATAATGGAGAGACCTGGCAAATCAAGGTCAATGTCATCAATAGTAGTACAAATGTATATTGCATCCCTCCATGCGTGATGCACTATGAAGAGTACCGTGTCACTTCTACCACATTTCTGCCAAAAATGCATAATGTGAATCTAATTCTGAGAAAACCTGCACAAATCCAAATGGAGTGGCATTCTGATACTTCCAGAAACCTCAAAGTTATGAAAGACAGGAAGAGAGGATGGAGAGGCTTGGCTAGTTAAAAATTGTACTAGAAAAACATTTCTTCAGCTCTAAAAGACATTGCCAGGAGGTAATAATATTTGAGTAAGGTCTTTGGGTAGAGACAGCGTTTTATCAGTGATAATTTCCTGATTTTGATTATCGTGTTGTGTAGGAGAATGTGTTTATTTTATGGGGAGTACACACTAAAGTATTTATGGGCACAGGGACATTATTTCAATAACTTACTCCTAGAGAGTTTAGAAAATACTATGTATATACAGAAAGAAAATTTAGTAAATATGGCAAAGTGTGAATATTTGGGGATTCTGAAAAGTATGTGGCAGTTCTTTGTATAACTGCTGTAACTTTTCTCTAGTTCTGAAATTATTTCAAAATAAAAAGTAAAAAAAAAAAGACTTTTGAAGAAAATATCTACTTACCCCAGAGGAGTCTGGTTCCCAAAATTCATTGTGGCTGGAACACTGATGTGATATATGTTTTAATGCATATAAGCTGGTCCCTGGCAACTAAGCCAGTGACCTGACTGGTTTTCTGAAGCAGCAGTGAATATTTAGAGGATTGTATGATTGTTCTTCCTTATCAGTCTTTGAATGGGCTTATGGAAAATAAGACAACTTCTGGATTGTTTATAATTTAATGTGAATTATTTGACTGAGTTTTCTACTTAGGGTTTCATCTAACATGGATTTTTTTGTAAAACCCATGGGATTGGCTGTTTTTCCTCATTCTAGGGTCACCAGGACTTTTTCAGTATCATGTCTGTCACAAACCTTTCAAGTACAATTGGATCTTCATGATTTTAAGGCCCAAGAGGCACAGCAGCTCACACCACAGCATGTACCTGCTGCAAAACTATCTCCTGCTCTGGGCCTTACTCAAACTTCATAGCTCTAGCAAATACACCAGTAAATCCGTTACAAAATATTGTTCACATAAGCCAAATAAGCCTATCAAGTGCAGTACTTCTTTGTTGTTGAGGATGTACAAATTAATGGAACTCTCTTTCCCTTTGGAGGGAATAGCTATTCTGGCCGTAGACCATTGTTCTCCTAGAAACTTTATTCAGGTGGCAATTTACTATTTTGGGGTGTGTGAGAATTATCTCCTATCCTCTAGTACTCATGTGTCTTATCAAGGCATCTCATGAATTAGCTAATTTCTGCTTACCAGGTCTGATTAATATGATTTCATTGATTTAGTAGGGCAGTGTAATGACAAGATGGGCAAGGTCTGCAAGATAGATTATGACAGAGTTAAAGAAAAGATATAGTTTCACATAGCGCTGAGAGAAAATGTATACTACTATCTCTGCACACTGAAAACAAAAAACTGGTTTTTTGACTAGTTTGATAATTTGCATAGAGAAAACATATTTGTCAGACTAAGAGCTGCACACCAGATTCTAGGGTCTTCTATACTATGGGATTTAAATTTGCAGTAAGTCCCTGTCATTTTCCAAGACTTATCTGTCTTCTTAAATAGGCAATTTAACAGGGATGTAAGAGGAATCAACAACTCTGTGTCTTTGAAGTCTTTGATGATGGCACTAATCTCTGTAATGCCCCAGTGATATAGTAATTGCTTTTGGTTTACTATCTTTGGGGAGGAGAAAATTACAGGGTCTTTAACTTGGCCCTTCGTATTCTTATAGTATTAACTCTATGGTGCTGTGAACCAAAGTGGGGTTTCTTCTAATTGCTGAGTATGGATATTCCAACTTATATTAATATTTAGTCACTAAAGGAAGAAAAGAGCATAGCATGTTTGCAGACCTACTGGGTCTACTGTGAGACAGACTCAGGCTAATGTTCTATTATTATCTGACCTCCGTAAGTCTCCGCTATAACTTGTGGCCCAGAATTAACTTGGGAACCTGCACATTAACAATGACCACAAATCCTGGAAGACCTGGTTATTTTTCCCCCCAGATAATTATCACTTTAATAATTAGCTGCAGTTTCCTTTATTAAAACATCTATGGAAATATTTGAGGCAGTGATATATGATGCTTTCTCAAGTAGATCCAGCTTCCCATTTATTAAAGAGATTTTATGTCTATGAACTGGTTCAGGTCTAAAAATTGGGTGAGAGACTATAGTTTTCCATTGTAGTGACTTGAGACAGATGTCCAATCTTTATTCCTAAAGTATAACTTTAGTGGAAAGTACACCTACTTCAATTCTTGAGTCAATGGCATTTTGTAATAATCTCTGTGTGTCAGACGTTCTTACTACCTTATTCAACCTACCTCCCATTAGAATAAGCACACCCATCTTTGTCTGGCAGTTAAGTGTCTGTCTGTCCAGGATTCCATAATAGCTATTGTAATCAAGGAACCTCTTTCAATGACACCATCTCCAGCTATTATGTATCTACTGATTTCAGAATATAACCATACCCAAGGATGCTGGCATTTCACTGACCAATGCATTTCCCAGTGCTTTGGTAAAATAGAAAGTTCTCTGGGCCCTCCTAGTGATACAATGAAGAGGTAGATTCCCTCCTCAATATTATAACAAAAGTGTTCAAGAATATAATTTTATTTAATGTAGATTAATGTTGAATTTAATGAACCAAGAAAACAGATTTATTCCAGTTGCGTAAAACAGTATATTAAATTCTGAACCTTTGGGGGAAAACAACATATGTAAGTATAGACGTTGAGCTGAGAATTTAGAACCCCGAGCTTGTCATTCTTATTATTATTTGGGGATTTTTCCGATGAGGTCAGAAGCCAACCCACCTGAGTCCCCTTCATCATCACTTTTCTACTAAAGTCCCCATTTAGTAGCTGCTGAGTTGTTCATTCTAAACCTTGCCTTTAATGGACATTTCATTCTATTAAAAAACCTGTGATAATTTAAGTAACTTTTTTGCCACTGCATGTTAGAGATTACAAATATCACATTTTTCACTGCAAGCCATTTATGTACCTTATACAATATCAGTCAACAGTCTCTTAAAGGAGAGTTTCGACAGCAGAAAGACATTTAAGTCAGAGAATATATGCTCACAAAAGCATTAGAAATATTGGAGGATCAAAGATCAGGGAAAGCTGCTGCTGGCTGTAGGTTTTAGAAATCTCTATCAAGTTTTAGAAAAAAATCAGGAAGGTGTGGAACCAGTGTCTTCACTGCAGCACTGACAGTCATGATTTGCAAAGCACCTGGAGGCTAGTGAAACACTTTCTATCTGCTGAAGCTCATAGAGCTGACTGTCACTGCTGGAGGAGCAAAGTAGAGCTTTCTGCCTGTCTTTCACCTTCCAAATCTCATAACTGCTTTTTGCTGTTGCACCTAACCCAGAACTAAAGAAGTTACTTGTTTCCAGCCCTGCGATACAGGAATATTAGAGAAAAGCTGAGACTGTGCTAATCTATCACTAGACAAACTGACATAGTGGTTAAGAGAATGGGCTTTGAAGCTCCGGAGCCAGATCACCTGGGTTCAGAGCCAGGTTCCTCCACCTACTATTTCTATGACCTTGGCAGGGTGCCCAATTTCTTTGTGCCTCAGTTGTGACAGTTTTGAACTGTAGCTAATCTCCCTACCTCAAAGATTTTTAAGAGTTAGTTCAATATACTATATGATAATGCCTGACATATGTATTTCTTTGCAGGAACATGGGTAAAGCTGGAAACCATCATTATCAGCAAACTAACACAGGAACAGAAAACCAAACACCTCATGTTCTCACTCATAAGTAGGAGTTGAACAATGAGAACACATGGACAGAAGGAAGGAAACATCACACACTGGGGCCTGTTGCGGGGTGGGAGGCAAGGGGAGGGAGAGCATTAGGACAAATAACATAATGCATGCAGAGCTTAACACCTAGATAATGGGTTGATAGGTGCAGCGACCACCATGACACATGTATACCTATGTAACAAACCTACATGTTCTGCACATGTATCCCAGAACTTAAAGTAAAATAATAAATACATAAGGACAGAAAGAAAGAAATTATTACTAAAATATATGAATGTAGAAAATGGTTTTGCAAAAATGCAAATAAAGTGATTAGGCATTGCATAATCTGTTTGGAACTCTTTGGTACTCAATTTTTTTTTTTATTTGAGGTATTTCTTTCCACGGGAACCATAACTATTTAACTATTTTAGGTTTACGTTATGTTTGAGGCTAAATATACTAGCAGCTAGCTTATGTTTAATCAGCATTGCTTTTACATAAAGGACACTCATCTGAAAGCTCAAGGTAGTATACTTAAGTCATTATATTTTACTTTTTCATGAAGGCCAAGGAAAAATGCCACAGGTCTTTTTACTCTTCTTGGTAGGATCATAATTTTGTTAAATGTCCATAAATAATTAAGATGCCTCTAAAGGTTTGCTCCATAACTATAAAGTAATAAAACAAAATCTTCCAATTTGAATTTCTCTGGAAGCATTGATTGCAACTTAATCAATTAAACTTTTCACAAATTGACTTTATAATTTCATAATGTTTTAAATTCATTCAAGACTAGGTATACTGTAATAGATTGTAAAAAAAAAAAAAAAGAAGTCGTGAGTCTTCATTCTTTCCCGTATCTATGTCCTTTCCAATGTGAAATTGTAGCTTCTTGCATAAAGACGTGAAATCTTCCCGATCCCTTTAATATGGGCTGCACATGTGACTTTTTTTTCCCAACAAAATGTAATGGTACTCCAGGTTGAGGCTTTGTGATTCTTTCTTGCTCCTCTGCCTTTATCATGAGAAGATGCTCAAGCTGGCCTGTTAGAGGATGAGACTTGTGGAACCATATGGAGCAGAGCTGATTCAGCCCAGTTGTCTCAGTTAAAGCCCCAGATGTGTGAGAGAGGCCAGTTGAAATTAGCAAAGCCAGCCTATAGCTGACCAATGATACACAGATGAGCCAAACCAAGCCCACTTCATATTAGTTGAATTTCTAGGAGACTTTTGAGAAAACAAAACAAAACAAAAAACACTGTACGTCTTGAAGGTTGTGTAGTTGGTTGTAATTATTGCAGCAACAGGTAACTGTACATACACAGTGACATGATTACAAACTGAGCAGTAAGTATATTTAAATTCAAAAAGTATTTTTGTTTAGCAATGTTATAATAGTAGCAGTTTCATCTTTTTGATGCTTTTTCTAAATATACAATATAATGCTTTCAAAAACATTAATTTAGGGAAAATTTAGAGCATCTGCATTCATAACCAAAAGTATGTTTATATTTGTTATTCTACCAAGGGTCTATAAAACAAGTCTAAAGAATTTATTCATTGGCAAAATGAATTTTGCATGGCAAAATTTTATGGCAAAACATACAAATCAGAAGCAATTATTCATTCCTTGCATTTTGCATTCTACACTAACTTGCTGCCTACGTCGAAGCAAACAAGGTAATTTGAATAAATAAATGGTTTCTCTTTAATAATGTTGTGCAGCAGGGAAGTCAGCTTCTAAAGAAATGGTTTTGAAGTGATTAAGAAGAAAAAGCTTTATAAGTATTTTAAGGCTATTGAGTTACTCTGAGGATAAGTAGGATAAATGTTATGAGTAGAAAGCAGAGCAAGGTTTCAAGCATTCAGCAGGCAAGGTTTCAAAACATAATATTAGTTGGCATAAATAAAAATAAAAGTTCTTTTCAGTATTGCTTGAGAAAGGCAAAAGTGGTTATTTCCAGTCAGCCCACTTTAATTCAGTACCTGGTGAAGTTTTCCAGCTGGGGCATATGGCGCATAGAAATGACTTATCAAAAGAGGGGCTTCAAGATAGTTCAAGAAAAGTTAATCTTTTACCTATAATGTGTTAGCCATTCTGCTAGGTACTGAGAACAGAGCTGGCCAAAGACAATGATTTTAAATCTGTGTGAAATGCAGAATAATAGTATATGCAAGACATGAGAAACAAAATTTGTCTATGTGGCTAGAGAATGATTCACAGAGGAGAAAACCAATGACTGGGTCTCGATTTACGTTTATAGTTTACCATTTAGGAAAAAAGGATGACAGTAATAAAAAGGAACAGTATAAACAAAGGCATAGGGATGTGAATGAGTGAGTCACAATGGAAAATTCCACCCACCAGGAACATGGATAACCCAGGACAGAAGAGGATGGAGGTAAAATATGATAGTACTGATGGTATATTAGTTATTTATTTCTGCAAATGAATTAGTGCAAAACTTACTGGCTTAAAAACAACAATATTAATCTCACAGTTTCTGTGGGTCAGGAGCTCAGCATGGCTCACCTGGGCCCTCTGGCTCAGGATCTCTCAGGCTGCCATCAAGGCTGCTGTCAGCCTCATCTGGAGGGACAGTGCAGGGAGGATCCACTTCCATGCTCACTGGTCATCAGCAGGATCCAGTTTTTGTTGGCTATTGGCCTGAGGCCACCCTCAGTTCCCTGCCACCCTCCGTAGGCAGTTCTCAACTTCTCAGCTTGTAAGCAAGCATGGAGAGCCAGAGAGAGTGTGAGCAAGATGGATGTCAATCTTTTGTTACCTAATCTCAGACGTGACTTCTGTCACTTTTGCCATATTATATCCATTAAAAGCAAGTTACTAGATCCAACCCACTCTTAAGGAAGTGGGAAGGAATATAAAGCAAGGACATAGATAGTAGGAGGGAGGGATCATTGGGAGCCTTTTAGAAGCAGTCCCCAAAAGATGGTAAAAGTAATTCCATCCATCATGAGTGACAGTACTAGGAAAAGAGGTCGGTGATAAGGATACATGAAATTGATGAGACAGACAGTTGGTAAATGATAGGGAACATTTTAGTGTTCTACTGAAATGACTAGAGAGCCTGCATAGGTAGGATACATTGATCCCTGTGAGTAGGGCTAAACAATGCTAACAATGATCACCTGAGACATCTAGGAAAAGAAGAGCTTCGAATGCCCACGTGGTGGAGACTTGTTTCTTACTTCTTCTACACAGGCAAGATGCTGCTGGAGGGATGCTTGCAGCCTAACCTGACTGCCAAATATGAAAAGAGAAAAGAGGAGGTGAAGGACAGAGCACAATATCAATGCATCCAAGTTGTCCAGTGGCCAGAGACAGAAATCTGAAATAAAACAACCAGCACTGGTTGCTCAGAGAAAAAAAAAAAAACAAAGCTTATGACAAAGGCAATTTTCACAAAAATAATATCAAGAATATTTTAAAAGATAATTTAGAGGATTAAAAAACTTCATTAAAAATTATTTTTGAATGAAATAATTCCATAGGCAAGTGGAAAGAAATGACATTAACATTGAGAACTGAATCAGAAACTGAAATATCAAGTTAAAGAATCAGGTCTCTGAAAAAAATCAGAGACCAAAAGGAATGCGATGGAAATAATGAATGCAAATATGTAAATAATCTTAATTCTTAAAGAAGAAAAACATATCAAGAAATGACAGGCAATCACTAAATATATGAGAGAAATAAGCTCTTGGTCTCAAAAAGACTTTCTTCTCCAAAAGATTGAAAGGAAAATGAAATTCCATTATTAATGTTTTAAAAGAAACTCCTGATCATATGTTAGTATAATTACTGAATTCTGAGAATAAAACAATTTATCCTATTGTAAATTATACAAATTGACCCAAGGAGATACACATTTTCTTCTAAGACACTCTCTTTCAGCCAAAGTGGTTTATTTGCTATTCATTAAATGCAGGGCACCATCATTCCTAGTCCCATTTTCTTCTAGTAGGAGCAGCCTTTCCCCAACTACACAGTTGGAATTGGAGAGCCAAAGAGAGTGCTGTAATAATTACATTAAGACTAGCAGCAGGGTACAGGAACTATCCCAGGCAAATCTGGTCCTGTGGTTCTCCCTACCCAGATCTTCAGAAGGCTCATCCTTGCGATGCCCTTAGGACTTTGCTTAAGTGTCAGCTTATCCACTTCCCTGACCATCCCCTAGTGAATTAATGAACTACTACTCATGCAAGCCCCCTTACCCTACTTGATATTTTGCCTCATATATTATGCATTTATTTGTTATATCTCTCCACCTGTCTTAGTTAATTTGTGCTACTACAACAAAATACCAGAGACAATTGTAAAGAACAGAAATTTGTTTTCCCATAGTTCCGGAGCTTTGGAAGTCCAAGATCAAGGAACTGTCAGGTTTGATTGTCTGGAGAGGGCTGCTGTCTGCCTCCAAGATGGCACCTTGTTGCTGCATCCTCTGGAGAGGAGGAGTGCTGTGTCCTTACAAGGTGGAAGGCATAAGGGCAAGAGGGCCAAACACCTAGTGAAGGCTCTTTCATAAGGGTTTTAATTCCACTAATGAAGAAGGATCCCTCATGACCTAATCACCTCTTAAGAGCCCCACCTCTTAATACCATCTCGTTGGTCATTAAGTTTTAACACCTGAATTTTTGAAGCAATACATCCAAATTTATGTCCCTCTTAGATGAAAAATATATTCAGTCCATTCCCATAGCCCCTAAAGTATTAACTATTTCTAGTATCAACTTAAAAGTCTAAAGTCCAAAGTCTCATTTAAATATTTCTCAATCAGATATGGGTTAGATGCAAAGGTGTATATCATCTGTAGGCAAGTGTCCCTTTAGCTGTGAATCTGTGGAATTAAAAAAGTTATGTGCTTCCAAAATAGGTGGTGGGATGGGCACAAGTTAGATGTTTCTGTTCCAAAAGGGAGAAACAGGAAAGAAGAATGAGGTAACTGGTGTTAAGTAAGTCTAAAATCCAACAGGGCAAACAACACTCTATCTTAAGCCTTGAGAATAATCTTTGACTCCATGTCTCACATTCCAGGAACAATGGGGCAAGGGTTAGGTCCCCAAGGCTCCAGGGGACTACAACCCCATGGCTTTACTGAGTGTACCCCAAGCAGCTGCCCTCACAGATTGAAATTGGGTGCCTACAGCTCTCCCAGACTGGCATTCCGCATTGGTGACAGATCTAGGCTCTCTGAGGTGGCTCTGCTCCCATGGCTCCATTAAGAATTGCTCTACTGGGGGCTCTCTGCAGTGGCCCCAACCCCTCGGCTCTGCTGGGCTTTTCCCAGGTTGGGGCCTTATTCAACACATGAGCAACAGTCCTCTCCCTGGGCCCCGATCCTCTCTGAGGGGCGTCCTTTGAAATCTTGGTGGAGGTGAAATCATGCCACCACAGGTCAAGGACTCTGTGAGCCTGTTGAATTAGCATCGTGTGGATGGATTCTCCTGTTTATAGCATTGTGGCTTACAGATCATGCCTTGCAGAGCAGTGGCCCGAGTTCTACCTGGCCCACTTTAGCCACCGCTGAAGTGGCCAGTGAGCACTGTACCAGAATATGGAAAGAAAGGACTTACAGTAACGTTGGGTGGAAAGCCCTGAGGCCCCACAGCCACCCTGGGCTCCTCTCTTCCAGCTTTTCTGTTCTCAAGGCCTAGCACTCTGGGTGTTTGATGGGTACTGCAGCTTCTAAAATGCCTTCAGTGTCGTGCTCCCATTATCTTAATGAATAATACCTGGCTTCCTTCTATTCATAATAATCTTATCAAATGGTCTCTTGGGTATACCGTTGGTTTTCTCTCCTAAACAAGCTTTTAAAATTCTGTACATGGCCAGGCTGAGCATTTTTTCAAATCTTTATATTTTACTTTTGTTTTAACTATAAATTCCTTCTTCAGTTTTTTTTCTCTCTTCTCACATTTTACTATAAACAGGAGAATCCATGTAGCACCCTGAATACTTTGCTTATAGAGATTTCTTCCACCAAATTTCCTAGTTCATTGCTTTTAAGTTCTGCCTCCTACAAAGTCCTAGGACATAGACACTGTTCAGACAAATTATTTTTCACTTTATAATGAGGACAGCCTTTTCTACAGTTTCCAATACCTTGTTTCTTATTTCCATCTGAGACTTCATTAGAATAGTCTTCGCTAACCATGTTTCTACCAGCATTCTGTTCACAACCACTTTAAGTAATCTTTGGGAAGAATGAACCTTTCCCTGTAGCTCTGCTCTTCTTCTGAGCCCTCATCAGAATCACCCTTAACACTCCATTCATGGCAATACAGGCTTTTTTCAACATTTACTTCAAAAGTTTTCCAGTCTGTAGCCATTACCCAATTCCAAATCTACTTCCCTATATTTTGGTATCTGTTATAGCAACACCCACTTCTTTGGTACTGATTTCTCTCTTAGTCCATTTTTATGACTATAACAAAATATCACAGACTGAGTAATTTTTAAAGAACATAAATTTATTTCCTCACACTTCTGAAGGCTGAGAACTCCAAGATCAAGATGTGGGCAGGTTAGTTGTCTGGTGAGGGCTGTTCTCTGGTTCCAAGATGGCACCTTGTTGCTGCATCCTCTGGAAAGGAGTGCTGTGTCCTAAGATGGCAGAAGGCATATGGGCAAGAGGGCCAAACACTGAGTAAAGCTATTTTTATAAAAGGCTTAGTCCCATTTATTAGAAAAGAGCCCTCATGCTCTAATCACTTCTTAAAGGCCCTACAATAGTACTTAATAATATCATGTTGCCCATTAAGTTTCAACACCTGAATTTTGGAGGAGACATGCTCAAGCCATAGCACCACTTCTATGAGAGCAGGGCCCTCTCTGTTTAGTTTACTGCTGTATCTATCCTTGTGCCTAGAACAGACAGTGGCATGTCATAGGCATTCAGTAAATACGGTTGAATGAACCAATTTTTGAATTAATGAATGAATAAATGAACAAAGCAGAAAAATTATATAGATCAATTTCCATAGAAAAAAATTGGAAGGGGATTAGCAGATGGATTCAGGTGAGACCGCATAGAATAACGGTTCTATGCTAGAGAATAGAACTTAATAATGCTTAAGTTCTAGAATATGAATGCCTGAGGTTCTTAGTTTTTTTTTTTTTTTATCTTATCTTTTTTCCTGCATGGCTCTAGACACATATGGTTTGATTTCTTTATTTCCAGGTCTCCTCAGTTGCGAAATTAGGATGTTAATTATAGCTTTTGACATACAAGAAACATCAAAAAGATTGAATGTCTTAATAAGAGTGAAGCATGTAGATCAGTGACTGCTATGTAAGTATTCTAATATTATTTTGATCTTTTGAAAAAGAGATAATACCAACACTACTTAAGCTATTCTGATGAGGAAAAGATAAGAATAGCATAACAGTAATGCTAAGCCTTATAAAGACTGACTAAATCTCACTTTTAACTAGAGAAATATCATTTATGACTACAGATTTTTAAAAGGCAAACTATTAGCAATCTGGAAATTAGCTGTGTGTCAAAAGAACACTGGATTATGACCTATGAAAAAATATGAATGCAAAGGTAGTCAATAGTAAATTATCAAATTATATCATTATGTAAACACAACATAGCATTTTAAAAACTATAATTGTACAATCACGTTCTAAAAAGGCATTTCAAATAATTCAGCAGTCTTTCCTGATTAAAGTGCTAAATAAAATATAAATTTAAAAAACTTTTAAGTATAAAACAGGGTCTTCACCAAAGTCCAACCGGAAAAATTCTAAAAAGTGAACTTTTAAAGCCATTTTTATTAAAATAGGAATCAGACAGGTATGCCTATGATCACTGCAGATGTTGTTATTACTATTAGTCAACATGAAAGTTTTAAAACGTTTGCGATAAGACAAGACAATAAACAACACTGACAAAAGATATAATAAAGTCAAAAGCTTTTCCATAGATTAGAAAAATATTTAATGTACAGAATATTTCTGCAAATTAATAAATGACAATTAGTAACAGAATTATTGGAAATATGAATAGGAAATTCACAGTAAAGTAAATTTAAATGGCAAATAAACATGAAAATATGTTCAACCTAGTAATAAGGAAATGTAAATTGTTTTAAAAGTTACAGAATACCTTTTCTATATCAGATTGGTAAATATAAAAAAATTGATCATACAAACTGTTAATAATAGCCGACATTTATAATCAAGTACTGATTTATGCTAGGGACTTTTTCATGTTCTATGTATATCAAGTCATATATTCTTTGTAACAAGCATATGACTAAAACTAATATTAGTCTAATATATCAATACTGGTATTATTATTCCTATTTTACACCCAATTAAACCAAGGAATATAGCAATTTAGTAATTTACTCAAGGTCTCACAGGTGAAAAGTTGAAGAGCTATAATTGATCCCTAGCAGATTGACCCTAGAGATTGCTCCTTTAACCACTACACTAAATTTTCTCATTGCTATCAGCAACATAAGTAAAGTGTCCTTCTCATATATAGCTCATTGAAATAAGAATTATTATAGTTTTTATAGAGTAACCCACACTATTTATTGAAATTAGAACTATGGCCTTTGGCCCCTCACTTCACTTCTAGGTTTGACAATATTTATTTGTGAATAAGCATTCCAATAGGAATAACCATAAGCAAATTCAGGGAGGTAGAGGAACACACAGTTTTTAAAGGAAAAATGAGGAGGGTCACATACATTTTTTTAAGAAAATTATCCTTGGCTACAAGTATCAATAATACGGGTGGCATCAGTCCAAAGTTGGACAGGCAGTTGCTGGGCAGATATCCTCATGGAAGTATCGTGTGTGTGTGTGTGTGTGGGGGGGGGGGGTGGGGCTCTGGTGGCCTTTGTGCAAGATTGTGTTTTTATGCAGAGTGTTTTGTGATAGTTATTTTATCAGACACAAATGCCTGAGGACCCTCCCCTCATGGCCTTCCGCAGCTCCATTTGTCAGGGAAGTGGCTCCATTTTGATTCTGACAACTTTCACACACTTTATAGGAAAAAAAAGTACATGAATGTAAAGATGTGTACAAGATTGTTTATTGCAGCATGTAGTACTAAGGGGTGGATGCATAGCAATAGGTTTAATGATTGAAAACGTATTGTATACTTGTAATGAACTTTGTGGTTGTTTTTATAATATCCATTCCCATTTTCTTAGGATCAAATTTATTTCGACAATGTTTCAGCCTTCACCCTCTTGCCAATAGTTCATGTTCTTTGAGAGGGAGAGTAACAGTTGACTGCATTTCTAGTTTTAAAAGTGGTACATGTGACTGAGGCTTTATCACTGTTAGCAAATTATCAAAAGCAAATAATGTTGAACATTGACTGAGAAAAAAACATAATTCTGGACATCATCTTCAGAAAGTATGATTCAATAGCTCTAGAGTTACTCCTCCAAGAATCTATGTTTTCCTTTTTTGTTAACCAAGCTCTCCAGGTGTTTCTCATGCACAGACATGTTTAAAAACAAGCATGAATATCGTAAATGTCAATGCTGTATGGTAAATATCACCTAGCTGAGACTATGAATTCATGGAGGAAAGTGTAATTAATTACTAAGGTCAGAGGTACAGGCAAGATTTGACACTTTATTGATTTTTGAGTATTAAGTGAGATTTTGTTTTTGTGAGGAGCGTGTATGACCCCCCAAATAGAAGATAGTACAGAGTGGATTCTTGGAAGATGGTGCAGCATAAAGCATGTGAAATCTTTCTCCCTAACTAGACAATAATTGCACTGGCACAATCTGTCTGATGTAACTATTTTGGAGCTCTACAGTGTATTGAAGGCTTGCAGTTGAAGACTTGGATGATAACTTGCAGTTAATTTCAGTAAATTTCAACTCTTGGCACAAAACCATCCATCCCCTACCTCTCAGCCACATGACAGGTAGATCTGCACATGTACCTGGAATAGCTTGAACATAGCTTGAAGAAGCCTGGGTGCACAAAAAGGACCCTTTCCTTTATATACTGGGGATCTATGCCCTGATTGTTACTTCTGATTGCAGATGCACAAAGAGGCTAAAGCCATTGTTGTTTTACCTCCTCCCATTGCTGCAAGCCCTTCCCCTTCTGACTGAAGTGACTGCCAGGGCCAATGACTTCCCCTTCACCTTCATTTTTCTCTTTTTCCACTTTGTGAGCCAGACATTGAAGACTAGCTCATTGAAAAGAAACCACATACACGAGAAAATTAGAAAGTCACCACTCATGCCCAGGGGAAGGCACTGGCTCAGAAAAGGCCAGAGAATACATTAAGTTTGCCCCTGTGGTTTATTCTTGGCACAGAGATAGATAGCCTACAACAATCAAGAAACAACAACAAAAAAAGCAGCAAATCCTGGTGAAGAGGAAGGATTCAGTTTCCAGCATTGCTGTACCATTAGATTAACATGTCTAGTTTTCACCAGAAATCATAAAGCATATTTACAAACCAGGAAAATATGGCTAATTCAAAGGAAAACCGCACAAACTTCCCCTGACAAAGAACTGATAGTGGAGCTATGAGACACAGACTTTGAACAACTGTCTCAAAGATGCTGACAGAACCAAAGCAAGACATGAAGAATGCCAAGAAGTCAATGTATGAAAAAAATAGAAACATAAATGAAGAGACAGAAAACCTAAAAAGAAAGAAAAAAAGAGAATTTGGAGCTGACAAAAAAAATAACTGAAATGAATAGTCACTAGAGGGATTCAAGAGCAAATTTGATCAAGCAGAAAAATCAGCTAACTTGAAGATAGGACCATAGAAATTATTGTCTGAGAAACAGAAAGAAAAAAGATTGAAATAAAGTGGACAGAGACTATGAGTCCTGTGGGACACCATCAAACAGATCAACATATACATTATGAAAATCTCAGGGGGGAAGAGAAGGAGGAAGAGGAAGAGAGAATATTTGAAGAAATCATGGCTGAAAACTTTTCAAATATAATGAAAGATATGGAAATAAACATCCGAGAAGTTCAATAGATTCTGAGTAGAATAAACTCAAAGATACTCAAAGTGAGATACATTATGATCAAAGTATCATAATCCCAAAACAGATAATGTTGAAAGTAGCTTTAGAGGAGTGACTTACCACATAAAAAGGATCTCAATACTATTATCAGCAAATTTCTCATCAGAAACCTTGGAGCATTTCCCCTATGGATAAGAGGAACTAAGGTGTAGAAAAAAATAGCAAAATGGCAGCAGTAGGTCCCTATTTATCAGTAATTGCTTTTAATGTAAATGAATTAAATTCTCCAACCAAAAGGTAGAGATCAGCAAAATAGAGTTTTTAAAATGATTCAACTATATGCCATCTACAAGAGACTCATTTTAGATCCAGAAGGCAGTGGACTGATATATTCAAACTTCTAAAAGAGCAAACAAAGAAACAACATGTCAACCAAGAACTGTGTAACTGATTTAATTGTATATTTTGAAATAACTAAAAAAGTATAATTAGATGGTTTGTAACACCAAGAATAAGTGCTTTAGGGAATGGATACCCCATTTTTCATGATGTAATTATTACATATTGCATGCCTGTATCAAAATATCTCCTGTACCCCATAAACATATACAACTACAATGTACCAACAAAAATTAAAAATGTTCTATAGCTGGCAAAACTATCTTTCAAAAGCTTACCACTAGAACTGCCCTGCAAGAAATGCTTAAGGGAGCCCTGCAGGTTGAAATTAAAGAACACTAAATAATAAGACATAAAGATCTCAATAAAGGTGAATACATATGCAATTATAAAAGCTAATGGTGTGGTAACTTTGATGTATGATTCTACTTTTTGTTCTCTACTCTATTTAAGAGACTTACACATTTAAAAAAATTATTAGTGTCAAAGTTAGTATTATAACTTTAGTTTGTAAATTAACATTTTTTTCTACATAATGGTAGAGATGAATATATTAAAATTTATTAGTTTATGTTTCTTAAAACACAATGTGTAAAGATATAATTTTATAACATCGACAACTAAAAAAGGTAGTGCTGAAGCTGTTAAAGGTGCAGAATTTTTATGTTATTAAAATGAAATGGTATAAATTCAAATTGGTGTAACAACTTTAGGATGTTACATGTAATCCCCATGGTAACTACAGAAAAATAACTAAAGAGTATACTCTAAAGGAAATGAGAAAGGAATAGAAATATTTCACTACAAAAAAATTAGCTAAACAGAAAAAAAGATGGTAATGCAGAATATGAGGAAGAAAAAAGCTATAAGGCATAGAGTGGTTTCACTTTCCATGGGTTTCACTTTCCAGGGTTTCACTTTCCATGGTTTCAGTTTCCCATAGTGAACTGCAGTTCAAAAATATTAATCAATACTCTTGTGCTTTTGAACCAGAATTAAGTAAAATAAGGGTTACTTGAACCTAAGTACTGCAATACTGTGACAAATAAGCTGCTAACCAAGATGGTTATTAGGTGACTAATGACAATCCAGGTAAAGATTTCATCCTGCTCTTCAGAATGACATGCAATTTAAAACTTATGAATTGTTTATTTTTGGACTTTTCAATTATGTCACGATGCCTACATAATTCACCTCATAAATCTCATCACATAGGGATTTTGTCATCTCACTTCATCACAAGAAGAAGAAGGGTGAGGACAGTGCAATAAATATTTTGAGGAAGAAACACCACATTCACATAATTTTTATTACAGTAGATAGCTATAATTGCTCCATTTTATTACTACTGTATTTTTGTTAATCTCTTTCTGTGCCTAATTTATAAATTAAACTTTATCTTAGGTGGTTATGTGTAGGAAAAACCATAATGTATATAGGGTTTAGTACTATCCATGATTTTAGGCATCCACTTTGGGTCTGGGAGCGTATCCCCTATGGGTAAAGGGGGACTACTATATAGAAAAAAAATCAAAATGACAGAAATAAGACCCTACTACTTATCAGTAATTACTTTTAATGTAAATGAATTAAACCTTCCCATCAAAAGACAGAGATTGGCAAAATAGATGGAAAAAAACATGATCCAACTATATGCTGTCTACAACAGACTCACTTTAGAGACCAAGATACAAATAAGTTGAAAGGTTGAAAATGGATATTCTATGCAAACGGTAATAAAAATTCAGAAGAATGGCTAAACTAATGTCAGACAACATAGACTTTAACTTTAAAAGATTATGAGATGAACAAGGACATTACATATTAATAAAAGATTCAATATGGCAAAGAGACAATATAAATATGTTTATTTTTTGTGATGGTTAATACTGAGTGTCAATTTGATTGGATTGACGAATACGAAGTATTGATCCTGGGTGTGTCTGTGAGGGTGTTGCCAACGAAGATTACCATTTGAGTCAGTGGGCTGAGGAAGGCAGACCCACACTTAATCTAGTGGGTGCAATCTAATTAGCTGCCAGTGAATATAAAGCAGGTAGAAAAACATGAAAAGGTGAGACTGGCCTGGCCTACATCTTTCTACCATGCTGGATGCTTCCTGCCATTGAACAACGGACTCCAAGTTCTTCAGTTTTGGAAGTCAAACTGGCTCTCCTTGCTGTTCAGCCTGGAGACAGCCCATTGTGGGACCTTGTGATTGTGTGAGTTAATACTTAATAAACTCCATTCCATTAGTTCTGTCCCTCTAGAGAAACTTGACTAATACATTTAATAACAGACTACCAAAATACATGAGGTAAGAAATGACTAAAGAACTAAAGGGAGAAATACACAGTTTTACAATAATATTCAGAGACTTCTATGCCCTACTCTCAATAATGGAGAGAACCACCAGACAGAATTATAACTAAGGAAACAGTGGACTTGAACCCATAATAAACCAACTATATCTAACATACATATGTGGAACATTCTACCCAATAACAATAGGATACACATTCTTCTCAGGTACATGTAGGACATAAGCCAATCACAAAATAACAAATACTGTATGATTCCACTTATATGAGGTACATTGAGTAGTCAAAATCATGGGGACTGAAAGCATAATGGAAATTGCCACAGGCTGGGAGGAGAAAGGAATGGGGAGTAATTGTTTAATGAATATAGAATTTCAGCTTTGCAAAACAAAAATAGTTTTAGAGATGAATGGTGGTGATGGTTGCACAACAATATGAATGTACTTAATATCCCCAAACTTTACACCTAAAATAGTTGTTACTCAAAATAATAAAAAGTAAATCAATCTCTCTCTCTCTCTGTCACACACACACACACACATACACACACACACACACACACACACACACACAGAGAGAGAGAGAGGGCAGACAGCACAAGCCAAAGCAGGAAGGAACAAAGCACTTTCTATACTTGGGAAATAACAAAGGACCGGTAAGGCTAGACGGCATAGATAGTGGAGATAAGTCTAGAAAGTTGGGTAAATGTCAAATCTAGAAAAATAATTGATGCTATGTTATGGAGTTTTTTTTTCCATTATAATTTAAAGCAAATACATTTTTGGATTAAAAAAATAAAATGACCTTATTTGCTCTATGTCTTGGGAAAAAATAATATGGAAATATAGATGGGAGAGGAAAGAGAATTGAGTAAGATACTTTGTATTTTTGGTATTTTGAGAAAAACTATTTCATCTATATTATATATAAATTGTTATATTCTAACAAAAGTTGATTTTTATGTACTCATTTATATCTCCTTTTAATAATATTGAGTACAAACCATTTCCCTAATAAGCATGTACCCCCAACCAGAATATTAAGAGAATACAGGGCTTTGGAGTGCCCAAGAAAGACATCATGATTTGATATGAAAATAAGCCATTGTTTTGACCATCAGCAAATGATCTTAGCAAGTACAGATTCAGTGGAAAATAGAGGCAGAAGCCAAACTGCTGTGTGTGGAAGAATAAATGGTGGTTGAAGGGGTAAAGACAGCATCATTTTTCTTCAGGATGATTAAGAGTGACTGCTAGAGCAGGAGGCCAGCTTGAGGGTAACCAGATCATTTTAGCACAAATACAACCTAATGTAGCCAAGTCCTGAGAGAGCAAGCAAATTCATTCAACAGTCATCCAGCAAGAATGTCCCTCATCACTCCTTTGGTGCTGCACTTTCACACAGTATATCTGTAATGTGATCATGAAAAGTAATTAAAGAAACAGTCTGCACTGTCAGTAAAGCATTACATCTAAGTGCTTATTCAATGTTACTGCCTTTAGTCATCAGTATTTTCAAGAAAGAGTAAAATATTGTTCTTTTTTCTAAAAAGTAGTAAATCATCTAAATTAATTTTATCTTATTCTTATTTTCCTCCAAATGAGAACATGTGCTACTCCCCTTATCAGTTAATGATTTGCTGAGGTACATAGGATAAAATAGTCTTTAAAAAATCTTTTGTTTATGTTCATTGGTTTCCATTTTCTACCTCTATCTTCATCCTCATATTCAGCCTATTTTAAAATACTTCTTTCCTGAGTTCCATTCTTCCAGGCTTTCACTAATGTAACCCTGTACATTACACTGGATATATTGGGGATTTTTGTTGGCTGGCATAAACTTACCACAAGAAAATTTTGTTTCTACATAATATTTTATGAAAGTACTAAAAGCTACCACTATCATCTCTTCTAGGGCCTGTCATGGGCCAGGAAAATGACAAATTAGCTGCCAAATCTAATGAAAGGTTGATTAAATATAAAGGGAAGAAAAATTCAACCATCCTCATACACTGACAACTGAGGTTTCTTGCTTTTTTCTTTCCAAATGCCCTTCCAATGAGGGGAAGACAAAATTAATATCTCATCCACGATTTCAGTCTGGCAGAAAATGAACCTCTTTTACAAACAGGTTGATTATTAATTAGCATTCCTAAAAGGTTGTTCATTTTGCTAATCTTAAACACTGAAATTGAAATTGCTGCAGATCTTGACAGGCACCCACTGAAAGTCCTCACTCCTTAAATAAGAGCTTCATCAGAAACTATCAAATCTTTTAGCACAGATTTGTCCCGATTTTTAAGGCATACTTTTCTTGGGGCTTTAATTTTCACTTGATTCTATTTTACTATTTTTTTGTATTAATTCCCTCACACATTTTAGCTATTAGAAAGCCAGCATGAAGCGACGTGTTTTTGTAAAAAATAGATTTGCCTCAACAAATTTTTACTCAGATAAAGAAAGTGAAAATTAGATTTAGTTTGCAATTTTGAAGTAGAGATTTTAAAGGTCATTTATGTTGTGTGCATGTGTGTAGTGGTTGTGTGGTGGTGTCATTTCCTTTTTTTGTTTGCCAGAACCATTCTGAAATAAAAAATGAGTGCAATATATTAGAAATAAAAGGTATCTGCTCTCTCATAATCTATAATTGGTGTGCTATTTCTTAATGTTTGTTCCATAGTAGATGCCATGGGTAATCAGCCATAATTATGGATTAAGATTCATATTTTGCATATAGGTACCCTATTGTTCCAGCAGTATTTGTTGAAAATATTGGATTAGAAGTTTTAATGTAGCAACAAAATTGCTGCTGTGACATGATAAAGTAAATGAACTGAATATATAAGAATGTCTTCTAAAATCAAGCTTTCAAAGATGGTGTCTTTGAAAGAAATCAAGAGAAAGGGTTGAAGAAAGAGAGTGACATATGTACTAAAGCTATCAATGAATGAGTGAGAGCAGATAGCAACAAAAAACGATTAGCATGAAGCTTTGTCTTGTGGCATGAGTTTCAAAAGATCTGGTGCTTTTTGAAAGAGGACAGAAGACTCCCCAAATGGATCTGTAGAATATTGTAATTTCTATCAAAATGCACACAAGGATTTTTGTGGACATAGGCAAGTTCCTCCTAAACTTTATGTAGAAAAGCACAGGACTAGAATAGCTAAAACAACCTTGAAAAATAAGAATAAAGTAGAAGGAATTACTCTACCTGCTATTAATGCTTACTATATGGCTACATTGATAAAAAAGCAATGTGGTATTGGTGAAGAAATTGACACATACATCAGTGAAAGAGAATAGAAAAAGCAGAACTTGACCCCTACAAACATACCCAAATTTTTGACAAAAATGTAAAAGCAATTCAGTGGAATTATGCTGAGTGGAAAAGGCCAATCCCAAATTTTCCATAATATATTATTCCATTTATATAACATTTTAAAATGACAAAATTATAGGATGAAGAATAGATTAGTGGTTGCCAGGTTTATGGAAGTTGGAGGGTGGGAGGTGGCTGTTGCTATAGAAGGGTAGCACAAGGAATACTTATGATAAAACTGTTATTTTGACTGTAGTCATGGTCAAAGAATCTACATGTGTTATAAAATGCATAGAACTAAACACACACACACACACACACACACACACACACACATCTGTTGAAATCTGAATAAGCTCAGTGGATTGTATCAGTGTCAAACTCCTGCTTGTGGTATTGTACTGTAGTTACGCAGGATGTTACCTTTGAGTGAATGGCACATAGGCTCTTCATTGTATGATTTCTTACAACTATGTGTGAGTCTATAGTTATCTCAAAATAAAATGTTAAAAAAAAGCAGGAGACAGACTATAAATGGTTTGATCTTCGTCTTCTATTTTTTTTAGTTCCTATTGAAAAAAACATTGTAAGCTTTCAAATACTACATTTGGATGATAGCCTTATGAAAGATTTTGTGGTTTGATGCATGCAAATTATTGCTTTAAAAACATATGACCAGTTAGTCAACATAATCAACTTATGTTACCAATCAGCACTATAATTAAGAAATAAGAACATGATACCAAAATAAACTCAAAATAGATCAGAGACCTAAATGTAAAACTTTAAGCAATAAAATATCTAGAATAAAATAGGAGGAAATCTTTGTGACCTTGTTTAGGAAAAGATAAAATTCATAGATCAGACCTCATAAAAATTAAGAAATTCAAAAACCAGTACTGAGGGAATGAAAAGACAAACCATAGATAGGGGGACAGTATGTTCAAACTACACATCTGATAAACAACTTGTATTCAGAATGTATCAAAACATCTCAAAACTCAGTGTACAAACAACCCAGAAAAGTACTTACAGCCAGATTAGCTTTGCAGCATATGTCCCCTGGGCCCTGCAACCCTGTAGATTGATGCAGTGAGAGCCAAATGGAGACATCTCTTACATGATTGTCAGATTTTACTTGTTGAATGAGGAAAACAGAAAAAAATACATTTTTGTGCTTTTAAAGGGAAAAGAAACCAACTTCCCCTCTTCCCTTCTGAGAGAGGCTCCTTGGATATGTAATGGAAGAAATGCACACTCTAGCTCTTTGATATATAAATAATTCTCTCTAGGAACCAAATAAGTTCAGTATCTCCAGGTTTCACAACATAGAGATGTCTCTAAAGTTCTGGGACCAATTTCTTTTGAAATATAAATACCTGTTTTTTGTTGTTGTTGTTGTTGTTTTTTTGTTTTGTTTTTCTTTTTTTGAGATGGAGTCTTGCTCTGTCACCCAGGCCGGAGTGCAGTGGTGCAATCTCCGCTCACTGCAACCTCCACCTCCCGGGTTCAAGAAATTCTCCTGCCTCAGTCTCCTGAGTACCTGGGATTAGAGGTGCTCACCACTGCTCCTGGCTAATTTTTGTATTTTTAGTAGAGACAGGGTTTCACCATGTTGGCCATGCTGGTCTCTAACTCCTGACCTCGTGATCTGCCTGCCTCGGCCTCCCAAAGTGCTGGATTACAGGTGTCAGCCACCACGCCTGGCCTAATCTAAATATTTCTAAGAGAAGTGAAACAAACATTATTTATCTTATACTATACATATTTCCATGTTTCATGGACCTGCAGCTTTGAAACATGGGAATAAATCCAGGTTTATTTTCTCACAGTGACATTATGCTAAAATTAGAATATTTGTTCCTCAATTTCAGCTGAGATCCAAAGATAGAACATACCAATTTGTTCTAGTGTCAACTGTATTGAACTAGGAGCTATGTTCTCCATAATCTCCTTAATCTGTATACTTCCAGCTTAGAGTTGGATAAGAGAGGAAATCCCATATTAGGAGGTTAAAGGGAATCAGGGGCCTTTACTCTCAGAAAGATCTAAGTTTGAGAGTCACTGACAACTACAGAGGCGCTCGGCTTTTCCTCACTTTCCTCTACTCCACCAGCTCTTCTTCCCAACTGTTGACCTTGAGGACCAACAGCGGTTCCAAGCCTGCCCCCAGTTGCAGATAACAGAGGCCACACTGAGACATCTTCCCCATAGATCCCTCCACAACCTCCCTTATACAGTCCCTCTAAGGAAGCTCAACTTGCTTGTCTACTCAGATGTCACTGCCAACTCCTAGTGGTCCTCTGCTCCAGTGCTTCAAGATGACTGTTTAATGACTTTATCTGCAATACTCCAAAACTTCCCTCTGAAAATTCACCTCCCCAGCAATTCCTACTCTTGTCTAAGACAGGAACGGGCAAAGTATCTACAGTCCCATTGCTTATTTTTTAAAAGAAAATTTTATTAAAACGATTATTCCCATTTGTTTCTGTATCATCTGTGGCTGCTTTCTGCTATACAACAGAATTGAGTAGTTGTGACAGAAGCCTTCGGGCCTGCAAACCCAAAATATTTACTGCTGGCTCTTTACAGAAAAGGTGTTGATGTCTGCTGTAATGTATAATTCCTATAAAAATTCCATATTCCATTATGTTTCTCCCTTCCTGACTGAACCTTCACTGATGTTCTCACTTAAATAGGACATGTAAAGAAGATGGCTAATAATTGATTTAAGAATTGTTTTTTTTTTTTTTGAGACTGAGGTCTTGCTCTGTCACCCAGGCTGGAATGCAGTGGCATGGTCAAGCTCACTGCAGCCTCAATTGCCCAGGCTCAAGCGATTCTCCCACCTCAGCCTCCTAAGTAGCTAGGACTACAGATGCATGCCACCACACCTGGCTAATTTTTTCTATTTTTTTGTGGAGATGGGGATCTTGCTATGTTGCCTAAGCTTGTCTTGAGCCTCTGGGCTCAAGCAGTCCTCCCGCCTTGGCCTCCAGAAATGCTAGGATTACAGGCATGAGCCACCACACTCAGCCTGATTTAATAACTGTTAGTTCATCTCCAAATAGGCACCCCTAAAAAGTTTTACAGAGGTTTAGAGTCCAGTGAACAATTGGAGAGGGAATTTCCTTGAAAAACATTTTGTTGAACAGCTGTGGCATTCTCCCTTGCCCACAGTTTTTCCATCCCACTACCATATTCTTACACATTTTATAGGCAAGACACAGGGATATTCTAAGATCAAGCCTTGTCAGGGAGTGGGATGAGGGTTGGAGTAGCTTTAAGTAGACCACATAAGTTTGATACTAGAGACTTGTAACTGCAGACTTAACTGGCAAGAGACTGGCTATGGTGCCTATGGCAGCAAAGTACATAATTGTGTTTGGAAAGTAACTGTATTCCCATCACAACTTCAAAAAGGATGCATGTCTCCCAGATAATACATATGGAACCTGATGTAGAGACATCAGCATAAGACTAATTTAGAAAGAACCACTTTCAAGACAACTTCCTTCAAGGAATAGGAGGAGCTCAGCAAAAAGACTGGAATTGTTCCATTCAATGAAGAAGCCAAGGGGCTAGGTATATCCTCTCTGAGTCTCTCTTTAATTCATTCCAATCAGGCTGTCTGCCTACCTGCTCTAGCAAAGATAATCTTTTCTAGTTCATCTGGAATATCTATTTTGCCAAATTCAATGACTACTCTTTGGTCCTCATTTTACTCAACTTGTTTTTCTTAAACTGACATTTTATTTTATTTATACACTATATAATTTGTTATAGATTTTTATTGTTTATATTTATGGTGTACATTGATGGTTTGATATATATGTATTGTGGAATGATTACATCAGGCTGATTAATATATCTATCACCTCATATAAATCTGCATCTTTTTTTGTGATGAGAACATTTAGAATCTACTATCTTAGCATTCTTAAGTATACGCTACATTATTATTAACTGTAATTACCTCGATGTACAATAGATATCCAGGCTTAATCTCCTAACTAACTGAAACCTTGTATCCTTTGATCAACATCTCCCCATTCCACCTGCCCACCCCAGCCCCCACTCCCTGGTAGCCCCTATTTTCCAATCTACCTCTCTAAGTTAGACTTCTTTATATTCCACATATAATTGCTATCATGCAGCACATTTCTTTCTGTACCCAGCTTATTTAACTTAACATAATGTCCTTTAGGTTCATCTGCGTTGTTGCAAATAACAGGATTTTCTTTAAAAAAACAAAACCTGAATAGTATTCCACTGTTTGTATGTGTATACATTCATATGTATATGTGTGTGTGTGTATAAACAACAGATAAATTGATAAAAAGTGACATATGTATCACACTTGAATAATGGCTACTGTGAATAATGCTCCAATGAACACAGAAGTCCAGTTATCTCTTCGAGATACTGATTTAATTTCCTTTGACTCTATACCCATAAGTGGAATTTCTGAATCATATGGTCATTCTATTTTTCATTTTTTGAGAACTCTCCATACTGTTTTCTATAATGGTTGTATTAATTTATATTTCTACCAACAGCATACAAGGGTTCTCTTTTGTCCACATCCTTCCAACACTTGTTATATTTTGTCTTTTTGATAATAGCCCTTCTGATAGATGTGAAGTAGTATTTCATTGTAGTTTTAATTTGAATTTCCCTGATGATTACTGGTGTTTGGCAGTTTTTCAGTACCTTAGCAGCATTTGAGTATTTGCCATCAGTGACAACTGTCTCCTTTTTGAAATAACTTTATTGGCTTTAGGAACACCATGTTCTCCTGGTTTTGTTGTACCTCACTTTCTGTTCTCAATTTCTTTTGCTGGATTCACTTCCTCTGCCTAAACTCTAAATATTGCAGGACTCTGAGCTTGACTCTGGGCCCCTCTCTTCTCATCGACCTTCTTTTCATAGGTGATGTTTTCTGATTCCACAGTTTAAAATACCATCAATATGCTAATAATTCCCAAATTGATCTCATTATCTTCTATCTCTCCTCTAAGCTCTCAGCTCATAAAACCAAGCACTTTAAGTCTCCACTAGGCTCTCTAAAAGGCATCTTATATTTAGTACGGCCAAAACATAACAGGCTTTCCAACATAGGTAAATGTTACTGCATTCCATTCAGTTCTCAAGTCAAAGCTAGAGCGTGTTTGCTTGCTCTCTTCCTTTCTACTCAAGTCAGATCCAATACATTGTCAAAGTCAACACTACCACCACCAAAGATCACCCATCCATCCTTTTCTCTATATTTATAATGCTATCACCTAACCTAAGACAGCAACATCTTCCATGTAAACTACTAGAATCACTTCTTAACGACTTTCCTGCTTCTATTCTTGCTCCTCTCCTCTGCCCAAACCATTCTATATAACAATCAGAAACATCTTTTAAAAATGTAAAGCAGGTAATTTTCTCCCCAGTTTGAAACACTTCATATTAGGAAAAAATTCATTTCCTTTACCATGGCTTGTAAAAATTTACTTAAAACTGATTTGATATTTGCAGTCTCTTATCTCAACTCCACAAAAGAATAGAAAACAGTATGTTGTAGCTGGGAAACTGCAAAACATTAATATGGCTGAGGATAAAGGTAGATATGTGAAACTTTGGAAGGTGATGAGACTGAAAATATAGAAAGGATGAAATTGAAAAAGACTTAGGAACTTAGAAGTTGAGACTTTCCTCAAGGAATTTGAACAATAAAATGACTATATCAAAAATTACACATTTTTAAGACCAACTGGCAATAAACTAACTTTGGTTTATCAATGATAAACAGTGCCTCAGATTAATCATTTTAGCAGATGTTTTAGGTGACCCACTCATTCTTTCAGCCCACGTCTGATTTCAGCAACAGCTGTGGTGAACAATTTCTGCAAACAATGTCAACTTTTCATCTCAAAAGAGGCCCACTCTCAGCGTTTGTGCTTCAGTGCTTTCCTGAAAGCAGCAGGTCTCTCAACCTGGAATGAGGGACACTGAATGCCTTAAGGGTGTCTGGAGTCAGTAGATAAATGCCCTGGCCACAGGTCATGATTTCCACATATTTACTCAGAGAGCTCTTTTCGCCCACAGCACTAGGCAGCTGGAAAACTGGACTTTATTGAGTTTTCTTCTTTCACTTTCTCATTTACCCTGTTCACTCACTCTTGCTTCCTGTAATTGCCTCCCAAATATGGCATCCAAGTCCTTGTTTTAGACTCTGCATTAGGTGGAATCCAAAAATTACAGACAATCATGCTGTTCTTTATTCGAGAACTATTAGTTGAGAATAATGTGCTTAAAAAAAAAGTCATTAAGACATTTCATAAAATAATGGTAAATCTTCTAAGAGTAAAACTAGAAATGTATGGGATGAAAAGACAGATACCAACAAATGTTAATACTAGTTAGTACTATTTTCCACATTCTTCAGCCCATATTAGTTTTTTTGGTAGCTATTTCAACTGACATGAGGTGGCTCTCAGCTGAACATGGAGTTATTGTTTGCTCTCAGTTTCGTATCTTATATAATAGCAGTGTCAAAATCCTGTGAAATCTGAGCAATCTTCAGCTGTGAAGGACAAGGGAAGAAAGTCTTTTGAGACAAAGGGCTCGTAACTTGGATTCTTGTTTTTTATATGTATATTTTGCATTTCAAGCTTCAGCCACAAGCTTTTTTTTCCCCAGCATATATTTTATGTTTTTTCTCTTTCTCTTACATGCCTTAATCTACTTCTTCTTTTGTTCAACTAAATGTATGCCATGTTGAGATCCTCATAGCATAAAACCTTTCATTTCAGAGTTGTTTCTGCATAATTGCCTAGGCAAATGGTATTCTACCATTAAATTGTTTCACTTTTTATTGACATCATTACTGATTAAGGAGGACAACTAAATTATGTTAGGTTCAATTAAGTAGGCTGATGGGACAATCCAGATGTAAAGAAATGCTAGTTATGTAATTTTTAAAAAAGCCTCTGAACCCTCCTACACTGACTACATTTCCATCCCACTCTTCAGCACATGATTTTTTTACAGCAAACTAAAGTTTTTAAATGAAACTAATGGTTAAAAATTAAATTATCTTTTTGGTAAGTCCTAAAAGTACAAGTTTAGTGTATATACATATTGTCACAGCAAGCCAAAATCTAAGAAGAAACAATGGAGGGAAAACATGGATTTCTTTGTCTTATAAACTGGAAGAGAGCAGGTGCTTTGTCTGATTTGCTTGATACATACCAAGAAGATGCTCAATAATGATCACTCGTTATCAATGTGCCATTGGTTATCACATCACAAGGTTATTATGAGCATTCTTTATATTAAATAATGGATAGAAGATTACTAAATACCAAGCACATTGTAAGTGTAAAATAAATGTGTTTTCCTTGGTATGCCCTATTCTCATTTGTTGATTAATGCAGCAATCATTGCTTTATATTGAAGGTTGAAAATAAATTTAAATAAATAGTCTGTGAACTAGCGAAGTCCATAAAAAAAGGTTTAGATCCTTGTTGTTTTGCAGTGTGGTAATGGTTTCAGCTTTCTTAAGCTCTCCTAAGTAGGTAGCAGTCATCTTACGTAGATAGCAGTCTGATGGACCAGAACATGGATATCACTAATAACTCTGTATTTCTGTCTCACTGTAAGCAGGCTACGTTATTTTCAGCTATTTTTGCCACCTATAGTGCTCTATTTAGAACCTCTTAGAATGTAAGCTAGCAAACTGACAATTAAAAATTAGGTCTTAATTAAGTAAGGGTCTTGTGAAAATTTAGTTATTAAATATGTAATTTATATGTTTATTCTGATTTTCTTGATGATTATAAGGAAATAACTATATGTCTATTCACTTCAGTATTTTTAACTAGTTAACAGAGAAAAAAGTTGAAATTAATGATTTACATTAGTTAGTTCTGTTTAGTATCCAGAATACTTTAAAATCTCATTAACCATATTGTATGCTATCCTTCAATAATGGATCCCCTTAAATAAAAAATATTTTGGAACAGTTGATTGCTAATGCAGAATAAATAGTAAAACAATTGTTGGTAGAGATTGAGCTCCATATAAATGTAAGATGACACCATGTTTAATAAAGAGTTATGCATCCCATGGGAACACAAAAATATATTTCCTAGATTACTGAACTGTTGATAAACTATGATATGCACATTTAATAATAATAAAGTTAGTAAGTATTTTGTCAAGTCTGTAATATCTGCATAAACATTCTGACAGAGAAATTGGGAGAGAAAAAGAAAATAAAGCCTTTATTTTCACATTTAGCATTAGAAGAGTGGTAGACTCCACCAGAAATACCAACTTGGGTTGAAAGAGACCATTTTGCGCTAAGCTTATATTGATGATGTACGTATTTTGGTGTGAGGATTTTGCCTTGAAGGTACATGCCAGCTCGTAGGAGTTCGATTTAACATTCACCTCTAAGCACTGAAAAATCTGGGTTATGGTCAACGCAGCAGCTTGCTACAAATAAAATTAAGACTCACCTGAGATTCTATGAATTGCTTTACTAAAAGCCTGGTTGTTTAACATTGTTGCTAAAGTTCTGGGAAGAAAATCCAAACACAACATATAAAAATAAATTTCCATGGCTCCTACTGTTTCCTTTGGAAAGGCAGATAATACAATTCTTATTGCCTTTTATTTACAGATATTGTTACAGGAAAGATAGATTTGACTAAAAATGTCATCTAGGAAAATTTTAACCAAAATTAGAAATTTTGCTAGTGATCTGGGTTGCTAAGAATCTAAGCATTAATACATGATGGTCTTGTGTAGGTAATCTTCTTCAGTTGTGATGGATGAGAGCCCCTGTATAGGATGGGGAAGGAAAGAATTCAGAGAAATAAGCTAATATCTGAGTAATAAATTTAACAGAAATTTGAGAATGTCCCTAGATAAGGCTGAAGATAAAGGAGAACTTTGCTGCTTTTTAGAAAGGAGTGGTCAGGACTGATGGAAGAAGGGAGAAAATGGAAGGGACTGGAGAGTGTGAGAACGGTTCCCACAGGCTGAGATTAAGGAAATTAACTTTTCCCTTGAAGAAAACATTTTTTTCATGGTAGCAATGACAGAAGAACTTTGTGAAAAATGTTATCTAAAGTCCAATTTAAGGCTGTTTCATTTCTGGTTCTGCTGCATTTTTCTGGCATCATCCCCCCAAAAATAGCCATGCAAAAGTGTACCTTGAAAATTAAATGGGAGGTCAAGAAAGCCAAAGAGGGGAGAATTTAGTGAGAGCCAGAACCTGGGACCAGAAGAGAGACCAAATACCTCTTTTCACTACTTAATTTCCTCAAATTCCGAGAGAGAGAGAACTGGATTTATCACAGTCCACTGGGTAGGATAATAGCGACTTAAAATAGACATTAACAAAAAGGCTTATCTCAGAAGTATAGATAAAAGTAAAGTACACATTTTTTTGTATGATTATTAGTTAGGTAATGAATGGGTGAATTTCTTGGGCTGCCTCACTAATTTGTGAACTATGTTGCGTATTTATTTAACTCTATATTTCTACCACATTCTTCTTTTCTTTCCTGAGTGTCTCTAACATATTGATGAAAATGTGTAGGTTTTGACCTTTAAGGGAAGATGAATTTTAAGGAGCAGATTTTAAAAAAATTATTCAAAGTAAGTAATATAGCTTACATTTTAAAGATAGTTTATAGAATATACATATATATATAGACATATGTAGAGAGACTATATGAAGGCATACATACTTCTATGTGTATGTTTGCTTTTGTAGATTTGAAGAATTGTATTTCTTTTATTTTTTAATTTATAAAGAAAGGAGGCTTAACTGACTCACAGCTCCACATAGCTAGGGAGGCTTCAGGAAACTTACCAATAGTGGCAGAAGGCAAAGGGGAAGCAACACGTCTTACATGGCAGCAGGAGAGAGAGAGAGTAAAGGAGGGAGTGCCACTTTTAAAACCATCAGATTTCCCAAGAATACACTCATTATCACAAGAACAGCTTGGGGGAAACTACCCCCATGATCCAATCACCTTCCACCAGGCCCCTCCCTTGACATGTGGGGAAAACAATTCTTTTTTTTTTCAATAGGTTTTGGGGGAACACGTGGTATTTGGTTACATGAATAAGTTCTTCAGTGGTAATTTCTGAGATTTTGGTGCACTCATCACTTGAGCAGCCTACATTGTACCCAGCGTGTAGTCTTTTATCCCTCAACCCTCTCCCACCCTTTCCACTGAGTCCTCAAAATCCATTGTATCATTCTTATGCCGTTATGTCCTCATAGCTTAGCTCCCACTTATGAGTGAGAACATAACGATGTTTGGTTTTCCATTTCTGAGTTACTTCACTTAAAATAATGGTTTTCAATCTTATCCAGGTTGCTGCAAATATCATTATGTTGTTCCTTTTTATGGTGAGTAGTATTCTATGGTATATATGTACCACATTTTCTTTATCCAATTGTTGATTGATGGGCATTTGGCTGGTTCCATATTTTTGCAATTGCGAGTTGTACTGCTATAAACGTCTGTGTGTATCTTTTCCATATAATGGCTTATTTTCCTCTGGGAAGATACCCAGTAGTGGGATTGCTGGATCAAATGGTATATCTACTTTTAGTTCTTAAAGGAATCTTCACACTCTTTTCCATAGTGGTTGTACTAGGTTACATTCCCACCAACAGTGTTAAAGTGTTCCCTTTTCATCACATTCTTGCCCACATCTATTATTTTTTGATATTTTGATTATGGCCATTTTGGCAGGAGTAAGATGGTATCATATTGTGGTTTTGATTTGCATTTCTCTGATAATTAGTGATGTTGAGCATTTTTTCATTTGTTTGTTGGCCATTTGTATATCTTCTTTTGAGAGTTGTCTATTCATGTCCTTAGCCCACTTTATGATGGGATTTTTTTCTTACTGATTTGTTTGAGTTCCTTGTAGATTCTGGATATTAGTCCCTTGTCAGATGCATAGATTACAAATATTTTCTCCCACTCTTTGTGTTACCTGTCTACTCTGCTGATTATTTCTTTGGCTGTGCAGAAGTTTTTTTACTTTAATTAAGTCCTATCTATTTATCTTTGTTTTTGTTGCATTTGCTTTTGGGTTCTTGGCCATGAAGTCTTTGAATAAGCCAAGGTCTAGAAGGGTTTTTTTCTAATGTTATCTTCTAGAATTTTTATGGTTTCAGGTTTCAGATTTAAGTCTTTGATCTATCTTGATTTGATTTTTGTATAAGGTGAGAGATGAGGATCCAGTTTCATTCTTCTACATGTGGCTTGCCAATTATCCCAGCACCATTTGTTGAATAGGGTGTCCTTTCTCCACTCTTATGTTTTTGTTTGCTTTGTCGAAGACCAGTTGGCTTTAAGTATGTGGCTTTATTTCAGAGTCCACTATTCTGTTCCATTGGTCTATTGCCTGTCTTTATACAAGTACCATGCTGTTGTGGTGACTATGGCCTTATAGCATAGTTTGAAGTCAGGTAATGTGATGCCTCCAGATTTATTCTTTTTGCTTCATCTTGCTTTGGCTATGCAGGGTCTTTTTTGGTTCCATATGAGTTTTAGGATGGTGTTTTCTAGTTCTGTGAAGATTGATGATGGTATTTTGATGTGAATTGCATTGAATTTATAGATTGCTTTTGGTAGTATTGTCATTTTTACAGTACTGATTCTACCCATCCATGAGCGTGAGATGTGTTTTTATTAGTTTGTGTCATCTATTATTTCTTTCAGCAGTGTTTTATAGTTTTCCTTGTAGAGATCTCTCACCCCTCTGGTTATGTATATTCCTAAGTATTTTATTTCCTTTCTCTGCAGCAATTGTAAAAGTGATTGAATTCTTGATTTGATTCTCAGCTTGGTCACTGTTGGTGTTTAGCAGTGCTACTGATTTGAGTACATTGATTTTGTATTCTGAAACTTTACTGAATTCATTTATGAGATTTAGAAGCTTTATGGATGAATCTTTACGGTTTTTTAGGTACACGATCATATCATCAGTGAACAGCAGCAGTTTTACTTTCTCTTTACCAATTTGGATGCCTTTTATTTCTTTCTGATTGCTCTGGCTAGGACTTCCAGTACTATGTGAAATAGAAGTGGTGAAAGTGGGCATCCTTGTCTTGTTTCAGTTCTCAGAGGAAATGCTTTCAACTTTTCCCCATTCAGCATAATGTTGGCTGTGGGTTTGTCATAGATAGCTTTTATTACCTTAATTATCTGCCAGTTTTGCTGGGGGTTTTAATCATAAACGTTAATCTATTTTAATCATAACGGGATGCTGGATTTTGTCAAATGTTCTTCTGCATCTATTGAGATGATCATATAATTTTTGTTTTTACTTCTCTTGATGTGGTGTATTACATTTATGGACTTGTGTATGTTCAACCAGCTCTGCATCCCTGGTCTGAAACCCACTTGATCAAGGCGTATTATCTTTTTGATATGCTGTTGAATTTAGTTAGCTAGTATTTCGTTGAGGATTTTTGCATGTGTGTTCATCAGGGACATTAGTGTGTAGTTTTCTTTTTGTATTATTCTTTCCTGGTTTTGGTATTAGGGTGAACTGCTTCATAGAACGATTTAGGGAGGATTCCCTCTTTCTCTATCTCTTGGAATAGTGTCAATAGGATTGGTACTAATTCTTCTTTTAATGTCTGATAGAATTCAGCTGTGAATCCATCTGGTCCTGCACTTTTTATTTGTTGGCAATTTTTAAATCACCAATTTACCACTGCTCACTGCTTGTTATTAGTCTGTTCAGTGTTTCTACTTCTTCTGGTTTAATCTAGGAGGGTTGTACATATCCAAGAATTTATCCATCTCCTCTAGGTTTTCTAGTGTATGTGTGAAAAGGCATTCATCGTAGCCTTGAGTAAACTTTTGTATTTCTGTAGTGTCGGTTGTAATATATCCTGTTTTGTTTTTAATTGAGTTTATTTGGACTTTCTGTCTTCTTTTCTTGGTTAGTCTCACTAATGTTCTATCAATTTTATTTACCTTTTCAAAGAATCAGCTGTTTGTTTCATTTATGTTTTGTATTTTTTGTTGTTGTTTCTATTTCATTTAGTTTTGCTCTGATCATGTTTGTTTCTTTTCTTCTGCTGGGTTTGGTTTTGGTTTGTTTTTGTTTCTCTAGCTCCTTGAGGTGTGACCTTAGATTGTCTATTTGTGCTCTTTCTGACTTTTTGATGGAGGCATTTAATGGTATGAACTTTCCTTTTAACACTGTTTTTGCTATATCCCAGATATTCTGATAGTTTATATCACTATTATCATTCAATTCAAATAATTTTTAAATTTCCCTCTTGATTTTATTGCTGACTCAGTGACCATTCAGGAGCAGGTCATTTAATTTTCATGTATTTGCGTGGTTTTGTGGGTTCCTTTTGGAGTGGATTTCCAATTGTATTCCACTATGGTCTGCGAGAGTACTTGATATAATCTCAATTTTCTTAAAATTGTTGATACTTATTTTGTGGCCTATCATATGGTCTATCATGGAGAAGGTTCCATTTGCTGATGAATAGAATGTATATTCTGTGGTTCTTGGGTAGAAGGTTCTGTAAATATCTATTAAGTCCATTTGTTCTTGGGTACCATTTAAGTCCATTGTTTCTTTGTTGACTTTCTGTCTTGATGACCTGTCTAGTCCTGTCAGTGGCATATTGAAGTCTCCCACTATTACTGTGTTGCTGTCTATCTCATTTCTTAGGTTTAATAGTAATTGTTTTATAAATTTGGGAGCTCCAGTGTTAGATGCATATGTATTTTGGATTGTGATATTTTCCTGTTAGACTAGTCCTCTTATCATCGTATATTGTCCTTCTTTGTCTTTTTAAACTGCCGTTGCTTTAAAGTTTGTTTTGTCTGGTATAGGAATAGTTACTCCTGCTCATTTTGGTGTTCATTTACATGGAATATCTTTTTATACCCCTTTACCTTAAGTTTATATGGGTCCTTATGTGCCAGGTGAGTCTCTTGAAGATAGCAGATACTTGGTTGGTGAATTCTTATTCATTTTGCCATTTTTTGTCTTTCAAGTGGAATATTTAGGCCATTTACATTCAACATTAGTATTGAAATGTGAGACTCTAGTCAATTCATTGTGCCATTTGTTGCTTGAATACCTTCTTTTCATCATATTGTTTTACAGTTCCTGTGAGTTTTATGCTTCAAGGAGGTTCTATTTTGGTATATTTTGAGGATTGTTTCAAGATGGAGAGCTCCTTTTAACATTTTTTATAGTTCTTGTTTGGTAGTGGTAAATTCTCTCAGCATTGTTTATCTGAAAAAGAATGTATCATTTCCTCATTTATGAAGCTCAGTTTAATGGATACAAAATTCTTGGCTGAAAATTGTTTTGTTTAAGGGGGCTAAAAATAGGACCCCAACCCTTTTAGCTTGCAGGGTTTCTGCTGAGAAGTCTGCTGTTAATCAGATAGGTTTTCCTTTATAGTTTACCTTATGCTTTTGCCTCACAGCTCTTAAGATTCTTTATTTCATTCTGACTTTAGATAACCTGATGACTAGGTGGTGAAGCAATGACCTTTTTGCAATGAATTTGGCAGGTGTTCTTTGAGCTTCTTGTATTTGGATGTCTAGATCTCTAGCAAGGCCAGGTAAGTTTTTCTTGATTATTTCCTCAAATATGTTTTCCAAATGTTTAGATTTCTCTTCTTCCTCAGGAACACCAATTATTCTTAGGTTTGGTCATTTAATGTAATCATAAACTTCTTGGAGGCTTTGTTTATTTTTTTAAATTCTTTTTTCTTTGTCTTTGATGGATTGGGTTAATTCAAAAGCCTGGTGTTTGAGCTCTGAATTTCTTTCTTCTATTTGTTTGATTCTATTGCTGAGACTTTCCAGTGCATTTTGCCATTTCTCTAAGTCTGTACTTGATTTCCAGATGTTGTGATTGTTTTTTATTCATGCTATTTTACTGGAGATTTTTCCATTCACATCCTGTATCATTTTTTTTATTTCTTTAAGTTGGACTTCACCTTTCTTTGGTGCCTCTTGGATTGGCTTAATAGTTGACCTTCTGAATTCTTTTTTTTTTTTTTTGTTAATTCAGAGAGTTCATCTTGGTTTGGATCCATTGCTGGTAAGCTAGTATATTTTGGGGGTGATAACCTTGTTTTGTCATATTATGAGAATTGTTTTTCTGGTTCCTTCTCATTTGGGCAGACTATGTTAGAGGGCAGATCAGGGACTCAAGGGCTGCTGTTCAGATTCTTTTGTCCCATTGGGTACTTCCTTGATTTGGTGCTCTCCCCCTTTCCCTAGGGATGGGGCTTTCTGAGAGCCAAACTGCAGTGATTGTTATTTCTTTTCTGGATCTAGCCACTCAGCTGAGCTGCCAGGCTCCACCTGGTGCTTGAGAGTGTTTCCAAAGAGTCTTGTGATGTGATTTGTCTTCAGGTCTCTCAGCTGTGTATACTAACACCTCCTCCGGTGGAGGCGGCAGGGGAGTGAAGTGGACTCCATGAGAGTTCTTGGTTGTATTTTTGCTAAGTACTGCTGATTTTGTGTTCGTTGGCCTCAAGCCAGGAGGTGGTGCTTTCAAGAGCACATCAGCTGCAGTAGTATAGGGAGGATACAAGCTTGGCCTAGGATCAGGCGGTGTGTGGGGCCATGGAGCTCCCAGGAGACTATGTCCTTTGTCTTCAGCTACCAGGGCAGGTAGAGAAAGACAATCAGTGGAGGGCAGGGTTAGGAGCTCAGACTCTCCTTGAGTGGGGCTTGCTGCAGCTGCTGTGGGGGATGAGGGTGTGGTTCCCAGAGGGATTATGGCTGCCTCTGCTGCCTCACACAGGTTGCCAGGGAAGTAGGGGAAAGCCGGCAACCTCAGGCCTCACCCAGCTCCTATGCAGCCTGCAGCCTGAAAGGCTGATCTCACTCCCTCTGTGCCCCTGACAACAGGACTGAGTTTATTTCCAGGGCTGAGAACTTACCCCAGGTTACAAGCCTCCTAGCTGAGAAAGAAAAGGGACTCAGCTCCTCTGCTGCCCCACAGAGCCTGCAGCAACAATCCATCCACTTCAAAAAGTCTGTGGAAGTTCTCAGCTTTCCTGGTATGTTCCTGCCGTGGTTCTTGGAGAAAAGGTTCACAATTTGGGTCTCCACACACTGTCCTGCCCATCCAAGTGGGAGCTGCAAGTTAGTCCTGCCTCCTATCTGCCGTTTTCCAGAACTGTATTTCTTTACCCACTCATTTATTTGCTGTTTCCTATATTTTGTACAAAAATGACTAAAAATTATAACTAATAAAGGTTATTTTCCTACATCTTCCCTCTTCCAAGGCTTTTTCATTGTTTTCGTTAATGAATTTTTTTTGAAAAAAGAAATGAATATTATGTTAACTATAATATTAATTTTCAGAAGGATAGTAAGAAGACGAGTCCCAAATCCCAATCCTCAGAAATAAACACTGTTAACACTTGATGGACATAATTACAGATATGTCTGCTGGTGTGCTGGAACTGGCTTGTACTGGCTTCTGAGAACTAATTGTGTGCATCTTGTCCCAGCTCTGTACCCAGGGACATTACATTAGTAGACTGAAATCAGTCATGATGGGAGTATTAACACCACGGAAATAGACTACACTCAGAGGCTCTTTTTGTGTTGCTGTTTTTTGTTGTTGTTTTGAAAGCCATTTACTAAAGATTTGCAAGCCCATACATCACTGAATATATCACTATGAACAGATATAGAAAGACAGCTAAACATTTTCTATAAGGAGACAGACAAAAATTACCTCATGGTCTACATTATAATATTTAATTAAATGTATTCAATTTAAAAATATTTTTAAATTTTAGAAGAAAGAGAAATTGAAGTGAAATTAAAGGAATTGCTAAATTCTGGCTGGTGGGGAGAGGCACTATTATGGGCCCTATATAAGCCCCAGTACTGCTCACTCTTATCATTTAGGGAGGGAGAGGACAGTTCACTTTCTGTGCAGCTCTCACCTTTCCAGGAGTCTGTCCTGAAGATTTTAGCTGCCTTGGTGTTCCTGGACTTTCAACTGTCTCTTTAACTCAGAAAGTTCACGGGGCTTAGCTCATTCTCTGCTCCGTAGCCTCAAAACTCTCTCAAGGCAGTAAGCTAGGCAGGCAGCCATGGGGCTCTCCTTATTTGTTTTCCAACTCTCAGTCATGAGTGTCATTTCTACCTGATGTCTAGTGTTTTAGAAATAATTGTTTCAATATATTTTGTTCATTATTTGTTTGTTTCAGGTGAGAGAGGGAATCCAGTTTCTGATATCCCATGTGGATAGAAGTTCTAAGGATATGTGTGCAAATATAAAGTCTTTTTTCAAATTATGTTGATACTGTGGATAGTTTAACATTCCTTCCAATAATTCCCTACCTTTACAAAGGTCTGATAAATGCCAGCAAAATATTAGATGGTGAAACCTTGATAAAATGAACGGTACCAGGTAAATATTGGTAATTTTAAAAAAGATGAATAGGCCATGACATCTGTTTTGAACCTAAAGCTGAATATCAGAATGAATCTTCTGCTTTTGTATTAGCATCCATGGACTGTCAAGCCTTTACATTTTATTAGGGTAACAATAATCAACACTGTATTTATAACATGCATTCATGATCAAACATCATATTTAATAAATGCTGTTGAATTAATGTAGTTTTGTTTAGAAATGCAGCCTGAATAAAGTATTACAAGACAAACATAAAATTACATTTTTAATGTGCAGTTTTGATAACTGTATATTGTTAAATATATATATACAATTTTGAGGAGAACACCTATCTCAATTAAAATTCTTTTCGAGCATCTACTTTTAATATTGTATGAAGGAAGCTACATCAGTATCAACCAAGCCTCTTTTCTTTAGAAATGTATGATTTTAATGAAATTTACCAACCTGGGGATTGTGACAACTAATTAACATCTTACTTATATACACTAGATATTTCTGTTCACTCAGTTGTATATTCATGTATTCAACAAATTGTTTTATACAGATGCTCCTTGACTTACAATGGAGTTACGTCACAATGAAATCATCAAAAGTCTAAAATATCATAAGTCAAAAATTTAATACCCTGATAAGCTCATTGTAAAATAAAAAAATTTAAGTAAAACCATCATAAATTGAGGACTGTCTATGTAATACAAATATTCTGCCATAAATAAAATATTGTTAAAAGTTTAAGTTGTTCTATAGACAATTTAGAATGTAAAATAATGCTTATAATAATAATAAATGTTCTATCAGGTATTATAGAATACTAGATGGTCCTACATTTTAGTTTTCTAGATAATTGAAGTTTTCCCTAAATAGAATCAATAATTTCCAAAAGGGTTACCTACTTACCACATATCTTTCTAAAGTACATTCCATGTATTTTGTTCTTTCTACATAGGGCAAACTTTTAAAATTTATAGTTTCACTAATAATTCAGTGTCAACACTTGCATTATCAAATACCGTTTTTGTGGCTATAATATATTATTGTCTTTAGAAAATGTGTGAAATTGATGTTCCCTACATGAAATTTTCCAAGACTTTATGCCTTTTTAAATATGTCAGTGTTTTATAGTTTTCCTCTGTCTTTCTTTATTCAGGCTTTTATATGGCCCTTTTCTAGTTCTGTAGTGATTCTGTCTTCATCAGCTTTTCCTCTCTCAATTCTAATCTATTGTGACCAGCTCATAAGGTAACCAAGCTAATTAGAATAATGAGTTTAATAAAATTGGTCTGTGAGTAATGCCTTAAAATATGGACTTTATAGTAAAAGCTTCACTGTAGTCTTTTAACTACTGGAGACTTTTCCTTGTTTTCTTCCTGCTTCTGGATTCTTGAATTGAAATTGTTCTTTGAAGTTTTACATTTAAACTGCACTTTCACATCTAGAAGAAAAATCACATCTGTAAACTACACCCAAGTCCAGGGTGATAAAGCCTTAATCTGAAAGAGACCACCATACTTCTGAGATGTATCTAATAAATGTTTAGCTTTTCAAGAAGATTGTGCAGAATATACAACCCCCAAAATACACAAGTGGGAAGAGTGTTTTCAAATTACCTCATTTGTTGGTTGTTGATGTAATTTAATGAACTGCAATATACCCTTCAGATTAGGCTCAAATAACTTACCTTCTTGGAAGCAATTTCTGACCTTTCAGATAGAGCTGATAGATTCTTCCTTTATATTCTTCCTACACCACAAATTTTTTCTCTATCTTAATCCCATTATATACATATTTGTTTACATACAAGTCTTGCTTTTTAGATTGAAAGTTTCCAGATGACAAGTAGAGTAACTTAAAGAATCTCTAAGCCAAGCACAGTGCCAACATAAAGTAAGAGCTCAATGAATGTGCATTGAATAGATGGATATTCCCTTTAGCAATTATGGAAACAACATGATATTTTATGAAATCTATGGGATTAAACAAATAGCATATAACGTACTGTGTTATGTGACTAAGGTCACAAAGATGAGTAAGATATAAGCCCTTACTGTCAAAAACTAGACATATGTAAAAAGAGATAAAATGGTACACAAATAACCGTGGAGCTGTATTAGTTGAGATAGGCCAAGATATGCTCTAGTTCAAGTTGGTCCAACCTGTGGCCCATGGACTGCATGTGGCCCAGGATAGCTTTGAATATGACCCAACACAAATTTGTGAACTTTCCCAAAATATTATGAGTTTTTTTTGTCATTTTTTTTCTTTTTCAGCTCATTAGCTATCATTAGTGTTAGTGTAGTTTATGTGTGGCCTAGGACAATTCTTCTTCTTCCAGTGTGGTCTAGGGAAGCCAAAAGATTGGGCACCCCTGCTCTAGTGAGTAATGAGTAAACCCTCAAATCTTTGTGGCTTACAACAATAGAATTTTCTTTCTGCTTCATCCAAGTTGGAGGTGGGCTAGAAACTTTACTCACTCCTCTCCGAACCATGACACAGGGATCTGGGCTTCTTCTGTCATGTATCTGGGCCAACTCTGAGTCTTTGCCTCCAAGAAATGGATGGGAGAGACAGACAGAGGGAAATGGGCAATTACAATATACCGTTCCATGAGGAGCCAGTTTGAAATAGACATGTGTCACTTCTTGTCACATTTGTTTGGCCAGAACTTGCTCTATTACTCTGTATTGGTTCAAGGGGCTCAGAAATATATTCTTCCTGTCTGCCTAGGAGGAGAAAAACAAATGGTCTGATTAGCACTGTGGTATGCAGCATACAGTATTGCCTCTAGCTCAGTTGCCAAGTGCAAGTATGAAGTCAATATGTACAGGCAACTTATAAAGGAACAATTTACTTATATAATACTTCAACTTATTTCTTATCACTATACTCCAAGATGTTTTCCTGACGTGTCATTAAATTACAAGTATAAAAACCTCTCTTTAGACAAGAAAGCATAACAATCACATGCATCTTAGCACTGCTGAGCTTTTATTTCATTCACCTCCTGATAAATTGCTGTTTGTAAATATTGTGTTAATGTCTGTTGAGACCAGAACAATGGATCTGGTAAAAAATTGATTCAATTAAGAGATAAAGAATGAAGTTTACCATTATTTTACCTTTTTGGTGACACCAATAGAACCATGTATTTCGTCATTCTTGCATTGCTATAAAGGAATACTTGACACTGGGTAATTTATAAAGAAAAAAGATTTAATTGGCTCAGGGTTCTGCAGGCTGTACAAGCATTGCACTGGCATCTGCTTGGCTTCCAGGGAGGCCTTGGGGAGTTTTTACTCATGGTGGAAGGCAAAGCTAGAGCAGGCATATCACATGGTGAGACCAGGAGCAAGAGAGAGGGGGAGGAGGTGCCACAAGCTTTTGAACAGCTCGATCTCATGTGAACTCACTATTGTGAGGAAAGCACCAAGCCATGAAGAATCCACCCTGATGACCCCAACACCGCCCATCAGTCTCCACCTCCAACACCGGGAATTACATTTCAACATGATATTTCAAAGGAACATCCAAAGCATATCAAACCATTTCTTAAAAAAAACTTGGCATTTTATTACTTTACTATGGTTTAGTGGTATAATTCTTTATGCTACTATCCCTAGAGAACAGACATATGTGCTGTGTATGTGTCACACACACACAGAAACACACAAGGGGCCCATTTCCACACATATACATAAATATCAGTGGTCTTGGCATTGACCCAATGTCTGAATTTGTACCTTCAGACATATGGGAATATTTTCATCTCTAAAAATCATTTTGTACATTAATGTTTAAATTATAGCTTCATATTTGATATAAAAATTCTGACTTCTAACTTAATATGTGGTTATTATGCTGCTACTCAGTGAATGTATTTTCAACATTTAAACATTTTGTCCTTCAAATTATTAATCATTTTTCATTCTAAAGATGACTATAAGAAGTACAAGAAAAACATTATAGAATAAAAGTACGTATGATTTGGTCTCCATATTTTACAAATGAAGAAATGGCTTACTACTGGCTAAGACAAGAACTCAAGAATTGTAAAAAAAACTGTATAGGTTTTGGATTCAGACACACCTGGATTCAAATTTTGGCTCTGTTGCTTAATTTCTGTGTGAATATGTATAAGCTACTTAATCTTCCTAACTTTCAGTCTTTTTATTTATAAAATAGGTGTTACAGTACCTGAATTTCAGAGTTGCTGTGATTAGATGAAATTAGATAATTAGATGAAAGAAGAAGAAAGAATGTAGCTGTATAAAATTCTTGTTATCAGCAGCAAATTTCTGACTCTCTGATAATAATAATTGGATATTCTTATACTACTACTACTAATACTAGTACTATTATCAGTTTCTTTCTAAAGTCCTTAAGGACTTATCAGAGCAACTTCAAACTAAAATAGAATTTAAAAGTGTACTTTTCTTTTTCATTTGAATACTATTATTAACAGGTTGAGTTTTGGCAAATAGTTTCCCTGTTAATATAATTTCTTGAATTTGACAAGTATAACAAAATATGTTATCTGAACACAGTGGTAATAACATAATAATTGAACACATCACAGAGCAGAGAATTAAAATGATGTAGACTTCAGAAATTTCTTGTATTGTTAGAAAAACGAATAAATGGCAAGAAAAGGATGATTTATTGTATGGCTGTTATCTTTTTAAATCATCTTGGTAGAAGGTATAGGAAGTATCTTTCTATGCATTTTCCATCATCATGGGTTCATATTGAGAGAAATCATTCTATTTTTTTTGTCAATGATAGTGTCTCATTGCTAAAACAACTGCTTGAAAACAGTTTTCAAAAACTAGATTTCACTTTAAAGAAAAAATAAAAATCTACACTATTTCCACTTATTTACATTTTAAATAATAAAATTACGTTAAGAAACAAAACAAAATAAATACGTTTGCCAAAATCTATCTGTCTTTGTTCTTCACATCACTTCATTTTATTTTAACAAATTTACTGAGGTAATTCACATGCCATACAATTCTCCTATTTATGCACATTACTTCTTGAATAAGATATTCCTATGCCTATCCAATCTAAGAATCCCAAGAAAAATCAAAATAAACATATCGATATTGAATATCAACTCTGTAAAAACGATCAGAATAGACTAGAATAGGTGCTGGGGTGAGACAATTATTTATATGTTTTTTCTCTCAAGGTATTAACTTTCAAATTAGAAGAATTGGACATAGGTACATTAATAAAATATTTAAATAAAATATTAAAATATGTTATATATAATAGAAGAGATACTATAACATACTCAATGACTAATAATAAAATAGGGGTCATAAAATAAAAGTGATTTAGGAATTTCAAGGAAGAATATATATTTTACACTATATTAGTTGATAAAAATTTCCTAGATGAGATAAAATTTAAGTTAGGAGTTCAGAGAAGGCCAGAAGAGAAGGGGAGTTTTCCTGGGTAAAGGGGAAAGAAGGGGTCAAAACATCAACAAAAGCAAAGGAGTAGAAAACCATAAGACTCCCTCAAGGAGCAATATGTGAAAAATAATCAGCTGGAACAGAGTGTTGCCTTTGAGGAGAATTATAATGTATTCTCCAGCTGGGACTCATGGGCAAGGTTGTTAGCCAGAAGATATACCTAAGCCCATCCAATCTAAGAATCCAAAGAAAAATCAAAATAAACATACAAATATTGAATATCAACTCTGTAAAAAAGGTTAGAATAGACTAGAATAGGTGCTCCAAAAAGCCACAGGATATGCAGCATAGCTTATCATATGGAAATACCATATTTCCTTGGGACTAATTAATTGAAGATGTGATTTTTGTTTTTGAAAACTCATATAAATTGGAATTTTATGTCATTTTCAAGTGTTTCAGCTGCTCTCCTTAAAAATCATGAGTATGGGTTTATTCTCCTTAATCATTTCAGCTTTTTAGTGGAAAAAGCTGATTATCAAGAATTAAAAAAGACAAGATTACGAGATCAATTGGGTCCTGTTGGTGGAAAAACTTAAATGTCAGATTAAAGAGCTTGGACTTTGTGTTAGAAGTAAGGAGCCTTAGAAGAATGCTAAACTGTGGGAAAGTATACTAAAAAATCTTTCAATAAATTAATATGGCAACTTAATATACAGGATGTATGAATGAGGAAATTATTATTATTATTATACTTTAAGTTTTAGGGTACGTATGCACAACATGCAGGTTTGTTACATATGTATACATGTGCCATGTTGGTGTGCTGCACCCATTAACTCGTCATTTACATTAGGTATATCTCCTAATGCTATCCCTCCCCCCTCCCCCCACCCACAACAGTCCCCGGTGTGTGATGTTCCCCTTCCTGTGTCCATGTGTTCTCATTGTTCAATTCCCACCTATGAGTGAGAATATGCGGTGTTTGTTTTTTTGTCCTTGCGATAGTTTGCTGAGAATGATGGTTTCCAGCTTCATCCATGTCCCTACAAAGGACATGAACTCATTTTTATGGCTGCATAGTATTCCATGGTGTATATGTGCCACATTTTCTTAATCCAGTCTATCATTGTTGGACATTTGGCTTGGTTCCAAGTCTTTGCTATTGTGAATAGTGCCGCAGGAAACATACGTATGCATTTGTCTTTATAGCAGCATGATTTATAATCCTTTGGGTATATACCCAGTAATGGGATTGCTGGGTCAAGTGGTATTTCTAGTTCTAGATCCCTGAGGAATCGCCACACTGAGTTCCACAATGGTTGAACTAGTTTACAGTCCCACCAACAGCGTCAAAGTGTTCCTATTTCTCCACATCCTCTCCAGCACCTGTTGTTTCCTGACTTTTTTATGATTGCCATTCTAACTGGTGTGAGATGATATCTCATTGTGGTTTTGATTTGCATTTTGAATGAGGAAATATTATAGGCTGAAACCAGCTTAGAATGTGCAAACACAAATGATTTATTAAGGCAGTTGCATCATTTTCAGAGCCAATTCTATTATGTGATTTATAAAAATTGTTTAAGGTCTGCTACAGTTTGAATGTCTCCCACAGAATTTATATGTTGGAAACTTAATCCCCAATGTGACAGCATTGGCAGGAGGAGCCAAATGGGAGGTGTTTAGGTCTTGAGGGCAGGATATAAATGGCTGTCAAAAGAGGATTTGCTCTCTTGTGCACTTTGACCTCCTGCCTTGTGATGACACGGGAAGAAGGCCCTTACCAGTTGCCAATGCCTTGATCTTGGACTTTCCAGCCTCCAGAACTCTGAGGGAATAAATTTCTTTTTTTTTATATTTTACTCGGTTTCAGGCATTTTGTTATAGCAGCACAAACGAATTAAGCCAAGGCCCATTGTCCTTGACTAATTCTTGAAGATTAGAGGGCTCACTTCATTGGAGTCCAATATTGCTAATTTAAAATCTAATAATTGTATATCATCAAAAAAAATCTGTGAAGGCAATAAACTTTCCTTTATGGAAATAAAAAAGACACTAAATTAGTTATGCCATATCATTTCAAAGTTGAACTAATAGAAAATGTTACCCATTAATGATTTATGTTGTCTTTATCAGAAACAAAAAATGCCTTCCAAATACATTTTATCAAAAATCATTTAAGAAATACATCTCGTTTTATATAAGAAATTAAAGTGAGTCTAATCCCAAACTATTATAAATAACAAGTGTTGATCTCCTCCTCAGTCCTCCAAGAAACAGAACCGGCAAATTTCTGAAATTGTTCTAAAAAAATCAGTGATTATTTCAAAAGCTGGTAACAGTTTTTGAAGATTAGCATTCTTGGTGGAATATTTAATGAGCAGTTTAGCTGTAGTTCCCTAGCAAAATGAAGAAGTCCAGAAATTGTGAAAAACATATGGAGGCAAATGGCAAGGTTCACCATCCCCTGCCCAGTGGGATCTCAGCTACATCCATGTGATCCCTCAGCCATATTTAGGTCTTTCGATTTCTGCAGATGAAAGAACATTCTTTCACAAGAAATAGAGAAGCTACCATGATAATAAAAGCTCTTTGGGTGCCCCATCAGATGTAAGCTCTCCTTGATGATGATGTCGATTATCATCCTGTTATTTTTGGCATTTATTCATTTTCTCTCAGGCATGGGACTTTGCCTCATAATAAGTAGGAGGGCCTCAATTTCTTGAAGCTGCCAGAGCAACCATATTCCAACTATCATTTTTTTCACAAATGCTTACAAGATAATGTATAGTGAACTTCCTGGTTGAGAACGTGAAATGTTTTTGTACATTTCTGAAGAATGGCAAACTACCTAGCTTAAATACCCCGTGCCTAATTTCCACTAACATTGTTCAAGAGTCAAACCTCATAAACCCCAAAGCATATATAGCTAAGGGTGGAATAAAGGTGGGCTCAGAATGCTTAAAGCCCGTTATGTCCCATGTTATAAAGGACTCAGAACTAACTTCTACCCCTGGTACTTTCCTTATGCTTCTCTTAATGAGGTCTTTCCAAAAGATATAGGTGTCATTAACTCCTGGAAATCAATTCTTCCTTCAATATTGTTGCAGGCATTAAACCAGAAGTGACTATTAATATCAAAGGAATATTTAAGTTACAGGAGAATTAGTATGAAATATACATTCATATACATTAATATGAAGTATACACTCATAGGGTATTGTTAGGTGCCATAGGAAATTGAGAAACCTGTTATCTTTCCACAATCCAAATATTTAAGAATTAACTATAGAAACATATGTACATAAAGAATTGTAAACAACAGTATGACAAATTTTCTATCAAATTTTAAAAATGTAGGAAGTAACGACAATCTAAGTGGTATAATGCATATTTAATATTTTCTAGGGATGTATGTATGCTTGATATATTTACCAACTTTGATTTTTCAATGTAATATATACACTTTGAGAAGTAAATTTAGGTGTTCATAAATTAAGGAGAAAGTAGCCAATAAAAATGAAGTGTCAGTTTCATTTGAATAGGGATTTTTAAATGAATAATTTACAATATGTAGAGAGAGTTATAAAACATGAAAAATATTTCAAATAGTATAAAATATATGTGAATATTTATATGGTGCCAGAAAGAATATCTTAGAAGAAATACAAAGGAAATAACCTATTTTACTACAAAAATATGAACGTTTTAAAACCCAAAACAAATTAATGGCTTATTGCTAGCTGGAAATTTCTATGCACTCTGGAATAACTATGAAGCAAGACCAACATTCTAGGAGAAAATTATCAGTATTTGTTAAGAGCAGAAAAATGATCATTTTAAAAATATATTAATTCTCAATCTAAGAGTATTCTAGAGAGTACTAATAAATGTAAGGAAAGATAAAACATCAAAATATCACCTTAATACAAAAAGGAGTGGAAATTTTATAATTGACTAACACCAGGTTATAGGTTAAATTAATTGTGCTACATCTTATAACAGATCAAGAGTCACCATTGAAAAATCATTCTTGAAAAGAGCATATCTTGCTGTGAACTTTGAAGAGACTATTTATTTATATGAACAAATACAATATAACCTTAAATGACATCAAGGAAAAAAAAACTATTTTTCAGTACAATTCCAATTTCAAAACCTTAAATATAATGAATGTCACATGCTAGACTATTCCTAGATACTCTTGCGTTTGGGGTTTATCCTCCTAATAATTATGTAACAGGATGTTATAACACTATCGAACTACCCTGGTTTTAGTTTCAGCTAAAGCCCCAAGACTATTATTGAGACCACCATACAGAAATTGTAAAGAGGAGTCATTAACCCTTATTAGGAACACTTAGCCTGTGAAGATAAAAAGACCCAGGATTAGAGAGAACAGTTTGTTGATGTGTAATGAGTCCTACACACTTGTAAGATGGAGGGGTCAGTGTGCTTGCCCTTCAAATCATGCTTTAGGAAAGGGGATTAAAGGAGATGTGCAAAGAGTTTAATATACAAGCCGAATACTTTGGAGAACACAGTGGACTTGCGTCTGCCTTACAGACACACCTGAGACATCTAACATGGAAGGATCTGGTTGGCTGGTTTATGACAGCAGAGGGAAGGAGAGTTGGTGTCACTCGCCAACTGACACTCCTAGAGTCTTTCTGGACAAAAGATGCATTAGTGTTAATGGCGAAGCTAGGGATGAGCGACACATGTGAGTGAGAGTTAACTTTGGTACTCTATAGTGAGGTGAATTGTCAGATTTCTCACGGCCAAGGAAAGAGCCAGCAGCAGCCAGAGATGAATTGCCCCGCATGAAGAGAACGCTTGTTAAGAAATTCACAGCAATAAGTTGGTATCTCCAAAGAGCTATAATAACACTCAGAAAAGTAAGGGTCAGCTTAAAACTCTGTCCATTCCCAGGAACACCTCATGACAACCCGAAAAAGAGAAGTAGGACTTTCCCTGCCTCTTTCTGCCACTCTAAACTTGCTCACCCACAATCCTGGTGAGGATGGGAGCTGAGAATGACAAGCTGGAGATGAAGATACTGCAGAGTAAGTCAGGAAAGAGAAAAGAAGCCAACGGGGCATCCTTGTTGGAAATTTTACATTTTATTTATTATTAGGCTGAACAAATTCATTACTATACCATTTTTATTATTAGAAATCAATTAGAAAACTAGTACGATTTATTCCATCCAAATTTCACCCAAAGGAAAGGGAGAAATTTAGCTTCAAATATTAGACTTAAAAGGTTAGCAGCATACAAATATAGTTGCTTTCACATTGAATATCACGTCATGCTTGATCAATGCAGCTGCTATATAAAAATAAAGTTGTCCCCATTTCTTGTATTTTAGAGAATCCAATATCTACCTATCTCCCCCACCACAGTGTGCCCAGGATTTTCCTGGATATAGATGATTTTATTCCTGTTCCTGCCTCATCACTTATAGCTGTTTATTTCTCTCTGCCCAGCACTAATTCAAACATTACAATACAAGTCCTCTACCTTGATATTTAAAAAATATCTCTCACAAAGGGAGTTATATTTAATAGACTCCTGCTCACAACTTGGGGTTATAGGCAGGGTGGGGGAGTACTTTTTTGTGTATTATAAAAGTTAGCATAAAATTAAATATAAGGCACACTAGATTTTAGAAATTCCTTGGCCATATTCACCTCACTGAACTTCATTCTGGTTAGTTTTCAACCCTCAAGTTGCCCAATTCCCGGCTGTGTTGCTGACCTTCACAATCCTGGGAGATCATCCTATATGTTTCCCAACTTTTCCAGTATTAGTTATGGGGCCTGGGTCAGGTTACTTAGCATCTTCCTATCTTTCTTTCCTTTTCCCTTAAATTGGGATACTATGAGTAGCTACCTCACAGGATTACTGGGAAAATTAAATGGACTGACATGTATAAAGCAATTAGCTTAGTGCCTGGTACAGAGTTTATGTTTCATAAGGTACTCAGCTTGCATTTTGTTTCTTCTACTCATCATAAGTATGCCCTAGAGGGTAAGGTAGAATGGGAGTGGTTTCCTTCTTACATGAAAAGAACTCCTCAAAATGTTTTCCTAAGTGAAACAGTTCTCACTCCCAATACAATGAGTTACCTCCTTGAAAATAATATTATTTTCCTCTCCTGGACTTGTATGTCAAAAAATACAGTCAAAAGAATTGTATGAAATAGACTAAAATATTATTTATGTGTATTTCTGGATATAAAGTTGTGAAAGTTATTTTTATGCATATTGTATTTTATATATCAAATCTGAATTTCTTTTCTAAAAACAGAGATCTTACTTATTACCACCATGCCTTACTAACAATTTCATGAATATAGGCGATCAATGAACTTAATCAAAGAAGGTCTGGGACATTGAGAGTGGTGACTTAGGACCCTCCTTCCTACATTAGATGCTCACTTCTGGCCCAGAGCAAGTGATGAGGCCTCCAAGGAGGGTTTTGCAGTGTTATATACCACAGCAGAGTGAGGGTTCAGTCTATAAAATATCTCTATTTTATACAGTTTGTATGACAGTTTCCAGGGAGTCATGCCTCATAAATTCATATGTTCTGTATTTATTTATAAGCAATACTTAGGGATAGCCTATTAAAGAATTAAATAAAGAAGGCTTATCCTAGTAAATATCATTAGTCTACCTTGTGGTTCAATTATTATGTTCACAAGAACATTCATTTCAATCATCAGTCTTCTTTTCATTTCCCCTGGGTGCAATCTCCTGGTATTGGGGGAGAAATAGATTTCTGGCCAGTTGCTTTAACAGCATCTACCAATTCACTGTCTGAACTCAGTTAATATCTTCTTGCCACACATTTCTCTAGTTATTATTATTTGTTTTACTATATTTTAACAAAGAATTAAGGCATCTAATACCTTAAAAAACCCCAAAAGAATTGGAGGAAATAGACTAAAATATTATATATGTGTATTTCTGGATATAAGGTTATGAAAGTTTATTTTTATGCATATTATATTTTATAGATCTTGTTCAAATCAACAAGATTTTAACTACCTAATAGGGACTATGAATAAAATATATCCATAGTGAAAATATTTATTTAAAAGTCTTTTGATACATTTATTCCATTTAATTAGTGTTTATCTTCAATTGCACATTTTATATGATTTGATGGAGACACTTAATTGAACAATGCAATGTTTATAAGGTCAAATTCACTTTCTTCTCTGGACAATCCATTTTAACATGTTTTTAATCAATGGGAGGATTCAATCCAACCTCTCAAAGTGTTTCCTTTTCCTGGGAAGCATCATTTGCATAAGTCTAGTTTTCACTTACTTATATTAATAAATTACAAACCCTCTAATACACCTTGTAGCTATGATAGAGAGATTGATGTAGTGTTTGACACACCATACATTAGTAAAACTTACAGTATCAATCAGGGCAATGTGTCTCTTCTTTTCTTTAGATTACAGATTACTAAGAACCCAATATTCCTTTTTCAGAGAAAAGAAGTCCAAGGATTTTCTTTCAATATTGGCCATTAGTCAGCACCCAGATCTGAGAGAGATGTCCAACAGTGTTATTCTTGAGCTTATTTATTTTGCATAACTGAAACTTTATTCCAATTGAAGAACTCCCATTTTTCCCTCCTTTTAACTTTTGGTAACCACCATTCTATTTTCTGCTTCTAAGAGTTTCTCATACCTCATATGAGTGGAATCATGTAGTATTTGTCCTTCTGTTGCTGGTTTATTTCACTTAACGGTAATGTCTTGCACATTCATCCATGTCGTGAGAAATAGTAGGATTTCCACAGACATTTTTAAATGATTTTCTCTGTTGACTGACTGTGGGGTGCAGTTTCTTATCTCATTAGCCAGTGCATGGCCTGAGAACCCAGTGCCTGCTCACTTCAAGAAGCAGATAATAATTCTGGAAATCTGACTAAAGCATCTGCCTTATTCCAAATCTCTTCTGAGTCAACAACTAGTTATTTCTGGTAGTTATGTACATGACACACTTGAATTCTTCCCTAAATTCCATGAAATTTGTTGTTGTTGTTGTTGTTGTTTTTTAATGAATGCCCATTCCCTTGACAACAACAACAAGGCCATTGGCTATAAGTGAAAAGTCTTTGAACTGCTTTCATCTCTGTCCAATGTGCAGGTGTGCCCTTGTCTTCTTCCATTAAGCTTTCCCCATCTGCAGGGTGTATTGCCGTTGTTTTCCAAACAAGTGACATAATCCAGAAACTCTCATCAGTGAACCAGACAACTTACTTTGCTTCATGGGGAGCAATTCGCAAGACACAGAACATGCAGCAATTAACCTGGAAAAGTCTGCTGAGGGCTTTATTTGATCGGCTCTATAGTCAGTGAGGCAACCTGCTTGATATGGTTTGACTGTGTCCTCACCTAAATCTCATCTTGAGTTGTAGTTTCTATAGTCCCCACAAGTCATGGGAGGTGCCCAGTGGGAGATACTTGAATCATAGGGGTGGTTACCCCCATGCTGCTGCTCTCATGATAGAGAGTACTCATGAGATATGATGGTTTTATAAGGGGCTTTTCCCTTTTTGCTCAGCACTTCTCTTGCTGCTACCATGTGAAGAAAGACATGTTTGCTTCCCCTTTTGCGATGATTGTAAGTTTCCTGAGGCCTTCTCAGCCATTCTGAACTGTCAGTCAATTAAACCTCTTTCCTTTATAAATTACCCAGTCTCAAATATGTCTTTATTAGCAGTGTGAGAACAGACTAATACACTGCTCCTGTATGCAGTGATTCCCTTCTGTGTACTTGCCCACTTCCCAAAGTATGCTTTTTAACATCCCATTTCTAATTTCTGAGTGAACTTTGGCTGTGCTGTTTGATCCCTATATGAATGTTTCTGACATCATCCAAGACAAAGTTGGTTTCCCTAGCTTTGGAGTTATCTGATGCCCTTCTGTTAGGGCACAGTTTTGATGACCACCACTCAGTAAGAAGCAATCAATTGTCTTTTAAATGGTTTATTAGGAATAGCTATTTTGCCTAACATTTGTTCTCAAAAAATAAGAGGTCTTCACTGAACTCTTTCATTTCTGCAGATAGCTCTAGTCTGTGTATGTTCTGGTTTCGGGTGCATCTAATATTATCTGTGCAGTCAAATCATACAATCCTAATAGACCTTCCTGCATCACCACCCTCCAAAAATCCTTTAGCAATTTCTTCTGCTCAGAGCCTCTACTCAAATTCAGTTATCTTTCTGGTGACTTTGTGAACAGAGGTCAATAGCATTCTTAGATTGAAGAAAACAAAAACAAAAAACTGCAAAAGCCTAAGTAAGCTCTATTTATCTCTAGGTCTCTTACTCATTTGCAGATTCTGTAAGCGATAATTTTTTATGGTTTCAAAAAATGTCTCTAGTTGCTCCAGTCAATGTAATTCCAAGGGCTATGGATATTATCTGAGCTCATCAGCCTGGCTCTATTTGTCATGTGAGTCACCACAGTCCTTAACTCCTCTTTAATTCTTATGAGAGGAGAAGCTTTTATAATATAATCAATTTACTAACTTGCTTTGCATATTTGTTAAGTCCAGGTCCCACTTCATGAAATTATCAATTGTGCAGGCAAATTCAAACATACTTCTGGCAATATAGTAAATGTATACTGAGTCCTATTCTGTGAGAATGCATATTGTACCTGGCTGTTCCTGGAAATTGAGATGGAGAAGAAAGCACTAGGCAAGTTTCTAATGACATAGCCATCCTCCTTGGCTTGTTGTGCATCCTATACAGTGTTTACCACATCAGGTACAGTTGAAGCAATTAGGACAACTACTTGTTGAATGCTTGATAATCTACAGTTAACCTTCAGGGACTGGCCAGACAGCTCTGTTAATGGGGAAGCTAATGGGAACCAATAATCATACCTCAAGTATTCCCTTAATCAGGGCAATAATCTCTTGTACGTTCCTGGAATTCTGTATTGTTTACAATTTATTCTAGGACAACATAGGAAATTCCAAAAGTCACCGTTCAGCATGGCCAGTTAAAACTCCAGGAAGGGTGATTAGGCAATATACTTCCCCAACAAAAACGGAAAAAGGGAACATTCTCTATTAGCACATAATATCTATCCCAATTATGCATTCAGCTAAAGGCCATTAACCAGTGAAAAGTCTCCCCAGTCATATTCTTCACTCCTAAACTTATTCTGATGCTAGTCCCCCCAACATGGCATCTCCAAATCCTGCTAGTTTCAGCTTTGGGTCTTTCATAGCACTGCCTTGATTTATCATAAGTGCTACTGAACATTGAAAACCTCTATCTAGTCATTTTAGAGGCTTTGCCTACCAGTTCCTGGCTTTTTTACCAGGATTTGCTGGATTTTTACCAAATATTTGCAAAAGGCCTATGATTGCTTGTTTGGGGTAGGATAAGAATATCTCAGTCTCTCAGCCAACCTTTTTCAGACTCAATGACTTTATCTATGGAAACACATTCAGGCTGCTGTTTAAGTACTTTCCATTTTGAATCTTGATTCTCATCAGTTGATTTGATTTTTCTAGACTATAATAATTTGAGTGAACTTGCAGTGACACTTTAAGAAGTGGGAGGGAGGATCAGAGCAGCTCCCCACCTTCCAAATGTGGATACTGTTGTTCTAACTTCTTAGTAGAAACAGTAAGATTCTTTCTCTCTCTTTTTACACTGCTTTTTATAAACCATCTAAAGAGCTCCACTAAGTTGAGGGGATTCTTATTTCCTTTTTCTCTTCATGGTCCTTTCTTTTGTGTGCATAGATCTTTTTATCATCATGCAGCCCCCTCTGCATTACCTGAGCTGGCAGGTTCATCATCATCTCCTAAATATTCCCTTGGTTTCCCATTACATAAGGAGAACAGGAGACAGAAGCTCTCCAAAGTAGCACGTGTTTCATTATCTGTGCCAGAAACATTAAATTGATTGCGTCTTTCTGATCATCAAATAGACAGGTTGGTGTTGGTCATTCACACCATGCCTGAAGCATGAAAAGACATATGACACTTGTGAGTCATATGTCTCATATGTCTCACAATGAGTCATGTTGTGAGTCATATTGTGACATCTGTGAGTCATGTGTCTCATGTGTCTCACAATGAGTCACATTGTGAGATAGGAAATTACCTATCTCACAGGGGAGGGGATAGGGAATTTACCCCTCTCAGGAGAGGGTTGCTATGCTTCTACTTTTACCGGTTATATAGATTAATTATTATACCACATGAAAATACCTGCTTACAGAAGTTTTCAGACACTGGGGATTAGCCTTCAACTTACATAGCTCTAAAATTAGTGAAATTTCCTAGACAGGTGAAGAAGCCCTGCAAGTAATGATTTACCTGGCTTCTACTGGTATTTTTATGTAAAACATTTGAAAATTTACACAGAATATCCTTGGGATTTAGTAGTCACCTGATCTTAACCTCCAGTTATTTGTGTATTTTTTGAGTAATCAATGGCCTTGTTTATGCTACTTTGTGAAGAAGTGGGACATCATTCCAAGTAGTCATATAAGTACAAGTATGCCTTCCATGACAGGAAAGAAAAGGCTCACAGCAAAGAATAGTAGAATTTGGAAATTTTTTTTCTTAGGATTGGGTAATTATAAGCAATACATAGATTTTATTGTTCTTTGCTTGAAGGGAACTTATAGGTCTTACTTTATCAGCACCACTAGCACTAGCCAGGGGATAGAAATTGTTCTATCTTCCCCTCTTCCAGCCACCCTTCATCAATCCATTTAGCCATTTCCCTCATATCTAAGTGTACTTCCTCCACATTCCATTGCATCAAAGATTTGCTATCATCAATGTCCTATCATCAATGGGTAGGACTCAACTTGTAATTAGATCTTCACTATATTTTTTATATACTTTTTATTGCTAAAAATGACCCAGCCCATTAAGATTTATGAGATTAAAGCATAGTTCTGCTTGCACTGCCAATCTGTGCTAACACAAAGTCTCAGACTGGCAAAGAAACATGGTTCAAAAGCTTTACCAGTTCTGAAATGTACTAATAATTTCAAGAATACAGGCAACCAAGAGGCTCAGACAGCCCTGGGGGGTTGTCTGCGAGTAGACCAGTTCCCTGGCACTTTCCATGTTTGAGATGTAGTCTCAGGTTCGAATAGAAGATGAGGTCTCCTGGTGGAGTTTTGCTTGGTTGACTCACACAGCAGAGGAATATTTAGTCTATAAAATATTGCCACCTTATACCTCAGTTTAAGGGACATTTTCCAGGGAGCCAAGTATTATAAATCCTTAGGGTCTTAATTTATTAATGTTTTCTACAGGCAATCCTTTACCAGGGACATTCTGTTAAGAACTTTTCATAGATAAGGACTTTTCTAGAAATATGAATAGACTATTTGCCCAGAGCTTCAGTTATCATGTTGACAAGGAGATTATATTGGGTCACTTGCCCTCTTATTTTCTCCCAGGGTCAGAAATGAATAGCCAGTCAGCAGCTTTAACTCCTTCCTGTTCAAAAAAGTGTGCATAAATATAAAATTCATTGAATTTTTAAAAACTGAATATATGCTTGTAACCAGCACACAGATCAAGAAATATCCCTATTCCAGCTGCCCAGAAGCCTCCCCTCATGCTTGTTTCCTGTGACTACTTCCATCCAGGGGCAAGTAATCACCATGATATAATTTTATAATTAAAAATGTGTTATTTGAAATTGTTGATTGGTACCCCTATAAGAATTCATATCTAGATAATCACATATACACATGTGTAGATAGTAATCTCTTAAATTATAGAATGGGGTCTAACTTCTGTCTGTTATGTGAAAATATGAAGCTTTCTAAGCATGTGGCTTTCAAAAGTTTTCTTAGGATTTGGCAAATGTAAATAATGCATAGATCCTGTCGTTCTTTGTTTATATTAATTATTTGAGTACAACATGAATATATTTGTGCTGTAAAAAGATTCAAGCAATAAAAAGTAGTAAAATGTAAAAGCTTTTTCATCACCTTATAACACAATCTTCTCCTGACCCCAGAAGTCACCCCTACTAATAGATATTTTTCTATTAGAGTTTTGCTTTTGACATGAACAACATGTTATAGACCATTATGTGTCAGAATAATTAGACTCTTCCTATTGATTGTAATGGCTTTATTTTATTATAGCACAAAGGTTACCATAAAGTCTCTGAAGTCAGACTATCTGACTTTAAATCTTGACCTTGCTACTTCCCTGCTGATGACCTTGTGCCAGTTACTTGCTTTTTCCCCAGTTTCTTCACCTAAAAATGGGAACAGTGATAATCATAGTATTTTCCCAGAGGATTAAGTGAATTAATAGGGATAAAGTTTATAACAGACCCTGGCAGAGGTCAAGCATTGGATATATTTTGCCATTATTAAGATGTTATCATATTGCACATTTGATTATTAATATTGCTATAATTCACTTAAATTTTTGTCTGTTCATGGCCAATATGTTGTTTCTAAACTTTTCCTATAACAAAGTTACAATGAATATAATGCTTTCATGGCTTTTTACTCATGGATGTATTTATTTCAATAAATTATATTTGTAGAAATGAAAAGGTCAAGTGGAACATAATGCACATTTTGATTTGACTGGCATTCCCAAATTCACTTTCAATAAGTCTTATCATTGTATCCCTAACACTGTATGAAAATATTTGCTTCCCTGCATCTGTTGTCAGCCAACATCAGATATCATTAATCTTTTAAATTTTTGCCAGTGGGATGGATGTGAGGTTTGATTATTAGAAATATGTTCGCTGTGACTGGGAGGGCATGGGAATAACTGCGTCTAAACAAGGTCTTAGACCAAGTCTGAGCATGTGTGTCCTTGGTCTTATAGGCAGAGGTGTAGTGGGTACTATTGGGTTCAGCTGATCCAAAATCAGCTTCCAAGTTTACCTCAAATAACTCCCCTGGGTTGTCTCCTATTTCTGTATATTGTAATTCTGATCTTGGAGCCATCTCTAAAGCCTCCATTTTCATGAAAGTTCTTTCTTAGATGAGTTTTAACCTAGAATTTCCTGCAGTCTTGTTTCTCTTTATTCAACCTTAACAGCCTTTTGTGTTCTGGTCCTTTAAGAGCACTCTTCTTTTGTTTTCCAATGTATCTATAGATTGTTTATTAATAGTCTTCACTATTTTCTTTAGAACTTTTAATTTAGACTTCATAAAAGGTATTGTTGCATTAAAGTGGTTCTCACTTTCGAACAAGTCATTAAAATTGATCATTCTAGTTTGGGACAATATTAATATCTCTTGGATTGTATGGGCAATGAAACTGTAGTATTCTAATACACACATTAGAATTAAAATTAAAAATTAGTCATTTTTACACATTGATTTATACATTTATTAAAATAAGAATGAAAGGATGCCAGAGTAGGATATCCCTAGCAATATGTTTTTCCACTGCATATGTTTATTGTTTTGAAACTATTGCATAGATTGCAGCATGCAAATATCAAACTTTAATGTTTGTACTAAAGAAATTTTTTTCTGTAACAAGCTGTGTGAATATGCTTGTGTATATATTTTTATTTGTAGACATGTTTATTTCACTAGATTATATTTGAAATTTACTATACTATTAAGTAGAATTCCACTGTTAAGGTGATTATTTAACTATAATCTGCTTTCTTTCATAATTTTATCATAGTAAGAAAGCTAGTGAACTTAAATTTGACTACACATGGATATAAAGATGGGGACAATGGACACTGGGGACTACTAGATGGGAAGGGAAGGAAGGGGATAAAGGGTGAAAAACTACCTATTGTGTACTATGCTCACTACCTGGGTGATGGGATCATTCGTACCCCGAACCTCACCATCACACAATATACCCATGCAACAAATCTGCACACGTACCCCTGAACCTAAAATAAAAGTTGAAGTTAAAAAAGAAAAAAATAGTACTTTTGAAATAAAAAGCAAGAAGAAAAATACTTCACTGACACTATAAAATTAAGAGGGAAACCTATAAACAGTTCACTTGAGGTGTAAAAGTATAACAGTCATTTAATTAATGGGCTTATTTCTTTTATGGGCATTCGTTTGATTAAATCTTTTGTTCAGGCATATTTATAATTTTATATTATACTGTCACTCTGGTCTTCTACATTGCCTCATTTACTGTACTTCTTTTGTTTGTGTTGTATCTTCTTTTCAGTTTAGTTGTAGTTGTTAGGGTCCACCCAACTGGACAGTTTCCCCCTCCTATAGACCTAAGCCCCAAAGGCCAAAAGTAAAACCCCCTACCCCAAACCTGCCTGTATCTGTCTGACCAGAGGCCAGCTGTTCCAGGATGGGGTCAAGACGTCTACCTTACACAACAGAACTGGCAAGAAAAACATCTCCAGGAAGTGGTCAGACACCTGGCACAAAGGACCCCCCACCCTTTTCTTTTTCCTTCACCCTGACCCAGTTCTATGCCCTATAAAACCTTGCTATAGCCTGTAAGCCAGGCTCCCTCCTCTGCTTTTGTCAGGTTGTAGCCCGGCAGGACTGACAGTAAATCAGCTTGCATGAACTTGGGTCTACTGGCCTCATTCCTTTCTCGGCTGTCCTTCCAATTATCCCTTACAGTAGTCACTTAATTCCTTTTCTTTTTAACCTTCCTAATTATCCTCATTTTTACATTTAATTTCTGCTTTTGATGCTTTGGTTTAATCTGTTGGCATATGAATACATGTTTAATAATCAATTTTTAAAAATAAAGAGGTTTCATCTTTAGAGTTTGCCAGTTCTCATGGTGTAAATATATCAATCACAGTCAACTTCAAGCAGCAACCATAACATTACTGAATGTGCCTTTGGGCAGAGATGTGCACAATTGGCTCTCACTGTAAGCTCACTCCAGAACACCAGTATTTGTATTCCTCATTACCACGAAAGCTGCGACATGGTCTACTTCATTGTTCCCCAGTTCTTAGAACAGTACCTAGCATGTTGTCAACACAGTCAATATTTGTTAAATCAGTCAATGAATGAATGAACAGAAGATGTTCCCTCACTTCCAAGAAAGAGTACAGTGAACTGTTTCCCTGATGGAATGTCCATGTGATTCTGGCCCTTTACCACCTGCTTCAGGAATCCAATAATGAAAGAAAATGTAAACAATTTCGGTACCCAGTCCTTGAGATAACTTTCTGAAGGAATGATGTTAACATTAATGAATAAAAAAGGAACAAATAAAAAGTACACCACACATACTTTGCTTGTGTTCTGGTAGCACTAGCCCTAAACACAATATGAGTAAGGTAACAAAAAAGTAACCTGAGATATATTAAAAATGGTTTTAAAGCCAAAAGGGAGGAAGAAAGGAAAAAAGGAAGGAAGGGGGAAGGGCGAAAGTGAAAAACATATGGAGGAAGGAAAGGAAAATAATATCAAATGTTCACAGAGTGCTTATTCTGAATTATGTACCCTCTTATGTGCTTTATATAAATTATATTGTAAGGTTGAAAATATGTGCTCTGGAGAAGAGCTGCACGGAATAAAATCCCACTTCTGCTTTTTACTGATGGTGTGACATTTAGCGGATTAGTTAATTTGGTCATTGCTTCAGTTTCCTATTTGACTGTCCTACCATAAGACTATAATAAACCAATGCATATAAAAATGCTTAGCACTGAGTCTGACATATGGTAAGCATACAATAAATTTTAACTACAATTATCCAATGAAAACCTAACAACAACACTATGAAGTTTGTATAATTATTATTTTTACTTTTTTGATAAGGAGTCTGAATCACAAAGGGATTAAATAATTTACTCAAAGTCACGCAGGTATTAATCATGAATCTATCTTCCAGTAAATATCAATAGAAAACAAGATGTGGGATTTGAGTGCAGGCAATTAGACTCCAGAGCCTGTTTTTAAACTCTATGTTATTACAAGAAGACATGCACGTACCTTTAAAAGAAGAAAATTTGAGACAGCAAATGCTTAACAACCAAGAAATTACAAAAGAAAAAAACCTACAATCTATGAAACAAAAATTATATGATGAGATTAATTAATACATTTAACAAATACTTATTGAGCACCAATTATTGGTTCAACCATGCTTTTAGGTACTGAGAATTCAACTGTGAACTGGTCTCTACTTTCACAGAATATACTTTATAATACAGTATAAAATGGCATAACAAAATGGAAATGGGGTTGGTAAAGGCAGCAAAAATCTTCAACAGAAAAATAAATATTTTTATAAACCAATAATTTTTGAAAGATAGGATATAGCATATAAGCATATGGAAAATAGGTATCCATGATAGAGAATATAATAGTGGAACAGTTAATGACTTCTGACATGAAGGAAGTACTGAGATGAGAATTGAACAGGATTTGTTTTCCTTCAGAAAAAAAATAATCGGTAGAAAAAATATATGCTGGTATAGCTAAAAAAATTTGAGGATTAAAAAATCTCTTCTATACAATATATAAAAATGCATAGCACCTGTAAGAAAACAAATATATTGGGTTGGATTCAAATTTTTTTGTACCAAAATTTCCAATAGATAATGGAGCAAGTCTGCAAGGATATGGGCAAAAAATAGTGGGATCTAAATATGTTGTACATAGATTGTTATTCCTGTCAAAGGGATGAGGAGTTGGTCTCATATATGTACTAACACAGCAGATACAATAATTCGGAAACTTCTTGAGAAGCTTTGTAGTTATATATACACTGTAATTATTTATAATACTATTAAATGCAATATAACAATTTAATACATAGAGAAGCTGCCTTATTGAAATATTGAAATAAGCATTGAAAAATCTAAATGTAGCTGGCAAGATGGCCTAATAGAAACAGCTCTGGTCTGCAGCTCCCAGCGAGATCAACACAGAAGGCAGGTGATTTCTGGATTTCCAACTGAGGTACCCAGTTCATCTCATTGGGACTGGTTAGACAGTGGGTGCAGCCCACGGAGGGTGAGCTGAAGCAGGGTGGGGCATCACCCCACCAGGGAAGTGCAAGGGGTTTGGGAAATCCCTCTCCTAGCCAAGGGAAGCCCTGAGAGATTGTGCCTTAAGGAATGGTGCATTCTGGCCCAAATACTACACTTTTCCCATGGTCTTTGCAACCTGCAGACCAGGAGATTCCCTCAGGTGCCTATGCCACTAGGGCCCTGGGTTTCAAGCATAAAACTGGGGATCATTTGGGCAGACACCCAGCTAGCTGCAGTTTTTCTTTTTTTCATACCCCAGTGGCACCAGGAGCCCGAGTGAGACAGAACCCTTCAATCCCCTGGAGAGAGGGCTGAAATCAGGGAGCCAAGTGGTCTGGCTCAGTGGTCCCACCCCCACGGAGCCCAGCAAGCTAAGATCCACTGGCTTGAATTTCTCACTGTCAGCACAGCAGTCTGAAGTAGACCTGGGAGGCTCCAGCTTAGTGGGGGGAGGGACGTCCACCATTACTGAGGCTTGAGTAGGCAGTTTTCCTCTCCCAGTGTAAACAAAGCCTCCAGGAAGTTCAAACTGGGTGGCAAAGCCACAGTAGCCAGACTACCTCTCTAGATTCCTCCTCTCTGGGCAGGGCATCTCTGAAAGAAAGGCAGCAGCCCAAACAGGGGCTTATAGATAAAATCTCCCTGGGACAGAGCACCTGGGGGAAGAGCGGCTGTGGGTGCAACTTCAACAAACTTAAACATTCCTGCCTGCTGGCTCTGAAAAGAGCAGCAGATCTCCCAGCACAGTGCTCCAGCTCTGCTAAGGGCCAGACTGCCTCCTCAAGTGGGTCCCTGACCCCTGAGTCCCCTGACTGGGAGACACCTCCCAGCAAGGGTTGACAGACACCTCAAACAGGAGAGCTCTGGCTGGCATCTGGCAGGGGCCCCTCTGGGACAAAGCTTCCAGAGGAAGGAACAGGCAGTAATCTTTGCTGTTCTGCAGCCTCTGCTGGTGATACCCAGGCAAATAGGGTCTGGAGTGAACCTCCAGCAAACTCTAGTAGACCTGCAGCAGAGGGGCCTGACTGTTAGAAGGAAAACTAACAAACAGAAAGGAATAGCATCAACATCAACAAAAAGGAAGTCCACACCAAAACCCCATCCATAGGTCACCAACATCAAAGACCAAAGGTAGATAAATACATGAAAATGAGGAGAAACCAGCACAAAAATTCCAAAAACCAGAATGCCTTTTCTCCTCCAAAGGACCACAACTCCTTGCCAGCAAAGGAACAAAACTGGATGGAGAATGAGTTTGACAAATTGACAGAAGTGGGCTTCAGAAGGTGGGTAATAACAAACTCTTCCAAGCTAAAGGAGCATGTTCTAACCCAATGCAAGGAAGCTAAGAACCTTGAAAAAAGGTTAGAGGAATTGCTAACTAGAATAACCAGTTTAGAGAAGAACATAAATGACCTGACGGAGCTGAAAAACACAGCACGAGAACTTCATGAAACATAAACAACTATCAATAGCCAAATCGATCAAGCGGAAGAAAGGATATCAGAGATTGATGATCAACTTAATGAAATAAAGCGTGAAGACAAGACTAGAGAAAAAAGAATGAAAAGGAACAAACAAAGCCTCCAAGAAATATGGTACAATGTGAAAAGACCAAACCTTTGTTTGACTGGTGTACCTGAAAGTGACAGGGAGAATAGAACCAAGTGGGAAAACACTTTTCAGGATATTATCCAGGAGAACTTCCCCAACCTAGCAAGAAAGGCTGACATTCAAATTCAGGAAATACAGAGAACACCACAAAGATACTCCCTGAGAAGAGAAACACCAAGAAACATAATCATCAGATTCACTGAGGTTGAAATGAAGGAAAAAATCTTAAGGGCAACCAGAGAGAAAGGTTGCATTACCCACAAAGGGAAGCCAGTCAGATTAACAGCCAATCTCTCTGCAGAAACCCTACAAGCAAGAAGAGAGTAGGGGCCAATATTCAACATTCTTAAAGAAAAGAATTTTCAACCCAGAATTTCATATCTAGCCAAACTAAGCTTCATAAGTGAAGGAGAAATAAAATCCTTTACAGAGAAGCAAATGCTGAGAGATTTTGTCACCACCAGGCCTGCCTTACAAGAGCTCCTGAAGGAAGCACTAAACATGGAAAGGAAAAACCGGTACCAGCCACTGCAAAAACATACCAAATTGTAAAGACCATCAACGCTATGAAGAAACTGTATCAACTAACAGGCAAAATTACCAGCTAGCATCATAATGAGAGGATAAAATTCACACATATCAATATTAACCTTAAATGTAAATGGGCTAAATGCCCCAAGTAAAAGACACACACTGGCAAATCGGATAAAGAGTCAAAATCCACTGGTGTGCTGTATTCAGGAGACCCATCTCACTTGCAAAGAAACAAATAGGCTCAAAATAAAGGGATGGAGGAATATTTACCAGGCAAATGAAAAGCAAAAAAAAAAGCAGGGGTTGCAATCCTAGTGTCTGATAAAACAGACTTTAAACTGACAAAGATCAAAAAAGATAAGGAAAAGCATTACATAATGGTAAAGGGATCAATGCAACCAGAAGAGCTAACTAACTTAAATTTATATGCACCCATACAGGAGCACCCAGATTCATAAAACAAGTTCTTAGACACCTACAAAGAGACTTAGACTCCCACGCAATAGTAGTGGGAGACTTTAACACCCCACTGTCAATATTAGACAGACTGATGAGACAGAAGTTAACAAAAATATTCAGGACTTGAACTCAGCTCTGGACCAAGCAGACCTAACAGACATCTACAGAACTCTCCAGCCCAAATAAAGAGACTATACGTTCTTCTCAGCACCACGTCACACTTATTCTAAAATTGACCACATAATTGGAAGTAAAATACTCCTCAGCAAATGCAAAAGAACAGAAATCATAACAAACAGTCTCTCAGACCACAGTGCAGTCAAATTAGAACTCAGGATTAAGAAACTCACTCAAAACTGCACAACTACATAGAAACCGAACATTCTGCTCCCAAATGACTACTGGTTAAAAATTGAAATTAAGGCAGAAATAAGTAAGTTCTTTGAAACCAATGAGAACAAAGACACCATGTACCAGAATCTCTAGGACACAATTAATAGATCTTCCTGCTTTCTCCTGTGTGCATTTAGTGCCCATAAGAGAAAGCAGGAAAGATCTAAAATTGACACCCTAACATCACAATTAAAAGAACTAGAGAAGCAAGAGCAAACAAATTCAAAAGCTAGCAGAAGACAAGAAATAACTAAGATCAGAGCAGAGCTGAAGGAGATAGAGACATGAAAAACGCTTGAAAATATCAATGAATCCAGGAGCTGGTTTTTTTGAAAAGATTAACAAAATATGTAGACCACTAGGCACATTAATAAAGAAGAAAAGAGAGAAGAATCAAATAGACACAATAAAAAATTATAAAGGGGATATCATCACTGATTATCATCACTGATCCCACAGAAATATAAACTACCATCAGAATACTATAAACACCTCTGTGCAAATAAACTAGAAAATCTAGAAGAAATGGATACATTCCTGGACACATACACCCTCCCAAGACTAAACCAGGAAGAAGTTGAATCCCTGAACAGACCAATAACAAGTTCTGAAACTGAGGCAGTAATTAATAGCCTAACAACCAAAAAAAGCCCAGAACCAGATGGATTCACAGCCGAATTCTACCAGAGGTACAAAGAGGAGCTGGTACCGTTACTTCTGAAACTCTTCCAAACAATAGAAAAAGAGGGACTCCTCCCTAACTCATGGAATGAGGCCAGCATCATCAGGATACCAAAACCTGGCAGAGACACAACAAAAAAGAAAATTTCAGGCCAATATCTCTGATGAACATTGATGCAAAAATCCTCGATAAAATACTGGCAAACCAAATGAGGCAGCACATCAAAAAGTTTACCACCATGATCAAGTTGACTTCATCCTTGGGATGCAAGGCTGGTTCAAAATATGTAAATCAATCAACGTAATCCATCACATAAACAGAACCAATCACAAAAACCACATGATTATCTCAATAGATGCAGAAAAGGCCTTTGACAAAATTCAACAGCCCTTCATGCTAAAAACTCTCAATAAACTAGATATTGATGGAATGTATCTTAAAATAATAAGAGCTATTTATGACAAATCCACAGCAAATATCATACTGAATAGGCAAAAACTGGAAGCATTGCCTTTGAAAACTGGCACAAGTCAGGGATGACCTCTCTCACCACTCCTATTCAACATAGTGTTGGAAGTTCTGGCCAAGGCAATCAGGCAACAGAAAGCAATAAGGTGTATTCAATTAGGAAAGGAGGAAGTCAAATTGTTCCTGTTTGCAGATGATATGATTGTATATTTAGAAAACCCCATCGTCTCAGCCCAAAATCTCCTTAAGCTGATAAGCAACTTCAGCAAAGTCTCAGGATACCAAATCAATGTGCAAAAATCACAAACATTCCTATATACCAGTAATAGAAAAATAGAGCCAAATCATGAGTGAACTCCCATTCACAATTGCTACAAAAAGAATAAAATACCTAGGAATACAACTTACAAGGTATGTGAAGGACCTCTTCAAGGAGAACTACAAACCACTGCTCAAGGAACTAAGAGAGGACACAAGCAATGCCCATGGATAGGAAGAATCAATATCATGAAAAATGGCCTTCCTGACAAAAGTATTTTATAGAGTCAATGCTATCCCCATCAAGCTACGACTGACTTTCTTCACAGAATTAGAAAAACTACTGTAAATTTCATATGGAACCAAAAAAGAGCCCATATAGCCAAGACAATTCTAAGCAAAAAGAACAAAGCTGGAGGCATCAGGCTACCTGACTTCAAACTGTACTACAAGGCTACTGTAACTGTACAGTTACAGTACGGTTTGGTACCAGTAAACAGCATGGTACCAGTACCAAAACAGATATATAGACCGTGGAACAGAATAGAGGCCTCAGAAATAATGCCACATATCTACAACCATCTGATCTTTGACAAACCTGACAAAAACAAGAAATGGGGAAAGGATTCCCTACTTAATAAATGGTGCTGGGAAAACTGGCTAGCCATATGTAGAAGGCTGAAACTGGACCCCTTCCTTACACCTTACACAAAAATTAACCAAGACGGATTAAAGACTAAATGTAAGACCTAAAACCATAAAAACCCTAGAAGAAAACCTAGGCAATACCATTCAGGACATAGGCATGGGCAAGGACTTCATGACTAAAACACCAAAAACAATGGCAATAAAAGCCAAAATTGACAAATGAGATCCAATGAAACTAAAGAGCTTCTGTGCAGCAAAAGAAACTATCATCAGAGTGAACAGGCAACCTACAAAATGGGAGAAAATTTTTGCAATCTATCCATCTATCCATCTGACAAAGGGCTAATATCCAGAATCTACAAGGAATTTAAACAAATTTACCAGAAAAAACAACCCCATCAAAAAGTGGGTGAAGGATACGAACAGACACTTCTCAAAAGAGGACATTTATGAGGCTAACAAACATATGGAAAAAAAGCTCATCATCACTGGTCATTAGAGAAATGCAAATCAAAACTACAATGAGATACCATCTCACGCCAGTTAGAATTGCAATCATTAAAAAGTCAGGAAACAACAGATGCTGGAGAACATGTGGAGAAAAGGGAATGCTTTTACACTGTTGTGGAAGTTTAAATTAGTTCAACCATTGTGGAAAAGAAAACCTCCAACCTCTCAACTATGTATATAGAAAGTCCAAGGAAAAGATCTCAGGTAATACTACAAAAATTGGGAAGTATAGGTGGTCTATTGATTTCCTATTAGTGCGGTACCAAGTTGTCACACTTAGTGTCTAAAATAGCACACATTTGTTATCTTGTAGTTCTGAAGGCCAGAAGTCTGGAATGGTTTCCACTAGGCTAAAATCAAGATATTGGCAAGGCTGCGTTTTTTTTCTTAAGGCTCTACAGAAGAATCTGACTTCTTGCTTTTCTTTTCCAGCTACTACACGTTGTCTGCATTCCTTGGCTCATGGTCCTTTTAATCTTTAAAGCCAGCAAAGGCCCATCAAGTTGGTCTCACCTGGAAGAGCTCTAATACTGATGCTTCTTTGTCTCTTCCACTTTTAAGGACTCTCACGATTACATTAAGCCCACCTATATAACCAGGATATCCTATTTTAATATAAGCTAACTAGCAACCTTAATTCCCCTCTGTCATGTAACCTAACCTATTCAGAAGTTCTGGAGATTTGGACAGAGACACTTGGGAAGCCATTATGCTGCTGACCATAGGTGGTAGGAAGTTTAAATTTTATAGCTAAGGACAATAAGCATTCATTCATTTCTGAGGTAGATTAATATTGAAATATTTTACATTTATGGAATTTTTCTAATTTAGAAATTTTCTAATATTTCCTCAGGATAAGATTATGCATTTTTGACAAAAATATTGCTAAACTGATGTTGAATTCTCATGCATTACATCAAGGAGCATATGATATACTTGCATCTCATTATCCAAAACGTTATCTTGGATCATTTAACTACGGTAGAATCTGCCCAGTTTTTTCACTGAAAAGTTACAATTTTAACTTTGAAATTAATAAAGTATCTTGTGGGTAGATAATTTCAGACTATGTAACTATCCTGTTTCAAATTTTTGTCCACTGCTTTAAGCAGTCATTTATAATTCTTTGCTGGAACACACCAACAGTGTGGGGAGGTCAATTTTATAAGCCCACTGTCAAATTCATTTTCATTTATGGGCAGATATAACCTTCTGTTCAATTAATTAACAAGGTGTGCAGAAAAGAGATAACAAGCAGGCCTGAGGCTGCTACCCTTAGAAAAGCCTGCTTGCTAAGTTGGCTCTTGGTTGGAGTCTGGGAACTTAAATAATAAACACTTCCTATACTGATACACAGGTTTACTTAAATGATGAGTGGCTCACTATGCCTAGACTGTTTGTACAAACAACATGGTTTATGCTGAATATCTACTTTCTATCTGGGAGTCTGGAATTTTGATATATGCTAGGAAGAAGATCCCCACTTGATCATCCTCCAAGAAAAACCCTGGGTGTTGAGTCTCTAGTGAGCTTCTCTGGTTGACAATACTTTACATGTGTTTTCACAATTTGTTACTGGAGGAATTAGGCATGTTCTATGTGAGTCCACTGAGATTAAGTGCATGGGGCCTATGCCTAATTTCCTGCAGTCTTCACCCCATGTACATTTTCCATTCCTGATTTTGTTTTGCATCCTTCACTTTAATAAATATTAGTGTGAATGCATTATATGCTGGGTCCTGCAAGTCTTTCTAGTGAATCACCATACCTAGGAGTAGTTGTGGGGAAGCTGTCTACATTAAGACATATAGGCCGGGTGCGGTGGCTCACGCCTGTAATCCCAGCACTTTGGGAGGCTGAGGCAGGCAGATCACGAGGTCAGGAGATCCAGACCATCCTGGTTAACACAGTGAAACCCCGTCTCTACTAAAAATACAAAAAAAATTCGCTGGGCGTGGTGGCGGGTGCCTGTAGTCCCAGCTACTCGGGAGGGTGAGGCGGGAGAATGGCGTGAACCCGGGAGGTGGAGCTTGCAGTGAGCCGAGATCGCGCCACTGCACTCCAGCCTGGGTGACAGAGCTAGACTCCATCTCAAAAAAAAAAAAAAAAAAAAAAAAAAAAGTCATACAGATTCTAAATAATTTCTTTTCTTTTTTTTTTTTTTTTTTTTTGAGACGGAGTCTCGCTCTGTCGCCCAGGCTGGAGTGCAGTGGCGCGATCTCGGCTCACTGCAAGCTCCGCCTCCCGGGTTCACGCCATTCTCCTGCCTCAGCCTCCCGAGTAGCTGGGACCACAGGCGCCCGCCACCACGCCCGGCTAATTTTTTGTATTTTTAGTAGAGACGGGGTTTCACCGTGTTAGCCAGGATGGTCTCGATCTCCTGACCTCGTGATCCGCCCGCCTCGGCCTCCCAAAGTGCTGGGATTACAGGCGTGAGCCACCGCGCCCGGCCCAATAATTTCTTGATACATTGTGTAAGAACAGAATTATGCTAAGTGAAACCAAGACAAGTAACCTAGCCCTATATTAAGAGACTCACAATATGGTGGCTGTGTCTGCATACAGAAATATAAAAAAATAATATTCAGGCCACGCACGGTGGCTCATGCCTGTAATCCTAGCATTTTGGGAGGCTAAGGTGGGTGGATCACTCGAACTCAGGAGTTCAAGACCAGACTGGGCAACGTGGCAAAACTCCATCTCTACTAGAAATACAAAAATTAGCTGGTCATGATGGCGTGCACCTGTGGTCTCAGCTACTTGGGGGGTGAGGCAGGAGGATCACTTGAACCTGAGAGATCAAGGCTATAGTGAGCTGAGATGGTGCCACTGCACTCCCATCCAGGTGACAGAGTGAAACCCCTGCAAAACAAATTAATAATATTAAATTAATTGAGTCAGAGCAGAATATGGCAAATACAAGAAGTTATTTCTTTAGGAGTTTCAAAAATGTAGACCTCGTATCTTCTTCAGATTATCAGGAAAGCTAGAGGCATGTGAGTTAGCTTTAAATTAATAAGTGAGTCTTGACAGAATATGATACCTGGAGGTAGAGGGAAGGAGAGTTTTGGAAGGCAAGGGAAATGGATAGAGTGCATGCCAAAAGAAGTGAAATATAGAGTGTATTAGAAATAAAATATAATAATAACCATTACTTATGGCACAAATTGGAATTTTCAAATGCTCTTGGTTAAAATCCTAATAATTTCAGTGCCTTATTTATAATTCAGTTTTATGTAAAACTTATAGATTATTATAGAAAGACCACAAAAATTCCATGGCATTTTACAAGTGTTCCTCTTAAACTCAGGCACAGAATTTATGCTTTACTGGTTCCTAATTATGTTTTTCTTTTCTGTCTCTTCTTTATTAAGGTTCATCATGAATGAGAAATGGGACACAAACTCTTCAGAAAACTGGCATCCCATCTGGAATGTCAATGACACAAAGCATCATCTGTACTCAGATATTAATATTACCTATGTGAACTACTATCTTCACCAGCCTCAAGTGGCAGCAATCTTCATTATTTCCTACTTTCTGATCTTCTTTTTGTGCATGATGGGAAATACTGTGGTTTGCTTTATTGTAATGAGGAACAAACATATGCACACAGTCACTAATCTCTTCATCTTAAACCTGGCCATAAGTGATTTACTAGTTGGCATATTCTGCATGCCTATAACACTGCTGGACAATATTATAGCAGGTATGTTGGCTTTTGTGCAGTTTGAAGATAATATGAAATATTTGTCCCATATTTCAGCAGCCATTGGCAGGGCTGTTCATTCATTCATTTATTTACATATATTTATGGAATTCCAGGAACTGATCCAGGCACCTGCCCTCATTGGATCTGCATTCTGAAGGACTAGATGGACAATAAATAATTATATTAGAGAATGAGAAGGATTCTGAAGGAAAGTAAAAGTGATATAATAGAAACAGAAAGTGGAGGCTGCTATTTTTATAGAGTATTCACTGGAGGTCATGAGAAAATAAGATTTATTATGTGTAGGGGTGGGTTGCCCCTACACACCTGTGGGTGTTTCTCGTAAGGTGGGACGAGAGATTTGGAAAAGAAAAAGACACAGAGACAAAGTATAGAGAAAGAAATAAGGGGACCCGGGGAACCAGCGTTCAGCATATGGAGGATCCCGCCAGCCTCTGAGTTCCCTTAGTATTTATTGATCATCTGTGGGTGTTTCTCAAAGAGGGGGATGTGTCAGGGTCACAAGACAATTGTGGGGAGAGGGTCAGCAGACAAACACGTGAACAAAGGTCTTGGCATCATAGACAATGTAAAGGATTAAGTGCTGTGCTTTTAGATATGCATACACATAAACATCTCAGTGCTTTACAAAGCAGTATTGCTGCCCGCAGGTCCCACCTCCAGCCCTAAGGCGGTTTTTCCCTATCTCAGTAGATGGAGCATACAATCGGGTTTTATACCGAGACATTCCATTGCCCAGGGACAGGCAGGAGACAGATGCCTTCCTCTTGTCTCAACTGCAAGAGGCATTCCTTCCTCTTTTACTAATCCTCCTCAGCACAGACCCTTTACGGGTGTCGGGCTGGGGGACGGTCAGGTCTTTCCCTTCCCACGAGGCCATATTTCAGACTATCACATGGGGAGAAACCTTGGACAATACCTGGCTTTCCTAGGCAGAGGTCCCTGCGGCCTTCCGCAGTTTTTGTGTCCCTGGGTACTTGAGATTAGGGAGTGGTGATGACTCTTAAGGAGCATGCTGCCCTCAAGCATCTGTTTAACAAAGCACATCCTGCACCGCCCTTAATCCATTCAACTCTGAGTTGACACAGCACATGTTTCAGAGAGCACGGGGTTGGGGGTAAGGTCATAGATTAACAGAATCTCAAGGCAGAAGAATTTTTCTTAGTACCTAACAAAATGGAGTCTCCTATGTCTACTTCTTTCTACACAGACACAGTAACAATCTGATCTCTCTTGCTTTTCCCCACAATTATGTCTTACCTGAAACCTTTGTATTTTCTTAATAAAGTTCAGGGCACATGTAAGATGATAGAAATATCACTATGAACTGTAAGGTCCAAAGAACTGACACATCTGATATGATTATGTCTTCAGTCTGACATAAGTAGAAATTTAGGCCCTCATGTGGTTAGCTAGAGAGATTTCCAACAGTTTTTGAGAGAAGATGCAACAATATTAATGATTTTTCAAAAAGTGGTAGTTTATGTGTGCAACATAAGTTTACATTGTAAAGCTTAGGGTAGCACCCTAAAGTACTTCTGGGCCCACAGAAGTACTTTACCTTACTGCATAGATCTGAGTTTTTGTGATGTTTATCATTAAAAAAAAATTTTATTGAGGTTGTGATGAAAGGACCCTTCCCTTGACCCCTGCTTGGGACTGGTGAAGGGGCGGCTCCCTTACTCCACCTGCAACTCTCAAGCCCCTTGTGGGAGGGGGAGCATGCAGGTGAGAGGGTGCAGGAGCTAGGGCAAGTGCTTTTGGGTGCCAGCAGTAACTAATCCTGTACCAGCCCCAGGGCTGTGTCTAGAGGTTGCCTGTGACCCCTGGAGCCCCAGAAAGCAGACAGCTAAGTGTTAACCAGCTCAGTGGAGGGTCAGGGTGACAGCATTTTGCACCTGTCCTCTTGGTACCTGAGTTCCTGTCTGGCATTCAGGAAGAATCAGGTCGCATGAACGAATTGAAGTGTGGTGAATGTGGAGGATTTTATTGAGCGGTGGAAGTGGCTCTCAGCAGGATAGAGAGCTGGAACGGGGATGGAGTGGGAAGATGATTGATGGTCCCTGGTTGAACTCCTCTCCAACCATAGTCTCCAATGCCCAGCTGTTTTTTTTCTCGATGTTCAGATGCTTCTTGTCTTCTCTCCTTCTCTGCCGCACCACTCTGCTGCTGTGCCATTGGAACCTGGGGTTTTTATAGGTATAGGATGCGGGGCGTGGCAGGGCAGGATGGTTTTGAAAAAGGCAAATTTCAGGTGGGAAAACAGGATTGCATGTTCTCACTTAGAGCCCAAGGTCCAAGCTTGAAGGTGGAGTCCTTGCCAGGGACTGCGCCCTTTTCTAACTAGTATTTCCTTGCCTCCTGTCCATATCAGTTACATTATCAAGATACTGTGCTAAACAAAAAGAGGGTGTACACCGCATATTCTCACTCATAGGTGGGAATTGAACAATGAGATCACATGGACACAGGAAGGGGAATATCACACTCTGGGGACTGTTGTGGGGTGGGGGGAGGGGGGAGGGATAGCACTAGGAGATATACCTAATGCTAGATGACGAGTTAGTGGGTGCAGCGCACCAGCATGGCACATGTATACATATGTAACTAACCTGCACAATGTGCACATGTACCCTAAAACTTAAAGTGTAATAAAAAAAAATTGCTAGGAGTTATAACATTTAACATTATAACATTATATAACATTATAACATGTAATTCAGACTACTGGAAATAGATTTACATGGGTGATTTGTAAGAACAGTAAAATGTGATTTTACTAAAAGATTATAAAAAAGCATGGAAATGTAAATTTTTGCCTAGGGTTGAAGGATTGTTTTGAATTAGATAAGATAAAGCTGAAGGTTTAAACAAATGATGGAAGGATTCTAAAAACTAATCTTGCAAAAACTGTATGTGTGAACATATTTACTAAATTCAAAGGGGTATTATAGGATTTTTCTGTAAATTGAGCATTGAAATAAAAGTACAATAAATGTTAAAAAAAAAAGAGGGTGTACAAATTGATAATTATTGTTATCACTCCCAGACAAGTTTTTTTTTAATTTAACTTCTATTTTTAATTCAGGGGTACATGTACAAGTTTATTACACAGGTAAACTTGTGTCATGGGGGTTTGTTGTACAGATTATTTTGTCACCCAGGTATTAAGCCTAGTACCCATTGGTTTTTTTTTTTTCCTGAGTCTCTTCGTCCTTACTCCCTCTACCCTCTGATAGGCCCCAGTACGTGTCGTTCCCCTCTATCTCATCATTAGCTCCCACATATAAATAGTAACATGTAGTATTGGGTTTCCTGTTCCTGCATTAGTTTGCTGCAGATAATGGCCTCCAGCTCCATCCATGTTCCGTCAAAGGACATGAGCTCATTCTTTCTTATGGCTACATAGTATTCCATGGTGTATATCTACCACATTTTCTTTATTCATCTACCATTGATGGGTATTTAGATTGATTCCATGTCTTTGCTATCGTGAATAGTGCTGCAGTGAACATACACATACATGTGTCTTTATAATAGAACAATTTATATTCCTCTGGGTATATACCTAGTATTGGGATTGCTGGGTTGAATGGTAGTTCTGTCTTTAGGTCTTTGAGGCATTGCCACATTGTCCTCCAGAATGGTTGAACTCATTTACATTTGCACCAACAGTGTGAAAGTGTTTATTTTTCTCCACAATTTTGCCAACATCTGTTACTTTTTGACTTTTTAATAGTAGCCACTCTGACTGGTGTGGGATGATATCCCATTGTGGTTTTTATTTACATTTCTCTAATATTCAGTGATGTTGAGCTTTTTTTCATATGTTTGTTGGCCACATGTATGTCTTCTTTTGAAAAATATCTGTTCATGTCCTTTGCCCACTTTTTAATGGGGTTGTTTATTTTTTGTAAATTTGTTTAAGTTCCTTTTAGATGCTGGATATTAGACCTTAGTCAAATGCAAAGTTTGCAAAAATTTTCTCTCAGTATGTAGGTTGTCTCTTTACTCTGTTGATATTTTCTTTTGTCATGTGGAAGCTCTTTAGTTTAATTATTAATAGATTCCATTTGTAAATTTTTGCCTTTGTTGTGATTGCTTTTGGTGTCTTCCTAGTGAAATTTTTGCCTGTTCCTATGTCCAGAATGGTATTGCCTAGTTGTCTTCCAGAGTTTTCATAGTTTTGGGTTTTACCTTTAAGTCCTTAATCCATCTTGAGTTAAATTTTGTACATGGTATAAGGAAGGGGTGTGGTTTCAATCTTCTGCACATGGCTAGCCAGTTATCCCAGCATGATTTATTAAATAGGGAGTCCTTTCCCCATTACTTGCCCATTGTTTTTGTTAGCTTTGTTGAAGGTTAGATATTTGTAGGTGCATGGATTTGTTTCTGGGTTCTCTATTCTGTTCCATTGGTCTATGTGTCTATTTTTGTACTAGTACCATGCTATTTTCATTACCATAGCCTTGTGGTATAGTTTGAAGTTGGGTAGCATAATGCCTCCAGCTTTGTTCTTTTTACTTAGGATTGCTTTAGCTATTCAGGCTCTTTTTTGCTTCCATATGAATTTTAAAATAATTTTTCTAGTTCTGTAAAGAATGTCATTGGTGATTTAATAGGGATAGCATGGAATCTATAAATTGCTTTGGGCAGTATGGCCATTTTCATGATATTGATTCTTCCTATCCGTGGGCATGGAGTGTTTTTCTATTTGTTTGTGTCATCATGGATTTCTTTGAACAGTGTTTTGTAGTTCTCCTTGTAGAAATCTTTCACCTCCGTAGTTAGCTGTATTCCTAGATATTTTATTCTGTTTGTGGAAATTTTGAATGAGATTGAGTTCCTGATTTGGCTCTCGGCTTGACTGTTGTGGATGTATAGGAATGCCAGTGATTTTTGTACATTGATTTTTTTTTACCCTGAGACTTTTAGGAAAGTTATTTTGCCAATAAAAAGTGCTCTCAATATTTTGTCCCATACATATTTTAAATTACATTAATTAGTTTAAAGTTCTTGCATACAAATTACCCATCCTTGGCCAGGCAGAGTGGCTCACACCTGTAATCCCAGCATTTTGGGAGGCCAAGGCAGACAGATCACTTGAGGCCAGGAATTCAAGACCAGCCTGGCCAACATGGTGAAACCCCATCTCTATGAAAAATACAAAAATTAGCCTGGTATGGTGGCGTGCACCTGTAATTCCAGCCACTCAGGAAGCTGAAGCATGATAATCACTTGAACCCTGGAGGTGAGGTTGCAGTGAGCCGAGATCGTGCCACTGCACTCCAGCCTGGGTGACAGAGAGAGAGACTGTCTCCAAAAATAAAAAATAAAAATTACCCATCTTTAGCTCTTTGTTTGCCTTCTCAGGAGGCAGCCACCTTCAGCAATTTTTGCTTTTTTTTTGTAATTACTACTATATTTCTAAATAACATGTTTTCAATATTTTTCCTTCAAACTCTCATAGATGTAAATTGAGTTGTCATCAACTTTCACCACATCAGCACAAACATACATTCATACACTTCACCTTCTCACATTCTCCTGGTATAATTATATCACAATTTTTGTTTGAATCAACATACAGAATATACATTCTTATTTTACATATATCTTATCCGTGCTGAGCCTTGGAAAGTGCTGTATCAATTTCTCTCTTATAAAATGTTTTTCATTTTCCTAGATTTATTAAGGGTATATTTTGATTTGCTTAGTTTGGGTGTGTACTCATTAGTAATGTATCCTCAAATTCTCTTCCAGAGGTGTTACTCTCTTGTCAATACCTTTAAACATATCAGGTATCTATAAATATACGTGCAGGTACGTTTCCCGGTGTTTTCTGTTCTCTTTATAGGAACACGTTACTCCCAGGGCAGAGCAGCTCCTGCTCTGGGATACCCCTTCACTGATACCCTAACAACTCTCTTCACCTCTCTTTGTGTACAACCCCATTTTCTGGATGCCATGTCCCCTTCTTTTTTTGGTTTATTCCTTTCTGAGAAATGGTTTATTGAGATGAAACGTTTGAGCTCTTATTTGTCTGCAAGTATCTTTATTCTGCCCTCACACTTAATTAGTTAGCTGTATGAAGAAGTCTAGGTTGGAAATTTCTTCTGTCAGAATTTCAAAGGAATTACTCTATTGCTACTGCTATAAAATATGGTATTACTGCTGAAAAAACATGATATTTAATTCTTTCTTCTTTTGCCCATGATTTGTATTTTGTTTTTCTTATGGAAATCTTTTAGAACTTCCCTTTATCCCTAATGTTCTCAATTCCATGAAACTATGCTTTGAAGTAAGCCTTTTTATTTTGTATTTATTGTGCTGGATATAAATTCGGGCTTTGCAATCTGAAAATGAGTGGCCTTTAATCTTAGGGAATTTTCTTGTGGAGTTCTTTTCTGTTTTTCTTTCTTCTACTCATATTAATCAGATATTAGAGATTCTGGATTGCTCTTTTAATTTTTTTCATCTTTTTACTTTAATTTTTTGCCCCTCATTCTTCTATTTTCAAGGATTGTCTCAACTTTCTCTTTTAAACTTTATGTTGAACTCCTCAATACTGTTACCGTTATCTTAAATATTTTGAGTTATTTTTATTTTCTGCATATTTCTGTAGTTCCCACCATGATACAACAGTATCATGATACAAGCAGTATCATGTACATGTTTCACGGACAAAGTGCATTATATCTCTGGTGTTATTAGTAATAGTTTTTTCTGTTTTCTATTTTTCATATGTCTGACTCAATTTGGTTTTCCTATAAGTATTTTTCTTCCTATGTGTGTTAGTCTTTTTCTTTTATGTTTGAGGTTTCCCTAGTGTTAACTGCTTATTTTTCATTGCATTTAAAAATTGTTTTAATTTGTTTTTTTTTTAGTTAATATGGGTACATATGTGTATATTTATGGGGTACATATGATGTTTTGATATAGGCATATAATGTGTAATAATCATATTAGGGTAATAATCATATTAGGGCATTTGGGATATCCATCACCTCAAGCATTTATCATTTCTTTATGTTAAGAACATTTCAATTCTACTCTTAGTTATTGCTAAATATACAATAAATTATTCTTGACTGTAGTCACTCTGTTGTGCTATCATATACTAGCTCTAAGGCTAGGTGCAGTGGCTCATGCCTGTAATTTCAACACTTGGGGAGGCCAAGATGAGAGGATTACTTGAGCCTAGGAGTTCAAAACCAGCCTAGGCAACATAATGAGACCCCATCTCTACTAAAAATTTTTTTTAAAATAACTGGTGTGGTGGACTGCACCTGTATTCCCAGCTACTCAGGAGCTTGAGGTAGGAGGATGGCTTGAGCCTGGGGACACAGTGGTGGTAGGAGCAGAGGGGTTAAGGCTACAGTGAACCATGATCACGCCACTGCACTCCACCCTGTCTCAAAACAAAGAAACAAACAAACCAAAACAAAACAAAACACCACCAGAAAAAAAAAGACTAGATCTAGTTAACTGCTTCTTAGCTTCTGTGTTTCAGAGTGAGGCATAGCGTGGCTGCCTGGAAGTTCTGCATGCCTGGAGGATAAGGTTAGGACTACTGTCCACTTCATTAGTCTGGACTATTCATTGGGAAATTCCCAACTGTAAAAATCTGCATATCAGTGTTATTGAACAGGTCACTTTTTCCAGAAGGAGATTTTCTAACATACTGCCGTAGGAATGTAGGGCTGGCTGTTACATTCCACATTGCCATGCAGTGCAGCGGTATACTTTCGCTTAATCCTTCTGCATCACAGTGGCACTCATTACCCCCGCACCTGGTGACTCGGGGTTTAGAGTACTTATGGTTCTGCCTCCTCAGAGAGTAAACCTCCATTCTTCTATCAACATGAGGAAAAAGCCAGTGGCATCTAATTGGATTTATATATAATTTCCACCAATCATGTTGTTTTCTCAATCTCACATTTAGTAGTATCTGGCACTTTAATTTCTAAGGATTTATGCTCTTTTATCCTACACCTATCATTTCAGTGGAATTGTGTGAGGGAGATAAGGTAAAATATATGCTTAATATTCCATTTTCAACCAACGGCTAGACACAGTTTTTTGCATTTTTGTTGACAAATAATACTATCATAAGCTAACACATTTTAGAACTGAAAAAGACATTCTCTTTTAGTTTCCACTCACTAGAGTCACTCAAGCATTTATTATAATATGATCTGGATAGGTGACTTTTAAAAGATATACTTGAATTATTTAGGTTATTTAAAAATACTTTATGTGTAAGAATATTTTGTTTCAGAAAATAAATTGCAGAAAAATTAAAAAAATAAATTTCAAAACTCTGAGAAATGCATAATATTCATCTTTTGAGAAATGAGAATATTTGCTAGGAGAAGAATATTGTTCCTTTTCTGTAATAGCAGATGGGTGTTTAGAATAGCAAACTACTACAATAATTTTATTATTTTCTTTTATAAACTTTACAGTAGCTAAGGTTTAGTAGGAAAGTAATACTTTTGTTCATGCAAAGTGCTCTTTATTCTGGATGTGTCTCTGGGGTTAATTGTCTCATTTCAGTCTATATTAATAAAAACATTTTATTCTGTATGTAACTCCTGATTCCTCATAATTTTGGGGTGCCTTTCCAAACTAGAAAACCGACGTTCTGACTGTTTATTCATTTAAAGGGCATTATTGCATCAGAGTCAATGGTTTAGACTCTGGAGTCTTACTTCCCAGGTTCAAATTCTTAAAATGCTCCTAACTAGCCGTGGCAAAGTATGTAATATTTGTTTATTTGTTACCTCGTCTATATTGTGAGGAAAATAACAAAGCCTTCAAAAGCCTGTTGTGAGGATTAGATATGTTAATAGACAGAGACCACTTATAGTGCCTGGAATGTGATAACTACTATGTAAGTTTTGACATTATTGTTAGTGTACTGAAAAGCAGAGCTCTGGAGATATTAGGGGAAATACTGAGAAACATTGATTTTTCTCTGCCTATCATGTAGAAAACAGTTACATTAGTCTCGTTTCCACAACTTTCTATTTTCATTTTCAGTGAGATTTTGAAAATATGATCTTTTGAAAGACTGTTTCATTTTCCTTTCAGGATGGCCATTTGGAAACACGATGTGCAAGATCAGTGGATTGGTCCAGGGAATATCTGTCGCAGCTTCAGTCTTTACGTTAGTTGCAATTGCTGTAGATAGGTAAGTCTGCACCAAACTCTGAATCCAGAAAAATTGGCATGTCTGCAACTAGTATACCAGAAAAATATATAACCTACTAAATTTGGACATATCTTTTCAAATTGTATTCACAATATCTACCTCTTTTTTTAAATTATTATACTTTAAGTTCTAGGGTACATGTGCACAACGTGCAGGTTTCTTCCATATGTATACATGTGCCATGTTGGTGTGCTGCACCCATCAACTCGTCATTTACATTAGGTATTTCTCCTAATGTTATCCCTGCCCCTGCCCCCCCACCCAATGCAGGCCCCAGTGTGTGATGTTCCCTGCCGTGTGTCCAAGTGTTCTCATTGTTCTATTCCCACCTATGAGTGAGAACATGTGGTGTTTGGTTTTCTGTCCTTGTGATAGTTAGCTGAGAATGATGGTTTCCAGCTGCATCCATGTCCCTGTAAAGGACATGAACTCATCCTTTTTATGGCTGCATAGTATTCCATGGTGTATATGTGCCACAATTTTCTTAATCCAGTATATCATTGAAGGATATTTTGGTTGGTTCCAAGTCTTTGCTATTGTGAATAGTGCCACAATAAACATACGTGTGCATGTGTCTTTATAGTAGCATGCTTTATAATCCTTTGGGTATATACCTAGTAATGGGATTGCTGGGTCAAATGGTATTTCTAATTCTAGGTCCTTGAGGAATCGTCACACTGTCTTCCCCAGTGACTGAACTAGTTTACACTCCTACCAACAGTGTAAAAGTGTTCCAATTTCTGCACACCCTCTCCAGCATCTGTTGTTTCCTGACTTTTTAATGATGACCTTTCTAACTGGTGTGAGATGGTATCTCATTGTGGTTGTGATTTGCATTTCTCTGATGACCAGTGATGATGAGCATTTTTTCATATATCTGTTGGCTGCACAAATGTCTTCTTTTGAGAGGTGTCTGTTCATATACTTTGCCCACTTTTTGATGGGGTTGTTTTTTTCTTGTAAATTTGTTTAAGTTCTTTGTAGATTCTGGATATTAGCCCTTTGTCAGAAGGGTAGATTGCAAAAATTTTCTCCCATTCTGTAGGTTGTCTGTTCACTCTGATGGTAGTTTCTTTTGCTGTGCAGAAATTCTTTAGCTTAATTAGATCCCATTTGTCTATTTTGGCTTTTGTTGCCATTGCTTTTGTTGTTTTAGTCATGAAGTCCTTGCCCATTCCTATGTCCTGAATGGTATTGCTTAGGTTTTCTTCTAGGTTTTTTATGGTTTCAGGTCTAACATTTAAGTCTTTAATCCATCTTGAATTAATTTTTGTGTGAGGTATAAGGAAAGGATCCAGTTTCAGCTTTCCACATATGGCTAGACAGTTTTCCCAGCACCGTTTATTAAATGGGGAATCCTTTCCCATTGCTTGTTTTCGTCAGGTTTGTCAAAAATCAGATGGATGTAGATGTGTGGTGTTATTTCTGAGGCCTCTGTTCTGTTCCATTGGTCTATCTCTCTGTTTTGATACCACTACCATGCTGTTTTGGTTACTGTAGCCTTGTAGTATAGTTTGAAGTTGGGTAGCATGATGCCTACAGCTTGGTTCTTTTGGCTTAGGATTATCTTGGCAATGCGGGCTCTTTTTTAGTTCCATATGAACTTTAAAGTAGATTTTTCCAATTCTGTGAAGAAAGTCAATGGTAGCTTGATGGAGATGGCATTGAATCTATAAATTACCTTGGGCAGTATGGTCATTTTCACGATATTGATTCTTTCTATCCATGAGCATGAATGTTCTTCCGTTTGTTTGTGTCCTCTTTTATTTCGTTGAGCAGTGGTTTGTAGTTCTCCTTGAAGAGGTCCTTCACATCCCTTGTAAGTTGGATTCCTAGGTATTTTATTCTCTTTGTAGCAATTGTGAATGGGAGTTCACTCATGATTTGGCTCTCTGTTTGTCTGTTATTGGTGTATAGGAATGCTTGTGATTTTTGCACATTGATTTTGTATCCTGAGACTTTGCTGAAGTTGCTTATCAGCTTAAGGAGATTTTGGGCTGAGATTATGGGGTTTTCTAAATATACAATGACGTCATCTGCAAAGAGGAACAATTTGACTTCCTCCTTTCCTAATTGAATACACTTTATTGCTTTCTGTTGCCTGATTGCCTTGGCCAGAACTTCCAACACTATGTTGAATAGGAGTGGTGAGAGAGGTCGACCCTGACTTGTGCCAGTTTTCAAAGGGAATGCTTTCAGTTTTTGCCCATTCAGTATAATGTTGGCTGTGGGTTTGTCAAAAAATAGCTCTTATTATTTTGAGATACATTCCATCAATACCTAGATTATTGAGAGTTTTTAGCATGAAGGGCTGTTGAATTTTGTCAAAGGCCTTTTCTGCATTTATTGAGATAATCATGTGGTGTTTGTCATTGGTTCTGTTCATGTGATGGCTTACATTTATTGATTTGCATATGTTGAACCAGCCTTGCATCACAGGGATGAAGCAGACTTGATCATGGTGGATAAGTTTTTTGATGTGCTGCTGGATTCTATTTGCCAGTATTTCATTGAGGATTTCCGGATCGATGTTCATCAGGGATATTGGTCTAAAATTCTCTTTTTTTTGGGGGGTGTCTCTACCAGGCTTTGGTATCAGGATGATGCTGGCCTCATAAAATGAGTTAAAGAGGATTCCCTCTTTTTCTATTGATTGGAATAGTTTCAGAAGGTATAGTACCAGCTCCTCTTTGTACCTCTGGTAGAATTCAGCTGTGAATTCGTCTCGTCCTGGACTTTTTTTGGTTGGTAAGCTATTAATTATTGCCTCAATTTCAGAGCCTGTTATTGGTCTGTTCAGAGATTCAACTTCTTGGTTTAGTCTTGGAAGGGTGTACGTGTCCAGGAATTTATCCATTTCTTTTAGATTTTCTAGTTTATTTGCATAGAGGTGTTTATAGTATTCTCTGATAGTAGTTTGTATTTCTGTGGGATCAGTGGTGATATCCCCTTTATCATTTTTATTGCGTCTATTTGATTCTTCTCTCTTTTCTCCTTTATTAGTGTTGCTAGTAGTCTATCAATTTTGTTGATCTTTAAAAAAAAACCAGCTCCTGGATTCATTAATTTTTTTAAGGGTTTTTTGTGTCTCTATCTCCTTCAGTTCTGCTCTGATCTTAGTTAGTTCTTGCCTTCTGTTAGCTTTTGAATTTGTTTGCTCTTGCTCCTCTAGTTCTTTTAATTGTGATGTTAGGGTGTGGATTTTAGATCTTTCCTGCTTTCTCTTGTAGGCATTTAGTGCTATAAATTTCCCTCTACACACTGCTTTAAATGTGTCCCAGAGATTCTGGTATGTTGTGTCTTTGTCCTCATTGATTTCAAAGAACATCTTTATTTCTGCCTTCATTTCATTATTTACCCAGTAGTCATTCAGGAGCAGGTTGTTCAGCTTCCATATAGTTGTGCTGTTTTGAGTGGGTTTCTTAATCCTGAGTTCTAATTTGATTGCACTGTGGTCTGAGTGACAGTTTGTTGTGATTTCTGTTCTTTTACATTTGCTGAGGAGTGCTTTACTTCCAACTATGTGGTCAGTTTTGGAGTAAGTGTGATGTGGTGCTGAGAAGAATGTATATGCTGTTGATTTGGGGTGGAGAGTTCGGTAGGCATCTATTAGGTCCACTTGTTGCGAGCTGAGTTCAAGTCCTGGATATCATTGTTAACATTCTGTCTCATTGATCTGTCTAATATTGACAGTGGGGTGTTAAAGTCTCCCATTATTATTGTGTGGGAGTCTAAGTCTATTTGTAGGTCTCTAAGGACTTGCTTTATGAATCTGGGTGCTCCTGTATTGGGTGCATATATATTTAGGATCGTTATTTCTTATTGTTGAATTGATCCCTTTACCATTATGCAATGGCCTTCTTTGTCTCTTTTGATCTTTGTCAGTTTAACGTCTGTTTTATCAGAGACTAGGGTTGCAACCCCTGCCTTTTTTTGCTTTCCATTTACTTGGTAGATCTTCCTCCATCCCTTTCTTTTGATTCTATATGTGTCTCTGCATGTGAGATGGGTCTCCTGAATACGGCACAGTGATGGGTCTTGACTCTATCCAATTTGCCAGTCTGTGTCTTTTAATTGGGGCATTTATCGCATTTACATTTAAGGTTAATAGCGTTATATTTGAATTTGATCCTGTCATTGGCGAGAGTGTCCCGATTTTCCAGGTACAGTCTGTCATGGCTTCCCTTGGCTAGGAAAGGGAAATTCCCCAACCCCTTTTGCTTCCCAGCTAAGGTGATGCCCCGTCCTGCTTTGGCTCACCCTCCGTGGGCTGCACCCACTGTCCAACCAGTCCCAGTGAGATGAACCAGGTACCTCAGGTGGAAATGCAGAAATAACCCATCTTCTGCATCTATCATGCTGGGAGCTGCAGACCACAGCTGTTCCTATCCGGCCATTTTGGAACGGAACCTGAGAATATCTACCTCTTTAAAAGCAACATACCTACTAAAGTTTCAGTAATAAGAAAATGAAACTATTGAATTTTCCATACTTTAAAAATAAATAATTGGAGATGGTAAAATTTCCCTATTTTTCACACTACAATATAGACGTTTCTAACAGCAGAAATGCAAATGAGCTAAAATCTGAAATTTTATCTAGATTTTAAGATTGAAAATCATTCATCCATTCATTCATTCACACATGTTGTTGAGCATTTATGATGTGCCAGATACTGGGCTGGGTTGGTAACATCTAAAACAAATTAGAAGTGCTGCCTCAGGAAGGCTACAATCTGGCGGAGCAGGCAAAGTCATTAACAAATATTTACAAATAATGCTTTCTAATAGGTGACCAGTGTTTGACAGCTATGCAAAAGAGATAATAATCAATTCTACCTATTAGGACAGGGAGTAGTGGATTCACAAAAGAAGTGAGACCTTCTGATTCCTGGAGAAGTCAGAAATTTACCCTTAGAAGAAACTGGGAAAAGGGCATCCCTTAAGACAAGTATATACTTATGGCATTGAAATAGGAGGCACTTGTTCAGAGAAATGTAGAGAGGTAGTTCAGCTGGAACAAGGCAGGTGAAGTGGTACATTTGTCCACAAAGAGAGAGATTTATTACGAGAAATTGACTCATAATTATGAAAACTGAGAAATCTCAGAATATGCTGCCTGTAAATTGGAGACCTCAGAAAGCCAGTGATATTATTCAGTCCAAGTCCCAAAGCCTGAGAACTAGGGATAGCCAATTGTGCAATTGGCCATTTGTGTAAATTGCATCCTGTGGGCAGGAGAATATGATATGAGATGTCCTAGCTCAAGCAATGAGTCAGGGAAAAAAGGGGGCAAATTCCTCCTTCCTCTACTTCTTGTTCTATTCAGGCCCTCAGATGACTGGATGATGCCTACCCACACTGGGAGGGCAATCCACTTTACCGAATCCACTGACTAAGATGCTAATCTTATCCAGAAACACTTTTATAGGCGCATCCAGAAATAAGATTCAATCTCAGCACCCCTTGGCCCAGTCAAGTCGATAGATTAAATTAGCCATCACACTTTTGTAGCAGAGACTGTCAGTGCTCTGCCAGATCTCTTAAACTTTCAGTGGGTTCTGTCTTACATCCAACTGCCAGTATCTTCATCTCTGTATCTCAAATCCAAATTGTGCAAAGTCTTAGTTCCTAAGCAGAACAGACAAGAAATGTCAGATAATTAATACCCCTAGAAGTAGCCCTCAACTAAAATCTCATGAGAGTTGATGTACTCACCATTCTCTCCCCTTGGGTTGAATAATTCTGCAACAAATGGTTTGATTCACATCCCTCGTTACCTACCTTCCCATTAATGAATGACTTCTCTATACTTTCAGTTATCTATTGATATATAATGAACCACCCCCAAATCAAACCACTTAGTGAGTTAAAATGACAGCAATATTTATTATGTCATGAATCTGTGATATGTACAGATTTAGAAAGTACAGCTTGTCTCTGTTCTACTTGATGTCAGGTGGAGCAGCTTCAAGGTTAGGGCTGAACCTTCTTTCACTCTCCTGTTGGTACCTAGTCCAGGGAGAACTTGAATATGTGGGGGCCTAAGAGAGCTTTGTCTCTATTGGTCTCTCCAAATGGGCTCTCCAGCAAGGCTACTTGAAGGTACCTGGACTTCTTATATGTCAGTTCAGGGCTCTGACGGTTTGTGTCCCAGAAGAGAGTACCAGCAAAAATCATGATGTGGTATCATTTTTGTTGCATTCTATTCATGAGACTGAGTCATCAATCCTTAGCCAAGGAAAAAGGAATAGAATTTGGAAGCAATGTCAAAGAACTTGGAAATGTTTTAAAACTGCCACATCTTTATTTCTTGCACTTGCACTCAAATGCTTTTTTTTTCAGGGCTAGCTTTTGCAGGAAGCCAAACTAAAAAAATTCCCAAGCTGATTTCTCCTGACTGAATCCTTTGCCTGAATTTTACAGTTACGTTCCAAAGCACCTACTGTACAACTTCAACTGCACATTCAACAAAAGGCACCTTAAATTAAACATGCCCAGAGCTGAACTCATTATTCCAAGCCCCACACCATACACAAACAAAATAAAAGGCAGCTGTTTTTTTCATGCTCCCCAAATCAGTGAAAGGCAGGACCACTCACTCAATTCAAACAAAAAACCTGAGCTTTATCCTTGAATCTTCTTTCTGTCAACTTTGCTGGCACTCTCCAAATTCTATTATTTCTGAGTGCTAACTAGTTCTGAACCAGGCCACTGCCCTTTGCCACTTGGAATACTGAGATTGTTTTCTAACTGGCCTTCGGGCTCAGGAAGCCAACCTCCAATTTATTTTCTTCTCATAGCAGCCCAAATAAGCTTCTTAAATTGTAAAAATGATCCTGCCTTTTACAATGTAAATCCTTCAATGAATCCCCATTGCTCTTTAAATGAAGTCCAAACTTTTTAGCAGAATTTTAGTAATTATTATACAGTTTTTAATATTTTTATATTTCCATTGACTTTCTCAGCAGGGACTATTCTCTATCTTATTCATCTTTGCCTTCCTGAATATATACACACAAACACATATATATGTATGTTTACAAATATATAAGTATATATACTCATATATGTACATTTATTAAACAAATATGTAAGTACATATATTGTTATAAATATAAATATATAAATACATATATTTGTTATAAATACAAATATATAAATACATATATGTACAGATAAGCATATGTACTTTTATATTTGTTCATTATTACTTTTATTGTTAATAGTGTCTGCTATACTCCATTTATTCAAATTTTGAGTTAAAATTTATCTCCTATATAAATATATGTACTTATATATTTGTTTAATAAGTAAATTGAACAATAATATCCAAAACCCTATTAGTAGGTATTCAAAAAGAGCAAAATACATACGTTTGTGTCTATGAAATTACCCATAATTTCACGGCAGGTGAATGGGAGAATTCTTGGATTAGAAGACTGGAAGAACGCTTGAAGTTGAAGAGAGAAGATCTTACACATGAAGGAGTTATAAAGAATGACAACAGAGCAGTCAAAGCCCAGGCTAACTAGTCATTCTATGAAGATAAGTTAGATAAGTTAATTTGGAGTTGCTGCTCAGCCACTTAAAGCTCTACATTTTCTTATCTACAGATCTGGAATGTAACAATTTTCATAACATTTCAGTTTTATGGAGTCATAAAAATCAAAGAAGATTAAATAGGTAATAGTTACTTTGAAAAAATATAAAATGTTACACAGTTGCATAATAGTGTGATTATCTTTTGATTAACATAATGAAATTCAATAATAATAACAAGATCCACAATATCAAAATCATAGTAAAATGAATCAGGCTTACTCTACATACTGATGCTGAATTTTTGTACTCACCAGAGGACATAGAATGTTAGGAAGGCTCATAATCAGAACTCATAATGAATACTCTCAGATTTTTACAGCTGTAAAGCAAATCAGCAAAACATTTAGTGGCTTCAAACAATATTGGTTTATTACATCTCATGATTTTGTGGGTTAATTGGGCACCTCTTTGTTCATCCTCCTGCTCCATGTGTTATAACTGGAATCACTCATGTTGCAGCATTAATCTGGGAGCTAAACTGGGGCTGGAACATCCAAAATGGCTAAGCTCTTATCTCCCGGAATCTTTCTCTACATGCCTTTCATCTAATTCAAGCTTCTTGGAAATTGAAGTCTGGATTTTAAGAGGAAGCATTCCAGAAGGACCTGCCCCACATGCAAGTGTATAAAAAGCTTCTGCTTGCATCATGTTTGCTAATATCCTATTGGTCAAAGCAAGTTACACAGATAATGCGTAGGGGACCACACAAGAGCCTGAGGGATAAAAGGTTGATTGATTGCTACAGATCAGCAGTCTACCACAGCCTAAGAGCTACCCATCTAAAGAGGACGATGTAGAGGTTGAGTTTGAGCTCTGAAGCCAAACTACTTGTGTTAAAATCCTGTGTAATTATTGGTAAGATTTTTACATTTCCAAGTCTGTTTTGCTATCTTTTAAGCAAGGAGGCTTAAAGAGACGGTCCATGCAAATTAATGGAACAGAGTCTGAAACGGTTTTAGGCATTCATGTTCATTATTACTTTTTATTATTAATAGTGTCTGCTATACTCCATTTGTTCAAATTTTGAATTAAAATTTATCTCATATCAATTACAGAAAATGACAATGCATGCCTTTCTACTACAAATGGTAACTTTCTATATTTTTGAGGAGACTGTAGGGTGAGAGGCCTGTAACTACATAAATAAATTTGGTGTATGACTTGGTCAGAAGTGATGAAGCAGTGCCTCATTTATATTTGTGTTTAATTGCAGGTTCCAGTGTGTGGTCTACCCTTTTAAACCAAAGCTCACTATCAAGACAGCGTTTGTCATTATTATGATCATCTGGGTCCTAGCCATCACCATTATGTCTCCATCTGCAGTAATGTTACATGTGCAAGAAGAAAAATATTACCGAGTGAGACTCAACTCCCAGAATAAAACCAGTCCAGTCTACTGGTGCCGGGAAGACTGGCCAAATCAGGAAATGAGGAAGATCTACACCACTGTGCTGTTTGCCAACATCTACCTGGCTCCCCTCTCCCTCATTGTCATCATGTATGGAAGGATTGGAATTTCACTCTTCAGGGCTGCAGTTCCTCACACAGGCAGGAAGAACCAGGAGCAGTGGCACGTGGTGTCCAGGAAGAAGCAGAAGATCATTAAGATGCTCCTGATTGTGGCCCTGCTTTTTATTCTCTCATGGCTGCCCCTGTGGACTCTAATGATGCTCTCAGACTACGCTGACCTTTCTCCAAATGAACTGCAGATCATCAACATCTACATCTACCCTTTTGCACACTGGCTGGCATTCGGCAACAGCAGTGTCAATCCCATCATTTATGGTTTCTTCAACGAGAATTTCCGCCGTGGTTTCCAAGAAGCTTTCCAGCTCCAGCTCTGCCAAAAAAGAGCAAAGCCTATGGAAGCTTATGCCCTAAAAGCTAAAAGCCATGTGCTCATAAACACATCTAATCAGCTTGTCCAGGAATCTACATTTCAAAACCCTCATGGGGAAACCTTGCTTTATAGGAAAAGTGCTGAAAAACCCCAACAGGAATTAGTGATGGAAGAATTAAAAGAAACTACTAACAGCAGTGAGATTTAAAAAGAGCTAGTGTGATAATCCTAACTCTACTACGCATTATATATTTAAATCCATTGCTTTTTGTGGCTTTGCACTTCAAATTTTTCAAAGAATGTTCTAAATAAAACATTTACTGAAAGCCCTCTCTGGCAAAAAAATTAAAAATAAACAAAAATGGTCATAAGATCATAAACAATCTTATGTTGTATAAAAATACGTAGAGTGACTTAGACATGTTTGCATGAATAAATATATTTCTAGAGAACAGTTTACAAAGCCTCATCTTTCCAAACTTAACCATTTGTGTATGCGTCAAATCAAGCCTGCACGCGTGCGTGCATGTGTGTGTGTATTTTCCCCAAATGGTGATGATGAGCAGTGCTTTGCATGAAACTAGATTTTATCAATTTCTCCTTTGATTTTGGATTTAAAATTTTAGATTACAAGACTATTACTCTGCTTATGTTTATAAACTGTACTTGGTTTTCTAAGAAATACATTCGATCACATGAAATTCTCTGCTGTTGTTTTTCTCATTTCCATTACTTCATTTCGGTTAATCTACAAAGGCAAGATATTATAGGTCCATGGGTAATTACATCACAGAGGCCCTCACTTCCTGTGTGTTAGAACTGTAGTAGCAAATAAAGGGACACATATTTCTTTATATTTAAAAGTTGCTTTTTTGAAAAGAGTACAAAGGAGTTTTTGTTGGCTTTTTCATATTTTCATAAGTGAAGTTTATGCCCTAGTTGAACACACATTTGTTACAGAGCTGATTGAGGACCCCAACTTAACCCCTTTTTCTAACAGAATCTCTGATGTAAAGAAGCAAACCCTTTAATAATGCAGCAGTTAGCAGAAAAACGGCACCTTTCTTTGAAGTGTTTAATCATAGATGTTTAACAATTATCATGACTCTCACATAGAGAGCAAGAACAATTATTTCAAATCTTCTACTGAGCACATTCAAATCCAGCACCCTGGGTTTAGTAAACTAGTATTATTGTTTAAAAATGAATTAACAACCCCTGGTTTCAGCTATGTTAGAATTATCTAATGATAATGGTTGTCAATGTTACCTTTTATTCTAGGATGAGGTAAATCTCTAGAAAATTGGAAATTATAACAAAATAAACAGTTTGGCAAATAAAAATAAATTTCTAGAAGTGAAGCTATTTTACTTTTTTCAGTCATTTTTGTGGTTCAAACTAAAAGCATTTGCTATGGTTTGGATGTGGTTTGTCTCCATCAAAACTCATGGTAAAATTTGATTCCCAGTGTGGCAGTGTGGGAAGCTGGAACCTAGAGGGAGGTGATCAGATCATGGGGGCACCACCCTCATTAATAGGTTAATGTCATTTCACAGGAATGAGTTCTCACTGTTCTGAAACTGGATTCATTATGGCAAAAGTGGGTTGTTGTAAAGCAAGATTCTTCTCATGTTTTGTCTCTTTGGACATGCCTGCTCACTTTTCTGCTTCTCTGCCACGTTGTAACGTAGGACATGGCCCTCACCAGAAGCCAAGCAGATGCCAGTGCCATGCTCTTAAACTTTCCAGTCACCACAATTGTGAGCCAAATAAACCTCTTTTCTTTGTAAATTACAAAACCTCAGAATTCCGTTATAGCAACACTAAATGGAATAAAACTTTTCCACATTCTAGTCTTTTGAGAAATAATTGTAGAGTTTTTTGCTTATTTGTTTGTTTTTGTTTTTTTGGGTTTTTTTTTTTACGAAGTCTCTCTCTGTTGCCTAGGCTGGAGTGCAGTGGTGTGATCTCGGCTGAATGCAACCTCCACCTCCCAGGTTTAAGGAATTCTGCCTCAGCCTCCCCAGTAGCTGGGATTACAGGTGCGCACCACTGCACCTGGCTAATTTTAGCTTTTTTTTTTTTTTTTTTTGAGACGGAGTCTCACTCTGTCGCCCAGGCTGGAGTGCAGTGGCATGATCTCGGCTCACTGCAATCTCCACCTCCCAGGTTCACGCCATTCTCCTGCCTCAGCCTCCCAAGTAGCTGGGACTACAGGCGCCCGCCACCACGCCTGGCTAATTTTTTTGTATTTTTAGTAGAGACAGGGTTTCACCATGTTAGCCAGGATGGTCTCGATCTCCTGACTGCGTGATCAGCCCGCCTGGGCCTCCCAAAGTGCTGGGATTACAGGCATGAGTCACTGCACCTGGCCTAATTTTTGCATATTTTTAGTAGAGACGGGGTTTCGCCACGTTGGCCAGGCTGGTCTTGAACTCTTGATTTCGGGTGATCTACTCACCTCGGCCTCCCAAAGTGCTGGGACCATAGGTGTGAGCCACCACACCCAGCCAATTGTTGAGTTTTTAGTTGAATTGAGCCATGTGTTATTTGAATATACAAGTGTTATTTCCTACAATTATGAAGGGCAACTCTTAAAAGTTGTAGGTATAGAATTTGACCATATATTATTTTATCTTGATTTACTAAAATACTATTTACAGTCAGTGTACTCAGGCATAGAAGATTATTTTGATATAGACTATCACTTTCTTATGGGCCTCCTCACACAGATCACATTCTGTCAGCACTTGAAACTCATTATCACTAAATTGCAGGTCCTCCCATTCATCTGCCTGCTTTTATCACCTTCTATTCCCTGTTTCATCTTCCCTAATGGTCACAAAACTCTCCTTACTGCATCTTATCCTGATGTTCAGTCTTGCATCTTTTAATTATTTCTAAAGTTGGCAAAGGCATGTTCCTGAACTGGAGGACTACTTTGCTTTCTTTCATTAATAAATAGTTTGACAAATATAAGTAAGTCTCTGGGAGTCTATCTATTATATTTCTTATAATAGCTCTCTCTCTTTTTGTAATAGGCTCTCTGCCTCTTAAAAGATGTGCATTTTAAAAGCCCACCATGGACTGGCCCTCATCTCCTGATTATATATTTGACACAAATTGTTTTCAAAACTCAAGTCAGAAATGGTCAGCCTAGATTGTTGTGTTTTTCCTCATTTGTTAATTATTCACTGCTTTACTCCCTTATTTGACTGTCTATATTTTGTCCAAGATCTGTTAAAAAGCCACCTCTCTCACAAGTCTGCATTCTTACAGCAGAAATTGTTACTCTTTTCTAAGTACTATGTACCTCTTATATATGACAACCTAACTTGTAATTGCTTTGTCTTGTGCTTGCAACTAGAATATAAATTTCTTAAGGGCATGATGAATTAGGCCTTTCTCATCTTTAGATCCCCTACAGTGTGGATCACAGTAATAGGCAGTAAATATATATATGCTAGATAATTGCCACAGGCAAAAACCATCTGTCATGTTGCTTAAGAGGAATGTCTAATTCTGAACAAGTAGAATTTTGCATACAGATTCTAGTATACCTGTTACAGACAAAGGAGAGCTTTTCTATGAATTGAAACAACAAAATAACAGATAAAGAAAGCTAAAATGTCTTGAACATGCACAGTCACTAAGATTTAGGTTATATAGTCATATATGATTTGCTACCTAATAGCTTAGTGCTTTGTACAAACAAATTTCCTATGCCTGAATTTTCTTATCTGTAATATGGGAATAACAATAGCTCCTTCCTCCTGGTCTGCTGTGAGTATTAAATGATGGGGGGAAGTTTGTATAATAAAAAGCAGAGAAACTATAACTTAGCAAAGGCTAAATGATTGTTGCTGTCTCGATGATAGTGAGAAGTATTAATAGGAGTAGTAGTTATAATAGTATCAAGCCCATGCTAGGTTATATTTTACATGTTTGATAACCCTCACTAGAGCACTCCAAGGTATGTATTATTCCCATTTTACAGATGAGAGTACCAAGTCTAAGAGAAGCTGGTTTACCCAAAGTCATGAAGCTTGAAAGTAGTACAAACAAGTTTGTAACTCAGAAACATATAATTCCAAAACGTTATTTTTTTCCTTCTATATCATATCATCTGTGTGTTATGATGAACTTATTTTGGACTACCTCTTAACCACTTCTTCAATCACCATTTTTCTGATTGTAAAATAATACCTGGGCTACTTGTAGAATTTGTGAGAAACACAGAATAGTACAAAGAAGAGAATAAAATTACACATAATCCCTCTAGCAAGAAGAAAAAAAACACACTGAAAACACATATTTTAACTAACGCTTACTTCAGCACCCTGTATATAAAATTTGCCAATAGTGATTATTTCCTAAAGTAGATTCCTAGCAGGAAAATTACTAGAAAGAGCATTTTTGTAATACTTTTGATATGTACCTTGTTATTTTTAAAACTATTAATATAAAATTCCAATTTTGTGGCTGATCATCTCACAGTATCCTTAACATGTTAAGTTTTTCTTCAACTTTGCTACTTTTATATGTGAAAAATCAGTTAAATTTGTTGTTTTGATTACTAGTGTAGTTGAACATTGCTCTATTTCTTACTAATTTATATTTCTTCCTCTTCCTATTCTTTGGCCATTTTCCCTGTGTATTTTTTGTTTCCTTTTGTATTTCTATTCATTGCTACACATTTTTGTATTTAAGGCATAGCATCTTCAATAAAAGGCAGAACAATCTTTTTAAAAAACAAGTTAGATGTCACTTTCTCATTTCAAAGCCATCAATAGTTTCCTTTCGAATTAGGAAAGAAACAAACTCCTAGGCTTACATACATTTACTTTTTCTGCCCTTGCCTACCTCTTAACCTCATCTTGAACTCAATACTCATCATTCACACAGACTGTCTGTCTCTTCCTCTGACATCGGCCAAGCCCTTTGCTGCTTCTGTGTTGTGCACCTGTGTTCTTCCTGCCAGGAACGTCCTCCCCCTTTACCTTCACATATCGGCTCCCCCTTAGCCTTCAGTGTTCAACTGAAACCCCACCTGAGCCTTGCCTATTTCCTGCATAGCTCTTCTAATTATCTGCAATAATCTTCAAAATTTATTGAATTACTTGTTTAATATCTATTCCCTACCAAGAAGCAAAATCCATAAAGGCAAGGATTTTTGTCTTGTTTATCATTGTATCATTCAGTGTCTAAGAGAGTGTGTGGCTCATAATGGGCACATGATAAATATTTGAGCAAATTAACTGGTTGCAAATATTACCAGTTTTTAATTTTCATTAAATTTATTTATGAATATGTTATTTTATTTTTAAATATTGAAATAATTCAGAACATAATAGAAACATTAAGTAATATACAAAAGCAGATGAAATAAAATAAAATAAAATAAAGTAAAATAAAATAAAATAAAATAAAATCATTCTTTATTCTGCTGTCACTGATAATCATTCTTGCTGTCATTTGGGGGCAAGGGTACATGCTTTCTTTCACTATTATTCTGAGGCATATACTTTATTACCTTTTTATGTAACTTAGTGTATCAAGGACATGTTTTATGTTGTTTAGTAGTCATCAAAATATTTTATTTTCATTCCACTTCCATTATTTATTGAGTTTCTTCCCTGTACCTGGAAATATAAATTATTTCTTACATTTTATAAAATGATACAGTTATTTACACCTTGTAAAATACTGGGCATATTTATAATCGTCTTTATCTGGGAACCTGCCCCGATATTCATGTAGGTTCTTTTCTATTTTCCTTAAGCGTCGGCCAGCTTGAGAAATAAAGGGACAGAGTACAAAATAGAGAAATTTTAAAGCTGGGCATCCGTAGGTTCCATGATGCCCCACAAGCTGCAAAAACCAGCAAGTTTTTATTAGGGAGTTTCAAAAGGGGAGGGAGTGTGCGAATAGGTGTGGGTCACAGACATCAAGTACTTTACAAGGTAATAGAATATCACAAGGCAAGTGGAGGCAGGGTGAGATCACAGGACCACAGGATGGGGTGAAATTAAAATTGCTAATGAAGTTTTGGGCACCATTGTCATTGATAACATCTTATCAGGAGACAGGGTTTTGAGATCAACCGGTCTGACCAAAATTTATTAGGCAGGAATTTCCTCTTCCTAATAAGCCTGGGAGCGCTATGGGAGACTGGAGTCTATTTCACCTCTGCAGTCTCGACCTTCAGAGACAGGCGCACCTGGGGGGGCTGTTTATACGCCTATACCTCCAGACACGTATTCTCTTTCTCAGGGATGTTCCATGCTGAGAAAAAGAATTCAGCGATATTTCTCCCATTTGCTTTTGAAAGAAGAGAAATATGGCTCTGTTCTGCCTGGCTCACCGGTGGTCAGAGTTTAAGGTTATCTCTCTTATTCCCTGAACTATTGCTGTTATCCTGTTCTTTTTCCAAGCTGCTCACATTTCATATTGCTCAAACACACATGCTGTACAATTTGTGCAGTTAATGCAATTATTACAGGGTCCTGAGGCAATATACATCCTCCTCAGCTGACAAGATTAAGAGATTAAAGTAAAGACAGGCATAGGAAATCACAAGGGTATTGATTGGGGAAGTGATAAGTGTCCATGAAATCTTTACAATTTATGTTTAGAGATTGCAGTAAAGACAGGCATAAGAAATTACAAAAGTATTAATTTGGGGAACTAATAAATGTCCATGAAATCTTCACAATCCACATTCTTCTGCCATGGCTTCAGCCAGTCACTCCGTTTGGGGTCCCTGTCTTCCCACGACACATCTTAGAACAGACTTCCAAGAAATTCAATTACTTGGCCAAAAATGCATGTACATTTCTTACTGTTTTAATGCAGATTGTCAAATATTTCTTGGAAAGATTTTTAACATTTAATACCTCACTTAGTGATGTAAAACTTTGTTCACTCACTCTCAAATACTACGCATTCCATAAAACTAGTTGTTTTGCCAATTTGATAAGAAAGAACTTGTATCCCCATGTGTATTGCTACACAATTGAACATTAAAAAATAATCTACATTTAATTTGATTCATTTGTATTCATTTGTCTTCACTTGTATTCATTTGCATTTCCACCTTAGTCAATTCCCTCTTCATGGTTTTTGCCCTCATCTCCATTTATTTTTCTTAGCAACTTGTAAACACACTCTCTAATTCAAGATATTAACCTTTGACTAGCAGGCAGATAGCTACATTTTCCCTTATTCAACATGCACCTGTGTGCACATGTATGCATACAGATATGAGGGTAAAGACCTCAGCCTTGAAAGAGTTTTTTTTTTTTTTTAAGTGACTTAAAGAAGATAGATAATTATATCTCTCTCATAAAATTATACCTGATGGGAGTGGTCTAGTTTAGCATAGCCTTTATTTAGAAACGCAGATTACTTCCTTCTGACTGCTAAAGAGCAGGAATCAGCAAACTACCCTCAAATCTGGCCCTCCACTGCATTTTGGCAAGTACAATCTTATTAGAACACAGCTCTGCCCATTTTATTTATAGATTGTCTATAGCTGCTTTTGTGCTAGAATAGAAGATCTGAGTAATTGACACAGAGACCATCCAGTTGACAAAGCCTAAAATATTTACTATCTGAATAATTATGGAAAACTAGTTAATTTCTCCACAGAGTTTTGTTCTTGTCTCCATGGTCACAACTAACCAATAGGCACATCCATGTATACGAACATGGGGAGGGAAAGGAAGAGCTCTAGGGCAGGTAGTGGGTCTTTAAATTGTGGAAAACCTGGAAAGTATACAAATCACTGTTGTTCATATACAGTTAGTGAAATTTACTCACATAGCCATGCCAATCTTCAAGCACAGCTGGGAAATGTAGTCTTCAGGTAAGCAGCCATGTGCCCAGTCTAAATTCTACTACTATAGAAAAAAGAGAGAACAGATTGTTTACATTTTTACATTATCAAATATACTATTTTTTATTTTTGAAATCTTTTTTAATTTTGATTTTAGAAAGTACTTTCAAGTCTTTACACAAGACATTTGCTTTCTGTGGTAGGTAAAATAATAGTTTCCTCCCTTCCAAGATATCTATGTCTAAATCCCTGGCATTTCTAAGTATGTTACTGTATTTGACAAAAGAAACTTTGCAGATGTACTTAAGCTAAGAATCTAGAAATGAAAAAATCATTCTGGATTATTTAGGTAGACCCAACATAATCATAAGGGTACTTCTAAGCAGAAGAAAGATACAGAAGGGAGAGGCAAAAGAAACTCTGACTATAACAGAGATCAGAGTGGCACAATTTGAGAAAAATTGAAACCTGTCTTTGAATGTGTGGGAAAGGGACATGACTCAAGGAATGTGAGTGGCCTCTAGAGATGGAAAAGGCAAGGAAATGCGTTTTTCCTCTAGAGCTTCCAGAAAGAAATACAGCCCTGATGATGACTTGATTTTAGCCCAGTAAGGCCTATGTTGGACTTATAACCTATGGGATTGTAAGAATATATATTTGTGTTGTTTTGACACACTAAGTTTGTGGTAATTTGTTGTGGCCATAATAGAAAATGAATACAGACCCTGGTGCCTGGAAGTGAGAAGCCACAGTGACAATAAGTAGGTGTAAGTGGCTTGAAATATGGCAATGAAGAGGGGTTGGAAGAATTCTGAGGATCCTGATAGACTAAGCCTAGATCTTTTTGAACGGGCTGTTGGTAAAAATATGGATATTAGCAATTCTGTTAGTGAAAACTGAGAAGGAAATAAGAGCCAGGAGAGAGAGAAATATTTATCACTTTAGAGAATACCTACATTGTCATGAAAAGACTCTTAGTAGAAAAGTGGATGTTTAAGGCACTGCTTGTACAGACTCAGAAGGAAATGAGGGACATGTTAGGGAAATTTGAGGAAAGGAGAGCCTTGTTATGTAGTGGCAGAGGTTTCATAGAATTAGGTCTTGTCATTTTGTGGAAATTAGAACTTGGATATTTAGCTGAGAAAATTTTTGAGCAAAATATTGTAGGCATGGCTTGGTTGCTTCTTGTTGATTACAGTAAAATTCAAGAGGAAATAAATTAAGGGAAGAATGGTCTTTAATAAAAGAAAACATGTTTTGATAGTTTGAGAACTTCTAAGACTATTTGGATTGCAAAAAATGAAATTAAGAGAGTCATTGTCAGAAAAGTATGCTATATGAAAAAAATCCAGGGTATGTTTGGATAATCTTTTGCTAAATTTCAGAAAAACAAAAGATCAGAGTATTCAGAGAGTAAGCATGTGACTCATAGATACCCTTAGCCATCTCAGCAGAAGCCAAAAATGGAAATGGGATTATCTTTGAAAAATCTGTTGAGGATCCTCTTGTCTAATAGAATTTAATCTGTGGCCTACATAGGAGACCCACCAAGTTTTTGAGAATGTTATATCAGCAGAAAACATTACCTGATTCAACTAAAAATGACTGAGAGGGGATGACATGAAAGAAGGCTCTAAAATCCCCAAAATTCTATAGGCAAAAAACAAGCTGATAAAACTCTTCAACTGTAAAAGGTGATATGTTTCATGAATAAGGGAAGATGACAATAAGGACAGAGTTGAAAACTCAAAAGGCAAAGCCATGAGCCCACATAAAAGAGCTAAGAGCTTAGAGGGCGGAGCCAAGAGCTCAGAGGGAGTCAAAACCACAAGCCACAGAAAATTATTCCTAGGGCTTAGAACCTAATGGAATCTGCATCACTGGATTTAAAAAAATATTTGGGATTGGTGACTCCTATTTTTCCTTCCATTTTCTCTCCTTTTGAGCAGGAATGCCTGTAAATGTTATCCTATGCCGGCCCTACTATTGTATTTTAGAAGCAGGTAACCTGCTTGTTTGGTTTATAGGTCCACAGATGGAGAGGAATTGTGCCAACTAAGTGCCACTGTTTGTGATCTTTTTTTTTTATGGGAGAAATATAAAAAGAATACACTTCATCTTCTTTTTTAAAAACTCAGTTATTTGATTTGTTTGAAGTGTACATTTTTGTAAGGAAAAATATTTTCTATACTTTTTAATAGGTTCTTTCATTCAATGATATCTCTGCCTGGCTTGCGTTATAACTAGTTAAGGAATTCTAGTTTGAATCTGCCTTCTCTCTTAGGTAACATTTACCAAGCATCCAGCGACAGCCGCTGCACCTGGTGGTCGCTTGTACTTCTCTCATGCTTAGGGATTGTGCTGTAGTGCATTTCTTTTCTCTGGATAGTGAATGATGGTGGTTAGTGGAGCATGGATTATACCACATACACATTAAACATATGTTCAATTCAGCAAACAAGACATTAAAAATACATACATTAAAAAATCCAAAAATTCAGCTTGAATGAATTTACATAGAAAGTTACAATTTGAAGACTATAAGAAGCTGCATGAATTTCAGAATAGTAATGTTTTATGTTTTATAGTTGCTGATTATAATATAGAAAGAGGATAATCGTGGTCTTTCCAGTGGCTAATGCCTCACATGGCCCACAGGTATGGTAGTGTGGCAGTTAAAACAAAAGATACCAGAGCAGGAAGAGAGGTTCCAATCAAGGATTCATTGCTTGTTATCAGTTGCATGATTATGGGCAAGGTAATTAAACCTTCTGTGCATCAGTGTCCTCATTTGTAAAATGGGGTGATAATAGTACCTATTTGCAAAATTGTTCTTAAATGAGTCACATAAAGCATTTGAAACTGCTTGCTCTTCATATAATTATGTCTGCAATTGCACATACCACATATTCAGGTAGGAAAAGCCAAATTTAAAAATATTGAATAAAAAAAAAAGTCAAGAAAGTTTCTTTACCTGATAAATTAGCCCTGAGTAGTGACTTTGTGTAAGCTTTCACCAGTTACAGAGTCATTGTTACAGAAGATGACATATATGTAGCATAAAAATACTAATTAAGGTTAAAATGGAAAAAATTAATAATGGTGAAAATCTCAATCCTGCAGGAATGAGAGTGGACTAATAATGGACTATGTATCATTGCTTAATATATATAAAATGCTTTTTTTCATTTATTGCTTTCCTTTTTTATACTGTGGGCTTTTGAAGAAAAATAATCTGCTTTTAAATCTTTGTATCTTTAGCACTTAGCATATTGCCTCAGAGATGTAAGTGAATAATCATTGATTTTGAGTAAATTGAATGTCAGAACAAGTGTTGTAACTTATGAACTTGTTACTCTAATATCTGCATTGCCTCTTGGATAAAACATTATGATCTGTGATTGTGGACTGGAATAAAATAAATAAAACACTTGTTCAATCAGAATTCTTGGTTTTCTATTAAATATTTCTTGTAAGCAAATATATTTTTCTTACTGAAGAACTCACAATGATACTTTACTTATTGCCAAAGCATAATGATAGTGAGTGAATTTCAGATAAAGAACTTTGCCAGGGACTATATTACCAGCATTTTTTTCTATTAGTTTCTTAATACTGATTTCAATTTTCTAAAAGCATATCTCTAAAAATTTGGAATCTCTATTTGAAAAACTATTTTTTAAGTATCACAACAGAAGAGTACTTATTTTAAAATTATAGTCATTAGACATTTATTCCATATACAAATTTTCAGACAAAGCCAAATAGTTTTATTATTTAAGCTAGCTGGATTAAGGAAATCAAGCCAAAAATCCTTAGTGGCACCACTCTTAACAAGAGCTATGAACCGTCGATGTTCCTTAAGTCTTCACAGCATCACCATGTATTAGCCATTAGTATGCCCATTTTGATGAAGAACTGACCTTATACATGTTAAGAAGATTGTCCAAAGTCACAAAACAAGTGAGCAGTAGAGCCAAACTATAACCATGTCAACATTTAATGAGTTTTTATAATGAGCCAGGCACTGTCCTATGGTCTTTATAGGCATTGCATCATAATCCTTACATGGTATGAGGTAGGCATTATCACTAAGCACCTTTTCAGGTAGACACAGAAGCTGAAGCATAGAAATACTAATATTAAAATAGGGCAGTAATTTAAAATGTTTGTTAAGTGCTGAGATGGTCTTCTTTGCATCCCAGCTCAGTTTCTAAACGTAAAATAGATATAATAGGATCGTTTTGAAATTTAATGAAATACCATATGTAAATAGATTAGAAATGTACCTTATTTACCAACAGGAAACATGGTTCATACCTGTCTAGTATCTGTTACTTATTTTTAAGAGGCTCAGTACTATGTAGATAAAAGTCAGTACTGCTTAGATTAGGGATCCCCCACCCCTGGGCCACGGAGGTCCGTGGCCTGTTAGGAACTGGGCTACACAGCAGAAGGTGAGTGACAGGCTAGCAAGTGAAGCTTCATCTGTGTTTACAGCCATTCCCCATTGCTCACTTTACCACCTGAGCCCCACCTCCTCTCAAATCACCCACAATATTAGATTCTCATACATAGCATGAACTCTATTGTGAACTGAGCATGTAAGGGATCTAGGTTGCATGCTCCTTATGAGAATCTAATGCCTGATGATTTGCCACTGTCTTCCATCACCCCCAGATGGAACTGTCTACTTGCAGGAAAACAAGCTCAGGGCTCCCACTGATTCTATAATTATTTAATTATATATTACAATGTAACAATAATAGAAATAAAGTGCACAATAAATGTAATACACTTGAAACATCCTGAAACCATCCCCCACCCCTGGTCAATGGAAAAATTGTCTTCCATGAAACTGGTCCCTGGTGCCAAAAAGGTTGGGTACTGCTGATTTAGATGACTGTTTTAAATTGACCACGTAAACCATAGCAAACAAACAACAACAAAACCTCAGTCTCTTATTGAGCCTTATGTACCAAATTTTATATAATTTTTGTTTGACTTCAAACTCTCACATATGTGTTGTTTATCCTCATTTTATTGGTGTTAAAAGTAGAACTCAAGAGATGCCAAGTGACTTATCTAAGATTGTATGCCCAAACTCTGATGAAGCTCTGCATTGGTCACATGTCCATACAGTTCCAAAGTCTGTGCTCATTCAGTCATACTTCTAAATGGAGGTTCTGTTTTTAACATTTTTATTTTATTTTAAGTTCAGGGGCACATGTGCTGGTTTGTTACATGGGTATATTGTATGATGCTGAGGTTTGGGCTTCTATTACTGGAAGTCATCTAAGTAGTGAACACAGTACTTGATATGTAATTTTTCAACCCTCACCCCCTCCCTCCCTCCCTTCTTTGAGAATCTCCAGTGTTTGTTGCTGCCATCTTTATATACGTGAGTACCCAAAGTTTTGTTACCACTTGTAAGCAAGAATATGTGGTATTTGGTTTTCCGTTTCTGTGTTAATTTGCTTAGGGTAATGGCCTCCTGCTGCATCTGCATTGCTGCAAGAGACATGATTTATTTCTCTTTTATGGCTGCATAGTATTCTGTGTTGCATTTGTAGCACCATTTTCTTTATTCAGTCTACCACTGTTGGGAACCTGGGATGATTCTATGTCTTTGCTGTTGTAAATAGTCCTGCAATAGACATATGAGTGCAGGTGTCTTTTTGGTAGAAAGATTTATTTCTGTTTGGGTATCCCAGTAATGGGATTGTTAGGTCCAATGGTAGCTCTGTTTTTAATTCTTTGAGCACTTTCCGAACTGTTTTCCACAGAGTTGAACTAATTTGCATTCCTAACAACAGTGTATAAGTGTTCCCTTTTCTCCACAATCTCAACAACATCTGTTATGCTCTGACTTTTTAATAATAGTCGTTCTATTCTGTAAACTGGTGTGAGATGGTATTTCATCATCTTTTTGATTTGCATCTCTCTGATGATTTATAATGGTTAGCATTTTTTCATACGTTTCTTTGCTATTTGTGTGTCTTCTTTTGAGAAGCATCTTTCATGCTTCTTTTAAGAAGCATGTTCATGCCTTTGCCCACTTTTTAATGGGGTTATTTGTTTTTATTCTTGTTGATATGTTTACATTTCTTGTAGATTCTGGATATTAGTCCTTCATTAGATGCATAGTTTGCACAAATATTTTCTCCCATTCTGTAGGTTGTCTGTTTACTCTGTTGATACTTTCTTTTGTTATGCAGAAGGTCATCAGTTTAACTGGGTCCCAATTGTTAATTTTTCTTTTGGTTGCATTTGCTCTGGAGGACTTAGACATACAATTTTTTGCCTAGGACAAGGTCCACAAGACTATTTTCTAGCTTTTCCTCTAGGATTTTTATGATTTGAGTTATTACATTTAAGTCTTTAATCCACCATGAGTTAATTTTTGTGAATGATACGAGGTAAGGGTCCTGTTTTATTCTTCTGCATATGGTTAGCCAGTTTTCCCAGCACCATTTATTGAATAGAGTATCCTTTCTCCACTGTTTATCTTTGTTACCTTTATCAAGGATCAGTTGTTTTAGGTGTGAAGCTTTATTTCAGGGGTCTTGTATTAGGTTTCTCTAGAGGGACAGGAGTAATATATATTTTATATATATTTCATATATATCTCATATATATATTTCATATATATATACATATATAATATATGTTATATATAACATATATATGTTATATATATAACATATATATGTTATATATATATGAAATATATATGTTATATATATATGAAATATATATGTTATATATATATATAAATATATATATATGAAAGGGAGTTTGTTAAGGAGTATCGACTCACACCATCACAAGGCAAAGTCCCATGATAGGCCGTCTGCAAGCTGAGGAGCAAGAGTCAGTCTGAGTCCTATAACTTCAAATTTAGGGACGCCGACATCGCAGCCTTCAGTCTGTGGCCAAAGGCCCGAGAGCCTCTGGCAAACCACTGGTGTAAGTCCAAGAATCCAAAAGCTGAAGAACTTGGAGTCCAATGTTGGAGAGGAGGAAGCATCCAGCACAGGAGAAAGATGAAGGCCAGAAGACTCAGCCAGTCTAGTCTTCCAGTTTCTCTTGCCTGCTTTATTCTAGCTGTGCTTCAGCTGATTAGATGGTGCCCACTCAGATTGAGGGTGGGTCTGTATCTCCCAGGTCACTGACACAAATGTTAATTTCCTTTGATGACAGCCCCACAGACACACCCAGGAACAATACTTTCCATTCTTCAACCAATCAGTTGACACTCATTATTAACCATCATAGGTCTCTATTCTGTTCCATTGGTCTATGTGTCTATTTTTGTATCAGTACTGTTTTGTTTACTGTATCCTTGTAGTATAGCTTGAAGTAGGGGAATGTGATACCTCAGGCTTTGTTATTTTTTGCTTAAAATTTCTTTGGCTATTTGGGCTCTTTTATGGTTCTATGTGAATTTAAAAGTAGTTTTTCCTAATTTAGTGAAAAACGACAATGGTAATTTGATAGCAATAGCATTACATCTACAGATTGCTTTGGGCAGTATGTCCATTTTAACCATATTGAATCTTCTAATCCATCATTATGGAACATTTTTCCATTTGTTTGTGTTATCTGTGATTTCTTTTGCAGTGTTTTGTAGCTCTCCTTGTAGAGATCTTTCACCTTCTTGGTCAGGTATAGTCCTAGGTATTGTGTGTGTGTGTGTGTGTGTGTGTGTGTGTGTGTGTGTATCTATTGTATATGTGGCCATGTTCTTGATTTGGCTCCAAGCTTAAACATTATTGGTGGATAGAAATGTTTACTAATTTTTGAATATTGATTTTGTATCCTGAAACTTTGCTGAAGTTGTTTATTAGGTCTAAAAGTCTTTCAGTGTAATGCTTAGGGTTTTCTAAGTATAGGATCATACCATCAGTGAAAAGAGATAATTTGACTTCTTTTCCTATTTGGATGCCTTTTATTTCTTTCTTTTGCCTGATTGCTATATCTGAGACTTCCAGTAGTATGTTGAGTAGGAGTGGTGAGAGTGGACACCCTTGTCTTGTTCCACTCTTTACAGAAAATGCTACCAGCTTTTGCCATTCAGTATGATGTGGTCTGTGGGTTTGTCATAGATGGCTCTTATTATTTTGTGTCCTATTCTTTCAATGCCTAGTTGGTTGAGGGTTTTTGTCATGAAGGGATGTTGGATTTTATCAAATTCTTTTTCTGTGTCTATTGAGGTGATCATATAGTTTTTGTTTTTAACTATATTTATGTGGTGAATTACATTTATTAATTGCATATTTCTGGGCCTTGAAGCCCAGAAATAAAGTCCACTTGATTGGGATCAATTAACTTTTTTTTTTATATTATTATACTTTAAGTTTTAGGGTACATGTACACAATGTGCAGGTTAGTTACATATGTATACATGTGCCATGGTGGTGTGCTGCACCCATTAACTCGTCATTTAGCATTAGGTATATCTCCTAATGCTATCCCTCTCCCATCCCCCACCCCACAACAGTCCCCAGAATGTGATGTTCCCCTTCCTGAGTCCATGTGTTCTCATTGTTCAATTCCCACCTATGAGTGAGAACATGCAGTGTTTGGTTTTTTGTTCTTGCAAGAGTTTACTGAGAATGATGATTTCCAATTTCATCCATGACCCTACAAAGGACATGAACTCATCATTTTTTATGACTGCATAGTATTCCATGGAGTATATGTGCCACATTTTCTTAATCCAGTCTATCATTGTTGGACATTTGGGTTGGTTCCAAGTCTTTGCTATTGTGAATAGTGCTGCAATAAACATATGTGTGCATGTGTCTTTATAGCAGCATGATTTATAGTCCTTTTGGTATATACCCAGTAATGGGATGGCTGGGTCAAATGGTATTTCTAGTTCTAGATCCCTGAGGAATTGCCACATTGACTTCCAAAATGGTTGAACTAGTTTACAGTCCCACCAACAGTGTAAAAGTGTTCCTATTTCTCCACATTCTCTCCAGCACCAGTTGTTTCCTGACTTTTTAATGATCGCCATTCTATCTGGTATGAGATGGTATCTCATTGTGGTTTTGATTTGCATTTCTCTGATGGCAGTGATGGTGAGCATTTTTTCATGTGTTTTTTGGCTGCATAAATGTTTTGTTTTGAGAAGTGTCTGTTCATGTCCTTTGCCCACTTTTTGATGGGGTTGTTTGTTTTTTTCTTGTAAATTTATTTGAGTTCATTGTAGATTCTGGATATTAGCCCTTTGTCAGATGAGTAGGTTGCGAAAATTTTCTCCCATTTTGTAGGTTCCCTGTTCGCTCCCATGGTAGTTTCTTTTGCTGTGCGGAAGCTCTTTAGTTTAATGAGATCCCATTTGTCAATTTTGGCTTTTTTGCCATTGCTTTCGGTGTTTTAGACATGAAGTCCATGCCCGTGCCTATGTCCTGAATGGTAATGCCTAGGTTTTCTTCTAGGGTTTTTATGGTTTTAGGTCTAACGTTTAGGTTTTTAATAGATCTTGAATTAATTATTGTATAAGGTGTAAGGAAGGGATCCAGTTTCAGCTTTCTCCATATGGCTAGCCAGTTTTCCCAGCACCATTTATTAAATAGGGAATCCTTTCCCCATTGCTTTTCTCAGGTTTGTCAAAGATCAGATAGTTGTAGATATGTGGCGTTATTTCTGAGGGCTCTGTTCTGTTCCATTGATCTATATCTCTGTTTTGGTACCAGTACCATGCTGTTTTGGTTACTGTAGCCTTGTAGTATAGTTTGAAGTCAGGGAGCGTGATGCCAAAAGCTTTCTTCTTTTGGCTTAGGATTGACTTGGTGATGCAGGCTCTTTTTTGGTTCCATAAGAACTTTCAAGTAGTTTTTTCCAATTCTGTGAAGAAAGTCATTGGTAGCTTGATGGGGATGGCATTGAATCTATAAATTACCTTGGGCAGTATGGCCTTTTTCATGATATTGATTCTTCCTACCCATGAGCATGGAATGTTCTTCCATTTCTTTGAATCCTCTTTTATTTCATTGAGCAGTGGTTTGTAGTTCTCTTTGAAGAGGTCCTTCACCTCTCTTGTAAGTTGGATTCTTAAGTATTTTATTCTCTTTGAAGCAATTGTGAATGGGAGTTCACTCATGATTTGGCTCTCTGTTTGTCTGTTATCGGTGTATAAGAATGCTTGTGTTTTTTGTACATTGATTTTGTATGCTGAGACTTTGCTGAAGTTGCTTATCAGCTTAAGGAGATTTTGGGCTGAGACGATGGGGTTTTCTAGATATACAATCATGTCATCTGCAAACAGGGACAATTTGACTTCCTCTTTTCCTAATTGAATACCCTTTATTTCCTTCTCCTGCCTAATTGCCCTGGCCAGAACTTCCAACACTATGTGGAATAGGAGTGGTGAGAGAGGGCATCCCTGTCTTCTGCCCGTTTTCAAAGGGAATGCTTCCAGTGTTTGCCCATTCAGTATGATATTGGCTGTGGGTTTGTCATAGATAGCTCTTATTATTTTGAGATACGTCCCTTCAATACCTAATTCATTGAGAGTTTTTAGCATGAAGTGTTGTTGAATTTTGTCAAAGGCCTTTTCTGCATCTATTGAGATAATCATGTTTTTTTTTTTGTCTTTGGTTCTGTTTATACGCTGGATTACGTTTATTGATTTGCATATATTGAACCAGCCTTGCATCCCAGGGATGAAGCCCACTTGATCATGGTGGAGAAGCTTTTTGATGTGCTGTTGGATTCGGTTTGCCCGTATTTTATTGAGGATTTTTGCATCAATGTTCATCAAGTATATTGGTCTAAAATTCTCTTTTTTGGTTGTGTCTCTGCCCGGCTTTGGTATCAGGATGCTGCTGGCCTCATAAAATGAGTTAGGGAGGATTCCCTCTTTTTCTATTGATTGGAATAGTTTCATAACGAATGGTACCAGTTCCTCCTTGTACCTCTGGTAGAATTCGGCTGTGAATCCATCTGGTCCTGGTCTCTTTTTAGTTGGTAAGCTATTGATTATTGCCACAAATTCAGAGCCTGTTATTGGTCTATTCAGAGATTCAACTTCTTCCTGGTTTAGTCTGGGGAGGGTGTATGTTTCGAGGCATTTATCCATTTCTTCTAGATTTTCTAGTTTATTTGCGTAGAGGTATTTGTAGTATTCTCTGATCGTAGTTTGTATTTCTGTGGGATCGGTGGTAGTATCCCCTTTATCATTTTTTATTGCGTCTATTTGATTCTTCTCTCTTTTCTTCTTTATTAGTCTTGCTAGTGGTCTATTAATTTTGCTGATCCTTTCAAAAAACCAGCTCCTGGATTCATTAATTTTTGAAGGGTTTTTTGTGTCTCTATTTCCTTCAGTTCTGCTCTGATCTTAGTTATTTCTTGCCTTCTGCTAGCTTTTGAATGTGTTTGCTCTTGCTTTTCTAGTTCTTTTAATTGTGATGTTAGGGTGTCAATTTTGGATCTTTCCTGCTTTCTCTTGTGGGCATTTAGTGCTATAAATTTCCCTCTACACATTGCTTTGAATGTGTCCCAGAGATTCTGGTATGCTGTGTCTTTGTTCTCGCTGGTTTCAAAGAACATCTTTATTTCTGCCTTCATTTCGTTATTTACCCAGTAGTCATTCAGGAGCAGGTTGTTCAGTTTCCATGTAGTTGAGCGGTTTTGAGTGAGTTTCTTAATCCTGAGTTCTAGTTTGATTGCACTGTGGTCTGAGAGACAGTTTGTTATAATTTCTGTTCTTTTACATTTGCTGAGGAGAGCTTTACTTCCAACTATGTGGTCAATTTTGGAATAGGTGTGGTGTGGTGCTGAAAAAGACGTATATTCTGTTGATTTGGGGTGGAGAGTTCTGTATATGTCTATTAGGTCCACTTGGTGCAGAGCTGAGTTCAATTCCTGGGTATCCTTGTTAACTTTCTGTCTCGTTGATCTGTCTAATGTTGACAGTGGGGTGTTAAAGTCTCCCATTATTATTGTGTGGGAATCTAAGTCTCTTTGTAGGTCACTCAGGACTTGCTTTATGAATCTAGGTGCTCCTGTATTGGGTGCATATATATTTAGGATAGTTAGCTCTTCTTGTTGAATTGATCTCTTTACCATTATGTAATGGCCTTATTTGTCTCTTTTGATCTTTGTTGGTTTAAAGTCTGTTGTATCAGAGACTAGGATTGCAACCCATGCTTTTTTTGCTTTCCATTTGCTTGGTAGATCTTCCTCCATCCCTTTATTTTGAGCCTATGTGTGTCTCTGCATGTGAGATCAGTCTCCTGAATACAGCACACTGTTGACTCTTGACTCTTTATCCAATTTGCCACTCTGTGTCTTTTAATTGGGGCATTTAGTCCATTTACATTTAAAGTTAATATTGTTATGTGTGAATTTGATCCTGTCACTATGATGTTAGCTGGTTATTTTGCTCGTTAGTTGATGCAGTTTCTTCCTAGTCTCGATGGTCTTTACATTTTGGCATGATTTTGCAGCGGCTGGTACCAGTTGTTCCTTTCCATGTTTAGTGCTTCCTTCAGGAGCTCTTGTAAGGCAAGCCTGGTGGTGACAAAATCTCTCAGCATTTGCTTGTCTATAAAGGATTTTATTTCTCCTTCACTTATGAAGCTTAGTTTGGCTGGATATGAAATTCTGGGTTGAAAATTCTTTTCTTTAAGAATGTTGAATATTGGCCCCCACTCTCTTCTGGCTTGTAGAGTTTCTGCCGAAAGATCCGCTGTTAGTCTGATGGGCTTCCCTTTGTGGGTAACCCGACCTTTCTCTCTGGCTGCCCTTAACATTTTTTCCTTCATTTCAACTTTGGTGAATCAGACAATTATGTGTCTTGGAGTTGCTCTTCTTGAGGAGTATCTTTGTGGCATTCTCTGTATTTCCTGAATCTGAATGTTGGCCTGCCTTGCTAGATTAGGGAAATTCTCCTGGATAATATCCTGCAGAGTGTTTTCCAACTTGGTTCCATTCTCCCCGTCAGTTTCAGGTACACCAATCAGATGTAGATTTGGTCTTTTCACATAGTCCCATATTTCTTGGAGGCTTTGTTCATTTCTTTTTATTCTTTTTTCTCTGAACTTCCCTTCTCGCTTCATTTCATTCATTTTATCTTCCGTCACTGATACCCTTTCTTCCAGTTGATCACATCCGCTCCTGAGGCTTCTGCATTCTTCATGTAGTTCTTTGGCTTTCAGCTCCATCAGCTCCTTTAAGCACTTCTCTGTATTGGTTATTCTAGTTATACATTCATCTAAATTTTTTTCAAAGTTTTTAACTTCTTTGCCTTTGGTTTTAATTTCCTCCTGTAGCTCGAAGTAGTTTGATCATCTGAAGCCTTCTTCTCTCAACTCGTCAAAGTCATTCTCTATCCAGCTTTGTTTCATTGCTGGTGAGGAACTGTGTTCCTTTGGAGGAGGAGAGGTGCTCTGCTTTTTAGAGTTTGCAGTTTTTCTGCTCTGTTTTTTTCCCCATCTTTGTGGTTTTATCTACTTTTGGTCTTTGATGATGGTGATGTACAGATGGGTTTTTGGAGTGGTTGTCCTTTCTGTTTGTTAGTTTTCCTTCTAACAGACAGGACCCTCAGCAGCAGGTCTGTTGGAGTTTGCTAGAGGTCCACTCCAGACCCTGTTTGCCTGGGTACCAGCAGCAGTGGCTGCAGAACAGTGGATTTTCGTGAACCAGGAATGCTGCTGTCTCATCTTTCCTCTGGAAGTTTTGTCTCAGAGGAGTACCCAGCCGTGTGAGGTGTCAGTCTGCCCCTACTGGGGGGTGCCTCCCAGTTAGGCTGCTTGTGGGTCAGTGGTCAGGGACCCACTTAAGGAGGCAGTCTGCCCGTTCTCAGATCTCCAGCTGCATGCTGGGAGAACCACTGCTCTCTTCAAAGCTGTCAGACAGGGACATTTAAGTCTGCAGAGGTTACTGCTGTCTTTTTGTTTGTCTGTGCCCTGCCCCCAGAGGTGGAGCCTACAGAGGCAGGCAGGCCTCCCTGAGCTGTGGTGGGCTCCACCCAGTTGGAGCTTCCCGGCTGCTTTGTTTACCTAAGCAAGCCTGGAGAACGGCGAGCACCCCTCCCCCAGCCTCGCTGCCGCCTTGCAGTTTGATCTCAGACTGCTGTGCTAGCAATCAGTGAGACTCTGTGGGCATAGGACCCTCCGAGCCATGTGCGGGATATAATCTCCTGGTGCGCCGTTTTTTAAGCCCGTTAGAAAAGCGCAGAATTAGGGCGGGAGTGACCCGATTTTCCAGGTGCCGTCTGTCACCCCTTTCTTTGACTAGGAAAGGGAACTCCCTGACCCCTTGTGCTTCCTGAGCAAGGCAATGCCTCGCCCTGCTTTGGCTCGTGCACGGTGTGCTGCACCCACTGTCCTGTGCCCACTGTCTGGCACTCCCTAGTGAGATGAACCCGGTACCTCAGATGGAAATGCAGAAATCACCCGTCTTCTGCTTCACTCACGCTGGGAGCTGTAGACCAGAGCTGTTCCTATTCGGCCATCTTGGCTCTGACCTCCTCATGAATTAACTTTTGAAGTGCTGCTGAATCTGGTTTGCTAAAATCTTGTTGAGGATTTTTGTGTATTGTATTCATGAGGGATATTGGCCTGCAGTTTTCTTTGTTGTTGTTGTTTCTGTGTCTTTGCCAGATTTTGGAGTCAGGATGAACCGGTTTCATAGAATGAGTTAGGGAGTTGTCCTTCCTGCTGTATTTTTTGAAATATTTTCAATAGGATTGGTACCAGCTCTTTTTTGTATGTCTAGTAGAATTTGGCTGTGAATCCTTCTGGTCCAGGGCTATTTTTGATTAGCAGAATTTTTATTAATGATTCAATTTCATTACTCACCATTTATCTGTTTAGGATTTCTGTTTCTTCCTGGTTCAATCTTGGGGCATTGCATGTTTCCAGAAATGTATCCATTTCCTCTAAATGTTCTAGTTTGTGTGCATAGAGATGTTCATAGTAGTCTCTGAGGATCTTTTATATTTCTGTAGGATAAATTGTGATATCACCTTTGTCGTTTCTGATTGTGCTTATTTGGATCTTCTCTACGTTTTTCTTTGTTAATCTAGCTAGTGGTCTATCAATCTTGTTTATTCTTCCAAATAACTGGACCACCCTTAAATTTCCAAATATCAAAACTAATTATTAATTTTCAGTTTCTCTTACGAACAGCCACTAGCAGCAGAGTTACCAAGAAAATGAATCAAATGATGTGTTCTCTCATCAAAATTGCAGGAGAGAGAGCACAATGATGAACAATGCATAACTATTGTCAGACTATGCTCACATATCCTTTAAAAGCATAGTTTAGACCAATTTTTTTCCATATAGACATTTTACCTCTGACAAAAACTAAGAAAATTATAAAAGAAAATGAATTTAAAAGTACTTTTACATGAGAGGCAGTTGACATCTAAATAGGCACATTTTCAATTTTGGAGTTATTTATGGACAACTAAACGTTGATATAATTTTACAAACAGAATTTGATTTCAATGATATAATACATGATATTTAAAATAACTCACTTGAGCTTATAATTCTCACAGGCGAAATGGTTTTATTGTTTTATAATGATATCATATACTCTTAATTTCCTCTCCACTGGAATCAAATCTACCTGATTAATTTGGAAGCATTCATTTGGGCTTGCTGAGCTATATTCCACTGAGTGGCAACTAGTGGGTCATTTAGTTTTCACACATTGAAATCCACAAGTGGAACATTCCTGATATCAACATAAAAGCAAAATTTTGTAAGCCACCAAAGAAGCATCTGTATGTATGCCTTGATGGCTACAGGATTGTACGTTCCTCAGCTTTACCAACACCTGTTCAAACTCACTTCCTGAAATAACTTCGTTCTATTCCAAAGACATCTACCAAGCACATTAGGAACTGTTAAAGTAATATTCTTGGGACGTATTTTTCTAGTTTAAATACATGTCTCTTTCTTGCATTCATAGAAATTTACCTAAAATATGTAATAATTTTATAAATTATTATACTCCATATTCCTAAATTTCTAAGTCAAATGTATTCAAGGAGATCTTTTCCCAATTTTCTGTCTTGGTAAAACTCTTCAGTATTATCAGCGTCATTAATATGTACACTAGCAAGATAATCCACTTTAAGGATAACAAAAAAATGCTTTGAGACAGTGTTATGTTAATATGTTCAAACAAGTTACACTATTCAAGTGACAGTGAAAAAGCTTGTATTCTTATTTTTATTTTGGTCTATGGTAGAAACATATTTTCTTGCATGTGAACATATCCTGTCAAAATAGGTCATCAGCCTCCCAAATGTTAACTTCATGCAATCCTGTGCTGTCTTGTCACTAGGACTTATGTTTTCTATGTCTTTCCAGAGTATCATTTGCAAACCAAACTGCCCTCCTTTAGGCACACAGCATTATTCTCATTATTATTTTTTTGCAATAAATTAACTCTTTAATGTTATCTAACAGAGATAAGGAGCACAGTATTTTCACACTCTAGAGGTAGGGATTGATTCATGCTCCTATCCTTACTCTCTTCACAGCAGTTGTTGTTTATTTGTGCATGTGTGGAGTGGGGAGTAGATATTGAAATGCTGATTTCCTGACCCAGTGACTTGTAAATTTTCCCAGGAGGAAAACTGTTTTTTTTGTTTTTCGTTTTCAAACTTATTGTTTCATGGTTACAAGGTGGCTACCATGAAAGAAAGAGTAAGTTGATAGGTCAGCAACATCTGTTCAACTCACTCAAATAGCAAAGACTTCCCAGAGATTGTCCAGCTGATATTTTATTGACCTAATTAAGAATTAAGAAGAATTGGTTTAATTTAAATAAAAATAGAATATTGTTGCCATCCCAGCTATTAGTTTAACAGCTACAAATCATTCTTATAAAGCCTTTTTATCTGCTTATGTATGCATAACAGTAACAAAGTCTACCAACTATTGAGGCTTATGATATGCTAATTTCCATGTTATTTCCTTACATTGTCTTAATATTCACAACAACCTTAAGAGTTAGTCATTATTATATCTATTTATAGATTAAGACTGGAAAATTATGAAAATGGGTACCTTGCCCTTTATCATGAGCACTAAGCTTGATATTTTATTTTGCCCAAATTCCTACCTAAGGGTTCTAGGGAGTCATGCCCTATAAACCATAAATTCTCATCATATGGGTTTTATTTGACCATGTATATCATATATATATCACTAGATTAGAAAAATTAGGCTACCAAATCAAAGAAAATGAATGAGAATCATAGTTTAGCTGGCATCTAGAATCATCAAAAAGAGAGAACGATAAACTCGCCTCCCTCCAGGAAGTTAGTAAAAAAAAAAATTGAAATTGTCTCAGAGTTAAAGAAATCAGTAGAACCACTTCTGAAATCAGGAAGGCTCCAGAAACTGTCTCCTCTGCTGCTTCTCCTGACCCTCTGCTCTCTGAACTTCCTTGTCTGGACAATTTCATTTTTTCCTCCTCCTTCCCCTACTCCCTTTCCTCAAGCCACAGGGGGATCAGAAATAGCTGGAGAAAATAAAATAGTAGTTGGTCCTTTTTAGAGTAAAAACCAAAGGCACAGAGGATCCTAACATAATATATACCCCCTATACCAAGTCAGAGTTGAAGACCCTGGTATCTAGATTCCTCAATCCGACTTAAGATCCCTTTGGGTTTGCTAAGGAATTCCAATTAACATTTCAGACTTATGATCCAGAGTTCTCTCACCTATATCAGCTGATTGAGTTACTGATCCCCAAAAACAAAGCTGAAAAATGGTTTAGAGTAGCAGCCTTTAATATTCTAAAGGCTGGAAACAGATTCGTGTCAGGCCTCTGAGCCCAAGCCTGCACGTATACGTACAGATGGCCTGAAGCAACTGAAGAATCACAAAAGAAGCAAAAATGGCTGGTTCCTGTCTTAACTGATGACATTACCTTGTGAAATTCCTTCTCCTGGCTCAGAAGCTCCCCCACTGAGCACCTTGTGTCCTCTGCCCCTGCCCGCAAGAGAACAACCCCCTTTGACTGTAATTTTCCACTAACTACTCAAATCCTATAAAGCTGCCCCACCCCTGTCTCCCTTTGCTGACTCCTTTTTTGGACTCAGCCCACCTGCACCCAGGTGATCAGAAAGCTTTATTGCTCACACAAAGCCTGTTTGGTGGTCTCTTCACACCGACATGCGTGACAATTAGATCTTTAGAAGATTTTGACAAAATAGATGCAACTGAAAGAGAAAAATGCAGAGAGCTTTGCAATCACCTCTGTGAAACTACCACAGATATTACCCAAGGTTATAGATTGGGCAAAGGTACAACAACGCAAAATATGCTCAAACGAAATCCTACCTGACTCTTATATCAGGTGTTAAAAGACATTCAGTTTTCAGGAATACCTCCTGAAAACGTTAAGCACAGTGGAAGTGACACTTTACTAAATTCTGGGTTTATTCAAGGTTTATATAAGGAGTTAGCAAGCCTAATAAGGAGGAATAATGTGGCTTGGGCTTCCTTGCCCACTAACCACCTAGTCACTCTAGCTGACCAGTTGTCACAAATAGTCATTAAGAAAGAAAACAGTCTCTAAAATTATGAGTTTACAACTAAAACAGCTTAGTAACCAAGTTGGGAGTTTGCAAGGGTCCCATGGTCCCTAGAGATCTAAGTGACCCCAAGAAGAAGCAATTTGCCACCATTGCAAAAAGAAAGGACATTTTAAAAAAGAATGCAAAAAACTTAAATGGGTGCTTACATAAATGAGGCAAAGGGCCCCGGATGAAGACACCAGAACAACTCAAAAATTAGAAACGGGATGTTCCGAGGGAATAGAGAGGGCTTTCCCCCTGCTTCTAACTAATGCTTTGGGAGTAGAAATATCCATAAATTGGGAAAACACCAAAGCCCTTATCGACACTGGCACTACACTGTCAGTCCTCTCAACTCCAACTTGATTAAAAACCCTCTCCCTCGGAGTAAAGAAAAAGTCCAAATGGTAGGGGTTTAAAAATCTGCTGTTACAGCCTTTAAATCAAATCCTCTTCAATTTCAATTAGGGTAACTAGTGGGGCATCACTTTTTTCTTATAGTAGATAGTGCCCCCATACACCTGCTGGGACAGGATTTCCTAGAGACCCTTAATGCTTACATCTCATTTTCACAAAAGGGAGAAATGATTCTCAACTTGGAAGACACAGAAGACTTACAAAAGTCCACATGTAATATGCTTGTGAAAGTTAATCAAGATTCTGGACAGGAAGAATTAGAGCCTTTTTTATCTAAGGTACCAGACCTCCTCCACAGAGGAGGACTTCCACTCCTCTGTGGAAGGGCAAGCTCTTCCACAGATATTGGAAGAATTCAATCAGCAGTCCCTATAAAGAAGCCTTATGGAATACCAAGACAAGGGTATACTTAGGTGTAACCTCCACTCACCTAACAATCAGCAGTTCTGGATTGACTCCATTTATCCAAATTGTACAAATGCCATCAGTATACAATGACAACAGCATTTCTGGTGGATGCCTCAAAATTGGCCATCCAAAAAACTAAAGCGTGACCTCACTGGAGGAGTTGGAGCTGGGCTAGGCATACTGGGGCAAGCTGAATTTATGACTAATGAAGAAAGATGTTCTTTAGAAAAAAATTCCCTATCAAAAATAAGCCACTTAGAAGTAATACTATTCCAGGAAGAGGGAAAAGGATGGGAAGCTGCTTTAAAAAGATAATGCAGCACTCATCAAATGGACAGAAGAAACCAGACGAACCATAAAAACATACTCCCAAAACCAAAGATGGGAACAAGCATGTACTCTTACTCAACAGGGGCTCATTTTATTACAAATGGCATCTGAGGTGGCTATGGAGCAATGGCCTACAATCCTAAGTGCTGAGGCACAATCCAAACACCTGTGGAAACTATATGTCCCCCCAAACTTATGGAGATTTTTGGATGGTAAATGTGACCTTAAAAATTGTATTCTTAGAGCACAGGTACTGAAGTTAAATGAGGCTTAAAGGTACTCTGCCATCCAACTGGCAGGCATTGGGACTATTGTAAACAATACAAGACTATTCCCCCTGGGAAACACGTGTGCTATTTTAGCTGGTAATAACACATGGCATACCATCTCCCTTTCAGATTGTGAAAACAGAAAAAGAGAATGGCTATGCCTTCAAACCATTTGGAATCCTGATTTTTCCCAAACTTGGCCTCTAATATCCACCCTCATGGAATATAGTATCTGGTATATAGGGAAGGGCTACTTCTGTTGGGAGGGACAACAAAATGACACTGTAGAATTCTATGACTTCCCCTGTGAAAAAAAAACCTCCTTTTCTCTCCCAAGTATCAGCATATGCTGCAATACAAAAGTGGTGGGAAAAATAGATTTGTCCACTGTTAACAATTTTCATAACAATTTAGACATGGAGGAACAGGCATTCCTCACATTTGATTTATACCCTCCTCAGGGTGTTATACCTATGGAGATAAACTGGCCAGAAGAGAGATTAAAGTTATTGGATTCTGATTAACTGCCAGCCCTGCAATCCTCAAATAAGATTTATGGTAAAGTTCAAATGACCCTTGATAAGAAGGATAAACACATTATGAGTGTGATCAAAGAGTATGATGATGCATGCAGTGGGTTTTTTGGCTATTTAGGTTGTTTACTGCCCTCTGACTCTACCTCTTACCTTCTTGGGTGCCTAATCTTTGCTATCTTCATAGTATTTGTCACTGTATTCGCATTATATATCTCTTGTAAATGCTATGACAGATACAGCAAAAGGAAGAAGGCACATTTCAAGACCTGGATCATGATAGCTCGCAAAATAGATACGATCTGGGATTTTTTTTAGACTAAACCCTAGGCCTGACTTCATCTTACCCCTTAAACTATTGGCTAGTACATCAGGTCAGACCGTGTCCTCTCCCCATGATCCAAATCGCAAATATTTAAAACTATTACCACCAACCATACTATTCTAGGAATGGGCCTTCCTAGCACCGTGGGACCTGTTGCTGTTTGTTGGCCTGCATGGGCATTCTGTGGAATGATTTTTGCCCAAGAAGGGGGACTGAGGACTAACCTCTGTTTTTTTATCTTGCCCAAATTCCTGCCTAAGGGGTCTAGGGAGTCATGCCCTACAAACCATGCATTCTCATCAGATGAGTTTTATTTGACCCTACATATCCTGACTTACTTTTCAATCTGACTCTGGCGTAACATTATGAGGCAAGGAAAAAATATTTAGCCCCAAAATGTATTTCCTTGTCATACCTTGAAATTGCCCTGAAAAGTCTCTTGTAGCAAAAATCCACATCCTATAGAGAATCCCCTTTCCCCTTTCTTTCCTTTCCTTTCTTTCTAGATCCAGGAGATAATCAACTAAGAACCAGGCACCCTTTTAGGTCTGATAAGAAACATTTTACACCATGCTCTCTCTCTGAAGTCTGCTATCTGAGAGATTCCTCTGCACAATAAAATGTGGTCTCCACAATCCTTTATCTGAAGTTGAACATTTCTTTCCATTGATCCCAGGTCTTCAGATAAACTCAACCAATTGTCAACCAGAAAATATTTAAAGGTACTTATAGCCTGGAAGCCCTCTCTTTGAGTTGTCCCGACTTTCTGAACCTAACCAATGTATTTCTTTCTTCTTTTCTTTTTTTTTGAGATGGACTTTCGCCCTTGTTGCCCATGCTGGAGTGCAATGGTGCCATCTTGGCTCACTGCAACCTCTACCTCCTGGGTTCAAGCGATTCTCCTGCCTTAGCCCCCGAGTAGCTGGGATTACAGGCATGCGCCACCATGCCCAGCTAATTTTGTATTTTTAGTAGAGATGAGGTTTCTCCATGTTGGTCAGGCTGGCTTGGACTCCCGACCTCAGGTGATCCGCCTGCCTTGGCCTCCCAAAGTGCTGGGATTACAGGTGTGAGCCGCCATGCCCAGCCACCAGTGTATTTCTTAAATGTATTTGATAGATGTCTCATGCCTCCCTAAATTATATAAAACCAAACTGTACCCCAACCACATTGGGCACATGTTCTTAGGACATCTTGAGGGCTGTGTCACAGGCCATGGTCACTCATAGTTGGCTCAGAATAAATCTCTTCAAATATTTTATAGATTTTAACTGTTATTATTGACAATAATAACTGAGCTAGAAAGAGATAAATTCTAAGAACTAAGACTCTGACTTCAAACACCATGCTCTTGACCATCATAATAATCAGTCAGGACTACATATGTGTATGTTGTAGAATTCAAGAGCATTCTTTTGCCCAGAAGTTGCCTCTTGTAGGAACATATGCATTTGGGCATTATTACACAATTCACCCTTTGAACTTTATTTCTTGACTTCTCTGTCTATGGGTCTATAGTGGGCTGAATGGTGCTGCCCCTGCCTCCAAAATAAAGATGTTTATGTCCTAATTCCTGGGAACCGTGAATGTTATTTTATATGACAAAAGAGTAACATTACATTATATGGCAAAAAAAAGTAATTTAGATAAGGATCTTGAAAGAAGGAGCATATCCTAAATTATCTGAGCGGGCTCTAAAGCCATCACAAGTGTCTGTGTGAGAGTTGGATGGAGACTAGACACACACAGAGGACAGAAACACAGGAGAAAGCAGATAAGATATTTTGAAAATGGAGGCAAAGACTGCAGTAATGCAACTTCAAGCTAAGAAATGCTGGCAACCACCAGAAACTTAAAGAAGCAAGGATCAGAATCTCCTCTGGAACCTTTGGAAGAGACGGCAGTTTTTCCAACAAGTTGAATTTCTGGTCTCCATAATTGTGAGAGAATACATTTGTCATTTTAAGCCACAGAGTTTATGGTAATTTGTTATGGAAGCAACAGAAAATTTATACAGCCTCCATAACCTTCCCTATATTCGATCTTTATTTGGACATTGAAAAATATCTTATATTGATTTTGTGAGTTTATTAAATGTTTGGGGAGGCAAGCAGGAAGGTAATCATTAAAACAGCATACATCCCCATCTATTCTGGTATCTTTCAGCCTCTCACATTTGCAGATGCACCACTTTGCCACTGTTGGTTCAGCATACATGCTAAGCTATCTTTCCTGTAGAGATGAGGGAATAAAGTGATTCTCAGTTAGGGTTTACCTTCTAGATCATGACTGCCACATTTGCTGCAGCTATTCAAGAGTCTCATCGAAGGTTTCTCTATATTTTCACTATTATACCCTTAATGTATTTGGCTTCTTGCCTCACAATTATAAAATGGCTGTCACAAAACAAAACAAAACAAAAAAAAGAACTGTCAACCAGGCCTGTTTGAGATAGTAATGTTTAGGGTACTTGTGGTTAACGGGTATTTTCTCATTTAAAAAATTGGTTATAACCAATACAAAATGACTAACTTCAGCATTATTATCAATAAAATGAGGTAATTTCTCTTGAGAATAATGGATGTAGAATATTTTATGACAAAGTTCAAATAATATTTGTTTCTATTTGATGTCCTGGATACCATATGCATACTCAAAACAGGTTGATTAGTTTATAGCTTAATCTATAGTGTGGCTTGCCTTGGATACCTTAAAATGGCTTCTCTGAAAGAAAAATGTAAAAATAAACATAATCACTTTCTTCTTTATTGCTTTCTTTTATGATATTTCTGGTTACTTTTACTTCTCAAATATTATTTTTCAAATAAATATTTATTTATTTACAAAAGAATTTAGCCTTATTCTTCCACAGGCTTTCCTTGGTAAATATAGATTACCTGTCAGATTTATAGCCCTTTGTTCTGAGGAGCTCAAGTTGTTGAACAAGGAGTTCTCAAGTGTTCACATGCAGAAACAGTGGGAAAATAATGAGAGTGATGTCATGGAATGAAAACAAAATGGTGAATGAGCACAATTTAAAAGTAAAAGTGAAGTAAAAATTAGGATAATTTTTAAAGTAATTATACATGAAATGACATTATATATTTCAGTTGTTTTTATCCTAAAATTCATAACCTTTCCCCAATTATTCCACCAAGTATCATACCATCAAGAAGAGTCCCACTATGGAGTCATATTTTTTATCAGAATTTAAATTTCTGGATGTACCCATATTAACTGAACTTCCCTTGGAAGATGACGTAATCTCTGTAAGCCTCATTTGTCTCATGTAAGGATCAATTTTGAGAATGAAATTTGCTTTACAGGTGTTGGGATGAATAAACAAAGCAATGTATGGAAAAAGTCTCCAGAAACATCTAACACTGCAAAAATATTCACTAATGACAGCTTCCTCTATTCATAATTAAATGAGACTTTTGCTCAAGATCCAAAGGTTATGGGATTAATCAAGAATATCTGTGTTATATTTTCTGTCTAGATGATTGTAATCCAGCTATAACTAAGACCCTGGAGATGACCCTTGTCTTAGGCTAATCTTGGGGCAAGATTCTGTACCTTTCTTCCTTATCCTCAAATAAATTTACTCCACAAGTATTAGTGTAAAAGAAAAAAAATTACATATACTCAGACAGTCAAGAAAGGAAAAAAAAGCATACATCACAGACCATAAAGTAAAACATAACAAAATCAACATTAGATATCAGTGTTCTACCATATCACCCCCAGAGTTTCATCTTCAGCTATATTTTCTGCCACATGCAGCCTTTCTAAGTAACCTTTCCCTTCTCCCAGAGCACCCTTTTGGTTAATCTCTTTTTTTCTTCTTATGGGCATTTTAGCCCTTAGTCTGAGTATTAGGAGTCTTTCTAAGTGACAGAAATGTGGATCAAATGGTCTTAATCCAAAATAAAAGAGTGGCTCACATAACTATAGTACAAGGATGGATATGATTTCATGTGTTACATGGTGCTGATGTTCTAATTATGTAAAAGATCCGTCTTTCTCTGTGTAGTTACTCTGCATTCTTCTCATTTTGTTTTCTTTTCAGTGAGGCTCTTTATGGTAGTGAGATGGCTACCAAGAGCCCCAAGCTCACATCTTCATGGGTAAACATGGTAAAAGCCAAACAACAGTCTTAGAATTGAGTTACATGCCTAATCACTAAACTCACCACTCATGCTAAGGAAATGATCATATGGCCACATATGAAAGAGGGAGAAGTTCTGTCCCACACATACCACAAGAGCAGATAAAGGATTGATTCCTCAAAAGAAAACTGAGGCATTCAGATATTTTTATTTAAAGGAGATAAATGTATATTGGGTAGGCTAAATTCAATACATTTTAGTTTATCCATGGCTTTTCAATATTCAAACTTAACCTTCTTCCTAAACACTTGATTACAAAAATTCCTCCACATAATAAAACAAAATCCTAATACAAACAAGTATAGATTATTTTATCTAGGGAGATAAACCCAAACTGCAGCTTCATTTTCTCCTTTAGGCAGTGAGACTATTCCCACACAAACCATATAGCCTTAAAATGAAAGCAGGGAGACCCTTTAAGACACATCGGAAAAATGAGGGCATTACTACTAGGAAACTGGAAATTAATGCTTATGCTGAGCAGGCACAAGCAATATATGTCCTGGACACATAGCTTCTTCAGGGAACTTCATCCCAACTCTCCATAAGATAATGAAGATAATCCTTTATTACCAAAGATAATTATCCAAGATAATCCTTGGATGGTAATGAAGATAGTAACTAATAATTTACCATGTGAAAATAGTACTTTTTGCTCTTATGTGAGCATTTTCCCACATATCATCCGATATTATTCCACCCAGTCACTAAACCAATGAGAATAAACTCAAAAGTTGGATACCTTTTAGTAAAAATATGAAGCCTGGTTTTCACATTTCCAATTATTAGTGATGGTTTTGATGCATCTGCTCACCTTCCATAACAAGAGCAGACCAGTTTACACATTCCTACCCTTCTCTTTCACATATTTTGAGGAAAGAAACATTAGGGATTTTGGAAGAATTTTGACAATAATAAAAGTGACAAAAACCAAAATGATAGCCAAGGTTGCTGTGATGTGCAAAGCAGCCCGGAGATGCTTTTGACTTCCAGGAGGAAACAAAATCTTTAAAAGAAACCATGCAGGATCCTAATGTCATTTCAAAGATTCTCATTGAAACCATTTAGACAGTCTGAATTCCTGTAGGCAGTATATTCTAAGTAATTAATAAAGTATATTATTTTAGTTGAATTTCAGTCTAGAATGGTACTAAAGAAGTTTCTATTCATTGAAGGTTATTGATTTTGAAAGAGTATATTTGAAAATAATCAATAAAATGTAATAGAAGAAGTTCCAAAAGTATGCCATGTTGTCAACAGAAGATTTGAAAGGCCAACCTGAGACAATAATAATTACCTTGTATTAGAATTTTACTATGTGCCCAATAATGTGATGCTTTACAAATGCTCATGCATTTAATCCCCACAATAGCTGCAAAGTCTATATTTATTACCCACATTTCAGATATGAGAAGAATAAAGCCCACAGAGGCCAAATAAGGTCATCCAAAACATAAGTTTTCAATCAGTATTGAAATTCAGGGGTGTCTAATGCTGAAACCCATGGAAATAATTTATTTAAAAGTTCTTTTAAAAATTGTTATTTGGAGGTCAACAAATCTTCTAAAGTAAAAATAACATTACTCATCCAAGGCAGTTCAATGTAGATAAAGAGCACAAACTGATGTTTGAAGCATTAAATTTTAACTGCAACTTGCTAGCTGTACAACTACAGGATATTTACTTAGCAATTCTATGGCACATTTTTCTTGATGAAAGATGAATAATACATATATCACATTCTTTAGAGAGACTAACACAGTGTCTGATACATATAGAAAATTATGGCTGTTGATAAGTATTAAATAATTTCAAAATATTTGAGTTGATATGTGCATAAGCCAGTAACAATTTTCTATTTAAGCCCAAACATAAGAGAAATTAGTGTAAAGATAGTCCAAGTCCATCAATATTTAAAATAGGCTCACTGGAACATAAGTAAATGTTTTTCAGTCATGCACTTAAAATCAATTATGGTTTTCTTTGAGTACATTTGTAATTATTCAGAGAAAGTTTAATCTTTCTATTTATGAAATTTCAGTTCTTTAAAGGAAATGGTGCTTTATATGTTCAGATAAATTTTTTTAAACTAAATATATTGCATTTCACTCTAATTATGTGACTCACATTCAAAAGTAATAAAATGTATATTTTATTAGACAAATATTGTAAAGCACTCTTTATGAAGACAATTTTGAGGAAGGCTGGACAATTACAAGTCATCTCCATTAAGTATTATAACTCTACCAAACACTATCATGGATAGCATTTGATATAAATTTTAAGTTATTAAAGTAAAATTAACTGAAATTATCAGAAATAAAACTATACATAAGCTAGTCTAATCTTGAGATCTAAAATACCAAAATAAATACCTAGTCTCTTCAAGGAAAAAATATCATGCCTTTAAAATTAGAAAATATGAAATCATTCAACACTAAGTAAAACAAGGTAAAATCAACTTTAGGAAATGGACTTTTAACTCAAAGATTGAACATGTCATCATATGATTAATAGTAATTAAATTTGTTAAAATTCATTATCTATAACTTTGATCAAGTATTATGTTATTTCAAATAAATGCCATTGTTTTGGGCATAAATTATGGTTTTAAATGTGAGATTCATGTATGTAAACACTGACTTCAATGTAAAAAAAGAATTGTGTCATTGTTCACCATGATCCAGAGCAAATCGAAAAAAAAGGGTAAAATGGTTCAAATAACAGAAATTTGAATGAAAATATCTCAGTGATATGAGGTCAAGTGTAGAGCAAAATATATTATGGTGAAACTATTATTTCAAAGTCCAGTTTTGTCACTGGTAAATTATGCGACTTTGGACAAATTATTCAGTCTCAGATGTTTACCAGTGTTGTACATAATCAGTGTCACTTTTTGTTGAAATGTAGTAACAGAGTCATAGAATATTAAAATTTAAAGGAAGTTTAGAGAGCACCAAGTATAGACTCTCTGTTCTATTTTAAGAAAATAACTGATTGGGACTGTAAACTAGTTCAACCATTGTGGAAGTCAGTGTGGCAACTCCTCAGGGATCTAGAACTAGAAATACCATTTGACCCAGCCATCCCATTACTGGGTATATACCCAAAGGATTATAAATCATGCTGCTATAAAGACACATGCACACGTATGTTTATTGCGGCAGTATTCACAATAGCAAAGACTTGGGACCAAGCCAAATGTCCAACAATGTTAGACTGGATTAAGAAAATGTGGCACATATACACCATGGAATACTATGCAGCCATAAAAAATGATGAGTTCATGTCCTTTGTAGGGACATGGATGAAGCTGGAAACTATCATTCTCAGCAAACTATCACAAGGACAAAAACCAAACACTGCATGTTCTCAGTCATAGGAGGGAATTGAACGATGAGAACACTTGGACACAGGAGGGGGAACATCACACACCAGGGCCTGTTGTGGGGTGGGGGGAAGGGGGAGGGGAGAGGGATAGCATTAGGAGATATACCCAATGTAAATGACGAGCTAAAGGGTTCAGCACACCAACATGGCACCTGTATACGTATGTAACAAACCTGCATGTTGTGCACATGTACCCTAAAACTTAAAGTATAATAATAAAAAAAAAAAGAAAATAACTGTTTTCAGTTAGTTCAGAAAGACGATGTTACTAAGCATAATTTACTTTCCTACAGCATTTTTTTGTATTAAGAGCATTTTTACCTACATTATTTGCAAAATATCATGAAGAAGGCAGGCTTTTAGTTTATAAATCAAGGCTTAGAGACATTGGAATAGTTGGTTGTGACCCACTGATAGGGTTAATAATCTGTCCATACTTTAAACTCTAGGTAGACTTTTAAGATAGAAAAAGAAAAAAAAAGATACATTAAAATTGTAACATAAATAATTTAAATTAAATGAAATTCTCCAAATACTGAGGTTTGTTCAATTAGAATAGAAAACAAGATATTTTCATCAACAGAATAATTTTCACTGGTCTAGGATTATATTGATATATTTCCAAATTACTGGACCTTTCCCTGTGTTTTAAAGTAATTTGTGAGCATATTATAACTTTCAAAATCTGATAAAATGATACAATAAAAACAAACTATAGAAAACCTTCACAGTCTCTTCAAACTGCATAATTAAGTGGGGGAATTATAAGCTGTAGAGGAAAGTGTAATTAAGAGTGACATTGAGTACAGCCTGGTGATCTGTGCAAGCATGGACTCCCTTAAGACTCAACTCAACAAAGACATCCAAGCTGGTATAGTTTACCAACACAAATCTCTGAGTTAAAGCACCTGTATCCTCAGGAAAAAATAGTTTTAATTTTACAGTAGAGTGAAGCAGTGATAAAGATAAATTCTGCAGATTAAGTAAGAGAAGAATGAGAAGAGGAAATAATAGCATTCCTCTAAAGGGAATTTTTCAAGTATTAAGGGTTTTCTTGATTATAAAGTTAGACTTTGCCTAGGAAGTTCCTGCTCCCTTGGTTGAAGAGTAACTTGCAGTGCAGTTAGTCTTCAGTTATGCACTTGGAAGTCATTTTATCAGCACTGTTACTTCCGCATCTTTTGTTGTAGTTACCCTCTTAATGGGGATAGACCCTAACTCAATTGTGAGTTGTCTTTTATGCCTTTACTAAGCCACTGCTCCACTTCTAGGTTGGGCTGCCTAGAGGAAGTCTTCAGTGCTGGGAGGAGAAAGGTTTGATGCCATTGTCTCTATTGTGGAGAGTCCTTGAAAAAAATTAATAAATAAATGAGGGTTGATACTTTACAACGGCCTATACTACAAGTATGATTTCTTCTTTATCCTGTCATTAGTGAGCTACCTAGTGAGCATCGTTAACTAACTAAGCACCTCTGATCACCTAATACGTGTGAGGAACCATGCCAGATTCTGAAGGTAAATAAATAAGACACAGAACTATATTCAAAGAACTCTGGGCTTTAGAGGAAAAGACAAGCATGTCAAAAATTAGCTGTAGTGCAATAGGGGAAATGCATCTATAATGAACTAGACAGAGAATAATAACTCAGAGAGGAGGCTGAGTATGGAACATTCAAATCAGCATGAAGCAGAGAAGGATTTTCACTGACGAGGAGACATTGAGCCCAGGTGTTGAAGGCAGCGGTTGTAGAGGCATATATGCAAGTTGAAGGAACAGCCATTCCAAGCTAAATAATGACTTGGACTCAGGACTGCAAGCAAGAGGGAGGAATTTTTTTTATGGCAGGAAGAGGGAGAAATTTGTATAAGAAAAGAAGTTGGTATCACATTTGAATGGTTTTCTGTAATCAGCTAAGAAATATAGGAACAGTCATTAATTAGGTCCATTGAGGGTCTATGCCAGCATCCCTCAAAGATTCTAGTTATTTAGCAACTTTAGCTGGTTTGGAAAGTTGTAATAAAACATAGAATTCAGTTTGGATATCTCTTAGGAAAGAGCTGCTGTAAGTGGAGAATTTCCCTAAAAGGTGAGGGTGTGAGAGATTGGTACAATTTCTTATTATTCCATTCTGTCTTCTCATTCTGTTATTCTCATATATAGCAGCTTTGCTTCCCCCCAGCCTCCTTGCTTTCTCTTGCGCTTGAGGTATGTTCAGGAAAAAAAGCATGGTCACATTTAATCACAGTATTTTGTGTCCTTTGGTGCTTTTCGAAGATAGTTTGATTAAGTAAAATTACACATGCTGTCTTTGCACAGCCATCATCAGTAAATCTTTTCTCAGTTGGAATTTGCAATGCATCTTGATATACAGGTAATTACCATGGCCTGTACCAAGTAGTGACAATTAAAGAAAAATGAAATAAGTTTAATCCGTGAGCTGGCTCAGTAAGGTGAAAACAAAACGTTTTGTTTTCCCAGTGTGCTCCAGACTCAGCGTGTGTACTCATTCTTCTCTTTTCCCTGAGAGTGTCTCTAGGAGGTCCCACAGTCTCTCTGGCCATTTGCAGTTAATAAATAACCTATATTTCTGGGCATTACAATTTTAATTTAGTCAAGTATAATTTTAAACCCCTTTTAAATTAAACCACTCCCCTCTCACCCCAAGTGCACTCAAGGCAGAGAAACCTACAGTCAGGAAAGGAAGCATGATCAGCCTCTTAATTTTTCCTTTCATCTCCTTAACCTGCTGGTTGTTTTGGTGACTACTCCAGGATCAGGCGCAGGGAAACAGGCACATTGAGGATGGAGAAGACACGAGGAAGCCAAAAATGTTTCTTTTGATGATACTGTCACCTGGTTTTGTGTGCCTTCTTTGTGACAAGATGTACAGTCACTGACTAATCATTCTCACATAGAATACAGATGGCTGTTCCCTGGCTAAAATGAGGCCTCATCCTTCTGGCCTCACTTTATACAACCTTAGCTACTACATTTGATCCTACACACTCAGCCTTTTTTATACTGAGGTTCTTACTGCTGGTAGGAAGTACTCTTAGGCATGATGCTGCTCAGCAGACATTTGTTGAGTCAAATTGAAACAGATAGCTTTCATACAAAGCTTGCTGTTACAAACCTATGTTTAAAGACTAAGTGGACATATTGAAAGAATAAATGTCCATGTTCCTGCCTTTGGGCATTTACACATACCGTTCTCTTTCTATGTCTCCCTCTTGGAACTTTGTGGATTTCACCTCCACCTTTTAAGTAAATTCCCCACTTACAGCAGCTCTTTCCTAAGAGATATCCAAACTGAATTCTGTGTTTTATTACAACTTTCCTAACCAGCTAAAATTGCTAAATAACTAGAATCTTTGAGGGACCCTGGCATGACAGACCCTTACTGGACCTAACTGATTACTCTTTCTATACAGAAGATACAATACAGTGGACTCATTCTCTCCTATACAGAGTGTTAGTTTTTAATCCTTTGTTAACATAATTATCATGGCAGTTCTGCAGTAATGCCACAAAAAATAAGCATTCAAAATATATTTGTTGGATAAGTAAATGAACAATATAAGCCAAATTTTTCTTCTGTACACTAATTTTAAATGTTTTCATGACAGGTTTGGGAAAGAAAGTAATGATTTTACTTTTAAAGTGTGAAACGTGTTTACAAATTTTGACAGATTTTGTGATGATGTATATATTTTCTCATTGATAATGTTGTTATATAGAAAATCAAAATTATTCAATGTTAAAGCTTTCAAAATAATAGTACAAGAAATCCAATCTAATATTCTATGTAATTTGTTGAAATGAAAAGGTACAAATTTACACTAACATACTAAAGGAGAATTTTATTTTAAAATGTGTTTAGCAGAAAACCTGTAACAGGACAAATCAAGTTTTAATAAAAAATTACATTGAACCCAGTTGATTCAAAATTATAGAGTCCCCTCTCTCTCTCATATGTGTGTATATATGTGTATATTCACATATATTTGTTTTTATCTAAAATTCCCAAATATTTACTGGTAGCTTTTCTAGAAGAAAATATTTTTAACAATATAGATTGATCAGACCTTCCCAAAGTAAAAAAATATCTGTTGGTTTTATGACATAAAAAGCCTTTAATGTGAGGTTACCAAAGGCATATTAAGTCTGTTTTTCCATCTGATTTTCTTCCAAATGTCTTCTACAAATCCCTTTTAAACACATATATTCAATCAGACTATTTTCCTGCTTTTCCTGCTTTTCCTGCTTTTCCTGCTTAATAGCTAATGATAATTCCCCAGCATCTGCATGATGAAGTCCAACGTCTGCATGCATTCACTGTGGAAGATGACTCTCAGTCTATCAATGACTTACTTCCCAAAGCTTCATCTCTTGTTTCTTGCCACGTGCCAAATTAGTCTAGCCCCAAAGGCTACAAGTTTTCTCTGAACAGTTTAGAGCTTTTTCACATGTCTTTTTTTTCATGATATGGTTTCTGCCAATAAATGGATAGTTATAGATTAACAGATAGATGGATGGATAGATAAATAGATGATTAGGAAAAACAATTAATTTTTTAATATGTTAGAACATATGAAGACTTCATACACTTCAGAAATAGGATTCAAACCCAGATGTATTTGACTTCAAAGTTCATGCTCTTTCCATTATACAAACATGTCTCTTTAAATCTATTTAATATAAAAATATTATTTTATGATTTTCTTTCCAATCAGTTGTCAATTTATCTTCTAATCATTTGGCTTTCTATTTTGTAATCACAAACAAAAAATATTCTTAACCAGACCAGTCATCTGTACCTGTAGGGAGTATGAATGATCACAATTAATTTAAGTCTTTAAGGACTGAATTTTTTATACATTCGTTCATCCATGTCTCAAAATTTAATTGGGTATTCTCTTAGGTCAGGTTTCCTAGAAGTAGACTCTGAGATGAAGACTCATATGCATATGACTTCTCAAAGGAAGTCCTCTCAGAAGAAATCAGCAATGGAGATAGGGTTTTTTTTCCCTATCTCTGCTGGGAAACTAAGTAATGTAGGGATTAGATTTCAGATGAAGTCTCAGCTTCAACCTGATCCTGCGGGGAGGTGGAGAATGTAAATTATACTTCAGAACCTCAGTAAAGACTTTTACTCTCCACTTGTGAGTTATTGGTTACGAACCACAGGATGAGGGAAGGTGAATTGCTAGATAACTCCAGCTCCTTGGATAAAGCAGGTTAGAACACCCAAAGGGAGTTTCCCAAAACTGAGTTGCAGGTGCAGGTCATTAGAGAAAACTCACATTGAAACTGGGGGGAAAGACACACAGAAAAGGTAAGAAGCATCCAAAAAGATCCAATATTCACTACGATTTCTTACAATGAATCTGGTACTGTGGTAAAGAGTTAGAGATTTAGAAATAAATACATTTCCTGTATAAATCTGTAAAAAAAAAAACTGACTCTATTGCAATATGATAAATACTGCATTAAAAATGTACAAAGGGTAAAGAGCTCACAGATAAAAGGATGATTAATTATTGGAGCTTTTTCAAATATTTTATTATTGAGATAACAAGGATCTCATTGCCAAATAGACTCATATGAATACTAGATCTTAGTATCAAACTTTTTTAATATCTCAAAGATGCAAGTGAACACAAGGCATAAGCAAAAAAGGGGGAAAAAAATCTAGGAAATCCAAAACCTTCCCAGGACATTCCAGCTGGATCAAGACTCACTCTGACACAGACTAATGTGTGAGATCTCCTCTAAGTAATGCATGTAGCAAATTAGTGACACAAAAGGGGCAATTTTGGTCATGCAACACTCCCGTCTTTATATTCTTATAGTAATGTAGCTTACGAGACATTTTCCAGGGAGCCATGCCCCATAACTACATAATTTCTAGTCTTATTTATCATAAGTAATCCTAAACAGATTCTATTCACTCTGTTGAAATTCTATAGATAAAAACTCTCTTATTAGCAAATACCATTAGTATCATTGCTAGGACTTCTGTCATTAGTGTTTATCTGGAGGTTTGACTGGGTCACCCTGCTGCTTCTTTCCTTGTGTGTCCCACAGTAAAAGGGGAGAAAGAGAAAATATCCTGCTGTAATTTTTCTCCTCATTTACATTCTAGTTGCAGTTTCCATCTTAATTGTATCTCAAAATAAATAGTTGTTTCAATAGATAGCTAGGTAGAGAGCTGATCACAGGTGGTTAGATGATGGGTAATATATATCATAAAATTACCATGCTCCCCAAAGTAATACATAAATTGCCAAAATTTCAATGAGAATCACAATGGGGATTGTCAGTGGAAGGTGGGGAAAACTTCATTTTTTAAAAAATGTGTTGACACTGGGAAAAAATACAATAAAGTTCCTGCATCAGGAGTAGCAAAAAATATTATGTAAAAGAAAAATAATTAAAGGATTAGTCTTTCAAAATTTAATAACATACCATAAAACCACTGAGCTAAAAAACATCATGATATTGGAATAAAAAGACAAAATAAATCAATGGAACCCCATAGGGCATCTAGAAATAAATTTGGGGATTTAACACATGACAAAGGTGGCACTTTAACACCCAGTGGGCAAAGATAAGTTATTTAATAAAATGTGCTAGTATAATAATCTATGAATTAGGGAAAAAATAAACTTGGACACTATCTCATACTATGTAAGAAATAAATTATAGATGGCTAAAGTTAATATACACGTTCTTTTTAATAATGATAATAATCCAAAAGATATTAGAGAAATATAGCATAATTGGCATATACTTTTTAAAAGTTTGATGTAACAAAAGGTATCATGAATAAAAGTGTGAGTTAAACAATAGGTTAGTAGCTATACTTAAAATTTATGCAACAAAAAATAGCACATATTGTTAAAAGAGCACCATCAAACTAATTGGTCACCTCTTGAGAAAAACAAGTCATTATCTTGAAAAACTGGTAAATAACTTAACAGACTCAAACATTTATCTTACTTTCCTATGTGAATTGAACTACTGAGGCGAGTATCTCGTTATTTTAGCTAACAAAGCATAATGACAGAAGTAGACTATCACTTGTTTACAATCTCCAGTGAATCTAGGCATTGAGAATCAATGGTTGCTAACATTAAAAAGGAGATAAAAGAGACAGTATATGCCTCCTGATGAAAGAATGAGACCCCACTTATAATCTTGCCAAAAGGAACAAGTAGCTGAAGTCAGATTTCTGTATTCAGTTGCCAATTTGTAGAATATGCAGAAAAGAAAATAACAATTTGAACTACATCTTAAGTAAGTAGTCAGCATAGATGGAACAGATTTTCTGGAAAGTGAGAAGATCGGATGGCCTGGGTTCTTCAATAGAAAAATATGAATGGTCTGTTATTTCCACCAAATATTTAAAAAAGAAATAGCAGTAATCATACACAAACTATCTCATAAAATGGGTCAGATAAATATTTTTTCAAATTATTTTATGAGGCCAAAAAAATTCTTACCAAAACCTGACTGGGACATTAAGAGAAAAATTATCATGAGCTCTCTCATGAACGCAGATGCAAAAAATTTTAGACAAAATATTAGGAAACAAAATCTAGCAGTATGTAAAAAAATACAGTCATGAGACACATAATGGTGTTTTGGTCAGCTCTGTTTCCAAGTTAGATAATGAAGAAACAGGGCTGCCTTTTTGTTGTCCCACATTGTTTCCAGGGACAATAGGTTTCCACTCACTATCCCTCCTTCATTAACCTATTTTATGAGTTCTGTTAGATTTCTCATTCAGCCCCTAACCCAGGGTCCCTTTGCTTTCCTTTAAGCTCTCAGCCAACCAATGACTGTCCACATATATTAGTCAAAAAAATAACAATTTCTTTGAGTTTAAATTGGGTGTACAGTGAGTACATGTTTTATGGATTCATGCAGATCCTTTCTTTTTCAAAGCAGCCTTTCCCTTTCTCTCCACCTAATCACATCTGATATGTTTTGGCTGTGTCCCCACCCAAACCTCATCTTGAATTGTAGTTCCCATAATTCCTCGTGTTATGGGAGGGACCCAGTGGGAGATACAACTGACTCCTGAGGGCGGTTTTCCCCCATACTGTTCTCGTGGTAGGAAATAAGTCTCATGAAATCGGACAGTTTTATAAGGGAAATCCCTTTTGCTTGGCTCTCGTTCTCCTCTCTTGTCTGCCACCATGTGAGACTTGCCTTTCACCTTCCACCATGATTGTGAGGCCTTCCCAGTCATGTGGAACTGTGAGTCCATTAAACCTCTTTCTTTTGTAAATAGCCCAGTCTCAGGTATGTCTTTATCAGAACCATGAAAATGAACTAATAAATCACCCCTCCACTCAAAACCCAGTTATATATGAAGGCTTTCCAGGGAATCCCAGAAAAAATAAATTTTTCATTTTGTGAACTCTTACAGCTTGTATTGTATGTGTTAGACATGGTAGAATTTAATTTTTTTCTATTATACTTTCCTTTTTTAAACCATTTTATGCATTTTTCTTGTTTGTTTATTGAAAATTGTAAGCTTACTAATTCAATTTTTATGGTTTATACCACTTGGACAGCTCCCCCTCCCCATCTTACTCAGCCCCATGCTGGGCATTATTAAGGAGTCAGTGTGTGCTGATTAAATTATGTACACCAGCTAATATTAGAACAGAACTTAGCCAAATAATAGAACAGAACATAGCTTCTCTGTATATACCCTCTTTGGGCTATTTTCTTCAAAGTTTCTTAACACCTATTGTTGTAAAAGAGGGAATGTGACAATTAGGTTCCTTGTGGAATGAAATCTCAAATTTTTCTAGGGTTAAATGAATGTCTTATATCACAAGAGGTTACAAAATCTCTTATTTCACATAAAAATATTTAATGGCTATAAAGAGTTCAAATGGAATTATGAACTCAAGGTGGCAAACTTAAAGATTGCTCAGGCTGGTTGGCTAAGATATCAAGGTGGCCAATATAGCTCAATGCAAAGTGTAAGTAAGTGAAATGGGTGGGGTGGGGTGGGGTGGAGAGGGAAGAAGGAGAATTTTATTCAGGGCTTTCTGATCAAACACACTGCTTTATAACCTCTTGGTCAATGAAAGTGTTGGACAAAATGAGTGGTTTTATTACTTTTTTCCAATTGAAATTCCTTTTCAAATAAAATAATCACATCTAAAAATACAATAAACAAAAAAGAAATATTCTCATTAGATTAGAGTTGAGGCTTTACAGCATTATCTGCCCCTACCTACTTTTCCTCTGTACCTCCTGAGTGTGCCTCTCAGGCCCCATGGCTCTGGAAAGCACCACTTGAAACTACCCAAACAGATCATCCCTAAGATTTTTTTTTTTACTCTACCATTCAGATATGTAAAGATGGGAAGCCCAACACTGCTCTCAAAAACAATTGTTACTATTTAAAGGGAGAGAGAGAAATAATGTCCTAAAATTTGCACTTGATGAATATTAAGAAAGGCAACATATTAGAAGGACATATGTATTAGTCCATTCCTACTTTGCTATGAAGACATATCTGAAACTGGGTAATTTATAAAGAAATGAGGTTCAATTGGCTCATGGTTTTGTGGGTTGTACGGGTGTCTGCTTCTGGCGAGGCCTCAGGAAACTTGCAATCATGGCAGAAGGCAAAGGGGAAGAAAACACGTCTTACATGGCCAGCAGGAGCGAGAGTGAGGGGGGAGGTGCCACATACCTTCCAACAACCAGGTCTCATGAGAACTCCATCACAAGACAGCACCAGGGAGATGGTGCTAAACGATTAAAAACTACCCCCATGATCCAATCACCTCTCTCCACATCCCCACTCCAACACTGGGGGTCACGATTCAATATGAGATTTGGGTGGAGACACAGAGCCAAACCATATTAACATGTTTCAGTGTCTCCCCCACTGAGAGGAAACCAAGGTCTTCCTTGCTACTCAAAATGTGGTTCACACAACAGCATAACCCACCAGAAAGACAATATCTCAGGCCCCACATAGACTAAGTTGGAATGTGCATTTTAATATGATTTCTAAATGATTCATTTTATTTTAGTGTTTGAAAAGCACTATGCATAAGCAATGGTTCTCAACTCTGGCTGTCCATTAGAATCTCTGGGAGAATTTTACAAAACACTGGTAGTGGGTCCCTGATGTGGTTTGAATGCTTGTTCCCCCAAAATTTCATCTTAAAATATGATTCCCAATGTTGGAGCCTGGTGGGAGATGATTGAATCGTGGGGGCAGATCCCTCATGAATGATTTAGCACCATCCGCTTGGTAATAAATGAGTTCTCGCTCAGTTCACACAAGATCTGGTTGTATAAAAGATTCTGGCACCTCCTCCTTCTCTCTGTTGCTCCTGCTTTCACCGTGGGTGGAAGCTTCCTGAGACCTCACCAGCCAGGCAGAGGCTGATGACATGCATCCCGTACAGCCTGCAGAACGACGAGCTAATTAAACCTCTTTTCTTTGTAATTACCCAGCCTCAGGTATTTCTTTACAGCAATGCAATAATGGACTAACACACACCCCATCCCCAGATATTCTATTTTAATTGATGTGTAGCGGGACCTTGATGGATTTATTTACAGTTTCCAGGTGTTGTAAAAATGCAGCCGGTGGTAAAAACCATCATTTTAAATAAAAAAGCAAAAAAAAAACCTACTCAAGAAAACTAAGTCTCCTAGGCATAAACAAACAGAAGGGATGTTTCAGTCTACCCACAGGGGAAGAGATATGCATTGTGATTAATGAGTGTGACACTCTAGTAAGAAGTGTACATGTCACTTTAGAGAGATATGATAAGCCTCAATGGGATCTGTACTGGCATCATGAAGCAAGTGCCTGAAGTTGACAAAATTCATCTGACAAATTGATGGCTCACAGAAATAACACATTAACTATGAAAAATGAAGACATTGAATTAAATGAAGACAAAATAGTTACAAAGGATTTTGATTACCAGAACATGGATCATGAACACAAATGCATGCACTCTAGCCATGGGTAAAGTGCATCTCATGAAGGATAAACTTTTTTTAAAAAAAAAAACAGATAAGGATTAATTTGTCTATGACAGATTCCCTTCAGGTTTCACACTCAAAAGAGATGTTGGCCCACAAAAGAGTTTCATGGAAACCAACCAGAGTGAAATCCTTAAGACAATTAATTCAGGAAAGGTATTGTGATGGTAGATCAGGCCACTGGTCCACTATGCTGTATACATAAAATTGCAAGACTTGAACGCTAGACTTCTGATTACACGGGAAGAGGGGCTGGTGATTTTTTCAGCCGATGAGTATGAGGTGGCAAAGTTAGACTGGGCTCAGCCGGTAGAACAGAAACTCTTGTTTCACTGATCATGTAGCTAAATTTTCACATCACAAGAGAGAGGGCTCCTCTCACTTGGAGTCTGATATCTTGTGTGACTAGATCACTGTATGCTATTCCAGAATTCTATCCTCCCTTTCAACATAACTGGAGGCTTATGTGAATAAGGTAGGTATGCAGGAGGTAGGATCCCCCAATAATCAAAGCTGTTTGTGTCCCTTGTCCTGATCAAACTTTTAGATGTTATTAAGGAGGTCTGCATGACCTAAAGATTGCTGTTCTTAAAAAAAAAAAAAGCTAATTAATCTTGTGAGCACCTGCAGGGGTTAGGATAGGAAGTTAATAAATTACTTGACTACCCTTTACTGAAATAACGGTATGCAAGCAAGCATGCATAGAGGAAAAAAAGGAAAAAGAAAAATAAGTAAAATGTATTATGGTTCCTGTAATAAAGGCTCAATTGCATGTATAGCCCACATTTATTTCAATGTTTAACATTAGAAGTGTTTAGGGACTTTATTTAGAAGTTGGTGATATTTTCTGACCAGAAATACGCCATAGGAACTTAACTCTTGTTTGTATCAATGAACATATGGCAAAATTGTCTTTTTGCTTAAAGTTGCAGTTTCCAAGAACATACCAACAACCTTAAGTATGGACTTACTGTATGTGTAACAAAAGGTTCTGTTAGGTCCTAGTACTACTACTTAAGTACTAGTCATTGTTTACCTTGAGAACATGTTTGTATTGAGTTCTGTATGGGTAGCTATATAAAACGATGAGATTTCTTCCAGTCTTTGCAGTCTCTTTAATGAATTACCTGTGATGTACATCACATTTCAGTTTAATGCTTGTTTAATAATAAAGCTTTTTTTCTTTTTTTTTAATTATACTTTAAGTGTTAGGGTACATGTGCACAACGTGCAAGTTAGTTACATATGTATACATGTGCCATGTTGGTATGCTGCACCCATTAATTCTTCACTTAACATTAGGTATTATCTCCTAATGCTATCCCTCCCCCCTCTCCCTACCCCACAACAGGCCCCGGTGTGTGATGTTCCCCTTCCTGTGTCCATGTGTTCTCATTGTTCAATTCCCACCTATGAGTGAGAACATGCGGTGTTTGGTTTTTTGTCCTTGCGATAGTTTGCTGAGAATGATGGTTTCCAGCTTCATCCATGTCCCTACAAAGGACATGAACTCATTTTTTATGGCTGCATAGTATTCCATGGCGTATATATGCCACATTTTCTTAATCCAGTCTATCATTGTAGGACATTTGGATTGGTTCCAAGTCTTTGCTATTGTGAATAGTGCTGCAATAAACATACATGTGCATGTGTCTTTATAGCAGCATGATTTATAATCCTTTGGGTATATACCCAGTAATGGGATGGCTGGGTCAAATGGTATTTCTAGTTCTAGATCCCTGAGGAATCGCCATACTGACTTCCACAATGGTTGTACTAGTTTACAGTCCCACCAACAGTGTAAAAGTGTTCCTATTTCTCCACATCCTCTCTAGTACCTGTTGTTTCCTGACTTTTTAATGATTGCCATTCTAACTGGTGTGAGATGATATCTCATTGTGGTTTTGATTTACATTTCCCTGATGGCCAGTGATGATGAGCATTTTTTCATTTGTCTTTTGGCTGAATAAATGTCTTCTTTTGAGAAGTGTCTGTTCATATCCTTTGCCCACTTTTTGAAGGGGTTGTTTGTTTTTTTCTTGAAAATTTGTTTGAGTTCATTGTAGATTCTGGATATTAGCCCTTTGTCAGATGAGCAGATTGCCAAAATTTTCTCCCATTCTGTAAATTGCCTGTTGACTCTGATGGTAGTTTCTTTTGCTGTGCAGAAGTTCTTTAGTTTAATTAGATCCCATTTGTCAATTTTGGCTTTTGTTGCTGTTTTTTTTTTTCTCTTCTACCATTTTGGAGAGGTTTTCGATGCTGGCAGGAGATTTTGTCTTTAATTATATTTCCTCAACATCCAAGGACTACTTCAGAAGATGTATTCAATTTTTGGATTGGGGAGGAGAGGTGGAGCAAGATGACAGAATGGAAAGCTCCATGGATTATCCCTCTGGCAAGGACACCAATTTAACAACTATCTACAAAGAAAAAAAACACCTTCATAACAACTGAAAATCAGGTGAGCACTCATATACCTGGTTTTAACTTTATGTCACTGAAAGAGGCACTGGAAAGATAGAAAAAAACAGTCGTGAATTGCTGACACCACCCTTCCCTACTCCGGCAGCAGTGGGTTGGTGTGTAGAGCATCTCTGGGTTCTGGGGGAGGGAGAACACAGCAATTGTGAGGCATTGAACTCAGTGTTGTCCTGTTAGAGCAGAAAGGAAAATCAGACCAAACTCAGCTGACACCTGCCCAAAAAGGGAGCATTTAAACCACCCTAGCCAGAGGGGAATCTCCAATCCCAGTAGTCCAAATTTTAGTGCCAGAAAACCTCACCACCGAGGGACAAAGTACTCTGGGTCTCTAAGTAAACTTAAAAGTCAGTCTAGGCCATAAGGACTGCAACACTTAGGTGAGTCCTAGGACTGATTTAGGCCCAGAGACAGTGGACTGAGAGGGCATGTGACCTACTGTGATGCCATGAGTCAAGAAAGTGATGGTGCCACCCCTCCTGTAACTCCAGACTTCACAGCTTGTGGCTCCAAAAGAGACCCCTTCCTTCTGCCTAAAAAAGGATAGGGAAGAGCAGGGAAGACTTTGTCTTGCATCTTGGATACCAGCTCAGCCACAGCAAGATAGGGCACCTAGGTCAGAGTCATGAGGACCCCATTCCAGGTCCTGGTTCCCAGATGACATTTCTAGACATGCCCTGAGCCAGAGGGGAACCCTCCGCCTTGAAGGAAAGGACCCAGTCCTGCCATCATTCATCACCTACTAACTGAAAAGCCCTTGGGCCATGAATAACCAGCAACGATACACAGGTACAATATTGAGGGCCTTGGGTGAGCTTCTGAGGCTTGCTGGCTTCCACTGTCACACCCCTGTGTGCATCTGGGAATAGAGCACCAGACAGGCTCTTGGGGCCCCCAACTCTAGGATGTGACTCTTGGATGGCATTTTGGGATCTGCCCTGGGCCAGATGGGAGCTCACTGCCCTGAAGTGTGAGTCCCAGGCCAGACAGGATACACCAAAAACTGACTTAAGATACCTAGGGCCTTAAGGAAAAATCAGTGTGGTCTGGCAGTACTCCTCATGGCCAAGTGTGGTGGTGGCTATGGGGCAAGTCTCCTCTGCCTTTGGAAAGAGAAGGGAAGAATGGGGTATCCATCCCCTCAAGCTCAGAAGAGATGTTGGCCCACAACAGAGTTTCATGGAAACCAACTAGAGTGAAATCTTATGGTTTGAGTGCCAGCTCAGCTGCAGTACAATAGGACACCATGTAGACCTCTAAGGATTTTTATTCTAGTCCCTGACTCCCTGAGGGTACTTCTGGATCCACCCAGGGCCTGGGGATCTTGCCACTCTGAAGGAAAAGACACAGACCTGGATGGCTTTGCCACCTGCTGGTTGTAGAGCTGTGGGACCTTGAGTGAGCATAGGCAGTAGCCAGGGAATGGTTGCAGCAGGCCTTGGGTGAGATCCAGTGGTCTACAGGTTTCAGGTCTGACCCAGTGTAGTTACAGTGGTGGTGGCCACAGAGGTGCTTGTGTCACTCCACCCCCAGCTCCAGGTGCCTCAGAACAGAGAGATGCAGAGACTCTGCATGTTTGGGAGAAAGTAAGAGAAGAGTACAAGAACCTCTGCCTGTTAATCCAGAGACTTCTCCCCGATCTTGTCCAGGACCATCAAGGTAGTACTTCTACAAGCCTGCATCAACCACAGTGTTACTGGGCTTGGGATGCCCCCTAACACAGAAACAGCTCAGATCACAACACACGAGTCTTTTCAAATATCTGGAAAGCCTTTTCAAGAAAGACAGCTACAAACAAGCTAAGACTGTGAAGACTACAATAAATACCTAACCCTTCAATGCCTACATACCAAGAACATCTGCTAGCACCATCCAGGAAAATATGACCTTACCAAATGAAGTAAATAGAGTACCAAGGAACAATCCTGGAGAAACAGAGATATATAACCTTTCAGACAAATAATTCAAAATAGCTGTGTTAGGGAAACTCAAAATTCAAGAAAACACAGAGAAGGAATTCAGAATTCTATCAGATAAATTTAACAAAGAGATTAAAATAATTAAAAAGAATTAAGCAGAAATGAAATTCTGGAGCTAAAAAAAAATGCAGTTGACATGCTGAAGAATGTATCAGAGTCCTTTAGTAGCAGAATTTGATCAAGCAAAAGAAAAAGTTAGTAAGTCTGAAGACAGGCCATTTGAAAATACACAATCAGAAGAGACAAAAGAAGAAAAATAAAAAACCATAAAATATGCCTATAGGACCTAAAAAACAGACTCAAAAGGGGAAATCTGAGAGTTATTGGCCTTAAAGAGGAGGCTGAGAAAGAGATAGGTGTAGAAAGTTTATTCAAAGGGATAAATATTAACAGAGAACTTCCCAAACCTAGAGAAAGACATCAATATCCAAGTACAAGAAGTTTATAGAACACTAAGTAGATTTAACCCAACTACCTCAAGGCATTTAATAATCAAATTCCCAAAGGCCACATATAAAGAGAGGATCCTAAAAGCAGCAAGAGAAAAGAAATAAATAACATACAAATGGCACTCCAACACGTCTGGAAGCAGACTTTTCAGTGGAAACCTTACAGGCCAGGAGAGAGTGACATGACATATTTAAAGTGCTGAATGAAGAAAAAAAACAAAAAACCTTTTACCATAGAATACTGTATCTGGCAAAAATATCCTTCAAACATAACGGAGAAATAAAAACTTTCCTAGAAAAACAAAACCTGGGTATTTCGTCAACACCAGACCTGTCTTATAAGAAATGCTAAGGTGAGTATTTCAATCAGAAAGAAAAGGCCATTAATGAGCAATAAATATTCACCTGATGGTAATAAAACTTACGGTAAGAATAAGTTCACAGACAAAAAAGAATATTATAACACTGCAATTGTGTTGCGTAAGCTAGTCTTTTCCTAAGTAAAAAGACTAAATGATGAACCAATCAAAAATAATAACTGCAAATTTTCAAGACATAGTACAATAAGATATAAATAGAAACAGCAAAATATTAGAAAGCTGGAGGATGAAGCTAAGGTGAGTTTTTATTAGTTTTCTTTTTGCTTGTTCTTGTATTTGTTTATGCAGATAGTGTTAAGTTGTTATCAGGTTAAAAAATGGGTTATGAGATAGTATTTATAAGCCACATGGTAACCTCAAACCAAAAAACATACAATGAATACACAAAAAAATAAAAACCAAGAATGTTAAGTGAAATAAGCCAGGCACAAAAGACAAACATCACATGTTCTCACTTATTTGTGGGATCAAAAAAATCAAAACAATTGAACTCATGGATATAGAGTGTAGAGGGAATATTACCAGAGCCTGGGAGGGATAGTTGGGAAAGGGGTGTGGAGGAGGTGGGGATGATTAATGGGTATAAAAAATAGAAAGAATAAGACCTACCATTTGGTAGCAGAACTGGATAACTATAATCAATAATGACTTAACCATACATTTTAAAATAATGAGTGCAATTGGGTTGTTTGCAACTCAATGGAGAAATTGCTTGAGGGGATGGATACCCCATTCTTCATGATGTGCTTATTTCACATAGCATGCCTGTATCGAAACATCACATGTACCCTGTAAATATATACATCTACTATGTACCCATAAAAATAAAAATAAATAAATAAATAAATAAAACAAAAAAAATTTGTGGATTGGGGAGGATGTGGTTAGTTACCTTTTTCAAGGTAGGTTAACCAGTCTTCTACCTTCGTCAAATGTAGGAGGTCAGCTGTCATGCTACCTGCTCACAAAAGTTCTCAGCTACTTGGAAATCCATCATCAAACATAATTCCTTCTGTAATGTAGTATCAAGCATTACAATGTGCCAATAATAATTTTCCAGGTTTCTTGTGGTATTTTCCTATAAAGTTTCCTATTTTTTAACAGAATATCCTTGTACTTTGATAGTTGTCTGGCCTTGGCTTCCTCCTACCTTTTCAGATTTTGATAAATCAATTGAGTTATTTTGTGGGAATATAATATTTTTCTTGGTAATCATAAGGGCATTACAAGGCTGTCCAATAACAGGAAGAAAACAGTATTACTGATTTTTTTTCCATCTGGCACATCTTTTAGAAAGTTAGATTTAATTAACCAGGGCTATTAGCAAAATTTTTGATTTTTTCTTTCTTTCTCTCTTTCTTTCCCTTTATCCCTACTTAGATATTTCTCTCAGATCTAAGGTTATTTTCTCCAAATCCTCCTTATGAGACTTCTTCCCATAATCTACCTTAAAGCTTTTCCTCCCTAATTCCAAAGATAAGTTGCCAGCCATCCTTGAATCAGGCCCTCATCATGTTTTTAGATCCCATCCTTTTTTTTTCTAAAAAGTATGTTAGGTATTATGATTTGTGGGTCTGAAAGACAATTCTGCCCACTAAAAAATCTGATCTACCTCAAAAGATTGGGTTTCCCCAAATCATAAATCTTGCCCATAATCAATAATTACTCATTATTTCTAGAATATTATAATTAAAAACACAAGTGAAGCAGGGAGAAATCCAGAATCTCTAATGCATTTCCCCTGTCCTTTCATTCCACAATGCTCCAACTCAGATTAGAGTATTAAGTCTTAAAGTGATGTTTGTAGTCAAATCATTTACACAGAGGATACTTTATGCAGCATCTCCATTTATATTCAAACAGTTATCAGCTTAGGGAACATTATCCAGGAAGTCATACTCCATAAATCTGTATGCTCTAAGCTTACTTAAATAATCCTACACAATTAGGTGCATTATGCTAAAAGAAAACCATAGAAAGATTCACTTGCTGAAAAATATCTTCAAACTGTCTGTCTGGAGGTCTACCATTAGTGCATTTCCTGGGAGATTTTTTTCCAGCTTTTATTTTATATTTGGGGGTAAATCTGCAGGGCTTTGACATGGGTGAATTGTGTGATGCTGAGGATTGAGATATGATTGATCTTGTCACCCAGGTAGTAAGCATAGTACACAATAGGTACTTTTTCAATCCTTGTCCTCCTCTCCACTCTACTTGTCCCCATTGTCTATTGTTCTCATCCTTATGTCCATGTATAAACAATGTTTAGCTTCCACTTATATATAAGAATATGTGGTATTTGGTTTTCTGCATTCATTTGCTTAGGATAATGGCCTCCAGATGCATCCATGTTGCTGCAAAGAACATGATTTCATTCTTTTTTAATGCCTGTGTAGTGTTCCATTGTGTATATGTACCACATTTTCTTTATCCAATCCACCATTGATGGGTACCTAGGTTGATTCCACATTTTTGCTACTGTGAATAGCGCTGCAATGAACATGCAAGTGCATGTGTATTTTTGGTAGAATGATTTATTTTCCTTTGTGTATACCCAGTAATGGAATTGCTGGGTTGGATGGTAGTTCCATTTTTAGTTCTTTGAGAAATCTCCAAACTGAATTCCACAGTGCCTGAACTAATTTACATTCCCACCAAAATTTTATGTGTTTCCTTTTCCCTACAGCCTCACCAACCTCTGATTGCTTTTGTTTTGTTTTGATTTTTAATAATAGTCATTCTGACTGTACCAATCCTACAAAACTCTTTAAGGAGGAAGGACCCCTCCCTAATTCATCCTACAAAGGCAGCATCATCCCAGTAACAAAATCTAACAAAGACACAATGAAAAAAGAAAACTACAGGCCAGTATATCTGTTGAACGTAAACACAAAAGTCCTCAACAAAATGCTGCCAACCAAATCCAATAGCACATCAAAAAGTTAATTCACCCTGATCAAGCAGGCTTTATCCCCGGAATGCAAAGTTGATTCAACATACACAAAATCAATAAATGTGATTCACTGCATAAACAGAAGTATAAACAAAAACTGTATCATCATCTCAGTAGACACAGAGAAAGTGTTTGATAAAATCCAATATTCTTTCATAATAAAAAGTCTTAATAAAGTAGACATCAAAGGAACATACCTCAAAATAACAAAAGCCATCTATGACAAACCCACAGCTGACATCACACAACAGGCAAAAGCTGGGAGCATTCCCCTTAAGAATTGAAACAAGACAAGAACACCCACTTTTACTACTCTGATTCAACATATTACTGGAGTCCTAGCAGGAGCAATAAGTCAGGAGAAAGAAATGAAATTCATCCAAACAGGAAATGAAAAAGTCAAATTATCCCTCTTTACCAACAAAATGATTCTATAGTTAGAAAACCCTAAATACTTCACCAAAAGGCTCCTAGAACTGATAAACAACTTCAGTAAAGTTTCAGGATACAAAATTAATGTACAAAAATTAGTAGCATTTCTATACACTAATAATATTTAAGCTGAGAGTCCAATCAAGAACAAAATCCTGTTTACCATAGCCATACACAAAATAAAATACCTAGGAATACATCTAACCAAGGTGGTGAAGAATCTCTACAAGGAGAACTGCTAAACACTGCTGAAAAAATGGAAAATCATTCTATGCTAATGGATCAAAAGAAATAATATTGTTAAAATTGTCACACTGACAAAAGTAATTTAAAGATTCAACATTGTTCCTATCAAACTACTAATGACACTTTTCAGAGAATTAGAAAAAAACTATGCTAACATTTATATGGAACCAAAAAATAACAAAAATAGCCAAAGCAATTCTAAGAAAAAAAAAAAAAAACAAAGCCAGCGACATCACATTACCCAACTTGACTACCATAAGGCTACAGTAACCAAAACAGCATAGTACTTGTACAAAAACAGATACATAGATGAAGGGAACAGAATAGAGAGCCCCAAAATAAGGCCACAAATCTACAACCATCTGATCTTCGGCAAAGTTGACAAAAGCAGTAGGGAAAGGACTCCTTATTTAATAAATGGTGCTGGGATAGCTGACTATCCACATGTAGGAGAAGAAAACTGGACCCCTACCTATTACCATATACAAAAATTAATTCAGGATGGATTAAAGACTTAAACATAACATGTCAAATTATAAAATTTCTAGAAGAAAACCTACAAAGTACCCTTCTGGAAAATGACCCTTGGCAAATAATTTATGACTAAGTCCTCAAAAGCAAATGCAACAAAAATAAAAATTGATAATTGGTACCTAATTAAACTAAAGGGATTCTGCACAGGAAAAGAAACTATCAACAGAGTAAACAGACAACCTACAGAATGGGATAAAATATTTATAACTATGCATCTGACAAAGGACTAACATTCAGAATCTATAAGGAACTTAAGCAACTCAGGCTAAAAAAAAAAACCTCATTAAAAAGTGGGCAAATGATATAAACGACACTTCTCAAAAGAAGACATATAGGGAGATTTGATCAATCTATCTTCTTTCTTTCCCTGGGGTGTCCCACCAGGAAAGAGAGTGAATGAACTGCAGAGCTGTGGTGTACACATTTTCCAATCTTCTTCAAGTGTGTATGATTTAAAAGCATGCATTGGAATGAACCTGCAAATAAATCTAAATCAATCACTTGAAGTCATCCAATAATGCTTGAAAATATGGCAATTTTATTTAGATCATAAAATATATGTCTTATAAGTTATTGTGAACATGAATGAAGTTTGTGATACTGTAGATGAATATTTAGTTAAACAAACAATGCATGAAGGCAGTAATTAACACAAAAGTCCAGGAAATGTGGTGGATAGGATTATGGACTACATGAGGAGTCCTGAGCTCTAGTTCTGCTCATTTCATGCCAGCCTAGGGTGACTAACAAGACTTCTTTTCAGTACATCTTCCTCTTTTGTTAAAAAAAAAAACATGAATTAATGATCACTAGATTGTTTTTCTATGAGTCTTCAGAAATTTTATTATTGATATCTAGATGTAATGACAAATACCATATTTAACTAGGAAACTTTATATTAAAATACATGCATCTCATGCCCCACTTCAGATCTACTTAGTCAGAACCTTCAATGTGAAGTCCTAGAATCCATGTATTTTTAAGTATGTCTGGATAAATCAGATGATTAATTACACTTTAAAACTACCTACATAAGTCAATATTGAAGACATGTTTATTAAATATATATGTGAAAAAGCAAAGAGGGCAGAATATATAATTCATGGAGTATAGAATTAGTGTGCTATGAGTTATTCAAATGGACAAAGAGGAACTGAGAAACTTGACAGAATAAAAGAATGGTTTATGTTGAAAACAAAGTACATCAATACAGACTAGTTGGAACAAGTTTTCTTCAGCCATAAAATTAATATGTACTATGTATATATATTTATATGGGTAAATAATAATTTTAGGCTGCATAGTGTCCAAACCAAGGAAAATAATACTCACTTATACTTTTCACATGGACTATAAGTTGAAGGGAAAATGAATATATTTTAGAACATCAAAAAATGCAAGGAGAATAGTAAAACCATGTTACTTGGAGAGCAATTGGGGCATTGAAGTTGGTTAATATGGGAAAGAGAAAACCAACATGAAATGCTAACATACTCTTTAATGTTTCTTCCAAAGGGCCAAAATATGAACAAGGTATTTCCTTCAGTTCCTCTGCTCCACTGTGCTCAGAATAAGGACATGATGGTCTATCCATATTAATCACATTCTTATCTTCTCTCCTCACTAATGTGTCTTGAGTCAAGTGCCCAGCCCTGGCCCATTCGATCACCTCCAGGAATGTGGAATTTCATGGCACAGACTTGGACGTTGGTGAGTATGCCTGCGGTAAGAGTTTAAATAACTATGGGTGTGATCTACATGGATGAATGAATTAGTTGAGCTAATGGGGGAAGGTTTTACCTCAGAAACAAGGAAAATTTCTCAAATAACTAAAGGTCTCCAGAGAGAAATAGGGGGAAGTTTCTGACTTGCAAAGGAGATTGGAAAAGATGGAATCTAGAGTCCTTTTATGAGAGTCTGTATTTCAATTTCATTATTAAATAGGAAAAATATTAAACATGTAAACACAATAAAAGTCCATTTCCACGGGCTAAGAAATCTATTTTGTTTAGCCAAAATATCCATTTGAAATTGTACATAGCTTTTAGAATAAATATAGATATTTATACATTTCATTATTAATAGCACCAAAGGTCAGAACACGGTGGTGAATAACATTTAACTGTAAAAATTAAATGTCAGAAAAAAATTACATTTTAAAATAATGTATGAGTAACTATTCAGTACAAATAATAAAACATTTTCTCTTTCTGAAAAATACTATTATTGATTTTAAAATGTATGCCTTCCGTAGCACTGATGCATAACTCTAAGAAAAATGTAGTAATTTGTGGACAAAACTACCTATTTAATTTATTTTGACAGTATGTTGTTTATAGAGAAATATTCTAATTCACCACAGTGAATTTTGCTACTTTGACTTTCATAAGCAAACATTTATAGGCATTCTTAAAATGCAAATAAATGGCTATTTTAGTCACTATTCCTGCACTCTTTCGCTTATTCTAGAGAAAAGTGGGCTAAACTATTTTAACCATGACTGAGAATAGCTGCTTGCAGACGCTCACTCAGAATTCTAACATTCCTTCCTCTATGTAGTCATTATTTACTACACTGAGTCTCTTTCACGAGCCCAAAATTCCAAATCTATGTACTCCTAAAATTGCAACTTACTGATTTAGGTCCAGAAGACATGTATGGATAGTATACAACTATGCATTTGCTGCATAGTGATGGGTCATAATGAAATACTAGCAATTTAGCATATTGTTTGTAATTATTACTGGATTGTGTAAGTTCTGTTTGAGCCTCATAATTTTATTGGCCTTACGCATTTTAATAATTTTACTTCAATTTTCTTCAATTCCATTTTGTGAATAGGACTTTCTAAAGGCTTTTATATAAGGATACTGTGGTGTCTTCATGGAAAATTTAGAGGATGTTATGAAACATCCATCCAGTTCACATCCATATTTCTTTAAACTCTCACTGAAGGTGCAGCTACCAATACTCACATTTTTACCATAGGATTCTGCATTCCTGGACATGATTGAGTGGACCAGGGTTGGACACTTGGCTCAAGATGGATTAATGAAGAGAGAAGATAAGAATGTGATAAATGTGGAGAATCATGATCTCATCATCTTGGGGGAAGTGGATCAGGAAAATAAAAGGAAGTAAAAGAGAAAGAAAAAGAAAGCTGATCTGCAAACAAACATGAATGTACCAGATGCCTGGTGAATAGCAAAAAGATAAAACAGAAGCAGATTCTGGCTGTGGATTCTTATGTTTTGCAAACTTTTCTTAGGTCCCTCGGCATTTCTGAATTAAGGTTTCCATGAGACACCTCAGTGTCCTTATAAAAAGGCACTTTTTTTTCTTGACCTAATTTAAATTATTTCCCATTATTTACATTCACAACATCCTGTAACAATGCTTATTTATGTATCCTTAGGACTGTAGTATGAACTTTATTTATATCAGTTGACTTAATCCCCAATCAGAATAGTAAACTGGGTATTAACCTCATTCTCCAGAGGAAGATGAAACATATGACTATGAAGCATTTAGAGCAGTGCCCAACATATGCTAAGCCCTATGTCAGTACGGGCTGTTATCACTACCCTGCTTAACTGAGAGTCTCTTCAGGTCAGGTCATAGTCTGATTTATTCTGTACTTCATTTCCACTTCTGATGCAAATCATTTTCCTTTGATACACTTTGAATCAGTAGTAGTTATAAAATATATGATCAGACCCCCAAAATTGAGAATTCCTGAGTAATAATATAAATATGTGAACTTACAGGCAGTATTTTGTGTATATGTGGTAGTGGTGTGTGTGTGTGTGTGTGTGTGTGAGAGAGAGAGAGAGGCTGTATGTTCTTTTGTGTCTCTTTCCTCTATCTCACAAGATTTTTATAATGGGGTTTCAATTTAGACACTATATCTCCAATAATATAAAATTTTTATAATATCTAGATAGTATGTGTGCTATTATAAACATCTTATAACTGAACTTATAAATATATTTGCATAATTAATGTCTTTTTTACATATTACACTATAAGGAATAATTCTTATTAAATATGCATAAAATAAAGTTCTAGGTTAATTCTGCTATTAGTCAACCTAGGGGGTGAATCCATATCTTTGGATTTAAAAATTCATGTTATTTCCAATTATTTTGGAACATTTGTTTTTTTAAAGAAAACTTCTTAAATTAGTAAAATATTAGTATCTTAAATAAAGATATTAAGCAAGGAATACATATTTCAGATTAAGGAAGCCAAACAGGGATACTTATTGCATAGTTACCACATACCAGGCATTGTGCCAAGGGATCCTACATGTGAGTTTTCATTCGATCTTCAAATCAAACTATGTGAACCATGCCATCTATCACAGAGCAGTGCTAGGAGCAAGCAGATAATGGTTGGTTCCATAAGTGATTCTGAGTCTCAGAAAGATCATTATGGATTATTTTCAATCATGATTCAGTTAGTGTTGCCTGTTTACTGTTAGTACAAAATGTCTCATGGCCAAGCAATGTATAAATAAAGCAGCCTTAGGCTATTGAGTTGGGAGAATTACCTAGGTTTCTGAGTTTGGGTTTGGGCCAAGAATATGTGAAATCTCTCAAAACTAATCCCACCTTCTACAGGCTCCTATCTTGACGGGTCCATCCTGCATGGAAACATGCATGCTTTTCATCTCTCCTGACTGTAATTTAAGAGTAAACAACCACGACTACACCATCTGCAGTAGCAGTCCAATGTCATTCTCATGGAGACAACAGATATTGTAATAGCACTGCTTAAGAACCAGAAAACACCAATGATGCACTTCTCTCTTTGAGGTAAGAAAAGTTTTTTTTTCATGAAAGAATATCTTAGAAAGTAAAGCATGCATAGAATTTTCATTTAACTTTTTACTGCCCAAACTAACATCCCAATTTATATATATACAGGGGTGGTAATTTTGGCAGTGTGGGACCAACACCTCCTTTAATAGAGCATTATGCATATTTCAGATTCTAAGGACATAGAACATGCAAGAATCCTGCCTGGTGTTTTTCTCCTACTAAAGATTTTTTCTTTATCCTCTCACACTATTAAAAAAATACAAAGCTTACATTTTAACAAATTGCTCCAGACTTGACTTTGCTATCTTATCTAAAATTTTCAAAAAGGGAGAAGAAAATTAGCCATAGAAAGAGTAACTTAATTTAGAGCACATGGCATAAAACATTTAATCTCGATCCTGCTATTGAGTTTTAACTTCCCTGTAATATGTAAACTATGCTGTTCAAAAGTAGAAACATAAATTCTCAGGCCCCATCTTAGATTATAAAATTAGAACCTCTGAGTTCTAACCCAAGTTTCTGTGGTTGAATAGGTGATTTTTATGAATGCTTATCATTGAGAAGCTTGAAACCAGAATCATAAAAATGTGTAGGTATTAATGTAGGGGTGACTCATAGGTGAAATTTCCAGACCAAAGAACATGGAAGAATTCTCAGGTGAATACTATGTCATTAACCTTTAGGCCTTCAAACAGGATTGCCAACAATTTAAGGAACCTCCCATGCCTCTGCCTGTGTCAACCACATTCAGTCTCTCTGAGCTCATACTTCTTCACCTGTGATCTGGTTTTACTCTGTCCTGAGGAGGTGATCTCATCAGGTATGCAAAGAATACTCAGAGAGAGGTCCAAGTGCTTTATCTCTGCTGTTCTGTTCAGCTTGGATCAAGTGTATAATTTTATTCCCCAAATTCTTCCACAGTATTGCATTCAATACATAGGACTTAATGATAATTTTGTTCACTGATATGGATAATGCTAAAGTTGAAAGAAATCTTAGATTTATCTAATCCATGTACATTTTGACAAAGTATAAACTAACACCCCGAAAAGTGGTGCCAAGCTCAGAACTATGGAGCCAGAAACAATGTGAGAAACCAATTCCACATACTCTGACTCCTGAGCTGTTTTCTTGTTACTGTATGGTACTATCTCTCTCTGCAATCTGTTGAGAAACCAATTCCATATACCCTGACTCCTGAGCTGTTTTCTCATTACTGTATGGTACTATCTCTCTCTGCAATCAGTTGAATTCAGTATGTGGTATGAAAACAAACTAAAGTGAAGTGACAAGTTGTATTCTATGTGGAATGGAGATATCAGAGATCTAAAGTAAATGTCCATCAAACCTTAAGAGTAAATAAGATGTAATTACAGATATTAAATAGTCTTCATTAACTTTGCATTTTTCCATACTACACATTTATCCTTAATTCCTCAAGGATCTAGAACCAGAAATACAATTTGACTCAACAATCCCATTACTGGGTATACACCTAAAGGATTATAAATCATTCTACTATAAAGACACATGCATAGGTATGTTTATTGCAGCACTATTTACAATAGCAAAGACTTGGAACCAACCCAAATGCCTATCAATAGTATACTGGATAAAGAAAATGTGGCACATATACAAATACTATGCAGCTATAAAAAAGAATGAGTTCATGTCCTTTGCAGGGACATGGATAAAGCTGGAAGACATCATTCTCAGCAAACTAACACAGGAACAGAAAACCAAACACTGCATGTTCTCACTCATAAATGGGAGTTGAACAATGAGAACACATGGACACAGGCAGAGGAACTCCACACACCAAGACCTGTTGTGGCATGAGGGGCAAAGGGAGGCAGAGCATTAGGACAAATACCTAATGCATGCAGGGCTTCAAACAGATATGACAGGTTGATAGGTGCAGCAAACCACCATGTATACCTATGTAACAAACTTGCATGTTCTGCACATGTATCCACAAACTTAAAATAAATTTTAAAAATGTATCCTTAGAAAGTCTAATTATTTATATAAATTATATATATATATATAAGTTAAGAAAAACATACATTTAGGAAAACCATATTTTATAATTCCAAATGAAACTTTTAGGTGAGTGGGGGACCGTGGAAAAAAGATGTGAATATCTGAGATCGAAAAGAATCACTGAAATCATGTACACACTCTGTTTTCTTGCCTAGTGGTTGCTTTCTCCATCAGAGACAGAAAGAATCAAATGCAGACATATAAGAACCCTGCATGGACTGTGTTCACCTGAACTTACCAACTCAAGGCGAAATATACTCTAATATTAAAATTACATTTCAAAGTATATTTAATTTTGCTATCCCATTATTATCTCTTTGTAGCTCAAATGAGAATGACACTGTTATGAGATCTCTGGCGTGTCGATTATTCTAGCCAGAAACTTCTGTCACTGCAGCGCCTTTGCTCGAGTTCTTGTCCTGCATCCAGGAAGAATGAGGTATGCAGACAAGTGAAGGGGAAGAAGAAGAGTTTTATTTAGCATTAAAACAATTCAGAGGAGTGGGCAGCTCCTCTCTTTAGGCAGGCCATCCAGTCGAGTGGTCAGCTCTCTGCAGAGAGGAGGCCCTGGAGAGGACAGCTCCTCTCTGCAGGCAGGTTATCAGGACATTTCTGTAGGTCTCTGAAGCTCTCAGTGGAGAGGGTAGCTTCTCTCTGCTCACTGGTTGTTTCTGCAGCTCTCAGCAGAGAAGTTACTCCTCTCTGCAGCTGGTCTTCAAATCCCATTGTCTCTCTACCTTCTTTGTCCCCTGGCCATCCTCTGCCCTGCTCTGGCTGAGCCCAGGTGTATTGGTCCATTTTCACACTGCTGACAAAGACACACCTGGAACTGGAAACAAAAAGAGGTTTAATTGGACTTACAGTTTCACATGGCTGGGGAGGCCACAGAATCATGGAGGTGAAAGGCACTTCTTACATGGCAGCAGTAAGAGAAAAATGAGGAAGAAGCAAAAGTGGTAACCCCTGATAAACCCATCAGATCTCATGAGACTTATTCACTATCACAAGAATAGCACGGGAAAGACCAGCCCCCATGATTCAATTACCTCCCCCTGGGTCCCTCTCACAGTATGTAGGAATTCTAGGAGATTAAATTCAAGTTGAGATTTGGGTGGGGACGCAGCCAAACCATATCATCCATCCCTGACCCCTCCAAATCTCATGCCCTCACATTTCAAAACCAATTATGCCTTTCCAACAGTCCCCCAAAGTCTTAACTCATTTCTGCGTTAACCCAAAAGTCTACAGTCCAAATAGTCTCATCTGAGACAAGGCAAATCCCTTCTGCCTATGAGCCTGTAAAATCAAAAGCAAGCTATTTACTTCCTAGATACAATGGGGGTACAGGTATTGGGTAAATAGAGCAGTTTCACATGGGAGAAATTGGCCAAAACAGAGGGGTTACAAAGCCCATGCAAGTCCGAAATCCAGCAGGGCGGTCAAATTTCAAAGCTCCAAAATGATCTCCTTTGACTCCAGGTCTCACATCCAGGTCATGCTGATGCAAGAGGTGGGTTCCCGTGGTCTTGGGCAGCTCTGCTTCTGTGGCTTTGCAGGGTACAGCATCCCTCTCAGCTGCTTTTATGGGCTGGCATTGAGTGTGTGCAGCTTTTCCAGGCACATGGTGCAAGCTGTCAGTGGATCTACCATTATGGGGTCTGGGGGATGGTGGCCCTCTTCTCACAGCTCCCCTAGGCAGTGCCCCACTAGGGACTCTATGTGGGGCCTCTGACCCCACATTTCCCTTCTGCACTGCCCTAGAAGAGGTTCTCCATGAGGGCCCCACTCCTGCAGCAAAATTCTGCCTGAGCACCCAGGCATTTCCATACATCTTCTGAAATCTAGGCAAAGGCTCCCAAACCTCAATTCTTGACTTCTGTGCAGTTGCAGGCTCAACACCACAAGGAAGCCACCAAGGCTTGGGGTTTTTACGCTCTAAAGCCATGACCCAAGCTCTAGATTGGCCCCTTTCAGCCATAGCTAGAGCAGCTGGGATACAGGACACCAAGTACTTAGGCTGTACACAGCACAGGGACCCTGGGCCCAGTCCATGAAACCACTTTTCCCTCCTGGGTCTCCAGGTCTGTGATGGAAGGGGCTGCTATGAAGGTCTGTGGCATGGCCTGGAGACATTTTCCTCATGGTCTTGGGCATTAACTTTCTCCTTGCTACTTATGCAAATTTCTGCAGCCGGCTTGAATTTCTCCTCAAAAAATATTTTTTCTTTTTCCTACTGCATTGTCAGGCTGCAAATTTTCAGAACTTTTATGCTGTTTCCATTTTAAAAAGGAATGGTTTTAACAGCACCCAAGTCACCTTTTGAATGCTTTCCTGCTTAGAAATTTCTTCCACCAGATACCCTAAATCAAGTTCATCTCCAACTGAGAACACCTCGGCCTGGACCTTATTGTTCATATCACTAGCAGCATTTTTGTCAAGGCCATTCAACAAGTCTCTAGGAGGTTCCAAACTTTCCACCATTTTCCTATCTTCTTCTGAGCCCTCCAAACTGTTCCAACTTCTGCCTGTTACCCAGTTCCAAAGTCATTTCCATATTTTCAGGTATCTTTTCAGCAATACCCTACTCTAACGGTACCAACTTACTGTATTAGTCCATTTTCATGCTGCTGATAAAGACATACCTGAAACTGGGAATAAAAAGAGGTTTAATTAGACTTACAGTTCCGCATAGCTGGGGAGGCCTCAGAATCATGGCAGGAGGCAAAAGGCACTTCTTACATGGCAGCCACAAGAGAAAAATGAGGAAGTAGCAAAAGCAGAAACCTCTGATAAACCCATCAGATCTCATGAGACTTATTCACTATCACGAGAATAACCCAGGAAAGACCTACCCCCATGATTCAAGTGCTCTCTCTGAGTCCCTCCCACAATGCGTGGGAATTCTGGGAGGTATCATTCAAGTTGAGATTTGGGTGGGGACGCAGCCAAACCATATTACCAGGAGCTAAATGATGAGAACACATGGACACATAGAGGTGAACACCATACAATGGGGCCTATTGGAGGGTGGAGGGTGGGTGAAGAAAGAGGATCAGGAAAATTGACTAATGGGTGCTAGACTTACTACCTGGATGATGAAATAATCTGTACAACAAATCCCCATGATACATGTTTACCTCTGTAACAAAACTGTACATGTACCCCTGGACTTAAAAGTTAAAAAAAAATTTCTCCTTGGCCTAGACTGTTATGTATCAGATAGAGTGAACCAGCTTGGGTTGTCTCCTAATAAGAGCAAGGAAATAAATTTTTGTCAAGCATTTTGGTCTACTGTCTTTCTCCTCGCTTGGCTAGCATGCCCACTTGCACTATCTATTTTAACACATTTTCTTCTCTGCAGCAAGTTTTTATCTTTTAAATATTTTCGATGCTGCTAGACAAGAAATACATAGCATTTTAAATTCTATTCTGTATTATTGGTGAGACTGAACACTTATATTGTGTTTATTAGCCATTATTACTTATTAGCTCAATAATTATTTATACATTTTAGACATATCATTTAGGATACTATTTCTTTGCTAAGTCAACTTATAAGAGATTTGTATGTTAAAAATAATATTTACTAGTTTCATATAATCATTAATTTTTACATAAAGAATTTCTGATTCTTGACTTTTTAATTTTACTTTACTCATCTCTTAACTGAATGATACCTTGTTTACAGTGTTACAGATGTTTACATAAATGGTTATTTCAGAAAACTTTGGAAAATTCTACTTGCAAGTTGATGGGGCTTCTGGGCATTTGCTATAATACATTCTTGCTTTATCTAATTGGAAAATTAGATAAAGATGGAATTCATAACTTTGCAATATTGACTCAGAAGTAAGGGCACTACAAGGCCCTGACCAAACCCTTCCAGAAGAAAATGTATAAATGTTGCAAGACAGTATTTGAAAGAGAAATGGCAGACAATGAGAGTAATTATTTCCAACATTCATATTTTTTCTTCCTGGGTCCAGGAAAATTGTGCATCATGCTACTGTTATGGGATCCTTGGGGTGTCACTTCACCAGCTGGCAACCTCTGTGGCCAGTGGCAGCTTTGCCTGAGTTTTGCTCTGGCTGCTGGGCTCGTTCTGCCCATTTGGCCTGGCAGGCTGCAGTCAGCTCCCACTACTGGCCTGGATCCCACACCTGCCAAGGGCAAGCCAGACACAGAGCAGTGAGGGGTGTGTGAGCAAGCATGGCATCCAGCCACTGCTTACAGCTGGGCACACCTGCTATGGCGGGGCCAGCAGCTCCAGGCACCAGCATTGGCACTGGCTCCCTGTGAGGCTGAAGCTGGACCAGGTATACCATAAGTGATTTCCACAACTGACACCAGACAACATGGTGTGGCTCTCAGAAGCTTGGAAATACCAGGAACTGCAGAGCCCTAAAGAGGTTGTCACAGCCCTGGCTCAGGGAGCTCCTAGGTCGGTGCCCCCCGAAGGGTCACAGCTCTTCTCTCCTTCTTGTCACCTGCAACATGGCAGGCAAAAGACATGTTTTATCTGTTTGTATTAGAGGTCTTTTAGCCCTGCCATCAGCAGGTCCTGAGTTATTGTCCTGTGTCCAGGAAAAATGAGGTACACGGACAAGTGGAGGGTGAGCAAGATGAAGAGGAACTTTATTGAGCAATAGAACAGCTCATAGGAGACCCACAATGGGCAGCTCCTCTTCATAGCCAGGGAGTCCTGACAAGTGTTCAGCTTTTAGCGGAGACAGTAGCTCCTCTTTATAGCTGGTTGTCCCATTGTTTCTTCAACTCTTAGCAGTGAGGGTAATTTCTCTCTGTGGCTGATTGTCCCATCATTTCCTCAGCTCTCAGCAGAGCGAGTAGCTCCTCTCTTAGTCAGGTTGTCCCAATGAGTGTCCAGCTTTCTGCAGAGAGGATAGCTCCTCCCTGCAGCTGGTCATCTTGTTGTCTCTTTGAGTCTGACTGAGTCTGGGGCTTTTATGGGCCTCAGAAGGGAGGAAGTATACACCGATTGGTCCATGGGCAGCCATGGGAGGGCCTGGAAAAAGCACCACAAGTTTCTACTCTGGTCCACAAAACCAGCAGCTTTGCCTCTAGGCTTCAGACCCTCCCCAGCTTGAAGGTGGGGCTTCACTGGGGACATCTGCCCTTCCACCCAGGAGCCTGTCTGCCTCCTGCTGCCATTCATAAGCTGCCCTCAGCCCTGCCTCAGCCTCTCTTCCATGATGTTGGCACCCAAAGTCTGGAGGGGGCTGAGGTGGCAGGAGGCTGGCATGTCAGTGCTGCCCTGAGCATGTGCACTCCCGCCGGGATGCAAGAGTGGCTGGGCTCAGTCTCAATTTTGCTCCATGATAAGAGTGGGTGCTGATAGCAAGGAGAGGCCAGGCAGCAGCAGCAGACATCTCTGAGCCTGTGGGGGCAAAAGGGGATCTTCCTGGGCTACTGGGAGTGCAGAGGTCCCTGGGTCTGTAGCCACAACTTGGGTGGCTGCAGCTGTGCCCAGGAGAGCAGGGCTCCTGCTTGCTCCTGGCTCCCACCAGCTCCATGGAGCATGGCATTGCCCCAGGCCCAGATCTGCCCCAGGGTCCCTCTCTGTCTGCCCCTCCATGCCTGATCGCACTGCTCCCCCACTGATGGGTGACTTGACCCGACCCCATTGCACCAGTTCTCAGGGCAGCTGGCAAGGTTCAGGTGGTATGGTAGCCCTGACCAACCCCACACAAATGAACCCAAGGCTCCCAGGGCCAGCCCTGCAAGTCCTGGCTGTGCCTTTGGCTGGGTGCTCACAGGCCCCTGGTATGCAATGGGGAGCAAGGGTGAAGCCGCAGTGGAGGCTCCGGTCCTAGAAGTGGGTTCTGCCTGGCTGTGCAAGGGTGGGGTGGTGCAGTCACCTCCCTTGGGGGCATGGGGCACAGGGGACCCACTGCCGCCACTGCTGCTCCTGCAGCCACTCCTGTCACCACCACTTGTGCCTCCCTGCTACAGCCGGCATTTTGGCAGCAGCTGCTCCAACGACCTGTCACTCCCCTCACTACTTTGTGACATTTCTACTAGAGAATAGAGAGGGCCTGGCTCTCAGTGCCCCTATTAAGAAAAAAATATATAATTAGAAATAATCATTGCCAGTCATTTGAGTTATAAGTGGGTGCTTCCCCATTGGAAGCAATTGGCAGGCAGTGTTCAGTAGGTTTGTCTTTGGACAGCAGCAACTCCCTGTTCCCAAGAAGGAGGTGTCCCAACCGCATAGGCATTCAAACTAAACAGGCTATGGGACTAGCTGAGCAGTCAGGGCACACAAGGCCTTGTTATCACCTAGTATTATTTATATTATCTAAAGTCTTTCTCCTTTGGTAATCTCTTTCTTTTGGCATTTTGAATGTGTTCTCAATCCCTTTAAAAAGAATCAAATGATTAGTGAGTACCTGCAAAAGAAATAGTTACCCCTGATTGACGCAAATTTCCAAAACAGGTATATTTTATATATCTTTCTATTCCCTTCACACATGAATGAACACTTGACTGAAAATAAAATTGTATATCATCATCATAAATTTTCTCTCAGCTTTATATTTTCTTATATTTAGCACTACAGGGGGTTATTCAAAGTGAGAATGACTTCTGCAACATAGCTACCTATTTTTTTAAATCATTTTTGTTTTTTAAGTGGTATCCTGGGTGAGATTTTTTTTAATTTCAAGGATGGTGCTTTCATCAATTTTAATAAGAATTTGAATAATTTTTCAATCTTCAGGCTCAAGGTTGTTGTTTATATGTTTGTTTTAGTCAAAAAGTCTTTCTCATGTCATATGTCATTATTTTGGCTTCAGCTTTTTTCTCACATCTTCTTTGGCAGTACTTCCTTCCGAGAGTTCATCTTTGTTTTATGTTATAATTTTGTTCAATCAATTCTATAATTTTCTCCCTCTTTGCATTTATTATTAATCATTTTCTTTTGTGACTATTTTAACATAAGGCAAATTAGGTGTTAAGGCAAATAGAATTACTAGCAATAAAATGAGTAATCACATGATGATAAAAGTTATATTTCACAGGGAAAGTTGTTAAATTCAATTCTGATTTTATATCCGTGTGTGTGTGTGTTTGTGTGTGTGTGTATGTGTGTGTGTGAGAGAGAGAGATAGAGAGAGAGAGATCTTATATATGTTGGCAAAAATATAGCCCCAAAACATACAAAGCCTAAGTTAACAGGTATTCAGATGACTGCACAAGAATCTTCGGAGCCCCTGAATATGTTACATTTATGGAAACAGAAACTTTGTAGATGTGATTAATATCAGGGACCTCAAGATGGCAAAATTATCCTGGATTAATATAGGTAGGGCCAATGTAATCATGATTCCTTAAAAGTAGAGGATTTTTTAGCTGTTGTCAGAGAACAATGACAACATGAAAAACATTTGATACCCCATGCTGGCTGTGAAATAGAGGGGGCTACATGAAAGAACTAAGGAGAGGCCTCCAAAAGTTGGAAAAGACAAGAAAATGGATTCTCCCTTTGAGCCTCCAAAAGGGAATGCAGCCCTGCTAGCACATTGATTCTAGCCCTGTCATACCCATGTTGGACTTCTGACCTACAGAACACTAATATAATAAATGTGGGTTGTTTTAAGTCATATATTTATACTCATATCTCCCATTCTAACACAAAACCATCGAGTTCATTCTAGCATTCTCCCTTTGCTCATTATAACTTTTTTCTCTGACAGCGAGAAATATGGTTCTCATCTTCATTATATTTACTTATTTGTTCAAACATTGTACATATATAAAGTAATTTCAGAATTGGTAATCTATACCACTGTGAGAAACAAATTTACTAACTGTTTTTAAACAGTCTTTTCTGGCTTTAGCCCTATAGTTTGTAGTACAAATATTGCTTTACAAAATTACTTAAGTCAGCTGCTTTCCCAAGACAGGGAGGTTCTCATCTTCATAGCAGCCACTTCCAGTCTAGCATGTCTGCCTCTTGGCTTGAATTACTAATGAATCACCAAATTCTGTAAGGGAAAAAGCAGCTCAGACTATTGGTCTCACTTTCTGCATTTCTTGGGTATTTACACCTCTTTTTGTTGGTTGTTGTTGTTGCCTTGTCAGCTTTGAACTTGTTTTTTTGCTCACAGGCCAATGAGATTGCTGAAAGCTCTCAAAATTCAGTTTCTTCAGCTTTTAATAATTACTTTCTTCTCATCTGGTGAGCATCTGTATCCATGAAATTTGTGAATAAACAACTACTTGAAAAGAAAAATGCTTCCGTATAGAAAGTCAAAATAATCTCAGGAGTTTTATTTTTCTCTGGAATCTTGGTTCTTTAAGTCTTGGCTGTCTTAGTTACCCTTCAAAGCTTTCAAACAGGCGGGTTGTTTGATTGTGTGATTTTTTCACTTTTTCACTTGTTCTTAGTGGGAGGATTAGCCAGTGACAAGCTATTTCTTAGCAGGTGGAAGGGAAAATCCTCAAAGCCTGTAACTATTTCCCTAAATATAGTTTTAGTGTTTAGTTTTAGTTCGTGTTTCTGAGTTAATCCAAAATTAGAAGCCTGCCACTATAACTTCTCCAGTCTCCATTATTTATAATGGATTGGCTTTGATTTTAAATGGCATCGTATTTATCATTTAATACATTTACTAGGAACCTTGAAAAGAACATATGAATCCTTACAAGCAGGTTACCATATTGGCCTGGAAGTGTCTGCAGAGTTGGAGTCAAGTTTTCTTTTTTCTTACTCAAAGAATAGAACACATTTTGTTTCAGTCAAAGTACTTTTATAATAAATTAATTAAGCTAAAATAAGTGACATTTATTTTGAATAATTCCAGAATTGTTTTCATGAAGTCATTTACCCTAGGGCATATCTTCAATTAGGGATATATTAACAAAAATTATTTTACAGACTTTAGGGGAAAAATAGAGTGAATGAACATGTGAAAATTGTTCACAAATGAAATAAAATCATAAATCGATTAGCTTTTATCTTTTCGAATGCACCATTACATAAAGCACGTATTTACTTTATTCAATTATGTTTCAAAATAATGTTGATATTATTTCCTATAAAGACAAATATAACGAGTATTTTGAAAATGATAGGGTATGACTCACATAAATGTGTCTTCCTCTGTGCAACCCCCAATTTCCCAGAGCATCCAAGTGGATTAGCTATGACCCAGGAAGGCAGCAGCAGCATGTTTAAAAGTGACCATTGGTTATTTAGTTAATGTAAAATTATATTGGAAGTGCTCTTCTCTCACTGACTCCATTACCTTGGCAAAATATATAACTGATGCTTTCTATCAATGCTCATGTACTTGTCCTGCCGATTAATTCCATTCATATTCAAAGTAGTTTCAGCCATGCTCCATTTCAATCGATTTTATCTGCATGGCACACTGGTCACAGAGTGGTCACATTGTACAGCAAGTGAAGCTGGCTACGAGATGTCCCACAGTCTTTCAGTCACTGCACTGCTGGAAGCATGGAAGCTGGAAGCATGTGCTTATTTACTTATTCATCAAATATCCATGCAGTGTTGGGAGAGCATTAAGGAAATAAAAGTGAATGAGGTATATTTATGTTTTCAAGAAATATTATTTTGGGTACAGATATCTTTATATGTAGATTTTTAAAGTATAAAAATAATTACCATTTGTGTGTGCTTCATAGATTATACCACATTCTCACATGGTATGGCTCAGTTAAGTCCATGATATAGATATAATATTTGAAACACTCATCTTCAATGTATGAAATGGCTACATGTAAACTTGGGTGATGGTGGTTACTCCTAGGCAGCAAATCAAAGAAAAGAGAATTCACTTTGTACGAGGTGAAATGTCCAATAGAACTATCAACAGACATTAATAATAGATACCAAAGAATACAATAGAAAACAATGTGGTTTATATTTTTTCCTTTCATTTGCCATTCCCTGTCTCTTTTGTTTTCTATGCATTCATACTTTGATAAAGTCTTTTCTTCCTCTTAGAATCCTTAGGCAGAATCTCATGTTCTCTTACATCAAACTCATAAATTGACACACCACTGTACTCTATTTGGAAAAAGACAAAACCTATATTAAAGTCTTTAGATTTCTTATTTTAACCTCCATTCTACCTATATTCCAGAATGTACTGCTTGATTTTTTTTTAACATAGTTAGATGCCTGCCTATCAGTGGCTGAAGTAGAGTAGATGCTTAATAAGTGTTCATCAAATGGAAGAATTATCAATCACTAAGTTAATAATATTAGACACCCATTTAGTAAGTGCTTGCTACGTGTCAGGCATAGTACTAATGCTTCTCGTGGATGGCCTCAGTTAATCCTCAGACCAACCCTAAGACATGGATATTTTACTCTCATCATCCCCATTTTACAAATAGGAAAACTGAGGCGCAGAACCACAACAACTTAACAATGAGTACATAGCTTGTTATGGAAATAATATCAGACCTATGTCTTTACTATGTTATGAGCTGCCTTTAACATCTGACCAATTATATGCATCTTTTTATTCATTAAAAAGGTCTGAATTTGATTAATTATTGAGGTCCATGATTTTTTCCAAATATATTGCATTTCTCAATTGTATTCCCAAACAATAAAGCTAAATCTTCATGTTTCAAAACAATATCTAAAAGGGTTGATCAACTTTAGTGTTGAATGTGAAAATCACATCAAGGATTTTTATACAACTGATTACAGATCCTGACAAATCTAGCTCCAGACACAGACATTGCTATCATCAAAATAAGAGCTAGCTTGAGAATATAAATGACTAACATTTTGAGTTTTTTCTTTCAATATTAAAATATAGAAAACTCATAGTGAAAAAAAATTTTCCATTTAAATGTTATCCTTTTGATTACTTACTAAATAAAAATTTTAAGATAATATAAAGTAATCTTTTAAAATAGAGTTTATATCAGGAATGTCTACCAATATTAAACAATTCAACAGAAAAAAATACCTTGGGACATTTCACCTCTTGGAATATTATTCTTTGAAGACTGCTGGCATCAATTTTTTTTGGTTGTTATATAAAACATAAAATAATCTGCAATTTCAAAAGACTTATCAAAAGTGTTATAATAGAAATATAATATATATAAATTAAGTTCTAATGTTCACTATTGTATGTGACCTATGATGTGTATGTGTGTTTATACATGTATATACACACATACATATGTTAAATGTTTATACATATATATATGTATAAACACACCTATGTGACAAATGTTTATACAAAGAGTAGTTTTCCTTGATTTTTGTGAAGCCAATGAAAAGCATGGACTAAATTATTTGTTTTAAATTTTTATGTAAAGTTGTAACATTTTGGTTAAATATAAACATATAAATCATTTCATGTTTTCATTTTGTTTCTAAGGGAATATTCATTTTAAATAAAATGTATTCTGCATTTTTAAATTATTTTCTAGAAAGTGTTTTTGGTAATAAAAGCTCATTTTGTTTCAGAGAATGGAGACTGATTCAAGTTTCCTGGAGAAATGGAGCTTATTGTAAGGCTGCACACACCCATCATAAGGGAGATGGGCATCAGAGGAAAAGAAGTAATATTGGTTATTCACTATCCAATTGCTTTTCTTTCCCCCAGCAGCAAGAAGAGTTCAGGGAACTGTAGTATTTCTTCATTAACATGATGCTGGAGACCAAGAGGATATTGATCTCCAATTGAAGTCATTAGGAGTATCTTTAGTTTTAAATCTAAGAAAATTATCATCCTTTGAAATATTATTAATATATTTTAACCAGACTTTCAAATACAGATTAGGCAATATTGCTCCAGAGACAGAAACTACTGTGAATGGCTTTAATTGAAGATAGGTGGGGATAATTTCAATGTATGACTTTCTGGGTAATTAAGGCAGAGTAGTACTGGGTGAGGGGAAAGAGGGTGTTTAGGGAAAGATGCTTCATACTATCAGTCGGCTTCTACAGCTGTCTTTCTTACACATATGTGCATAAGATTAAGTAGTTTACCATGCTCATGGTAATCCCATGCCAGAGCTTAGGAAAATTTTGCAGGATGCTTTGACTTGCCTTAGACAACACTTCTCACCCATATTGAAACACTCTCCTTGCTAATGGAGAAGAATACAATCCCAAGGCCATAGACCGTTTTGTTTGACATAGTCTTATCTCTCTAATGAAAATAAATAAAGAAAAACTATTTTGCCACTGATTTTAGCAATTTTTTTAACTGCATGTTATCTAAAAATGTATCAACACAATAGAAATAAGAACATGAGGTTTGATATTGACTTACCTTTCAGATTCCTTACACACCTCAGTTGCTAAGAAGAGCCAGTCTCAGGTGCACCTGCATAAACAAGAGGGGAGGCAACATGGAGCCACGTCTATACCTTCGTGGATGCTTAATCTTGTGCCTATTTTTTCACTACCTGTGTATTAATTTATTTTGGCTGTGGTAACAAATTACCACAAACTTGGTGCCACTGAAAAATAGAAATTTATTCCCTTACAGTTCTAGAGTCTAGATGCCCCAAATCAAGGTGTGGTAGGGCTGTGCTCCCTGCAGAGGCTGCAGTAGAGAATCTATTCATTGCCTCTTCCAGTTTCTCCTAGCCAATAATATTCTGTGACTTGTAGGCACACCATTTCAGTCTCCAAGGACAGCATCTTCAAATTTCTCTCCGCTCTGTTTTCATACTGTCTTCTCTTCTGTACATGTAGCCAAATCTTGCTCTGCATCCATTTATTAAGTCACATGTGGTTGCATTGGAGCTCACCCAGATAATTCAAGATAACCTCCCCGTCTCAAAATTCTTAATTTAGCCTACGGCCATACCACCCTGAACAAGCCTGATCTCGTCAAAATTATTAATATAATCACATCTACAAATATCTTTTTTCTTGCCATATAAGATAGTATTCACAGGTTCCAGGGTTTAAGACATGGAAATATTTTGAGAAGCCATTTTCCAGTCAACCAAAACTTGTTTGTTGGTTAACAAGTAAAACCAAGTATATATAACCTCAGCTGAGTCTAAATTCCTTCTCTCAAACTTTCTTAAGCCCAGACCCATCTTTATTACCTAGTCCAGCTCAGAAACACACAAAGTATCTCGAGAAGACCCCAAGAGTCAAGTACTGCTGAGTAGACACAGGGCAAATGACTCACACACTCTGCCTTGTGAGAGAAATATAATCTTCACTTAACCTATTTAACATTTTTTTCATCAATCTGTAATAAAACTTTGACAGTACTATTCATCTTCATTTCCATTTTAATGTTTTTGAAATCAGAATACGACTTTTAATCGACGTGTACATTTTCTGTGGTAGTTTTACAACCCACACTGCCCAAGCAAAAGTTGTAATTAAATTGATTATGCATAACATTTGCTAAACTCATAAAAAGGAAGAATATTAACATATATGTAAATTCTCATAAAAAGGAGGAATGTTAATATATATTTTCCAAGATAATTTTGATGACTTGTAAGTCAATGACTACATGCCTAAATAAATATTGAAATGCTATATCCAGTAGAGAGCAGTGTTTCAGTCACAGGGACAGCACTCTCTGTTGTGTGTCAAGAATAGTTGCATAGTTATCCTATGGCTTAATAAAGCATCCCTCAAGATGGTTTAACTATTTTGTTTTGAATCCAGGTGCCCCAAACAACTTTCTGATTATCAATGATGTTTCTCAATACAGCATTTACCATTTAGATTCAGGATGTACATTGTGTAGTTACATTAAAAATATTGGGGACTGCTTAAAACTGTTTCTATACCACACTAATAACTGTAAACAAATCTCATGACTTTGAACATGGAATAGTGAGGGTTTTGGAAATAGACATATATTTGTGTGTGTGTGTGTGTGTGTGTGTGTGTGTTTAACATCTAACAGGCAATAACTCTGTGCACTAATAGCTATAATCAATTAAACAATGTCTTGGAAGAAACTCAGGCCACCCATTACACTCCTAAGTGCTGAGTATGAATTAGCGCTGCTAATTCACACTGCTGCATACCATCGACTAAGGCATTTCCATGACTACTGAAATATACAAAATTGACAACTCTCCATTGATACAGGGTGTTGTCTTCCTGCAATCACTGAATTTAGACCTGAAATACTTAATATATAAAATCTATCCACATTTCCCAAGCTATACTCATGATGAATGAACGGTTAAAGTTAGGTTTTTGGTTAATTAGGTTTCTGTACCGGGATAGCTGAGAGGTTAACCCTTGACCCCAGTGACATCTCCAAGATACAGTTACCATCATTGAGAGCTCATCTCAAAAGCCATCTGATCCTTTCTCTTTATAACATATCTTTCCAACTATAATAATTTCATGAAGTAATTGAATATTTACCAGGAAAGGGCATAATACTGGTTTTTGTTTTGTTTTTGTTTTACAAATCGGCTTATAGAAAAGTAAGTTACATTCAAAATTTAATAAAGACAAGGAACCTATTCGTTCTGTTCACTACTATATTCTTCAGAGCCTAGCACAGTTCTTGTCAGGTATTTAATAAATACTGGGTTAATGAATCAATCAAATAATCAATACACTATATCTTACAACTGAAAAGAATAGACACAGATAACGTTTAGGCTGGTATAATTTGTATCTTATTCTTATAATTTAATATTGACCTTTATGTAATTTATCTGCTGAAAAGGAAACAGAAATTTTGGAAATTGTGAATAATTATTTTTAAGACGCATGCTTAAACAATCTAAAGACTGTTATTTGTTGCAAATATTTTGGTCTAAAACATTCTTCAAATAATTCTGAATAATTGATTGATATAATAGCAGTATGGAGATGAATGTATACAAAAGATGTTATAAGAGAATTGCTGTAACTGCTAATATATTGATTCATCAAAGATAAAGCCTTTCTTCTAATGAATATATAGTATGTAAATGATGATTTACAGTAATTTTTTAAAAGTAGCTACAAAGATAGGATTTCACTTCCTTATAATAATTTAACTAAAATGGTAAAAAGTCTAACTGCAGCCAGGATATAACACTTTTCACGTGTTCTCCACTCTTCCATCACCTTGAATCCCACCCATGCACTGAGAAGAACCACATAGAAGTCTGTCTTGCATTTGGAGACTGGAAATTGGAATCTGCTTCAGTGAAAGGGTATATATAAAAAGAAATTAGGTGCATAAAAGTTAAAAGTTAAATATAATCCTGATCTTTCATGAAGATTAAGAAATCAAAACCTGGAAAGACACATTCAGTTACTGTCCAAAAATTGAACAGGTCATTGTTAAATGACCCAGTACCACACCTTCCTTTCTCACTAATGCAAATCTAGAAGTTGGACTATCGCAGATTAAAGAGGGCTATTGATTCACATAAAATCATCAGTATTTGTTGGTTTTTCTTGATAGCCCAATATTAAAGAACTTCCTTTTTTTCTTTTTCTTTTTTTTTTTTTGCGAAGGAGTCTCGCTCTGTCACCCAGGCCGGAGTTCAGTGGCACTATCTCAGCTCATTGCCACCTCCGCCTCCAAGTTTCAAGCAATTCTCCTGTCTCAGCCTCCTGAGTAGCTGGACTATAGGCACACACCACCACACCTAGCTAATTTTTGTATTTTTAGTACAGACAGGGTTTCACCATATTGGTCAGGCTGGTCTTGAACTCCTGACCTCTGGTGATCCACCCACCTCCGCCTCCCAAAATGCTGGGATTACAGGCGTGAGCCACCGTGCCCAGCCCAAAAGAACTTTGTAATTCACCACATGGTCTGTATTCAGAAGATGAGAGGATGTCAGCAAAAGAGTAGAGAGTTTAAGGCCATAAAGAAGAACAAAGCCGAGAAATGTATGTCCTATGTCTTGAGTAAGTAGGAGGTTCTGAGCAGTTGCTCTCAACTAACGCTACCATTTTGTATGGGGATGAGTTGATTGAAATAAAGGCAGCAGACCAAACTGAACATTTGTCAATCATTGCAAATTAATTTGATCTGTCAAAATAGCCTCCAAATGGAATCATAAAATGTTACAGTAAAAAAAAAAAAAAAAAAAAGAGAGAGAGACTTACAATCAGTAGAAGGGAGTTCATGATTTGATACAGGTAGCTATTATTTAAGTGGCTGAAAACACTCTCTTTGAGCCTTGGCTTAATAATAACAATAATTTTGGAAAGAGAAAGAGGAAGAAACACAGCAAGAACTATTGTGTATTGCTGATGTGTAGTGCTTATGTATGAAGCATAGTGCCAAGTACTCTACATATTTCATGTATTCCTTATTACTCTTTCATATAGAACTGTTACCCCTAATGAAAAATAAGGAACGTGAAACTTGTCAGGATTAAGTTAGTATTTGTCTAAAGTTGCAATGGCATAATCAAGATTTGAACGTGTCTGCTTAGAGGTGATACTCTTAATTGTAACCTAAAAATGGGCAGCAGGGGGATGGTGTTATGGAGTAGGGAGGCAGGTACTCCAAAGACAACAACCTCACTTGCACACTTGATGAAATAATGTACATAAAATATAGGTATAAGCTACTTAACATTGAACTAGTAATTCCTCATTCTTAACCATTTTTGGTTTTATCTGTCAAGAAACAGCTCAAATGGCATTTTCTTTCTGAAATGTCACTTGTTTCATCCCTTCTATTTCTTGTACTTCTGCCTAGAATTTATTTACTTCTGCCTTGTGTTTTTAAGCCCTGAATCCCCAATGCAAGAGTAGTGCCTGGTACATAGTTAGCACTCAGTAAGTCAATGTTGAACTACATTCCTGTTATATTACTGTGATTATTATTCCTGAGGATATAAATCATATTTTAAATTTGTTACCATCAATACTAAAATATCTTGTTTTTATTAAGATTTTGTATCTTCTCTACTGAAGTATACTTTTGCAAACAAGAAGGTCTATTTATTTTGATTATTGCAAATAGTATTAGTGGACTCTTATCTATGTAAATGGTAGATTCAAGGAAATATAGCATAATGTGAAGAAGGCAATTTGATGCTGTGATAACTCAGCTAAAACAACAGTCTCAATAACAGGTGAAACATGGATTAAAGGAAGATTTCTTATAAAATCTTACTTCATAATGTTTTTTATTTTTCTCATTACCCTAAATATTTTATTAGCTCAGAAAACAGATTGATTTAGGTTACTTAATACGTGCTCTGCCAATTTAATTTAATCCTAAAACAACTTTACCTTTCCCCTAATTTTGCTGAAATTCTATGTAATACTCTGTCTTTCATTTGCTAAGAGTATGCTGCTGATTTATTTCCAGTGAAAATTTCACTTTCACTTTTTTTTTTTAACCACTAATGGGCTCTTTTAATCCAATTATATACCTAACAAGTAAATAATGTTAATGAAACATTATTGGTACTTGTAGTGATAATCAATCAGGCTTAACCTGTCTGTAAAGAGTTGTGAAGATAAATTTCAAATACTTTTTTCATTTGGAAACAATCAATATATCTCATTCTTTTTTTGCTGCCACAGTTGCTGTTGAAATGGAAATATTTGTATGTAATTTACAAAGTGATCAGATCAAGGGCATTGTAAACTGACAGAATTCGTGGAAAAGTTCAAACTATATTAAATTTGTCACCTCTTACTCTAATTATGTTTAGGTATTTTATGGAGTCATTATAAAAATAAAGATTCTGTGGTCTGTGTAGACATAGCTAAAGTATGCCTGTTGCTTACAATACAATAAATGCTAAAATAGTTGATTTTTTATTAGTAAACCCCAAGTATAGGCAAAAATTATTATTTCATTTCATCTCTTTAAAGCACAAAAATTATTTGTCACTTTTTTGTAATTAATTTTGAGAATTGAATTTACTCTTTACCCTTAAGTACATAAAACTTAATTTAATACTATTGACATTATTAGTATTTAACACATATAATGTTTTTTTCACATTTTTCGAAATTTTAGGTATTTATTTCTAAGCATACTATTGTATGTAACAATAATTTACGAGGACTTTCTTCCGAAAATTGAGAAATAGAAGTAATGCGCGAATAACTTCAATTTCCTCCCAACGTCATATCTTCCAATTTACCAAAAATTTTACCCATAATCTGCCCTCACTCTCTATATATTTTGTCATATTTAAAGTCAACTCCTCCACCTGTATGCTCTCACGCTCTCGTCTAATATATGCTTCCTACAATGTTTCCCTTTTTTTCTCGTAAAATCATTTCCCCCTGCTCTATTGGATCATTCCCACTGGCATGCTGTTACATCTTTCATAGGTACGAAGTTTGCCTCTGGCCACACATTCTCCAATGCAACTGACAAATTCTCAGTTTTCCTTAAACGCTTTTGGAAAGAGCAATCTATACTTGCTCTCTCCACTTCCTCTCTCATTCTCTCTAGAGCCACCCCAATCAGTGCTTTTTCCAATCATTCCACTGGAAACATTCTCACTCTGCTCATGCAGGAACCTCAGGTTACCAAACCCAATGGTCAGTTTTCAGTCCTTCTCTTCCTTGACCTATTAACTGTATGTATTTGGGTTATCACACCCTTCTTCTTGAATTCCTTTCTCACTTGGCTTCTTTGAAACCTGTCTCTTGGTTCTACTCCAATCTCACTGGCCACTCCTTTTCAGTCTTTTTTGTTACTTCTTCATAATATTGTCAGTCTCTAAGATTTAGTGTGCTCTGGGGCCCATGCTTAGATCGCTTCTCAAACTTTCAGTTTTTAAGAAATCTTTCTGTCTTGTACTTTAAATAGTATCTATATGCTAGGCACAGTGTCACACACCTCTAGTCCCAGCTACTTAAAAAGCTAATATAGAAGGATTGCTCGAGCCCAGGAGTTCAGGGCTATGATCATGCCTATGAATAGACACTACACTTCAGACTGAGAAACATAAAGGGATCTAGTCACTTAAAAAAAGAAAGAAAGAAAGAAGAAACAGCTAAAGAAAGAAAAAAGAAAAAATACTATCTACATAATAAAAAGGACTGCAATTTAAGTGCCTAGGCTATACCAATACCCTGAATTCTAGTTTCAAATGTGCAACTGCCTATTCAACAAAAGCATTTGGATGTCAAATAGACAATTCAAACTTAAAATGCCCCAAACAAGACAAAATAACATTCCTTTCAACATGCTGCTCCATCACTTTTTCCCTTCTCAATGTGTGACCCCTCTTTCCTTCCAGTTGCTTGGGTTAAAGCTGGAAGTCTCCCTGATTCATCTCTTTCTCACATCCCACGTCCAATACATCAGAAAACCTAACCAGTTTTAACTTAAAAATATATTATAATTGGACTACTCACTACCTTCAGAATTACCTACCCATTTTGGTATACTCTTGTTTTTCACCTCAACTATTTTAATAACCTTCTAACCAGCCTACGTATTTCAACCTTTGCCCTGCTATACATTTGCCCAGAAGCTTCAGTGATCCTTTTAAAGCAAGATGCCGGATCATCTTACTCCTCTGATTAAAATCCTCTTGAGGTTGTTCCATCTCCTTCAGAGTAAAACCATATCCTTACCGTGGAATATAAGGACTTATGTGATCCACCCCTCCCTCATCCCTCTCTCTGTCTTTCTCTTTTCCCTACCAATTTATCCTCCTACCCATTTCCACAGCCATACTAACATACGTGCTATTTTCCATACACACGAAAGCATTTTTTTTTTATTATTATACTTTAAGTTTTAGGGTACATGTGCACAATGTGCAGGTTTCTTACATATGTATACATGTGCCATGTTGGTGTGCTGAACCCATTAACTCATCATTTACATTAGGGATATCTCCTAATGCTATCCCTCCCCCCTCCCCCCAACCCAAAACAGTCCCCAGTGTGTGATGTTCCCCTTCCTGTGTCCATGTGTTCTCATTGTTCAGTTCCCACCTATGAGTGAGAACATGCGGTGTTTGGTTTTTTGTCCTTGCGATAGTTTGCTGAGAATGATGGTTTCCAGCTTCATCCATGTCCCTACAAAGGACATGAACTCATCATTTTTATGGCTGCATAGTATTCCATGGTGTATATGTGCCACATTTTCTTAATCCAGTCTATCACTGTTGGACATTTGTTTTGGTTCCAAGTCTTCGCTATTGTGAATAGTGCCGCAATAAACATACGTGTGCATGTGCCTTTATAGCAGCATGATTTACAATCCTTTGGGTATATACCCAGTAATGGGATGGCTGGGTCAAATGGTATTTCTAGTTCTAGATCCCTGAGGAATCAACACACTGACTTCCACAATGGTTGAACTAGTTTACAGTCCCACCAACAGTGTAAAAGTGTTCCTATTTCTCCACATCCTCTCCAGCACCTGTTGTTTCCTGAATTTTTAATGATGGCCATTCTAAGTGGTGTGAGATGGTATCTCATTGTGTTTGTGATTTGCATTTCTCTGATGGCCAGTGATGATGAGCATTTTTTCATGTGTCTTTTGGCTGCATAAATGTCTTCTTTTGAGAAGTGTCTGTTCATATCCTTTGCCCACTTTTTTGATGGGGTTGTTTGTTTGTTTCTTGTAAATTTGTTTGAGTTCATTGTAGATTCTGGATATTAGCCCTTTGTCAGATGAGTAGGTTGCAAAAATTTTCTCCCATTCTGTAGGTTGCCTGTTCACTCCCATGGTAGTTTCTTTTGCTGTGCAGAAGCTCTTTAGTTTAATTAGATCCCATTTTTCAATTTTGGCTTTTTTGCCATTGCTTTTGGTGTTTTAGACATGAAGTCCTTGCCCATGCCTATGTCCTGAATGGTATTGCCTAGGTTCTCTTCTAGGGTTTTTATGGTTTTAAGTCTAAAATATAAGTCTTAAATCCATCTTGAATTAATTTTTGTATAAGGTGTAAGGAAAGGATCCAGTTTCAACTTCCTGCATATGGCTAGCCAGTTTTCCCAGCACCATTTATTAAATAGGAAATCCTTTCCCCATTGCTTGTTTTTCTCAGGTTTGTCAAAGATCAGATACTTGCAGATATGTGGCATTATTTCCGAGGGCTCTGTTCTTTTCCGTTGGTCTATATCTCTGTTTTGGTACCAGTACCATGCTGTTGTGGTTACTGTAGCCTTGTAGTATAGTTTGAAGTCAGGCAGCATGATTCCTCCAGCTTTGTTCTTTTGGCTTAGGATTGACTTGGCAATGTGGGCTCTTTTTTGGTTCCATATGAACTTTAAAGTAGTTTTTTCCAATTCTGTGAAGAAAGTCATTGGTAACTTGATGGGGATGGCATTGAATCTATAAATGACCTCGGGCAGTATGGCCATTTTCATGATATTGATTCTTCCTACCCATTAGCATGGAAAATTCTTCCATTTGTTTGTGTCCTCTTTTATTTCATTGAGCAGTGGTTTGTAGTTCTCCTTGATGAGGTCCTTCACATCCCTTGTAAGTTGGATTCTTAGATATTTTATTCTCTTTGAAGCAATTGTGAATGGGAGTTCACTCATGATATGGCTCTCTGTTTGTCTGTTAATGGTGTATAAGAAGGCTTGTGATTTTTGCCCATTGATTTTGTATCCTGAGACTTTGCTGAAGTTGCTTATCAGCTTAAGGAGATTTTGGGCTGAGACAATGGGGTTTTCTAGATATACAATCATGTCATCTGCAAATAGGGACAATTTGACTTCCTCTTTTCCTAATTGAATGCCCTTTATTTCCTTCTCCTGCCTGATTGCCCTGGCCAGAACTTCCAACACTATGTTGAATAGGAGTGGTGAGAGAGGGCATCCCCGTCTTGTGCCAGTTTTCAAAGGTAATGCTTCCAGTTTTCGTTCATTCAGTATGATATTGGCTGTGGGTTTGTCATAGATAGTTCTTATTATTTTGAGATACATCCCATCAATAACTAATTTATTGAGAGTTTTTAGCATGAAGTGTTGTTGAATTTTGTCAAAGGCCTTTTCTGCATCTATTGAGATAATCATGTGGTTTTTGTCTTTGGTTCTGTTTATACGCTGGATTACGTTTATTGATTTTCATATGTTGAACAAGCCTTGAATCCCAGGGATGAAGCCCACTTGATCATGGTGGATAAGCTTTTGGATGTGTTGCTGGATTCGGTTTGCCAGTATTTTATTGAGGATTTTTGCATCGATGTTCATCAAGAATATTGGTCTAAAATTCTCTTTTTTTGTTGTGTCTCTGCCAGGCTTTGGTGTCAGGATGATGCTGGCCTCATAAAATGAGTTAGGGAGGATTCCCTCTTTTTCTATTGATTGGAATAGTTTCAGAAGGAATGGTACCAGCTCCTCCTTGTACCTCTGGTAGAATTCGGCTGTGAATCCATCTGGTCCTGGACTTTTTTCGGTTGGTAAGCTATTAATTAGTGCCTCCATTTCAGAGCCTGTTATTGGTCTATTCAGAGATTCAACTTCTTCCTGGTTTAGTCTTGGGAGGGTGTATGGGTTGAGGAATTTATCCATTTCTTCTAGATTTTCTAGTTTATTTGCGTAGAGGTGTTTATAGTATTCTCTGATGGTAGTTTGTATTTTTGTGGGATCGGTGGTGATATCCCCTTTGTCATTTTTTATTGTGTCTATTTGATTCTTCTCTATTTTCTTCTTTATTAGTCTTGCTAGCAGTCTATCAATTTTGTTGATCTTTTCAAAAAACCAGCTCCTGGATTCATTGATTTTTTGAAGGGTTTTTTGTGTCTCTATGTCCTTCAGTTCTGCTCTGATCTTAGTTATTTCTTGCCTTCTGCTAGCTTTTGAATGTGTTTGCTCTTGCTTCTGTAGTTCTTTTAATTGTGATGTTAGGGTGTCAATTTTAGATCTTTCCTGCTTTCTCTTGTGGGCATTTATTGCTATAAATTTCCCTCTACACACTGCTTTGAATGTGTCCCAGAGATTCTGGTATGTTGTGTCTTTGTTCTCGTTGGTTTCAAAGAACATCTTTATTTCTGCCTTCATTTCATTATGTACCCAGTAGTCATTCAGGAGCAGGTTGTTCAGTTTCCATGTAGTTGAGTGGTTTTGAGTGAGTTTCTTAATCCTGAGTTCTAGTTTGATCGCACTGTGGTCTGAGAGACAGTTTGTTATAATTTCTGTTCTTTTACATTTGCTGAGGATTGCTTTACTTCCAACTATGTGGTCAATTTTGGAATAGGTGTGGTATGGTGCTGAAAAGAATGTATATTCTGTTGATTTGGGGTGGAGAGTTCTGTAGATGTCTATTAGGTCCACTTGGTGCAGAGCTGAGTTCAATTCCTGGATATCCTTGTTAACTTTCTGTCTCGTTCATCTGTCTAATGTTGACAGTGGGGTGATAAAGTCTCCCATTATTATTATGTGGGAGTCTAAGTCTCTTTGTAGGTCACTCAAGACTTGCTTTATGAATCTGTGTGCTCTTGTATTGGGTGCATGTATATTTAGGATAGTTAGTTCTTCTTGTTGAATTTATCCCTTTACCATTATGTAATGGCCTTCTTTGTCTCTTTTGATCTTTGTTGGTTTAAAGTCTGTTTTATCCAAGACTAGGGTTGCAACCCCTGCCTTTTTTTGTTTTCCATTTGCTTGGTAGATCTTCCTCCATCCCTTTATTTTGAGCCTATGTGTGTCTCTGCGCCTGAGATGGGTTTCCTGAATACAGCACACTGATGGGTCTTGACTCTTTATCCAATTTGCCAGTCTGTGCCTTTTAATTGGAGCATTTAGCCCATTTACATTTAAGGTTATCATTGCTATGTGTGAATTTGATCCTGTCATTATGATGTTAGCTGGTTATTTTGCTCATTAGTTGATACAGTTTCTTCCTAGCCTTGATGGTCTTTACAATTTGGCATGTTTTTGCAGTGGCTGGTACCAGTTGTTCCTTTCCATGTTTAGTGCTTCCTTCAGGAGCTCTTTTAGAGCAGGCCTGGTGGTGACAAAATCTCTCAGCATTTGCTTGTCTGTAAAGGATTTTACTTCTCCTTCACTTATGAAGCTTAGTTTGGCTGGATATGAAATTCTGGGTTGAAAATTCTTTTCTTTAAGAATGTTGAATATTGGCCCCCACTCTCTTCTGGCTTGTAGAATTTCTGCCAAGAGATCAGCTGTTAGTCTGGTGGGCTTCCCTTTGTGGGTAACCCGACCTTTCTCTCTGGCTGCCCTTAACATTTTTTCCTTCATTTCAACTTTGGTGAATCTGACAATTATGTGTCTTGGAGTTGCTCTTCTCGAGGAGTATCTTTGTGGCATTCTCTGTATTTCCTGAATTTGAATGTTGGCCTGCCTTGCTAGATTGGGGAAGTTCTCCTGGATAACATCCTGCACAGTGTTTTCCAACTTGGTTCCATTCTCCCCGTCACTTTCAGGTATACCAATTAGACATAGATTTGGTCTTTTCACATAGTCCCAAATTTCTTGGAGGCTTTGTTCGTTTCTTTTTATTCTTTTTTCTGTAAACTTCTCTTCACACTTTATTTCATTCATTTCTTCTTCCATTGCTGATACCCTTTCTTCCAGTTGATTGTATTGGTTACTGAGGCTTGTGCATTCGTCACGTAGTTCTTGTGCTGTGGTTTTCAGCTCCATCAGGTCCTTTAAGGACTTCTCTGCATTGGTTATTCCAGTTAGCCATTCATCTAATTTTTTTTCAAAGTTTTTAACTCTTTGCCATTGGTTTGAAATTCCTCCTTTAGCTCAGAGCAGTTTGATCTTCTGAAGCCTTCCTCTCTCAACTTGTCAAAGTCATTCTCCATCCAGCTTTGTTCTATTGCTGGTGAGGAGCTGCATTCCTTTGGAGGAGGAGAGGCACTCTGATTTTTAGAGTTTCCGGTTTTTCTGCTCTGTTTTTTCCCCATCTTTGTGGTTTTATCTACCTTTGGTCTTTGATGATGGTGACATACAGATGGGTTTTTGGTGTGGATGTCATTTCTGTTTGTTAGTTTTCCTTCCAACAGTCAGGACCCTCAGCTGCATGTCTGTTGGAGTTTACTGGAGGTCCACTCCAGACCCTGTTTGCCTGGGTATCTGCAGCAGTGGCTGCAGAACAGTGGATATTGGTGATCCACAAATACTGCTGCCTGATCGTTCCTCTGGAAGTTTTGTCTCAGAGGAGTACCCAGCTGTGTGAGGTGTCAGTCCGCCCCTACTGGGGGGTGCCTCCCAGTTAGGCTACTCTGGGTTCAGGGACCCACTTGAGGAGGCAATCTGCCTGTTCTCAAATCTCAAGCTGCGTGCTTGGAGAACCACTACTTTCTTCAAAGCTGTCAGACAGGGACATTTAAGACTGCAGAGGTTATTGCTATCTTTTGTTTGTCTGTGCCCTGCCCCCAGAGGTGGAGCCTACAGAGGCAGGCAGGCCTCCTTGAGCTGTGGTGGGCTCCACCCAGTTCAAGTTTCCCAACTGCTTTGTTTACCTACTCAGGCCTGAGCAATGGTGGGCGCCCCTCCCCCAGCCTTGCTGCCACCTTGCAGTTTGATCTCAGACTGCTGTGCTAGCAATGAGTGAAGCTCCGTGGGCATAGGACCCTCTGATCCAGGTGCAGGATATAATCTCCTGGTGTGTCATTTGTTAAGCCCATTGGAAAAGCGCAGTATTAGGGTGAGAGTGACCTGATTTTCCAGGTGCTGTCTGTCACCCCTTTCTTTGACTAGGAACGGGAATTCCATGACCCCTTTCCCTTCCCAGGTGAGGCGATGCCTCGTCTTGCTTTGGCTCACACACGGTGCATGGCACCCACTGTCCTGCACCCACTGACCAGCACTCCCCAGTGAAATGAACCCGGTACCTCAGTTAGAAATGCAGAAATCACCCGTCTTCTGCGTCGCTCACGCTGGGAGCTGTAGACCAGAGCTGTTCCTATTTGGCCATCTAAAGCATTTTTTGCCTCAAGGCATACATTTGCTCTGTCTGTTTCCTCTTCCTAGAAAAATTCAATTAGACTTCTGTTCAAATGTCACCTCATTGGCGAGGCCTTTCTCGACTATCTTATGTCAAATAATAGCAGCCCTTTATCACTTTCTAGCCTCAGTGCCCTGCTTCATTGTCTTCTACTCAAGACTACCACTATGTTTATTGACTATCTCTTCCCACTTTAATGTAAGCTCTTGAAAGTAGGAACATTATCTCTACTACTCCTGGAATATAGTAGGTGCTCAAATGCTTTCATTTAATGAATGAATATTGTATATTGAAATTTGGATGATAAAATAATTTTCTAAATAGAAACTTGAACCACAGTTTATATTCTTTTTTAGAAATCATATTCAAGGAAGGTAAAGATTAGAGGGAGAGGGGTTTAATTTTTTTTTATTCAGTCATAATAAATGGAACAAACTATTTTTGAGGCTAATATTTCAGGCTACATGATATATTTTCTTGTGTTTTTTGCTTTGATGTTAAAAATAGTCATGGGAAGAGAAAAGTTTTAAAAAGTCAAAATGATTCTTATATTCTTACATATTATGATTGAAGGCCAGTCAAAAGAGCAGTGTGAGGAAAGTAAAAGTATCTCAAAGCTCTACAAAAGCTTTCAAACTCAACTGGTCACATGAACAAGAGAGAGAGAGAACATAAGTGAGTGAAATAGTCCAATTAAAAAAACACCAGGATCTAGTGGGAATATGTCAAACTGGAGGCTTCACACTCAGTCTAAAGATAGTATTCCATTTTTAAAAATAGTCTGTAAGTAAAAATAAATATCTGCTTATACATATGTCTCAAAAGCCTGTCAGTTTGTATCCCTATTGCAGGAAGAAAAATATCAGAAGAAACTTCAGATGTCACAGAGCTACAATATTTCTTACTCAGTGTATGAGAACTCTTCATTTGAAAATCAAGAGTGAATCTTTAAAAGGTTGAATGCAGATTGTTCGCTCCAGAAATCCACCTGCAGATGAGAATAGAATACTACTCTATGGCTAAATGAAAAGAACAACTTAAAATAATATTTATGCTTACCATTTGGGGAAATAAAGAGAAATGAGACCATAATTATTTCTACAAAAATTCTGAAAATATCATTATTACTAATTTCTATTCTTTGACTTATTCTGTGTCCATTTGGGAAAAAAGCATTTTAATAATTTTTCTTAAACTAGTTTATATGCATAGATAACCAGCAGCATCTGGCTTTTCCAGATTTAAAGACCGCTGCTCTGACCTTGATCTTTCCTCTTCTCTTGTAAATCACAGAGATGTGGGCAGAGGAAAATGTGATTTTGGAATACCCAAAGACACACAAGGTGTTCCAGCACAGAGTAGGCAAGAATTCACTGAGATCTCTTACATGTATTTATCTAAAGCTTTCTAACTCTGTTGATACACAGAGGCTCTAATCATAACTGCATCCATGTGTGCAGTGCATTTTCAGTGCCAATACACTAATAAGCTACAACACAATAAGCTAATATTTAATGTTCAACTTCACTTTAAGATGCCAACAGAGCATTGCACATGCTATAAATAACTGGAAATCCTTAGATCTGATTTGCAACACTCAGCCTATTCCATTATAAACTGGTGTCTCAGGGAGATAACATCATAAAGGTAAATCTTCCCATAAGAAATGAAATATAAATACAAAACTACTCTAAACCAAAATTTATTTCAATTGAAGTTAGAATTTATTGTTTCCTTTCAAAATATCAGCATAACATATCCATCTTAAATGGAGACTTCCTTTGTTGTGTTTACATACTAAATAAATGTTGTTCTTGTGCCAGATAATCCTGTAGCATGAAGGGCTTGCATAACTTTCTGGAGAGTTTGCCATAGCCTATTGTTCTCTAGAAGCTTCTCCAAATGAAGCATTTCTCAGTTCACACATCTAAAGCAGTGAAGTACATAATGTAAATTATGCACAAGAGCATGCCATTGGCAACCTCTGTTGCACATGTGCACCCACACTTACACACATACATTCACTCATACAATAAATGGATAGCAAAGAAAAGTTTCAAATTAATTGATGTCCAGTAAAAACAGTCAATGTCAGGAGGAATATGATACCCTTGACTTATCTTTCAACTCTTAAGATTTATATCTAGTAGGAAGTATAAGTGATTCTCATTCACCTACTGGCCAGATATTTTTGTGGATCGACCTAGTGTACTAGATAATTACATTCATTTTACCTTACTGTTCTATGTTCGTACTTTCCAAAGATTAGAGTGCTGGCTTTCAAAAAGAGAATTAATGTATTCTTTTTTATTTTGCTTTTTTATCTCTAAAAAGACACAGGAATAAAATTATGTTTATGGTCAAAGCCCAAGAAATAAAGTGTGGCAATATTCTATACCAATGATGAAGAGCTACAAAATGAAAGAGTGGGTTGGTGAGGGAGAGACACAACAATGTTTAGTATTGTTTAATACATAAACCATGGAGAGACAGCCATCCTGTATTCATAAGCCTGCAGAAGACCAAAAGCTTTGCTTAGTTTAGCAGTACCTCAAGGGCAGTTAGAGGGTACATTATTTCAAACTAATGTAATAAGAGGCCTCATGTGATCTCCTGGAAGCATCATCCCAGGCACCACATGCCAATGCTGCTGCTGATGACTGGTCCCCAGGCCCTCTAACTCTGGACTTACTTCACTCTCAGTGATAAGTTAGCCATGAGAGTGCAGTTGACATGGACTTGCTGATGAATTATTTCAGTGTTCTTTCAGCTTTATTTATTAGTTGGTATTTGTGAACATTTTTTACATTTTAATTTTCTTTGAAGACATATTTTATTTTCCTGACAGCATACATTCTGAATTGGGTGCTAAACTCACTAATATCTTTCTCTCTCTTGCTCTTTCTCTAGGGTTTGGGGAAAAATCTAATATTTGTGCTTGGCTAGAGACTGTCATTTTAGAAACAAAGACACATTTATTTTCCAACAGGAAGGTAGAGGTAGCAGCTACACAAATAGAAAATAAGATTAAACAAAAGGAAGGAGGAGAAAAACTACTCATCACAGAGGCTAGTACAGATGCTATGAATGAGCATCAAATGTATTTCAAATGATCCCCACAGTTGGCAAGAGAGGAATCAAAATAACAACATGGCTTTTGTTTCTAACAAAAGGAATACCATCCTTCAGGGACACAAGATGTTGCCTCACCTTTAGAGGGTGTATCTCTCTGGGCAGACAGGGAAGAACTGAATGCAGACCATGACTCAGGTGGAAATCCCAGGTCCTGAGAAAAGGAATAAGGAATGGATGTAGCATGATCTTAATACAATAAAAAGGAAAAGCAGTTCAAACCTGTAAATACACTATGTGCCTTTTATTCATGCTTTCCCAGGAAAGAATCTTTCAAACTGTTTGCAGAGTTGGATAATTACAACAGTGTGAGCTGGACAGACTGTACTGGAACCCAGGCTGAACCTATCAACCACCTTATTTTCTTCACTCCAATCTCCCAAACACTACGGAGTCTAGAAACTGAAAGTCAGTGCTTAGATCATTCCAGATGTTGAGATTATGTGAAAGTTTTAAAATATCTCAAAATTTAAAGACTGAAAATGATCTCATAAAATAAATAATGGTAGAATTTAAAGACCAACATTATATCATGAAAGGAGTATATGCAACTCTTTTCTGCTAGAAAAAAACTAATAGAATATTTGCGAGTAGTAATCCACACCAAGAAAAAGAGAATAAATTATTTTGAAGTATAAATGTTGCAAACATTGGGAGATGATAGAGAAGGGGACGAATCTCTTCATAGAACATTGCATACTCTCAATAATGGTTAGCAGATATTCCAAAGCTAAGAGTGCTGATTTCCATTAGAAAAAGAAGAAAAATTAATCACTGAACCTCAACATGTTGAACTGGGAAACAAAGATCAAGGATTTCAAGTAGCAACGGGGCCAAATACATCATATGGAGTGATTGCAGACTAGTACAGTAGGGATACATACAGTATGGAGCTGAAATAATAAGGTAATTTTTATTTATCTAAAGACAGTTTTGGAATATAAGACAAAAGAGAAATCAGTAAGAGTTATAAAAATAAATTAGAAATTATGCTACTATAAATAAGTTACAAAATTAAGTTAGGTGTGTTCTGAAATTTTTCTTCCTTTTTTATCTACTTTCTATAATGAGAAAGCATAGACAAAAATAAATATTGGTTTTGAGAATATCTCATAGAAGAGCCTAGAGTGTGCAAGGAACTGTTTTTTTTTCTGGGAGGTTTTATTTTTGAGAATAAATTAGGAAACTAAATGAATGAACAAACAAACAAAAACAAACCATTAATTAAACCAAAAGCAGTTTAAAAATTATTTTTAAATGGGGTGTATATTTCAAGGATATCTCCAGAAATACGGTGCCATTATTCTAAGCATGAGGGCAGAGGTCGGATTTTGGTAGCATTTAATGATTTTGTGGCCAAGGGCTCTGAAATTCTAAATTTTGCTCTGCCAGTCACCCCTGCTGCCTACAGAGTTTCCTTGGCATACACATGAGAAGAACCAATAAATGGCAAATAAGAGCCAAAGCTAAGACCCTTGTTTAAACTCTCCTTCAGTACAAAATATGGTAAGACCAGATGACAGCACCTATACAGTGAGTCTCATGACTAATCAAGTCTCTAACCTTCTTTTGAAACTAAATTTTGGTCTTTTCTATACCACAGTGTCCAGCACACTCAGGGAAGTGAAGAGAAAGAGATAGAGAAAGAGAGAAAAAAAAAACAGAGGAAGATGGACAGACATAAATAAAAATACCTCTTGGATGCCACTTACACTCCTGGATTCCTGGAAGAGAAGCAGTCAAATAAATACTACAAAGTATGGGATCATTCCTTTAAAAACACACTGACCTGATCACCTATAGACTAGCTCTAGCCTCAACATGCTTCTGCCTCTGACTAAACAATTTAATATCCCCTTTTCTTTGGGAAGAATAAGGAGTAGATGAGGAGAGAGCCAAGTAGAGCAATAGATGCTCATGTAGAACTTTGTCCGTTTTCTCAGTTATGTAGTTATCCTTCTTAAAATAAACACAGAATCGACAAGTGTGCAGAATCAACAAATTACCCAACTGCATGCTCCCCCAGAAGTATCCTAGAGACTTGGCAACATGACAATTTGACTCAGTTCATAATCCCCACAACTTGTAGGCATCAATTGGAGAGTGTTTGACAGTGCATTCTTGCATGTGTGCTCTTAAGCACACATGTACACATTTGTATAAGTATTTTGTTGCAATAGAGGAGAATTTAAGTGGTTTGTTTGTTTCCATGAATACATGTGAAGGCCTTATAAAATTTAATATCTTGTGGTCATTTTATTTACAAAAGGGCCTTGCCTAATACGGGACCTAAGGGCTCAGAAGTTGTAAAATGACCTGCTAGTGTCATAGGAGGCCTGACATCTCACTGATCTCTTCAACAAATATCTCTCCAATCTGTTGTAGGCATTAAGCATACAAGGGTGAGGAGAACAAGGCAGAGGTCACTTCTGAGATTTTAGTGGTGGGAGTATGAAAAATGAACACCTAATAAACAAGATTAAATCATACGTTTTGTGAAAATAAACCAAACAGTAGATAAGAGAGTGACTGGTTAAGAAACTTTATATAAGCAAACGATGGGATATCTCACCAAGGAGGTGATGTTGGAGGTAACCTTGTAAATAACTAGGAACAACTATGCCGCTAGAACACCTTGGAGAACACTCCAGGCCCAGCCCTGGAGAGAGCGCTTGCTCATTCAAATAAGTCCTGTGAGTGGTTTGGACAAAAGAAAAATAAACAGGTTTAGACTATATTTCTGAGTCAGGGCTATCATGATTGCATAAAATATATGAAAACAGCTCACTCTGGCTTTGAAATAACTTTATGACATTTATGACATAATGTCATTTGCAAGTATCCACCTTGCTAAAATTAATGAGATATAAAAAAACCAAAAAAGTAAACATGTATATCATAGAATTAACAATTTAAATTACTATGGGAATGGTATCTGTGGTTTAAAAGCAGTTGTTATGTAAGCCACCAAGAAATCTTTATTTACTGACATAAACCTAAATTAGACCGAAATGAAAAATTCCAATATATGTCTTTCCACTAGCTAGTCAAATTATTATAAAAAGTGAAGTATTGCATGTATACTTTAATGTTTCATATTATATGAATATAATCTCTGTGATTAAATATGTTGTTATTGTGTGTGTGTGTGTGTGTGTGTGTGTGTGTGTGTGTGTGTGTGTATATACATACATATATGCCATCTAGTGGATAAGGTGGGGGGGAAGTTTTAAGAGCTGCATAAAAGAATTATTTGCTGGTCAGTGTTTCCCCTTTAAAAAGGATTCACACAATCAAAACAACTCTCTCCAATATGTTTTGCAGATAAAGACCCAAATAGTCCCTTATTGTCTAGTAAATGGGTCAAGTATATTAGGAAGAAAATGTTTCATTTTAGTTGCTTCTAGAATGGATCAATTTGTGAACAAATAAATCATGTGAGATTAGGGAGAGGTAGCAAACTTGAAATGATTTTTTTCTGGGATTTATTTTGTTTAATTGGGTGTGAAAGTTCATGTTTATTCAGAATTTTGGACACATTTTTCTCCCGAATGGTTTCTTCTGTGCAAACTAAATAGCACTATTTTCCTTTAGACACATATGCTTTGTCTAGTGTCATTTAACAAGGTAGTAAAAAATGTAGATTTTATTTGCTTAAACAAGCCGTGTCTTGCTTGCCTTCAAGCCTGATCCCTCCATACAGATTGTTCTCTTTGCTTCCTCCTTCCTCTTTTTTCTGTCTAACCCAGTTTAACCTCTATGTCTCACTTATTGAGTACTTCCTCTAGAAGGAGTTTTATAACCTCACATACTGGATGAAACGCCTTGTTTATCTACTCTACAATGTCTTTTTACCTCTAAAATTGTACCTATCACACATTATTTTTTGTAATTACTTAACCATCTGTATCTTCATCTAGTCTATAATTTCTATGTGAATACAAACTCCATCTTTCTTTCCATTTCTGTATTCCCAGCAAGAACCACAATGCTCGGCATGTAGCAGGTGCCCAAATATTTGATAAATAAATCTGTGATTCAATAAAGCAATGAATGAAAGCATCTAGTTCTCTCAGGTCTTTTGTATTACTGTTATTTGGGGGGGCGGTGAGATTCTTTTTCTACATAACTTACTACACTTTACTTGTTATTTTAACACTATCAAGTCTCCCTAAGAATATCAACCAAACAGGTCTGATACTGCTTGTTAACATGTGCTCCATCTAGGCTTAGGTGATTACACTGATTTGACAGCTGATACATTCATTAGACAACACCAAAGTGGCCAAGAGTTGGTCCTAACCAATGACAAAACACAACTCTTTTTCTTCCATTTTCAATATTACTTTAATGTTTAGCAGTGTAAACAAAGTTTTGTTAACTATTAAATTTATGGTAATTTTAGCAGTTTTTAGTCTATGATAAGATGTGATGCTAAAGATATAAATCCAAGTTAAGTAATAATGCTATATTGTGTTAAGATGTTCTAAATATTTGACCTAACCTCAATTATTTGTTTCAATTTTAGTAAGTATTTAATGGGAGCTTGTTATGTACTAGTTAGTGAGCAACATTCTAAAGATTAAAAAATAGCAAACAACATAGATGTGGCTCTGGCCTCGTGAATATTATAATTTAGGGTACTTTATGGAGAAAGGTATGTGTATAAATGTGGTGTCAAGAGGAGACACTACTGGCAAGTGGGAAATGGAGTATTCTCTGATAATCTACTTTATTTCTGCTAATATGTCATCAAATTATCTTTTCTCTTCAAAACTTTCTTTTAATTGTATCATAAATAAACAAGCTAAAATGCCCGTCAAAGACAATAAGCTGCCTTAGTCAATACTTCAGGTCAGGCCAAGTTCTGTTTAGGCAGGAGCTACATTTTGAAACAGCTTTGGAAAGGTTGACTTCATTAACATTTAGAGCTCACAAATCTATAATCAATTTATGTATTGTTACTCATAGTGTATTAGAAAAGACTTGGGTAAAATATTTGTACTCAAACCGTTTGTACCATCTTTTAGTATGATTCTGCCCACAAGTTATCCTGAAAATTGTAATTCAACCTGAGGTTGACAGGCATCCTAATTATGGAGTAGTAGTAAAAAAAGTAATAGAAACCCTCACACCTAGGTTTTGTTAGGCTCCAAACTGACTGGCATATCTCCCCTATCCCACAATAGGATTTGTACAACCTATCAAAAAGTTCTTTCTCTTTATCCTAAGCACAAAGGATAGATGAGCTATGCTCCAATTCAGTACACTTTATCATCAAGAACATTTGCAAGATCCTTCTCTTGTTTTTATTTTTCTTCTTTACTAATCTCTCATCTCGGTTATATGATTCAGAGATGTCCTCAAATAATATCTAAATAAAACATTTAATATGATTTTATGTGTATGTTTTGTTAATTTACATAAGTAAGACTGTGTTTATAGATCTCATAGCTTTCTATTTTTTCACCTGTAAAAGATCTAACCATGTTGCTGAAATTTTTGCTAATAACTACTACATAATATTCTGTACATCCTCTCTGTGTACATTCTCCATATGTCATGTATTTGTTGTTTGCATTGTGCTCCTCACTGTCACAAACTACACTGGGATCAATATCCTTGTGCATGTCATGTCTCCTCATTGACTTGTGCATTAGTTTGCCCAGGAGTGAAATGTTCTGGCAAAGGGTCCATGCATATTGAAGTTACTAAGAGCCTCCAGATTGCTTTCTGGAGTCACCATGCAGATTTACATTCCCACCAGCAGCATGTTCCAGTTATTTCTCCACTTTTGTGTTAACATTTGATATTACTTAATTAGTAATATTGGGTGTATAAAAAAGTACCTCATGGTCACATCAGGTTGGAATTAAATTAACAAAGAATGAACAAAACCTTTAAAGGGAACATTTTCAAGCTTTAATAAAGGATATTAAAATGAAGGATGGGCAAAGAAGCTCATGCCTATGATCCCAACAGTTTGGGAAGTCAAGGCAGGAGGATCACTGGAGCCCAGGAATTTGAGGTCCCCTTGAGCTACATGGCAAGACCCCATCTCTACAAAAAATACAAAAATTAGACTGGCATGGGGGCAGGTGCCTATAGTCCCAGCTACTTGGGAGGCTGAGGTGGGAGGATCACCTGAGCCCGGGAGGGCAAGGTTGCAGTGAGCTATGACTGTGCCACTGCACTCCGGCCTGAGTGATAGAAAAAGACCCTATCTCAAAAGAAAAAAAAATTAAAATGATCCAAAGAATGGGGAGATATACCTTACCCATATATGGGATAAATTAAATTAACATTGTAAATACATCAAATATTAAGAGCTTTATTATCATATGATATTAATTTGATATTAAGTAATTCATGAATGTACTAATTATATAATTTAAATGCAAAAATTCATCGAGATTTTTCTGAGAAATAAAAAATCACATCCCTTGTAAGCTGGATTCCTAGGTATTTTATTCTCAATGAGTTCATGTCCTTTGTAGGGACATGGATGAAATTGGAAATCATCATTCTCAGTAAACTATCGCAAGAACAAAAAACCAAACACCGCATGTTCTCACTCATAGGTGGGAATTGAACAATGAGAACACATGGACACAGGAAGGGGAACATCACACTCTGGGGACTGTTGTGGGGTCGGGGGAGGGGGGAGGGATAGCATTAGGAGATATACCTAATGCTAAATGACGAGTTAATGGGTGCAGCACACCAGCATGGCACATGTATACATATGTAACTAATCTGCACATTGTGCACATGTACCCTAAAACTTAAAGTATAATGATAATAAAATAAAAAAACCAAAAAAAGAAAAGCAAGAGGAGAACTCATTTAGATATGGTGATAAGGAAAGATCTTTCAGTAGCGCTAACATTTTTCATGCTCAGAACTAAAGGCTAAGAAGGAAATGATCATTTAAAGACCCTGAGAATGACCATTTCAGGCAGAAAGCTACATACGCCATAGCCTTGTGGTATGATAGATTTCACTAGGTTGTAGGAACTGAAAGAACACCCAGGTGGCAGAAGAATAGTGAGGGACAGGAGGAATGGATCCAAATAAACTTGCAGAGATGGGTAGAACCAGACCATGGAGGTCTTTGCAGGCCATACTTGGAGATTTCATTCTAAATGCAATGAGAAGTAATTGACATAATTTAAGTGGGAAGAAAATACTATTCTGATTTGAGGATTAAGAGAATCACTAACTGAGCTGTTGAATGTGGATTGTCAAGAGAACACTTAAGAGGTTATTTCACGATTCAGGCGAGTGATGAGGGTAACCAAGACTCAGGTGCCTTATGTTCCTTGGGAATTTAATAAGTGATAATAGGAAAAATGAATGAATTGCAGCGCTATCTAATGGAGAAGGCTAATTTAACAATCAAGTTTTTAGGACCAGGTGCTTTGAAAGATGCAATTCAACAGTAGGAAGCAAAAGTTGAGGCTAAACTCTTTATTGGTTTAGTGGAAGCCTAAATATTGGAGAGAACAAGATCTAAATATCTTGAGAAAAATCAATAATTAATAAGCTTTGCATAAGTATAGATAATTACTCCATATTACTGTGGAATTCTTCGTGTCAGAGTAATCATTTGAATTTGCTATTTATGATTAACACCTTATTTGTGAGACATATTAAATACTATACAGATTTATTGGCCTGGGCGTAGTGGCTTACACCTATAATCCCAGCACTTTGGGAGGCTGAGGCGGGTGGATCACGAAGTCAGGAGTCCGAGACCAGCCTGGCCATCTCTACTAAAAATACAAAAAATTAGCTGGGCATGGTGGCGTGAGCCTGTAATCCCAGCTACTCCAGAGGCTGAGGCAGAAGAATCACTTAAACCGGGAGGCGGAGGTTGCAGTGAGCCAAGATAGCGCCACTGCACTCCAGCCTGGGCAATAGAGAAAGACTCTGTCTCGGGTGGGAGGTGGAGGGTGGAAAAAAAAAAAGAAAAAAAGATTTATTACTGTGGCTGAACCTATTCTGACTGCTCAGAACCAGTTAACATATAGTGAAAGACCTAAATGGAACTCAGCAAGGCCTTTTTTTCTATAGTATCTCATTTAATTCTCACACAAGGACTGTGAAGTATATATAATCATACTCATTTTAAAGACAAGGAAATAGATATTCAAAAGCTTCAAGTAAGTTGTCTCACGAATGATGGAGCATGAATTCTATTCCAAGTTTGCCTGACTAGAAAGACTACCTTATTCCCACCATATACTGACTCTTAATTGCAGTATGTTACAAATTGGGAGACACATCTGAGAATAAATTAAGCTTCTAAACTTGTGTGGTGTAGATTTACTTGAATCCTTGCATAATTTGCCAATTTATATAAATGAGTCTATTAAATTCCTAAGGCTTCATTACCATCCAATCTAGTTAGCCTTATCTCTATCTAAGGGAGATGATGACACATGCATAGTCACAAAATTCACTCAAAGCCAATGAACTAAGTTAATATATTTCACACTTAATGAAACACAGTATATTCGAATACTTGAACAAGTTTCATGTGCATAAAATGAATCTTAAGGAACATCTTGAAATGTTAAGTAAATTCTTATTAAATAACTATAAATAAGGAGAGAGTCATTATCAATACATTTTATATCTTTTCCCAGAATTCAGAATCTTTTTTATTCTTCTTTAAAGCCCTCCATTCTAAAAACTTAATACAGTCTCAATTCCTCTAGGACACATAGGTATTTGATTTTCAATCTTTGTAGTACGGCAGAAAACAAGCAAGTATGCAGCAAGTCCATAAAATCTATGAAATCACTTTCCCAGAAGTGATCAATTTCCTCACTATTTTTATGTGTTTAGTTTGGCCTACTTGAAAATTAATTTCATATTCTACTATATCTGTTCTTCATTATGTGGTTGAAAAATAATTGAAATTATCAGATGTTACATTTTCTGTTCAACTTTCAGTGTTCCTGAAAAAAGAAACATTTATAAGATAAAAAAGATTAAGATGTAAGTCCACAAGAAGGTTTGGAGGAGTGAACTTCAGAGGAAATTTATGTTTATATTTAAATATGTTTTAATTCACCAAAATGAAACAAAACTTCACCTTTAATAAATAAAATATCAATAACATAATACACATATTAATACCATATTACTTATTTGCATTATCTGTACATGCACCTAATAAATCAATGCCCAAAATAATAAAACTTTCCTAATGGGGCCCACTTTCAAAATATCTCTCCAAATCACAAATGAACATTTACATTCAGAAAATTCTACCATGCCTACTAGTAAGTTTAATTTTCCAACTCTTGAAGATAATAATTTCATAACTTTTCTCCAAAAACCTTCTGACACATCCAGCTGATGATCATTCTGCAAAAGAAGAAAAACAATTGCAATCACATGAGAGCCAAGTCTTCCTCCTAGCAACAAAACCACACACCTGGATATTGGGTATTGTGGAGCTTATTTCTAGTTTCTATGTCTTTGCTTGCTAGAAATGTTAAAGATCTTGTTAACACTTCAATAAGACAGGTATTGGAAATATATGTACAAGAGATTTTTAAAATTGATTTTCCACCAAACATTCAATAGTTTTACAATTTGATGACTCCAAATTGGTTCTCCGTGATTCTAAGATTATCCAAAAGATGCAATTATCAATGCTATGCTAAAAATAACAATGCTTTCTGCAAAGTTAATTTAACATACTTTGCTCAATATGACTGAGTCCAGATGATGAGGCATTTAAGAAATATGGTTATATATAACCTAGTTACCTCCTGTAACCTGCCTGAGCATAATAAATCATTTATCCTGGTACCCTTATGGTAGCAATTTGATGACAATGGAAATCTTACATCTATTGCTCCTACCAGTTTTTCACTATTTCTTCCCACCATTCAAGCCCTCAATTCCCATTTTACCAAAGAAATTTTAGGTAGGCATTATAACTCTTCATTACAAAAAGTTTAACTTATTTGCCCCTTCTTTCCTCCTCTTCTACTTTCTTGGCAATATTTCATCAATAACAAACTATTTGCATTCTCTACACCTGCACCCAATCAAACAGGGCCCCAAATAACAGAACCTTGCCAATGGCACCCATTTTCAAAATATCTCTCCAAATCATGGATGAACATTTATATTGAGAAAATTGTACCATGCTTCTAGTAAGTTTAATTTTCCAACACTTGAAGATGATAATTTCATAACTTTTCTCCAAAAAAAAAAAAAAAACCTTCCGACACATGCAGCTGATGATCATTCTTCTTAAGAAGAAAAACAATTGCAATCAGATGAGACCCAAGTCTTCCTCCCAACAAGAAAACCATCCAGCTGGATGCATCTTTACCCACATTATTTTTCATCTTGTTACAGGTTAATAAGAATCCCAAATCCTTTCTAAGTCACCTTCTTCACTTGAAATCTAGATCTCATCCTCTTTCTTACTTTCCCTCTTCTGAATCAAGCCCATTGATATTCAAACATGTCTTCATATTGCCTATTAAAAAACAACAAAAAACACACTTTTTTCTATGTTCTTTCCAATTACTATCCTGTTTGGCTGTTGTGTGGTAAATTGAAAATTTTTACAACCATTTAAAAATTTGCAATCTCTAAATTCTGGTGCTGTGGAACAATACTTATATCGCTATTTGATCCTAATCTACATTGTACTTTTAGAGAGTCATAATTCTCTGTAACACATTAAAGGCTCTATAAAGTCTTGCAGCTAAGAAATTTCTTTAATTTTGTTTTACCCAGCACTTTCTTTTTCAATTAATTTGTCCATTTACAGCTTTTCCCATTAAAATCTGCAGAGCAGAGAAAATATTCTGGAAAGTACTTATCTAATTTTTTTTGCAGTGTGTGTGTGTAGAAATTTTAGCTTAAAGTGTAGCTTAAAATCATGCTTGAATTGGTTAAAATGATGCTATGTGGAAAAAAGATATTAAAATCTTACAAATGTTTAACATTTAGCTTAATTTTTACCTCTTGTTTCACACAAGGATTTTTTTAACCATTTCAACAAGCATTATTTTATACTACAATTATTGTAGACACTATAGGATAATCCAAATTCTGACAGCAGGGAGGAATAGTAGCACAAAGGAAATGCAGTGGTAGTTCTAGATCCAACATTCATTATAGTTTCTCTCTTTTAATATAACTTTGAGTACATAGTCTTTCAAGTCCATTTTAATTTCTAATCTGTGCCTGTGCCCATAATCATTTTTACAGTGCTCTAGAATGAATACATTTTGAGGAAAGATAATATCAAGAAGATGGGTAAGTTATATGTTAATCTTTAGGAATTTGGTGGTAAACTTTCATAATCTTACCAAGAAGTACACATTGAGTCTCTTTTTAAAATGTCTTCTAAGTCCTCACGTGTTAGATGGTGTAATAAAGGTAAAGAGAAGGGTTGTAACTGACCACAAGAAATTTTACATCTAATATTAGATAGGACCACTTAAAGAAAATTTCAGAAAACTTAAAGCCAGGCACCATTCTCATTCTTGAGTTTAAGATGTAAAAGACCAAGTTTCTGTAAGTCTGGGGATCATAATGCAACAGAAAGGATAATGATGTTCAAAAATCAATAGAAGGATGCCAATACATATATATTTAAAATGGGAAGAATATGCATGCATGAACTTTGCACATACATGCACTGTGGGCTTTAGCCAATATGTAAGTTTTGTTATTTTACAATATATTTTCTCTTTTCCAGGGTTCCTTCAAAGCTTGCAATTAGTTGTTTTTCCTTTTAACAATGCACAGCTAAATTACATTACTTAGATATTAAGGAAAGCAGTATCTCAAATAGAGCCAGTTGGGAGAATTTTCCCTTAACAGTGACTGAAAATAAGAACGAGCATATTCTCTTTTTCATTTTGCTATATGTACTGCTTTAATGGATGTAACTGTAGTTCATTCATTTCACTGCTAATGACACTCAACTGTGTGAATATATCACAATCAATTTATCCATTCTACTGTAGATGACCATTCTCTATTCTCCAGTTTTTACTCCTATAAACAATTTTCCTAGGATCACATCTCGGTTATACATTTAGAAATATAATTGTTTGGTAGTAGCTATGTTTATCTTCATTATTATTAGAAAGACAAATAGTTTTTTATATAAAAAGGCAAATTATATTCTAGCAATAGTATACAAAAGTTTCCATTGCTCTACTATCTTACCATCATTTGGGACTGTCAGCCAATCTGGTGGATATAAAATGTTATTTTATTGTGACTTTAAGTTGAATTTTCATGATTATCATGGTTAAACACTTCTGCATGTTCATTTGAATTTATTTGTTTCTGTATGTTCATTTGTTGGCTATGTCCCCACCCAAAAATCTCATCTTGAGTTGTAATTCAAGATCTCTCCCACCTGTCAAGGGAGAGACCAGGTGTAGGTAATTGAATCATAGCGGTGGTTTCCTCCATTCTGTTCTTGTGATAGTGAGTGAGTTCTCACAAGAGCTGATGGTTTTTTAAGTGCTTGGTAGTTCCTCCTGCATTCATTCTCCTTCCTGCCACCTTGGAAAGAAAGTGTCTTGCTTCCCCTATGCCTTCTGCCATGAGTGTAAGTTTCCAAAGGCCTCCTCAGCCATGCAAAACTGTGAGTCAATTAAATCTGTTTCCTTTATAAATTACCCAGTCTTGGGCAGTTCTTTATGGGAGTGTGAAAATGGACTAATACACTATTTTTTTGTGAATAGCTTTCTATCTTTCTATTTTTATTGGATTATCTTTTTCTTATTGATTTTCAAAAATACTTTATTCTGGAAAACAAATCCTTTAGCTTATATATGTTCTAAATATATTCTGCTGAGTTGAGACTCATTGCCTTCTCTGAAGATCTTTTGATCTAAAAAAAGTTTTTAATTTTAAAGTAATCTTCTTAGGTCCTGCTAAATAAATAATTCACTATTCTGAGGGCATAATGATGTTAATTCGTACTAACTTATACGTTTTAAAAATTGACTCTTTTCCTTTAGTCGTCAATCTACCTGATGGTATGATATAGGAGTCCAATTTTTCCTATATATATTCCTATATATTTTATCCTATATATATTTCTAGTTATTGCAACACGGTTTATTGAAAACTCTTTTTACCCACTAGTTTTCAATACATTTCATTTTGTTTTCTAAGACAAAACGAGAACCTTTCTATGTACACTTACCAATCTTTTTTTAAGAGTGATCTATCCCAGAAACTTTCCATGTAAGTATATTAAAACCAGCTTCATTATGTTAAGTGCTAATAGACATTTCTTAAATGTCTATGCCACATAGTGAATGAAATTGTCATAATTTAAGTAATCCTCTATTGATACATAAATGAATTTTTTTATTCTTTGCTATTAAATATATTGCTACAGCAAACATCCTAACATATTTATTTTTATACCTTTTAATTTTGTTTCTATAGGAGGCATTGTAAGAAGTGAAAGTCTTTGATAAAAGAGTGCTTATTTGTAATGTCAGTATATTTTTGAATCCTCTCAGATCCACTAGCAGTGAGTTTTCATGCCTGATATGGTTTGACTCTGTGTCCCCACCCAAATCTCATCTTGAATTGTACCCCCATAAATAATTCCCATGTGTTGTGGGAGGGAACCTGTGGGAGATAACTGAATCATGGGGGTGGTTTCAGTACCCCCATACTGTTCTTGTGGTAGGGAATGAGTCCGAGATCTGATGGTTTTATAAGGGGTTTCTGCTTTCACTTCTCCCTCATTCTATCTTGCCACTGCCATATAAGAACTGCTTTTCACCTTCTGCCATGATTGTGAGGCTTACCCAGCCACATGGAATTGTGAGTCCATTAAATCTATTTTTCTTCCCAGTTGTGACGGTTAATACTGAGTGTCAACTTGATTAGATTGAAGGTTACAAAATATGGATCCTGGGTGTGTCTGTGAGGGTGTTGCCAAAGGAGATTAACATTTGAGTCAGTGCCCTGGGAAAGGCAGACCACCCTTAATCTGGGTGGGCACAAGCTAATCTGCTGCCAGCACAGCTAGAATCTAAGCAGGCAGAAAAACGTGAAGAGACAGACTAGCCTAGCCTCCCAGCCTACGTCTTTCTCCCATGCTGGATGCTTCTCAAACATTGGACTCCATGTTCTTCAGTTATGGGACTTGGACTGGCTCTCCTTGTACCGCAGCCTGCAGATGGCCTATTGTGAGATCTTGTGATCATGTGAATTAATCTTAATAAACTTCCCTTCATATGTATATATCTACTCCATTAGTTCTATCCCTCTAGAGAAACCTGACTAACACAGGGTTGTCTCAAGGAAGTCTTTTTTTTTTTTTTTTTTTAATTTTGGAGATGGAGTCTTGCTCTGTCACCCAGGCTGGAGTGCAGTGGCATGATCTCAGCTCACTGCAACCTCCACCTCCCAGTTTCAAGAGATTCTCCTGCCTCAGCCTCCTGAGTAGCTGGAATTACAGGTGCCCGCCACCATGCCAGGCTAATTTTTGTATTTTTGATAGAGACGGGTCTCTCCATGTTGGTCAGGCTGGTCTCGAACTCCTGATTTTAGGTGATCCACCTGCCTCCGTCTCCTAAAGTGCTGGGATTACAGGCATGAGCCATCACATCTAGCCTAGGGATGTCTTTATTAGCAGCATGAAAATGGAGAAATACAATCCATTGGTACCAGTAGAGTGGGGCACTGTTTAAAAGATACCTTAAAATATGGAAGTGACTTTGGAACTGGGTAACAGGCAGAGGTTGGAACAGTTTGGAGGGCTCAGAAGAGGACAGGAAGATGTGGGAAGGTTTGAAATTCCCTAGAGACTCATTGAACGGCTTTGACCAAAATGCTGATAATGATATGAACAATGAAATCCAAGCTTAGGTGGTCTCAGATGGAAATGAGAAACTTGTTGGGAACTAGAGCAAGGGTGACTCTTGTTATGTTTTAGCAGAGACTGGCAGCATTTTGCTCCTGCCTTAGAGATTTGTGGAACTTTGAACTTGAGAGAAAATGATTTAGGGTATCTGGTGGAAGAAATTTCTAAGCAGCAAAACATTCAAGATGTGGCTTGGGTGCTTTTAAAGGCATTCAGCTTTATAATGGAAGCAGAGCATAAAAGTTACTGTGACAATGAGAATGAAAAGAAAATCCCATTTTCCAAGGAGAAACTCAAGGCAGCTGCAGTAATTTGCATAAGTAACAAGGAGCCAAATGTTAATCACCATGACAATGGAGAAAATAACTCCAGGGCATGTCAGAGACCTTTACAGCAACCCCTCCCATCACAGACCTGGAGGCCTAGGAGGAAAAAATGGTTTCATGGGCTGGGCCCAGGGTCCCTCTGTTGTGTGCAGTCTAGGGACTTCGTGCCCTGCATCCCAGCCACTCCAGCTGTGACTAAAGGGGTCAAGGTATACTTTGGGCCATAGCTTCAGAGTGTGCCAGCCCCAAACTTTGGCAGCTTCCATGTGGTGTTGAGGCTGTGGTGCATGGAAGTCAAGAACTGAGGTTTGGGAACCTCCACCTAGATATCAGAAGATGTATGGAAACGTCAGGATGTCCAGGAAGAAGTTTGCTGCAGCAGCAGGGCTTTCATGGAGAGCCTCTGCTAAGGCAGTGCAGAAGGAAAATGTGGGGTTGAAGACCCCACACAGAGTCCCCACTGGGGCACTGCCTAGTAGAGCTATGAGAAGAGGGCCACAATCCTCCAGACCCCAGAATAGCAGATCCACCAACAGCTTGCACAGTGTGCCTGGAAAAGCTGCAGACACTCAACACCAGCCTGTGAAAGCAGCTTGGAAGGAGGCTGTATCCTTCAAAGCCACAGGGGTGAAGCTATCCAAGACCATGGGACCCACCTCTTGTTTCAGCATGACTTGGATGTGTGATATGGAGTCAAAGGAGATCATTTTGGAACTTTAAGATTTGACTGCCCCACTGGATTTCGGATTTGCATGGGGCCTGTAGCCCCTTTGTTTTGGCCAATTTCTCACATTTGGAATGGCTGTATTTACCCAGTGCCTGTACCCCCATTGTATCTAGGAAGTAACAAACCTGCTTTTGATTTTACAGGCTCATAGGCAGAAGAGAATTGCCTTCTCTCTTATAAGACTTTAGACTGTGGATTTTGAGTTAAGACTTTGGGAGACTGTTGGGAAGGCATGCTTGGTTTTGAAATGTGAGGATCTGAGATTTGACAGGGGCCAGGGGCAGAATTATATGGTTTGGCTCTGTGTCCCCACCCCTCATCTTCAACTGTACTCCCACATGTTGTGGAAGGGAACCGGTGGGAGATAATTGAATCATGCAGGCAGTTTCCCCCATACTCTTCTCATGATAGTGAATAAGTCTTACTAGAGCTGATGGTTTTAGAAGGAGTTTCTGCTTTCACTTCTCCCTCATTCTCTCTTGCCACCACCATGACTGTGAGGCCTCCCCAGCCACGTGGAACTGTGAGTTCATTAAATCTATTTTTCTTCCCATTCTTGGGTACGTCTTTATTAGCAGGGTGAAAATGAACTAGTACAATGCCCTTTTCTCCACATCCTTGACAACATTATGAGTTATCAGTCACTTTAGTCACTGCTATTTCAACAGATGAGAAATTGTACTGCCATGTTGTTTCAACTTCTTTGATTTTAATGATGTTAAGATTTTTCAGCATCTTATGTTTCTGACAGATTAAGTTCTGTATTTTTATCCATTTTTTCATTTTTCACCTGTTTTTCATCTTTTGTCTTTATCCTTTATTTCATTACTCAGCTATACAGCATATCTTCACCATTTAATATTTTACATGTGTAGACCTATTTATTATTTGTCTCATAACTAGAATAAAAGTTCTCTGAGAGCAGGGACTTTGTTTTCCTCATAGCTTTATTTTTATGTCCTAAACCAGAGATTGTCAAATAACAGCTTATGGGTCAAATGTAGCCTGGTGCCTCTTTCTGTCAATAAATTTCTTTGGAATGCAGCCATAGCCATCACTTGTTGTACTATTTATGGCTGCTTCACACTAAAACTCAGAATTGAGTAGTTGCAACAGAAACCTTATAGCTTGCACAATTGAAAATATTTACTATCTGGTCCTTTACAGGAAAAAAAAAAGTTTGCCAAATTCTGGTCTAGTAAAATATCATACAACTTGTAGAATGAATAAATGAAGGAGAAAGAATGGTAAATAGACTTATAGATTTTTTTATGATTTAAGGATATTGAGGCTACCATTCATTTGTGTCATGTATATCATAACTGATTTTCTTATATTTCTGTTTGACTTTCAAGAGTTTTAAATTTTAATGTGGTCATATATGTCAATATTTTATAAAGCAATTTTGTAATGTAATAAGCTAATAAATTCTGTAATGTAATAAGCTAACAAAGCCCCACTTAACACCCCCAACATCACCACCCTCCTTCTTCACACAAATTCAGTTGAAATGTTCTTCATGGGCTAATATAGAATCATTGACTGAATGCATAAATGCATATTCTTTAGGTGCTGAAAGAAAGGCATCTTCCTGAACAGAAGGGTATTTTTCAAAATTATTTGTTAAATAAATTGAGCTCATTATATAATATAGGTCCTCCATATTATAATGACTCGATCTGCCAAACTGGTATATTTGACCCACATATATTATACTTCTATGAATTTTTATTATGTTCCTCTTTATCATAATACATGTCTAAATTAGAAAAATAATAAAATACTGTCACGCAGGGGTAAAATCTCATCATAATTTCTCTTGCTTTATTTTCAAGTAGCTTTCATCTGATAACAATCAGGAGATAATTAACTTTAAAAATCGCATAACTTTTCTCTTTACTACAGAATTATAGTCAGTCTTTTCATTTACCTTCCCTCAAAATATTTGTAACCATTTATTCATGTTTCTTGGTGAAGTAAAACTTTGCAAATCACATGTCCTGCTATTGTAAGTATATCAATACCTCAACAACCTGGGTTAACTCTGCTTTGAGTGTCATGTAAATGAACAAATTAGTTAGAAATCTGTTAAGCATTGCCTTCATCACATGGTTAGAAAGAGGATTAAATGAGATTATGCTTGAGAAAGTATTTTATAAACTCTCCCGGGCAATTCAAATTATGTTCTCATAATCATTGTCATCATGTCACATCTACTTGCTACACTGAGTATGAGAGAGAGAGAGAGAGAGAGGCAGAAAGAGAGAGAGAGAGAGAGAGAGAGTGTGTGTGTGTGTGTGTGTGTGTGTGTGTATACAGATTCTCTTCCTTAACTTGTTCTCTTTGGTGTAAATGATGAGCCATCAGAAATTGTAAGGCAACCTGTAACTCACTTTCAAAAGAATTGCTGATAGCTCTGTGTTCTACCTACAAATTTAGAACAATCTAATATTTTACTGGAAATGACTTGTATTATTTTGTATTATTCATCTGTGGCCTTTCAAAAGGCAACTTTTTGCCAGAGGACAGGTGTAGCTTAAGATGAAGTATATCTGAACTTAAATGAGAATCAAACTTCTAAAGCTCTGGGGAGGGAGAATATAAGTCATATGTATTTACACTAATTTATCTCAAGAATAATTTTTCTATATACATTCTAATTTTAAAATAACAATAATTTAATAATATCTACCAAGTTGATGGTTTCCTCTATGAAGTTTTCAAAAGGATGGTTATCTCCCTGAGGACATCAAAAAGTCAGCAAGTCTTCATATGGGTTTTCTAGGCATAAATACAGCACAGTCCACTGAATACATGTCTCCTAAAAATTCTTTAAAGGCTCTATGGGTGACACCAAGTCCTTGATGTTTGCTAAAATTTGGTTTGTTTTATTCTTTAAGAACTATAAGCACAGTGCCCAGGGACTACGTGCTTTTTAGGAGCCTCTAAAATTTCTGAAACCAGAAAAAGTATTATTCGCTCAGCAATAAGAAAACAAAACTACAAAATAAATATTATTAAAAATGTAATGATCAACAAAATATAACTTTATACCAACCTTGTTATTGTTAGATTTAGTATTTATAATATTTCTATTACATTTGAAAACTAGTTGTTCGTTAGATTTTCTTTACTTTGCAATAATTTCTACATGTGCATGGTGATTTGAGAGAAATCAGAGCCAAATACAAATTACGGTATTTTTTTTTTTTTTTTGAGACGGAGTCTCGCTCTGTCACCCAGGCTGGAGTGCAGTGGGCAAATTACTGCATTTTAATTGCTCATAAATAAATTTCAATGAGCTATTATAAATAACTGTTTATATCAAGTATTATATATAATGTAGGCAGGGGATACATTTTAATATACTTAATGTGCTATGAAGCCAGAAATCTGCTTAGCAATTTTATCTTCAACTTTTTTCTTCATATTCAATTGACCATTAAAGAGTTGAATTTTATTTTTTAAACACTTCATCTATCACTTACTGCCATCCTTAATGTCAGTATCATGGCTCTAATTGCTATCATCTCTTTTAAGGATTTGCTGCAACAGCTTCCTGATGGTAGAATTAAAGAGGTCCAGACAAAATAGCTTAGTTCCATAGAAAAGTGCGTGATGCTTCTTGCAGGAATGAAGAATTAGGAGCCTGGCAAGAGAGGGGCCAGGAGTTTTGGGGGTAGAACAGAGAACTTTAAGCAGCTTTTCAGAATAGCAAAGCTTCAGGGAAAGACTTTTCTAAAAAGTATTGTATGGCAATCTCCAGCCTCCCCTCCTCACCCCCACAGACTCTTTCCATAAGACTTCAGTAAAACTGTCTTTGGGATCTTTTGAATACAGCGCATTGAGGAAACAAGAAGATAAAGGTGGGGGTGGGTGAGACAGAGACAGAGAGAGATTGTCATGTAATACATAGTGGAATAATAACATAACCATGAAGTAGTAAGACTCTAACTTGTAACAAATTCATGGAGAGTAAAAAGGAAATACCTTGTGTGATGGTTATTTTCTGCTCTGTGCTATTTGCTTCATGGTTGTCAACCACATACTAGCCTACCTGGTGAACTAAGATGTGATTCAACATTCTCTCATCTCTAAATTTAAACTATAATAATGTCTCCTTCCATAACATAAAAATTTCCATGAATTCAGTGTTGTGTAACACTCAAGAAATCTGTATTTGGATATTCCCAGGAGCGCTGTAGAAGTTAAGGGCCGCCTATACAAAAGACTAATTACTTCAAGGAACAGAAAAAATAATATCAAAGAAACTCAATAAATACAGCATGCTAAAGTATTTTATGTGCCTCAAATTAATAGCAGCAATGGGTATACAGTGCTTGCTGTGTGGCAGGCACTGCTCAATGTGTTTTGTCCATAACAATCCTATTAGCATATTAGTAATAATATATATTAGCAGTATCTACATTGTACAAATGAATAAACAGTGGCAAGACTGATGATGCGAATTGGCCAGTGTACAAAACTCGTAAGCTGCAAAGCAGGAATCAAAACAGGTGATTTGGCCCTAAAGTCCATTTATTTACCTCTCCGCTATATTGTTATTTGTAAAGATGAACACTGCATGTTGAATTTCCATTGACCACCTCTTGTTTGATAGACATTCTCAGTCATCTTCCACCCTTGCAATTCAATTGAATTGTTTTATTTTTGCAAAAAATGCACATATTAAAAGACTTTCCTTTTTATTTTTTAACTGTGTTTTGTCCTTCATGCATACATTCCCCTTTTTTGTTTTGTTTCGATTTTGTTTTTTTAATCTCAGCTTTGCCAGTGTTTGCCATCCTGGATAATGCTTTTGTCTGTCTCACTGCATAAATCTCACCATCTATTCTTTTTCATTATACACCACTGTGGAGAGGTAGTTTCAGTCCTGAGGCTCTAATTTGTTTGTGTTTGTTTCTCAAAACTTCACTGCAAAATTTGAATATAATTATAACTACTCATGTAGAAGTAAATTTACATAAAATGAGCTTTTGTAAGTAAAACTTGGAGTTAGAAAAGCATTGCAAAACCTGTCACATTTTTATCATTTTTGTTTCTTTGTATATTGCATTCTGCTAAAGAAAAAGAAAAACACTGAAAATGGTCCCCCAAAGCCTTTCACAAGCCTCACTAATTTTTGTGTTCTCTAGGGGCCCTATCTTTTCTAAATCAGAATCAGGGGTCTAGTTAGGGGCATTTAAGGCCCTTTACAATCTACATTCATTTGATTCATGTCCCAGAATATTCTTATTTGAAATTGCCAAAAATAAAGTGGCTGAGCGCGGCGGCCCATGCCTGTAATTCCAGTTCTCTGGGAGGCCGAGGCGGGCAGATCATCTGAGGTAAGGAGTTCAAGACCAGCCTGGCCAACATGGTGAAATTCCATCACTACTAAAAGTACAAAAATTAGTGGAGCATGGTGGCGGGTGCCTGTAATCCCAGCTACTCAGGGGGCTGAGGCAGGAGGATCGCTTGAGCCTGGGAGGCGGAGTTTGCAGTGAGCCAAAATCACACTACCGCACTCTAGCCTAGGTGACCAATAAAATAAAAATATTTTTTAAAAGTACCAGAAGTGCTATATATTCTGACAACTGTTAAGCTGAAACATAAGTACATAGTGAATAATATTTTTTTGACATAAGGAATGACACATGTATGTGTATTCTGAGTAGGCTCACTTGTCATATAAGACATCAATGCTAAAGAAAGAAAAATATCTTTTAGCTAAATTAGCTCTTGGTGATTTTTTATTACATTTTCTTCTTTAAGAGTTCACTCACCACCCAAATTCTTTTCTTAAATATAACAATACTACTGGTACCTCGATCTACTACCTACCAAATGTCATAAGATCAGGCATAAGAACAAGTCTCCATATAGATACATATTCTGTACACACTCGTCAAAAATTGTTGGAGAACAAAATGAATTTTGCAGATGAATGTTTCTTTAACAATAACCTTGTCATTTATTTTATAATCATTTTTTCAAAATTCTTCTTTCATAATGTAAGTGCTTCTCCCCTCTTTAAATAGAAAAAGAGGGCTATAATTTAAATCATATTCCGGCTTTTGTCAAGAGCATTCATCATTTATGTGGCATTTTCGTATTTTATCTGTTCATCATTGCATTAATGTTAAACTGTCAGCCACTATTTCTGTTATTGTGTCCACTTCAATCATTTTTCCATCTATCAGTCTATTTATTCATTCATTATTCAACATTCCTAGCAACTAGCACTGGAGTGTAAAAAAGCCTATTACTTAAAAAGTTGTACAGTTTAATTGGGGATCCAGACAAGTGATAAAAATGGCATTTCGGCGTTAAAAATCTGCACAGGGAACAAAGGAAATACCAAGAGGAGTCACTGTGGAGTCAGAAGAAGGTTGAGAGAATCTTGAATTACAAACAGGAGTTAGAAAGGGAAGTGGAAAGTGGTGTTTGGTGAAGGAATAGACTTAGAACAAGGAACAGTATGTGCAAAGGCCAGAGTTATGAGCTACTAAAGAAACTAAAAAAGGAAGGGTGATCATATCTCTGTTTTAAAAAAAATCACTCTAACATTGCTTTTCATCTCTTCTGGATTTTAAATTTATAACATGCTGTGCTTGGCGAACAGCTAAATAAATGTTAAAGAAATAAAAGATAAATAAGAGTTAATAAATGAAGCTAATACACTCAGTTTTGCTGGAAGGACTTTATAATTACTCTTTTATACTCAATTAACATTTTGGAGGTTAGAGAGTTCCAAAAACAAAATTGTGAAGCCAGAAGTTAAGGCAAACAGTCACATTTTCAATATTTATGAATTATTTAAGAATCATACAACTCTAATTGCAAAGTCAACATTATATTGCCACATATGCAATTATATGTATTTACATGTTTTGTTGGTATGTATATATTTTTTCACATTTAGAAATAAATGTGATTCTGCATATATTATTATGGATTCTAAAATAAAATATAATAATTATTATCAATGGGGAACTCTGGCTATTTATTTAAAAGAGATTCTTCAACAAACAAAAAGCGGAGAAGAAGATAGTGGCACTCAACTGAGAATGGTGGTATCATGAAATGTGCAATAATGGCTTGCTTTCATTTATTTTAAACACGTATATGTACATGTGCAATGGTTTCAACATAATCCAAGGGGCCAAGAACATAGCTGATAAAGAGGAGAAAATGAGACTATCACAGAAGGCTGCATTAGAGAATGCATGGATCAGAAATCAGTGGTTAAAGTGTTCACTTGGTCTAGATGCCAGGAGCAAGGAGAAGGTCATTAAAGGATTTAAATGGCAGTATGGAGGTTTTAGCTTCCACATGGCATTTATTGATATAATGCTTAATGTACATGATTTAGCTTCTGCTCTGACAATCTTATGGTGAAGGTGCTATTAAGAGGTTTGGCAGAAATTCCTGGCTCATATTCCCAAGAGTATTAGAAGGAGGCGAGGAAGAAACAACCATTAGACATAATTTTTCATGAAATCCCTTATTGAGGGAATTGGACAAAGAGTATATCCACGTTGGTAATTACTTATCAAAACCGTGTCATATTGAAATGAACTAGTAAAAGTCCTTATATACTTTTTCTTCTTGTTTTGGTGGCTCATGTCATTTGGTATGGTTCCTAACATATTTAGATGTTTATTTTGAGATATGAAATAAATCAGATTTTTGTAGAAGTGTATTCAAATTTTAAAATGGCTAAATATCCTATGAAAAATAAAAACTACCCCAGATGATCAGAAAAATTTCTAAACTGTTGATGTATGTCACCGTATGCATATGTAATGAATTATCAAGTCCAAATTAGTGTATGTGGAGATATGATCACAGGTATGGATTCTGACTTACTTAAAATGTTACATAGGTTCTAAAAACGTGGCTTCAATATTTTAGGGAGTCATACCACATTTATTAAATTGATGAATACAATGAAATATCTCTCCATAAATTATTCATCCCTGCATACACACAACATTTTGCATATAATTTTAGCAGATTCACGGATGCCCTGAAGTCCCATTAATGGAATCAAAGTTAACTACTTCTGAATTAGAAAATTATGTAACAATGTATACTTTTTAGCTTTACAACATTTCAATGACATTTTAAGTTAAAGACTCATGAGTGTCATGCAGGAAACCTATATTTAAGGAATAAATAAATGAAGTTGTATTAAATTTTTTGTATTAAACTTTTTAGTCTGCTTTTTATGTAGTCATTTTGCCTCCTGTTCAAAATGATTGTCTTTCAGGAAGATTTACTTATTTACTTATTTTGAGATGGAGTCTCGCTCTGTCACCCAAGCTGGAGTGCAGTGGCATGATCTCAGCTCACTGCAACATCTGCCTCCTGGGGTCAAGCAATTCTCCTGCCTCAACCTCCTGAGTAACTAGGATTACAGGCACATGCCATCACGTCCGGCTATTTTTTGTATTTTTAGAAGAGATGGGGTTTCACCATGTTGGCCACGCTGGTCTCAACTCCTGACCTCATGTGATCTGCCCACCTTGGCCTCCCAAAGTGCTGGGATAGGAAGATTTCTTAATTACCCCAAAGTATTCTCATTCTCTGCTTGCTTTGCTTATGTATTACAATTGTTTTAAATTAAATGGACTCAATTTTGATCTCTAAATGTGTGTATAAGCACAACCAGATTATCTTAAAAGTGGAGACTCACCACCCCCTTCTTCTCTAGTTAAGAATTCACAACAAAGCGTGAGCATAGTAATTTTGCAGATTGATGATGATGGAAAGAAATATTTAGAGCAAATGAGCAAAGAAAAGAGACAAATAGAATTTTCTCAGAAAACTGCAAGAGAAAATTTTGAAATGCAGTTTAATTAGATTGATAACCTAGACTAATGTGGCAGATAATAAGCACTTCCTGAAGCTAAAACTCTGAGATATTTTTAAATAAAATTTTAGATTTCAAGCTGGAATAGAAGTTGATTGTCATCTACTGATGAGGAAATGTTTGACTATTTTAAAGGTTTTGAAAGTCTAAGCTAATAAATAAATTTGCTTTAATGGTTTGTGGCATTCTAAGCATCATTCGTGGATTCTATATCCTTACATCTTTGCAACGCTGTCACTGATAAAAGTAATTGTTGCCTCTTATTTCTCTCAACTTTTGTAACAGACACAGCTGGGCTAATAGTCTAAGATTCTGAATATTCTGTTCCAATAGTATTTGCCTATGTTGCCATAATTAATTTCTACAATTTGTCTAGCATCAGACATTAGATTTCCACCCCTATAGCTTTTTTGTTTCTCAAGTTAAACACCACGTAAATCCCGTAATTTACAAGCCACAGATTAGTGTTGTCTTTTTCTTATATAGCTTTATCAATTTTTCTTCTACATATTGACATGTGAATGTTTTTCTGAGTCTCTGAGCTACATGTAAAGTAGGAACAAAGACAAAAAGGAAGACAGCATTTGGCCAAAGGCAGTCAATATAAGTACTAGTGGCTCAGCTCTTTTTTCTTCACTACTGTCTTCTAAATTCAACTCTATTTTTATGTCTCTACTGTTTATACATATTTATCAATGAGGTTGTTCTTAATGAGTAATTTTGAATTCTTCCACTATTCATCAAATATGTGGATCAGAAAAATCCCAGTGTGCAGAGCATCAGAATTACATTATTTAACATGGGCTTGTGTTTGCACGCTGGGAAGGCTGCAGTGCTCCCTTCCTGTCATGGTTTCTCCTTTTGACCATCTTAGTTGCTGTAAGACTGGCCATATAGCCTTTGCCTTAAAGTTGTCAGGAGCTCACTAGTATCCAGTGCCCCCAATCCCTATACAATAGATATAAAAGTCTACTATATGCCTTCTAGCCATTAGAAACATCTTTACTAATTTTTTTTATCAAAATGGGAAAAACAACATTAGTTCCCAATTTTCACAAATATGCTTAACCCATTTTTTTCATGTGCCAAGCCTTAGCATAATATTTCCATGTTAACTTTATGTCATTTAACATAAGGACAGACTTCTTATACAGTGTGACTTTTATATATTGTTCTTCTCTTAAAAAAGGGTATTTTCTTCTTTTCTGCTTTATGTCACATCAAAATTAGAATAGATGTTACTCAACTTATTAACAACACCTCTCTATTCTTTATGATTTTATATTTGGCATAATTAAGTAAACATAAAGTAGATTTGAAATAGATAAAAGTACAAGAAAAAAATCAGCCAAGAAATGAAAATAACAAAAAATAAAATGCCTAAATTTATTGTTTACCCAATCACTGATATAATGCTAAAACTTTTTAAATGTATTATGTGGTTTATCTTCATGCAATGCTGTGAAGTAGGCACAATTATTGCCTTCATTTTGTAGATGAGAAGATCAGTGTTAGGATTTTAATCGAAGCAGTTTGATTCAGGAATCCATTTTTTAATAACTACACATCATCAGTATAGCAAATAATTTTTTAAGTGTGATACATTTGGGTTTATTACACTTTATTAGGCTTTGATAGGTTATCAATGTCCTATTCTGGTGGGTATGGTTAATGGGTACAAAATATAGTTAACTAGAATGAATAGGATCCAGTATTTGATAGCAAACAGTTTAAGTGTGATACATTTAGGTTTATTACACTTTTTTTATTAGGCTTTGATAGGTTATCAATGTCCTATTCTGGTGGGGATGGTTAATGGGTACAAAATGTAGTTAGAATGAATAGGATCTAGTGTTTGATAGCACAACAGGGAGACTAAAGTTAACGATAATTTATTGTACATTTAGAAATATCTAAAAGATATAAGTGGATTGTTTGTAACACAAAGAAAGGATGAATGTTTGAGCTGATGAATACCCTCATTTACCCTGATGTCATAGTATGCATTGTATGCCTGTATCAAAGTATCTCATATACCCCATAAATATATACACCTACTATGTACCTTAAAAGTTTAAAAAATTACAACAGTCTATGGCTTAACCTACTTGGAAAACAAAATGAGAACTGAGTCAGTGAATGGATATTGGGCACAGGAGCTTGTGAAATAGGGTGAGAACAATAATACAGGAAGAGGCTATGTAGCATCAGCCAGAATATTGAAATGGAAAAAAGGGATTTGAAACATGAACATCAGTCACTAACTCAATAATTCAAATTGAACAGCTTGTAGAAAACCTCTAAAAATGTGACCAAATTCATAAATTTCATGATGCTGGTATGAGGAGTGTCTCTTAATAGAAAATAGAGAAGAACTACCTTAACAGCTCTTTGCACCAGCAAGTCATAACCTGTCCTAATAAAATGAGAGCATGTACCTTAGTTTTTAGAGAGTGTTAAGTAGATATGGGAAGTTTCATTTAGTTTTTATTTTAGAAACTAAGAATATTTGCTCACTTACTGGTAGGTGTTACTTTGAGCGTGGAATGTGTGTTTTAGAAAGTAGAAGGCACTTTAAGCTACTAATAAAGTTAAGTGACATAAACTTAACAAGAAAATAGTTTGCTAAGGAACAGGCTTGACACATTAAAAAAATGGGTTCCTAGGATTCATTAATATATAGGAGAGGCTTTTGTGTAATAGAATCGAGATTACCATCTACAGGTAAATTCAATTTAAAGTTTATATTTGTTAGCTGAAACTTTCCAGGATCCCTGAGGTGACTTAAAATGCAAACCATATTCACCTCTAGGTCTGGAAGGAATATGGTAACTTCTCAGTGTTTCATATTAGCCCCAAGTAGAATTCTGCTCTGTCATATTCAGAGGTAGTGTCATATACTTCATGAAGAACTGGGCCTGGGAGAAATGGACCCAAATGAACCCACTATATCCACAAGCACTAAGCTCAAGGCATATGGGGCTACTTGCAATTTCTATAAAGTGTCTAAGATGTAAGGAAGGGATGCAGTTTCAGCTTTCTACATATGGCTAGCCAGTTTTCCCAGCACCATTTATTATACAGGGAATCCTTTCCCCATTTCTTGCTTTTGTCAGGTTTGTCAAAGATCAGATGGTTGTAGATGTGTGATATTATTTCTGGGGGCTGTATTCTGTTACATTGGTCTATATCTCTGTTTTGGTACCAGTACCATGCTGTTTTGGCTACTGTAGGCTTGTAGTATAGTTTGAAGTCAGGCAGCATGATGCCTCCAGCTTTGTTCTTTTGGCTTAGGATTGTCTTGGCAATGTGGGCTCTTTTTTGGTTCCATATGAACATTCAAGTAGTTTTTTCCAATTCTGTGAAGAAAGTCATTGGTAGCTTGATGGGGATGGCATTGAATCTGTAAATTACCTTGGGCAGTATGGCCTTTTTCACAATACTGATTCTTCCTATCCATGAGCATGGAATCTTCTTCCATTTGTTTGTGTCCTCTTTTATTTCGTTGAGCACTGGTTTGTAGTCCTCCTTGAAGAGGTCCTATACATCTTATACAAAAATTAATTCAAGATGGATTAAAGACTTAAACATTAGACCTAAAACCATAAAAACCCTAGAAGACAACCTAGGCAATACCATTCAGGACATAGGCATGGGCAAGGGCTTCATGACTAAAACACCAAAAGCAATGGCAACAGAAGCCAAAATTGACAAATGGGATCTAATTAAACCAAAGATCTTCTGCACAGCAAAAGAAACTACCATCAGAGTGAACAGGCAACCTACAGAATGGGAGAAAATTTTTGCAACCTACTCATCTGACAAAGGGCTAATATCCAGAATCTACAAAGAACTTAAACAAATTTATAAGAAAAAATCAAACCCATCAAAAAGTGGGCTAAGGATATGAACAGACGCTTCTCAAAAGAAGACATTTATGCAGCCAACAGACACATGAAAAAATGCTCATCAGCACTGACCCTCAGAGAAATGCAAATCAAAACCACAATGAGATACCATCTCACACCAGTTAGAAAGGCGATCATTAAAATGTCAGGAAACAACAGGTGCTGGAGAGGATGTGGAGAAATAGGAACACTTTTACACTGTTGGTGGGACTGTAAACTAGTTCAACCATTGTGGAAGACGGTGTGGCGATTCCTCAGGGATCTAGAACTAGAAATACCATTTGACCCAACCATCCCATTACTGGGCATATACCCAAAGCATTATAAATCATGCTGCTGTAAAGACACATGCACACATATGTTTATTGTGGCAGTATTCACAATAGCAAAGACTTGGAACCAACCCAAATGCCAATCAATGATAGACTGGATTAAAAAAATGTGGCACATATACACCATGGAATACTACGTAGCCATAAAAAGGATGAGTTCATGTCCTTTGTAGGGATATGGGTGAAGCTGGAAACCATCATTCCGAGCAAACTATCGCAAGAACAGAAAACCAAACACTACATGTTCTCACTCACAGGTGTGAATTGAACAATGAGAACACTTGGACACAGGGTGGGGAATATCACACACCGGGGTCTGCCATGGGGTGGAGGGAGTGGGGAGGGATAGCATTAGGAGATATACCTAATGTAAATGACGAGTTAAGGGGTGCAGCACACCAGCATGGCACATGTATACATATGTAACAAACCTGCATGTGGTGCACATGTACCCTAGAACTTAAAGTGTAATAAAAATAAATAAATAAATACATAAATAAATAAATAATAAAGTGTCACCTTTTTCCTTCCAACATGTCCTGCATTTCCCTGTTCCCGCATTTACCTGGTAGTACTTTCTCTTTTTATTTCTGTCCTTTCTTTTTATTATTTTGTGAACTCCTTCTTTCATTTAAAATCTTTTAAAATAACTTTCTGAAAGTTATTTTAATCTGCTCAAAACAGATTGTTCTCTGCATGTCTCCTAACAAGTGGGGAAAATGCAAAAGATTTTAAGCGGTAATAACAGGATACACAAAGAAACAGATGGTGGGAAGACATTGCACTTAAGGAAATAAAAGAAGATCACTGTAGCTAAAGTATGGAAAGTGAAGAAATGGAATAAAACTAGATGGAATAAAGGGTCAGGGGTCAGGTCACAGAGCTAGAGTAATGAGTTTGAATTTTATTCTTACTGCAGTGGAATGCCATTAATGTGCTTAAGCTGGGGCACATCTTAAACAATTACCTTGTTATGGGTTAAATACAATCAGGAGTAGAAATGGTGAAACTCATAGTCCAAGTGAGGGCTGATGGCCACAGCAACTAAGCTGTGGATGTAGAGCTAAACAGCTACATCTGATATTTTGCTTTTCTGATGTCATAGATATGGTATGAGGATGAGAGTGAAGGAAAAAATTTGATTTAACTTCTAAGTTTTCTGACTTAAGTAACTAAGTGGAAGTGTTACCATTTCTATGGAAGAAACTCGGCCAGGCAGGAGGTAGATTGAGGAGGACAGGTGTGGAAGAAATTAAATCCTACTTGCATGTTCAGTTTGAGGTTCTTCTAAGATATCCAGGTAGAGATGTTAGATAGGCAGTTGTAGACATGTGAGCATGAATCTCAGAGGAATGATCTGAATTGGAGATAAAAATGGAGCTGACATCCTGCCTCTAGAGGATCCCTAAAGCCATAGAAAACAAGTTTACCAAGAAGGAGAATACAGAAGGAGACAGTAACAGACCCAAGAATGTAGGCCTGAAGAACAACAACATTTTATGTTGGGCAGAAGAGGAGGAATCTGCAAAGGAAAACAAGAAAGAGCAACTAATAGTTTCAGAAGAGAACCAGGAGAGTGGTTTCCTAGAGACCAAGACAGAAATAATTCAGATAGTAATGAACGGTGGTAAAATGCTGCTGCCATGATACATAATACAAGGACAGCTAAATATTCATTAGATTTGACAATATGGCAGCATGATGGTTAATTTTATGTGTTGATGTGGCTAGGCCAAGAGGTGTCTAGATATTTAGTCAAACATTATTCTAGGTGTTTCTGTGAGTATTTTTGGATGAGAATAATTTAAATTGGTGGACTTAGAGGTAAGCAGATTGCCTTCATAACGTGAATGGGCTCCTTTCATTCAGTTGAAGGCCTGGATAGAACAAAAAGACCAGTTTCCCTCAAGCAGGAGCAAATTCTCCAGCAGACCACCTTTGGCCTGCATCTGCAACATTGGCTCATCCATCCCAGTTCTATGGCAAACTGCTGTTAAACTGTAAGTATAGCATTGGGTCTCCAGCCTGTCAGACCAGCCTGCAGTTGGACTTGCCAGCCTCCATCGTTGTGCGAGCCAATTTCTTATAATAAATCTGTTTCTCTGGAGAACCCTGACTAATACAGGAGGTCACTGGGGACTTTTTTGACATGATCAATTTCAGAAGACGATTGGGGTGGAAACAACTATGGTAAAGAAGAGAGATGAGCAATGACAAAATGAAGACAACACGTATAGGCAATTCTTTCAAAAAGTTTGTCTAAAAAGAAGAGCAGACAAAGTGAGGTAGAAGTTGCTGAGAATGTGGGATCAAGTAAATCTTTAGTATGAAAGACACTAAAATGTATTTCTATGATAATAGTAGAGATAAGAGGGAAAGGCTAATTATTCAAGAGAAAAATAAAAGAAAACCCTGGAGAACGTGGGAATAAGTATAATCTAGACCACAAGTAGAAGGAGGAACAATTGCTCTAGTACACTAGAAAAGAAGAAAAATTTGGAGGTGCACTAGTTTGAATAATATTCTCCAAGAATTAATGTCCAACTGGAACCTAAGAATTTCACTTTATTTGGAAACAGGGTCTTTGCAGACATAATTAGTTAAAATGAGGTCATACTGGATTAGGGTAGGCTCTAATCCAATGGCTGATGTCCTTAGAAGAGAAACAGAGACACAGAGACGGAGAAACACACAGGCGAATGCTATGTCAAAACTGGCATACATTAGAGTAATGCATGTGCAAGCAAGGAATGCCAAGGATTGCTGGTGACCAGAAGCTAGAAAATACACATGGAACAGACTACTTCTCAGAGACTATGGCCTGAAGTAAGACACATGGTGAGATCACTGAAGTAGGGGGTTCTGGGAATGGAGATACCATGATATTGGAAGACTTTTCAATGAGTATATTAAAATCACCAAGAATTATAGGGGTACTGATGAAGAGAGTAATGGTAAGCCATTCTCTTCAAGAATTGATAGTAGTGTCTTGGGAGGGGGGTCGGGGGGAGCGTGAAGATGACTGAAACAAGAGGAGTAGTGAAGGGTGTATATTCACAGCCGGGTGTTTTATAGTGGAGGAGACTAAAATAACCTGGGAGCAGCAATGAGGTCCTGGAAGATACCTATCTATTTCTAGGCCCTGTGATACAAAGCCATGTGGAAGATAATAACCAGCAACCACCTGAGAGACACGGGAGAAGCAGTGTCCTCAGTGGGGAGGCAGATCACAGACAGATGAGAAGGTGGAGAGAAGCTGCACAGATCGGATTGAGCATACAGGTGTTCTGTTTATTACATTTCACTGTTTAATACACTACACTGTTTATTCCAGATGAAGAGCTGGACAAATGTCAAGCACACACTCCTGGGGGATGAATCCTAGATTTTTAAACGTGGTGTAATAGCTAGAAGATATTTGGCCTCGAGGTGTGTGAAAATGCAGTAGAGTTCACTCTGGAAATGCCTGACTTCCTGGAACCGTAATTCACCTTCACTGTCTTCTGAATCATGGAGGACTTCCAGTGCTACCTTAGGATTTTAAAAAGCATAACAGGAAGTAGGTAGCACAGAAAACCCAGGGTGAAGAAAGTAAAAACATAAATACTTATAGAAATGTTGAAATAGGAAACTCAGGTTTTCTAAAGCTTTTTTTTCAGAGATTATTGCTCATTATAGCTATGATCAGCTACTTACGGATTTTGAGGAACTTAATTGTGAATTAATTACTTCCTTCTTTCCTTTCTCTCTCTCTCTTTTTCTCTCTCTCTCTCTTTCTCTCTCCCTCTCTCTTTCTTTGTTTCGGCAGAGTTTCACTCTGTCGCCCAGGCTGGAGTACAGTGGCACAATCTCAGCTGTCTACAACCTCCCCTCCCAGGTTCAAGCAATTCTTGTGCCTCAGCCACCTGAGTAGCTGGGACTGCAGGTTCACACCAACATGCCTGGCTAATTTTTCTATTTTTAGTACAGACAGGATTTCACCATGTTTGGCAGGCTGGTCTTGAACTCCTGGCCTCAAGTGATCCACTTGCCTCGGCCTCCCGAAGTATGGGGATTACAGGTGTGAACCACCACACCTGGCCTGTAATAATGAATTTCAAAAAGACTTTTTAATACCTATAATATTAAAAAATTAATCTATATGTCGTTTGTCATTGCCAAGCTTAGAATATTATTATAAATTTTGAAATATTTTCATAGGCTTATAAATTATCCAACATATTCTTAAAGCTCAAAATACATTTGTGGAATAACAAAGGAATAAACTGTAGGAGGGCCTGTGTTAAATTTAATGAGTATATATTTGAATAACAAAGTGCTAAGCTAACTATAAGAGAGTACTTTGGAAAATTTTTATTTTCTTTTTCAATTGAGAATATTCATATGGCATATCTTACTTGGGAAGGTAAATGTTCTACATTATAACTGTTAATGACCTATTCAAATGGAAAAGCCAATGGGCAGGGCTTTAGACTGTTCTTCACAGATGTTCTGCTAGAAACATCAGCTTCAGTTCACTCATACAATCCACAACCATGATTTGTTCCATGAATGCTAAAATTGGGTGTCTAATTGTTTCACTGTACACAATGACAAATATGTGTGCCATTTCTTCGATTAAATGTCTCTGCCTTTAAAGGATGTGTGTTATATATGGGTGGTGTGTGAGAATGCACATAAGTCTTTTCTTTAGGTTTCTATGCAGTTAAGAAGAGATACAGTGCATTGACATTTAGTCAGATGATTCAAGTAGAAATTGTGCCAAAACAAGAAGGGGCCACAAGCCAAGGAATATAGGCAGCTGCTAGAACCCAGTAAAGGCAAGGAAATGAATTATCCACTGGAGCTTCCAGAAGAGAATGCAGCCCTGCTGACACTTTAATTTTAGCCCAATGGGACCTGTATCAGACCTACAGAGCTGTAAGATAACATTTGTGTTCTTTCAGCCACTAAGTTTATGGTAATTTGTTATAGCAACAATGGAAAACTAATACAAAGATTCATGGGTAATTCCATGGTTTGATCCTGAGATGCTAGAAGGAATAAAAATTCTGGACGAGGTGGGCTGGGGGCCAGGCCAGTAAAGTGGAAAAACAGGAGTCCAAATTTGGACTTCTTAGGCTATAAATTTCTACCAGTCATCCAACTGGAAATGTCAAGTAAGTAGTTATAAATATGAGTCTGGAATTCAAGAGAACATATGGGGTAGAGAAATACATTTGGGAGTTTTCAGCCAATAGATGGTATTTAAAGACAGGAGACTGGATAAGATCACCACACTTCCTCACTGCATTTGGAAATGTCTGCCAGGCTACGATATAAACTTTAAATTGTTTCTCTTCCAATCACCCTGACTCTCGCCATGTATAAGTGACTACAACAGTATAGATTCTTTTCTTTTTCATCTAGTAGTTTAAGAAGTCTAATAATGTGATCAAAATAAGGGTTGTAAACTTCCATGTAATATGGGAACTAGGTTTCTTAACTATTTTATTAATAGCTTGCCCCTTGGAAAGAGTAACCTGAACTGGAGTTGACAAGCTAGTTGTTCTTGGTCAGGCAAATCTACTTTCTTCTTGTAAGAAGAAAACACCACATGGAAAAAAAGTAAGTGAAAACAATAAGAGATGAAAGAAAGTTGAGACTATTATAATGAAATTCAACAAATATCTACTAAGAGTGCAAGACTCTGGGTATATAAAGATTGAGAAATGGTCCTTTCCTTCTCTAAAATCAAATTCACAAGGATGGTAGAGGAGAAAGGAATTCATTTTATAGGGGCTTAAGAGGCTAGGGTTAATTTTATGTGGGACAACAAGGATAAAAAAATAGAAATATCTTGGATGGGATTTGTGAGCTAGGAGTATAAAAAGTGGAGTGAAGACCACGAAATATGAAAAGCAGAAAGCATAGATACAATTTGGTTTGGCATGGCATGGCTTGAATAGGATAGTGACACACACAAAAGAAAATCTGAGGGCAGGGTGAGTATAACATTGGAGAAGTCCCCAAAGAGAGGGAGACAATCACAAGGCAATTATGATAGTTCCAGACAAAGCCTATTGTGAACTAGGCAGAGACAACAGGGACAAAAAAGAGGCAACAGAGGCACGAGACATTTTAGAAGTGAAATAAACAGAACAAGGGAGCTGTTTATATATGCAGAGTAAAAGACAAAGAAAAGAATGATAGTGAAAAAGCATGGCTGGTTTTTGGCAAGGCTGATTTTAATGAGGAACACAGAACATAGGACTAAGAACTAGGTTTCTTGGAAGGGTAGTAATCACTTGGTTTTTAGAAATGCTGAAGTACAGTTGTGACGGCAGAGGTAAGATGTTCAGCAGACATGTGGGAATGTGTTTGTGGTTTGGTACAGATGTGAAGGCTTACTCATGGAGATTTGGAATTAACTTTATAAGAGGTCATGAAAGATGGAGGAGCCAGCCAATGGGACTGAGAATGAGGGGTCAGAGAGTGTTGCCCTGGATATCCTACAAATTCCCATCTGACATATAAATTATGTAATACCAGACTGTACAATAGCAAAGTCTATAATATAAAAATTTACAATAAAATCAATTGTAATAGTATCCTTAAAAATACATTTTTAGGCACATGAGCTCATTTGATTCACACTAGAAGTCTGTCAGATAATACTTTCATTCAACTTTGTAGATGAGGGAACTACATACTAAAGAAACAAGTCCTACGGTTCGTGAGTGGAAGGCAGGATTTAAACCCAAGTTGCATGAGACCAAATCCTGAGTTCTTCTCACCAAGGCCATGTAATGCTGGAGAGAATCTGGGAAAAATGAAGGCCAGAGTTTTTATACCGACCCACGAGATTGTGTGTGATTTCTCATCTCTTATTTCCTTTTATCTTCTCCTAGTGACCCCATCAAGCATCATATCCACTTCACTGTCCTTGTTGCTGTTCCTTGCACTTACCAGACATATTGCACTTTAGGGCCTTTGCACTGGATGCTGCTTTTTCCTGGAATGTTCTTCCCCAGAGATTGTAGAGATAATTTTCTTACTTTCTTCAAGTTTTTCACCCTCTAAATGAGTTCTACCACTACTCTCCCACTCAGTACTGCACTATGCTCTTCTTAATCACTTTTTAACATACTTGATATCAAAACCATGCATGGTGGTTATTGTTTGCTGTGTTTCCTCCACTACAATGTACCCTCTATAGGACAGCAGGAATTTTCGTTATTTTCTCACTACTATATTTTAAGCACCTAGAATGCTGTCTGGCACACAATCAGAGCATAATAAAAGTTTGTTGAATCCATGAATTCTCCAAGTGAGAAGGAGTAATTAGGAATGACTTTTGAGAGTGCTTCTTCTGTTGTGTTCTTGGGGTAGAATACAGGCTGCAGTGGGCCCCAGAGTGAATGCTGGTAAGGGTAGGAAAGAGGAGAGGCAGAGAATGTAAGCCAGCCCCTTGAGAAGTTTGGTGGTGAAGAAAGGAGATCAGAAAGTGGGTCAAGAAGCAGAAACAGAGTCAAGCAAAAGTTTGATTCTTTCTTGTATGATAATGCAGACCTGGGCCTGCTTGAAAATTTAGTAAATCTGTATAAGAAAACACTAAAGATTCAAGTCAGAAGAACAAATACGAAGGGAAGAAAATCATAGACCTGGCTATATGGCTGAAGAGACTATCCAGATCACTCACATCATTCAAGAACATTTCTAATGGTCATGAAAACCCAGAGCAAAAGCAGATGGAATCAGAGTGGCTGCTGCTTCTAACAACTGAATCTCCATGTTAGGAATGTTGTGGAAATTAACTAAAGCATTCCACTAGACGATATGTTGCTATCTCCACACACCATGCAACATCTGAGATGTAAAAATAAGCGTTGCAATGCCCCACTCTACACAAAACCAGAATATTATTTAATACATTCCATTATTTTGGACAGGTCTTCTGAAAAGGCTATAGAAATGTAACTCATTCCTGTTGCCAATATATACAAATGAAGATGTCCCTAGCATATAGCTGGACACATTTCTGGGTAATATGGTAGTTGCAGTAGGTTCATTTGGAAGTGCAAAGTACTTCACTCTTAGACCTTCACATATTAGCTGTCAAAATGCACACTTCAACTCTCTTCTTTAGGATGATCACACAGACACTTGCTGATCTTGGGATAATTGACTTCCCTTTCATTGGAGTCCCTTATTTTTATGGAATAGACGCGTCCTGGCTATGGGAGAAAAAATGAACTGAAAGTTGGAATACTAATCTCTCTTCTAATCCCAGTTACATCCAAATTCACAAATGAGATTTTGGAGACATTACCTTTGGGTCCTAATCCTATTCCTGGAAAAGGAAGAGTGCTAGGCTAGATAATATCTAAAGATCCTTTCCGTTTCAACACTAGCTAGTTCCTGTTCCTGTCAAACAAGTTAACAGAGACATAAAAAGTCTAAAAACAGAAGGGATACCACAGTCATAGCTCCAAGAAATCTGTTTTTGGCAGCAGAGTTTTTATAGAATGTAGTAGATGTTATAGTTACAAAGTTTGTGCCATGGGCAGGGCACAGTTCTAGGTACTAATGAATACAAAATAGATTTTCTTTTGTTTGTCCAGGGACAAAATGTATATAGTTCAATTACAATTAAAGGGTATATATGAGCCCTTCTTCCCTTGGCATATAAGACCAAGAGCCCCTTCTCCAGGTCCCAGAGAAAGGCTGTCATCAAGAGAAGAGGATTAACTTGGTGGCAGCAAGTCTGAGGACAATATCTTGTAGTACATGATGCCACCATAGAAAAAGCAGTTGCCTTAATCTTTGGAGTCATTTGCCAGGTTGTGCCTATTATGAAAAACCTGTTGCATTATATACATAGTTCATATAACTTTCTGCTTCTATTCTTGTGTTCCACATTCTTTTGGGCACATGGGATACTTTTGGGCAGAAGGGACTTTGTGGAAGTCATTTCCTTGGTTTAAAATATTCAAATGGAATCCTTTGAAGTTTGTTGATCATCCATCAAAAGATACATTTTTAAAAAATAGATATTCTGGAGAAAATAACAATTGCAATCTTTTACCAAACACTTAATGTCTATCCCATGAGGTACTGTGTTTATTGTTTTTCCAGGATTCTCAATTTTTTTTGCTCAAACAGCTTTATGAAGTATGTACTGTTATCATTTTCATTTTACATATAAAACAAGTGGGCTTAGTCACATTAAGTAACTCCTCCAAGTCACCATTAGCTGACTTCAGAACCAGGAGGTAAACCAGCAGTCTGATTTTAGTGCTCACAATAACCAGAGTATCATAACTTCTTCAGAAATTTAGAAATCTTGTCATTTTGTTTCAGGAATAGCAAGCAGACCTACTGGCTCTGTATCTTCCACCATGAGAAGTTTGTTTTTACCTTTAACTACTAGTGGGAGCGAGTATCTTCTTGTAAGTCTCCAAATATCTCATCTGAAAGAGTTGTTCTTTGTGTAGATTTGTGATTTTAGCACCATTTGTTTATTCAATAGCAGATTGTGGAAGAGCTTTGTTATTTAGGTTTCAACCATACAGGATAGTAAGATTGGTGATATGTGCATAACACTTGGCTATGAATAATCGTTCTCTTCTGTGAGAGACTAATTTGGAGTTTTGGGTAGATTAAACAAATGAACAAAAACAACACTACTCAGTCCCAGGTGAATTGTTAACAATCCAGTGGTTGAAAGCTAATTGGTCAAATCAACAATTCTCTTGAAACTATGAATTGGCTGAAAAATAGCCTTTCCAAGCAACAGTTTTAATGCAGTAACATTAGTTTGTTGCCACAAAGCAGATGATCAGCATTTAGACACCTGCCAATTTACCAGGAAAGAAGGCAGTTTAAAAGGTAATTCCAATTTTTAGGTAAACTCTATGATAATTTTGCAGAAGTTACAGCACCTTGTTTTCTTTTAGAATGTCTATTTCTTATGTTAAATTTATTTTATTAAATTATGCTTTATTTTAGTAGGCAGTATTGTAGTAAATTTAAAAATTTTGTCTCTGGCTCTACATGAACTATCTCAAAGTATCTGGGCCCAAAGTGAATATTTCTAATATTAGTTTGATGTTTTTAGATAACATCTGTGCACTCTAAGGTGGTTTTTATATTTTGCTGCATTTTAAGCAGCTTTTTGGGTTTTTTATTTTTTTATTTTTTTTTTTTTGTTTAGATGGAGTCTTACTCTGTTACACAGGCTGGATGGAGTGCAATGGTGTGATCTCAGCTCACTGCAACCTCTGCCTCCTGGGTTCAAGGGATTCTCCCACCTCACCTTCCCGAGTAGCTGGGATTACAGGCACCCGCCATTATGGCCGCCTAAGTTTTGTATTTTTGTAGAGACGGTTTTTCACCACGTTGGCCAGGCTGGTCTTGAACTCCTGACCTCAGGTGATCCGCCCTACTTGGCCTCCCAAAGTGCTGGGATTACAGGATTGAGCCACTGCGCCTGGCCATTTAAGCAGTTTTAACAGTCCCTTTTAAATACTTTTTCAACTAGTGATGTCTTCTTTGGCTTATTCATGTTTTCATCACTTTTCAATTGATTTTTTTCTTTTATATCCTTTATTTAAGTAGCTGCTTCTTGAAGAAAATGCAAGATGTGTATAGAGGAATGACTTTTGTTGTTTAATAAATTTCTGCAATGCCTATTAATGTAAATATATGAAAAACACATTTTATTTGCTAATAGTTTGGGACTTTATACATTATTGCACCATTGATCACCTTTGCAGAAATACATAATTAATACCTAGTGCCTTAGTTTTATTATGTATTGCTTGCAAAGGGAGAATGGATATAATTAGTGAAAATTCTTCAAAATCAGGGACTGGAAATCATTTTTAAGTTCATCCTATCCATTTTTTAAGCTAAATTGTTTGTCTTTAAATTCCTGGATCCCTGTTGTTTACTACCATAGATAAGACATAGTGACCATAATTTAAACTAGCTATGGACCCTAGAGGAATGCTGTGGTTCAGTTATGTAATCAAGATGATCATGATGAGGACAAGGACAATGAATTAGTATTAATACTTAATATTTACTGTGAGCTATTATGATTCGGCCCTGTGCTAGCAGCTTTATTACTATCATCTCATTTCTCATAGCAGTCACACAATAATGTTATGATAGTTTCACCTCCCATTTACAGATGAGGAAACGGAAACTTACTGAGGTTACCCAAGGCCATTCAGGTATGAAGACAAGCCTGAGTCTGTTTGCCTCTGCTGAAGAAACCACTGTACAATAGCATCTACCTGTGACATACCAAAAGGCCTTGCACTGTGATGGTTCCTGCCTCCACAGACTCTTGAGTCTTGAATAATGTGTTTCCGCCAATTCTCAGGTAATGAAGGTACAAAATTGATGGAAAGCTTTTATTTAAAAATCACTCAGAGGTTGCAGATTTTAAAAACAGAAGGTCACCATTTCCTTCTCTGAAATACTAGCATGATAGCCATCTTTCCTCATCTTCTTCATAGTTCTATGAGATAGATTTAACCAAAAAGCCACCTCCTGCAACCTCTTTTGTTTTTGTTTTTTAAAAAAATCATTGTAATATACCCTGATGTGAAAACAGGAGACAGTCACTTGAGTCTTTCAAGCAACTACAAGTAGCAAATAAATTTGATGCCATTTTACTGTGTAGGAGGAAATACACGTTTCCATTACCCCATGATGAACCTAATGATAAAATCTAGATAGAGCCAGATGTATATTTTGTTAACATTTTTATTGGTACGTGCTCTCAGTACAACAAACAGCATCAGTAGTGTACACTTTGATAAAAAGGAATTTTTAGCTTAGTAGAAAAGAAAGCCCAAAGGTCAGAAGTATAATGAATATGTACATCTTTATGGAAACTGTTTGTGTGACCATCTTTATCTTCCCCTGTGGATGAGATGTATGCACACACAAGTAAACTAGAGAGAATTTTATTCTATGGGAATTTTTAGGAAAAAAAAAAGACTTAAGGCTTAGGGATTGTTTTACTATCTGGAATTTGCCTAATTTGACCTTCAAAGTTCTTGCACAAAGTAGCAGCAATTCTTTAGAGGTATAGAGTCAATAGTTTAAGCTGTTAGTTTACAACGATTAAAATGCAAAAGTTCTTGCACATTCTGTGCTTTGAGAGGTTAATTCATCTACATTTTAGTTTGTATAATATATTTTTAGACAGCTCAGGTACTGACCTCAAAATCATTATGCTGATATCACTATCTCCTCTCATGTACATGTAATTCATGATGCACTTATCTCTTTCAAAAACTTTTAAAAATGTTTCTAATTCACAATTTCATTGAACAGCTAGCTGAGTCCATACAATTTAATGTTTCCTTGAAGGGAAACAAGTCATCAACTTAATATCAACTACTAAAAATGCAAGATGTTTGCATAACATCAAATTTGTTCAGTTTTAGCTTTTGAGTTGGCTGTAGTAGTTTGCTTAAAGGTCTCTATGCACAGAACAAAGCATGCATCTCTAATTATGTCTCTCTAGTTTACCAAAATATGTAATTGATATTAGTGTAAATATTTAGTACATAAAAATACTATCAAGAAAAAAAATCAACTTTTAATAAATATCTTCAGTTCTGAATTCTATGTACAAGTACTTTACATCTACTCCCTGGAGAGAGCATTTCTGGCTTTGCTGTGAGCAAGGTGACTACTGACATAAATTATTAGCACATTATTGCAGTCAGATGCATTGTGGTTGTGAACATTTGAACATGAACCATATGGAAAATAAATATCTCAACCATCGACATATGCTTTCTTGAACCTGCCTTCAAAGCCCCAAAGCTCTACTATACTCAAATATCAATTCTAGACTGATGATATTTTTCTCAGCTACCAACATACAAATAAGTTATCCCAAAACTTTTTCCTTTGCGATTATTACAGTACATTGAGTATAACTGTTTGTATCTGTCAACAATGCGAAAATTAAAAAAGAACACACACACACAAAAACAAAGGACACCTCAACGGTGCCTACTGAGGTCCTGGAAAGAGGGTTTCAGTTTTGTCTTGCACGAGTTCATTATTTACTATTCGTTGATCCCTGTGACCACAAGTGTACTAAGACACCAATCCTTTAAATTATAAGTATAGAAGGCAATAGGTAAGCTGATATCTGTATATCTATAGCTTTTGTGTTTCTTTTCTTTTTCTATAATTTACGTATCACATTGTTGATTCAACAAAACCCTTTATATTGTCAGTAGCTGTAATTCTAACTTCTCTTTTGTAATACTCTGCTTTGAAAATTAACCTATAGAATGTCAAACAAGGCAATACTCAACGACAGGCACCTAGAACATCCAGAAATGTAATATAGTAAACAATCATTTGAGAACACATCTCTTAAAATAATACTGATTTTTGCAATATACAGTATTTACACAACAGCTGCAAATTTGCTCATACAATATTTCTAATATAGATAAATAGGAATACAAGTCTAAGAATTCTTTGTTCCATATCCAAAATTTCTTGTTAAAGTGTAAACCATTGGTATCTCTTTTTAATTTTTACTGTAACTTTTCTAAAACAAACAAAAAGTCAGCTGATATGCACAATTGGTTCCAGTCCCTTTTCTGCTTCAGAGAGCGACCAACACAATCTTAGCAACATATTTTTCTTTTGTAATAATCTTTGGTGATTTCTTCCAATGAATTCTGGTAAATGAGTCAATGCAGAACAAAAGGAGGATGAAAGCAACTAGAAAGTGAGCCAGCACTTTCTGTTCTTCCAATTACAGATAAAATGAGCTGACGATCTATAGAGATTTCCACTTTAAACAAGCATATGCACCATGGGAAGAGAGAGGTTGTCCAGGTTTTCCTCTGGTTTCTAGCCTTTTTGGTTCACTTTCTCATCTTTCTAAGGTGGATGATCTTGTCGGACGTCTGTTGTCAATGATCTTTCCATCTTTCTTTGAGGTTCTTGCCTGAGAAGAAGCACCTATTGAATCACTGGCTGCAAAGAAGGAAGCAGCAGCCATTTGTGAAGCTGAACTGAGGTGGACCCTCTTGGTGGGTGGGGAGGATGGTACGGTGACCAGTCTCACAGTCTTACTTCCTGCTTGCTGAGCACTCCTCTGGCGTAAATTAGCACCATCAGGTTTACTGTTTGGCCTGAAAGCAGCATATGCATTTGGACCTCCCACTGAAGAGATGCTACTCAAAGACATCTTCTTTGCAGGGGTCTCTGAATGATAAGGAACCAAAGATGTAGGCATCACTAGAGATCTAGGGAGGTCACTAGGGTTAGAGATGACATCATCATGAGTTTCAGCAGCTTCTAGAAGGTATGGTGGTGGCAGGGTGCTACTGCGCTTGCTGCAGGACTCACAACATAACTTGTTATAACCTGGTATGGAGCAGTATCGTGCCAACACTTCCATTTGACAGAATATGGACTTGTCTCCCAAACATGGTTCATCTGCAAAAATAAAAAGAAAATAAACTAACACTAGCATCTAAACATAAAATAAAAGGAGGAAAAAAATTAAAATTTTTAATGAATGTAAAAAGATTTAAGTGCAATCTGACACTAACGGGAGTGATCCACACGAGCTTTTGCATTAAAAATATGAATATTAGAATGAATTCACTAAAATAAGTAGTTCTTTGTCTACAAAGTCCTTGTGATGATCATTATTTTAATATTTCCACCAGGAGTCTTCAGACCACAGAGGGTATTTTTTTCTCCAAGTAGGAACCTATATCTGATTTTAGAATGGGCAAAGATAATTTATTTAACGTTGTGGTTAAATTTTTAGGATGCAAAGGGGCATCTGTATTTTTATTTTATGGTATTTCTGACTTTCTCAGAGGGTACTCCCTACATTACGTTAAAATGTGAAATCAAAATAAATACTAAACACTTGTAAAAACAAAACAAATCTTACAAAGGTATTCTCCAAAGAATAATCAAAATACCATCTTGATTTAAAAAAATTCTCCAGTTTGAGATCGAGACCATCCTGGCTAACACAGTGAAAAGCCGTCTCTACTAAAAATACAAAAAAAATTAGCCAGGCGCGGTGGCAGGCGCCTGTAGTCCCAGCTACTCGTGAGGCTGAGGTAGGAGAGTGGCGTGAACCCAGGAGGTGGAGCTTGCAGTGAGCCAAGATTGTGCCACTGCACTCCAGCCTGGGTGACAGAGCGAGACTCTGTCTCAAAAAAAAAAAAAAAAATTCTCCAGTTTGAATAAAATAGTTTCATGTTTATCATTGAATATTCTCAGATTATTTGTTATTTGAATGCACAAATTTGGGTAAAGTATGCCAAATTTCTTATGAATAATTCATGGTTCTTACATTTAATTTTATTGAATTGACAGTACTTTATGTTTAAAGGATACTTAGTAACACTCATAAAATGTAATTTCATTGAATTGACAGCACTTTGTCTAAAAATTACTAAAGTAATACTCATAAAACACTTGATAACATCTAAAGTAACACTTCTAAAACACTTCATACTGCATGTGTACACATTATTTTTATTACTTTAAAATTTTATTGATTCCAGGTTACAAGAATTGGATTTCAGATAATCCAAATATTAAGCTCATAAAAATGTTAACTTGTGCATAGTTTTAGTCATCCTGGGTATACCTTATGAAATAAAGACATATCCTGTGCCTCTCTGATAACAGAACCAGTGCATAGAGTAGCATCCCTGCATATGTGCAACACAGAAACACTGATCCATGCCCAAAGAAGAAATGCAAAGAACTGTCAATTGTGGCATTTATGTAATAGAATCACTTAAAGTTACAGCCTATTATTGGGTAATACTATACTGCTAAGAAAGAGGCCTGCTACATAACTCCCCAAAAATTGAAAAAATCCTTTTTCTAAAGTTAGAAACAAAAAAAGAGAGAGTCAGCTGGCGAAGCCAATAGAGGACTAAAATTACCAACATTGAGCTGTAATACGATGTCCACTTCCCAAATTGTGAAATGACTCATATATGCTTGACATGTGCAGGTCTATTATATGGTATAATGTGTCTGAATACTTCATATAAGCTAGGTCATCATCTAATTATGTTATGAATGAGCATTATATTAATGAGTTTCACCTTAAATATTTTCTCATGTGTGAATTTTTTTTGAAAACCTGTATCTTAAAATAAGAAAAATGTCTTCTTTCTGTATGTGTCAGGCTCTAGGTCTCAAGAGGAGAGGACATTATTCGATCTTGTCCTCTCTTTTTCCTCTAACCCCTTTCCCTCATCGCCCCTGTTAGGAGGCCCCTCTTAGAAGTACGACCTGTTTTCTCTGAGTTAGAGAAGGAGTCCAACCAAAGGTCTCCCATGTCTAAGTGTGAGCACTTTGGCATTGCAGAGTCCTGTTCATAACCTGGGTTTCATTAGGGCCAGAATTTACTTTTGTGTGGAGGAGCAAAAGGGAGAGATATTCTGAGAAAAATAAGAGCAAAGGAATACATTAACCTTATGGGAATTTGCCTACTGATAAATGAGAAGAGCTTACAGGCAAAAAAAAAAAAAAAAAATGGTACAATCAATCAAAATATGGAGTCACATGAAAAAAATCAATCAATTACAAAAAAATTAAGGCAACTTTTCAGACTTCTCGTTCCACCCCCAAATCATTATAAGAGGTTCTGGAAAAGAGATTCACACATGGTCTCAAAAGGCCATTTGATTCTAATAGCAGTTTGAGATTCTGATAGAAAGTATTACTTATTTTACTTCAAATATGGTAGAAACATGTGACCGTTAGAACTCTTAGGATTGCCCTTTGGGCCTCAATTTTAGAACAACAGAACAACTAAAAGGGATATGAAATCACTATGATAGTTAAGCTATCTTATTAGCTCCCTGGTTTTATATTCAAAACAATTTCTTCTGGCTAAAGAAGGAGAATCAAGAAAATTCTTGCTAACCATTGGGCACGTCTGTAGAAATGCACAGCTGTACCAGCTCCAAGATCAATAAAGCTTACTTACAAAGTGGCAGCCTCTTAACAGGAATAACTACATAAGAATAAAATATTCTGGTGACAGTATATGTTAAAACTTCTGAGTAAAGTTTGTTCTTTTGGTTTTGATTTGTATTTTGAGCTCTTACATATGTCAATACTTTCCAAAGTAAAATGATTAAATATATAAGTCCTATGTCTCCCTCTCATGGTCAGATATGTTCTTGCTATAATATATTTCAGATGAAAATTTATAATGAAGTAATTTATAAGGGTTGAAGACTTAAAGCCTGAAAATGAGCTTCAAAAAATAAAACATTTGACAAGATAGTGCTTTGCCAATTTTCTTGACAAAAAGCACCATTCAGCAGATGTCAATATTCAAACAATGTCTTACTTATGGTGTTGGAGGCCAAGGAAAAAGCAACTTCTTTAGGCCTGAGTCTTCTAATATGTGAAAACAACGTCCACAGTTGTCACTGTCGTGGCTTTAGCAGAACTGCATTTAAGAGAAGGGTTGTGGTGGATGGGGATGGGTGGGCTAGGAAAACAAGGCAGGAGAAGAAAATATAACGGAAGAGAGAGTGCAACAAACAGATGGGGGTGGCGAGAGACTGACTTGGGGAGAGAAAATGAGACAGGAAGAGAAAAAGATGTCAGTGGAGGGGCTAGGAAGAGAAAGATAGGAGGAGAAAGAGACAGACACAAGGAGTAAAAGATGGAGGAGTAGAGAAAAAGAGGCTGGAAGGAGAGGAAAAAGGTGGGTATGGCCTGAATGTGTGCCCCCAAAATTCCTTTGTTGAAACCTAATCCTCACGGCAATGGTACTAACAGGGTGGGGACTTTGGGAGGTGACTAGGCCATCAGGGTGGAGCGCTTATGAATGCAATTCATGCCCTTATAAAAGAGAATCAAGGGAGCTCCCTGGCCCTTTTCACCACATGTGGACAGAAAAACAAGGCACCATCTAGGAAGCCCTCACCAGACACTAAATCTGCTGATGCCTTGATCATGGGCTTCTAGACTTAGAACTCTGAGCAATAATTTTTTTTTAATAAAGTACCCAGTCTCAGGTATTTTGTTATAGCAGCTAGAACAGACTAAGGCAGTGGAGGAGATAAGAGACAGGGAGAGAGAGAGAGGTGGAAGAGATGGAGAGACAGAGACAGACATACCAAGTTGGAGAGGAAGGGGAGGATAAAGAAAGAGAAAGGGAGAGGGTGAAGGGGAGGACACCGAGAAAGAGAAAATGGGAGAGAAAGGGAGACAGACACATGGAACAAGGAAAGAGGGGAAAGAGAGAGCCAGGAAGAGGCAGGAGGAGAGAGAAGATGAGAGGGAAAAAGAATGATAGGAGGTACAGCCAGGGAGACTAGGAGAGGGAGAGGGAAGGACAGCAAGAAGAAAGAGTAAGGCCTCGAAAAAGCATGTGTGGCTGACATAGAAAATGAGCCACATACAGGCAGCAGGTGACAGCTCATCAGAGACAGAGCAAGACAGACACCAAAAATAAGAGAGAGACAGAGGACAGCAAATGGAGACACAGATGACCGAGCACAGGACAGACAGAGATGTGGATAGAGAGCTATGGAAATGGAGGCAGAAGGAGACAGTGATAGAGCCCAAAACCATCCAATATATTTTGCTTGTTTTATTTACTTATGTTTTGAAATGGAGTCTCACTCTGTCACCCAGGCTGGAATGCAGTGGCGTGATCTCAGCTCACTGCAACCTCTGTCTCCTGGGTTCAAGCAATTCTCCTGCCTCTGCCTCCCAAGTAGCTGAAATTACAGGCATGCGCCACCATGCCCAGCTAATTTTTGTATTTTTAGTAGAGACAGGGTTTTACCATGTTGTTCAGGCTGGTCTCGAACTCCTGACCTCAGGTGATTCACCCACCTTGGCCTCCCAAAGTGCTGGGATTACAGGCATGAGCCACCGCACCTGGCCCCATTTTGCTGTTTTAAAATAGCAAATTGACTAAATAAAGAAAATATACTCTGCTTTTGCCATACAGCAAGTTGGCAGGTCAGGCAAATGCTGAATTTTATCCTATGTGCAAGGTGTCTGTTTGAAGTTACTCTATGGACAGACAGTTATTGGAAATGGCTTTAGGGTTGAGTAACATTACCCACAGATCAAAATTGAATAATTTTAGTAAAATATTTCAAAATCTTTGCAAAATTATGCTTTTAATAAAGATGTGAAGTTATAGTTAAATATAACAAGGAAAAATTAAGTGGTTCCTATTAGCAACACAAATTGATAGACGTTACATATACATGGCACAGCCCTCACTCCAATGCCACCAGCCAGAAATGGCAGGGCTATAGTGATCATGATAATTAAAAAGTGTAGGACATTACCTCAAATGCTGATCTTAAAGAACTGAACTGGACTAATATTTCACAGGTGTTTTCCTTTGGTTATTTATCAGTAAACAAATATAAATTCTATAACTTCTCTCAAAAGGAAATTCTGCTTTTTGAGGTTTAAAAACATCAGAGCAGTGAAGTCAATTGGTGTGACACCTACCATTACAAGGAGGCAGTTGACAGGCTCTGACCGACTCAGGCTTTTCACCATCACAGTGGTCCCCAGCCCTGCAGAGGACCTGCCTCACCTCCGTTCCTTCACCGCAGGTCACTGAACACTGCAGAGACAAAGGCTGTGGTTACAGACATTTATTGCACCAAGACCATGCACATACACACACACACACACACACACACACACACACACACACACACACAAAGACACAGAGATCTGGAGTGGGTTCTCTATTAAGTAATGCTGCACAGTGGTTTTGAAGACAGATACTACTGAGTTTATATTCTGACTCCATTATTTACCAGCCTGGGAGCATTGTTTTTTCTACATAAGATTCACCTTCCTTATCTAGTGGAAAGCTGGGATAATAATACCTGTCTTATAAGATTGTTTTAGGACTAAATGAAGGCAAAGGAACAAAGTGTATAAAGCAGTAACAAAATTCCTGACACCTAGTAAGCATATCATATGAAAGAAGCCATGATTAATAACAATGGTAACATCTGCTGTAGTTTCTAAATACAATGTTGATGATGTCTGTTCTCAGGGACCCAATCATAGTATTGACAGTCCTCACTTCTTTCTTACAGATAGCAGAATTTACTGATAAGTTGCCTTGGATGGTTAATTCAACATCCTTGGAACTACTATTTCTCTGTGCTCTTAAGTTCATTTCTCTAATGAAAAGGTTTACTGCTCTAAAACTAAGCTCAGAAAGTTCCATGTAATGGCCCTAGGAAGGTGCTGTGGAGGAGGGACTTCTACTGAGACTTTGATATGTGTTATCATTATCATCCTATGTGGGTGACCTGCACTTGTACTATGGTTTGAATGTCCCCTCCAAAACTCAGGTTGAAATTTAACTGCCATTGTAACAATGTTGAGAGGGACCTTTAAGAGGTGGGACCTTTCTGAGGTGATTTATGGGCATGGGTTAATGCTATTATCTTGGGAATGGGTTAGTTATTGCAGGAATGGGCTACTGATAGAAGGATCCTCTGTGTCTCTCTTGCATGCCTCCTTGCCATGTGATGCCTTCAGCTACAGGAAGACCCTCTCCAGATGCCAGTGCCATACTCTTGGACTCTGCAGCCTCCAGAACCATATGCCAAATAAACTTTTGTTCTTTATAAATTACCCAATCTGTGGAATTCTGTTAAAGCAGCAAGAAATAGATAAGACAACTTGCTTGTTTCTTCCTTTCTGGGCTTATTCTCCACTTACTCTTTAGTCTTCTGTCTGCTTTTTCATGCCCTTTCCTCCTATAAACTATTCTCCTATGACCCCAAGATTTCTTATTTTGAGTCTTTAGAAATATCTAAGACAGGTGGTAATAGCTGACAATGCAACATTGAGTCAGCCAATTAGCAAACAAACATCATCTGGACAGGTATGCTAGGCACTAGCTGAGTGCTGAGGAAACAAGGCATACTATTTTTGAGAAATGTGTGTACTAGTGGCAAATATAGATTCAAGAATCAGAGTTATAATACTCTGTCATGAACAGCATGGTAAAGTTAAGTTGTACTGCATTTCAGATATACAGGAGGAACTGCCAGGAAAGGTACCACCTGGAAGGTGGTCATTTGGACTACGGAGATGAGGTTTGGTGGAGAAGGAGAGATTATCAGGTAGGAGGAGGGGGAGTACAAGTCAGCTGAAAGGTAGGAGGCTCAAACAAGCATGGTCTGTTTGGAACAGTGTGAAGTTTACTCGAACTGGGACAAAGAGTTGGAATGAAGAAAGAATAAGAGGAGTTAGTGCAGTGCCAAATGGTGCTGGGCCCTGCATTCAATATCAGGGGTTTGGAATTTATACTGAAGGAATAGGGAAGTCAACAAAAATATTAGACAAAAGAACAGTCATCTTTCAGACTTCTTCTCTATGTTATGAAACACATAAACATGGTTTGCCCCTAACATGTACTGTCTTAAAGCATTAATTTTTCCTAACACCTCCAGGTAATTACAAAATATGCAGTAGTTTCTCAGTTCACACAAAGCCTAACTGATGTTTAAGCCAAATTAAAATATCTACACATGCTTACACACACACTTTACTTATGCATGCACGGAATTCACACACCTACCTCACTCCAGGGTCCTGTTTTCCACTGTGCAGGGCAGGGCACTCTGTTACAGGGCCGGCGGCTCTCGGGACGGTCACCCATGCAGTATTTGCTGTGCACAGAGCGGTTGGTGCCATCAAGGAGTGGCTGAAGGCAGCGTACAGTGCGAAGCTGATAGCCAGAACTTCCACAGGTTTTGGTGCAGTGTTCCCATTCTTCTGCTACCCAGCTGTGGGTGCGGGGATTTAATATTGCAATTATCACTGGTATGTATAGTGTACACATTTCTACCTGCAAAGCCTAGACTTTTCTGCTCTCTAAGTGACTTGCAACCTAGTGGGCACACTGCAGTTCAGGAAGTGGTTTCAGAAAGATGGATATAATGGATAACTTTTTAACAATAGTAGGCTGAAACTTTTATTTTATTATTATTATACTTTAAGTTTTAGGGTACATGTGCACAATGTGCAGGTTAGTTACATATGTATACATGTGCCATGCTGGTGTGCTGCACCCATTAACTCATCATTTAGCATTAGGTATATCTTCTAATACTATCCCTCCCCCTCCCCCCACCCCACAACAGTCCCCAGAGTGTGATGTTCCCCTTCCTGTGTCCATGTGTTCTCACTGTTCAATTCCCATCTATGAGTGAGAACATGCGGTGTTTCGTTTTTTGTCCTTGCGATAGTTTACTGAGAATGATGATTTCCAATTTCATCCATGTCCCTACAAAGGACATGAACTCATCCTTTTTTATGGCTGCATAGTATTCCATGGTGTATATGTGCCACATTTTCTTAATCCAGTCTATCATTGTTGGACATTTGGGTTGGTTCCAAGTCTTTGCTATTGTGAATAGTGCCGCAATAAACATACGTGTGCATGTGTCTTTATAGAAGCATGATTTATAGTCCTTTGGGTATATACCCAGTAATGGGATGGCTGGGTCAAATGGTATTTCTAGTTCTAGATCCCTGAGGAATCGCCACACTGACTTCCACAATGGTTGAACTAGCTTACAGTCCCACCAACGGTGTAAAAGTTTTCCTATTTCTCAAATAGGATGTGGCTGAAACTTTTAATGCCCTATTTTTTTCTGCCTCTCAGTGACTCTGAAATCTTCTTCTTTCCTAAAGGATGATCTACAGAGGGTTTCTGAAACTCATCTTAAAGTTGCCCTGTTAGATTCAGGCATGAAGGCAGTTTTCAAGGATAGCACCAACTCACTCTCAGTTACATTGCCTAATGGTGTTAAACATCTGACAGTGAATCTTTAAAACAGAATCCATCTAATGGTTGCTAAGACACACTTACGATTTCTTTACATAACCTTCTGTTTTCACTATGGTTTCCTTCTCTCTTGGTCATGTCTATTATACATAGTTAAAAATCTGGTTCACATTCTACAGAGGATACACCTCATGTCTTTTTCTGGGTTGGACGAGGGCACATTTTTATAAAATCTGGAGAGTTCACTCATGTTTAAATATTTTAACTGATATGACTGTTTTATTTCTACAGTTGTTGCTATGAAGGCTACTTGACATATCTATACTGTTTGGATAATGCAGTTCTTCTTATTGGCCCTTACTGGGCCTGACAAGAGGTAAGGGTGGTGTGCATTGGGGCTGGGTAAAAACTGTTCACACAAATGCACCCGATAGAAACATTTCCAGAGGCATTTTCCAAAATATTAACCAGGGGACATTCCCAAATTCTAATGTCAGTGTCAGTGTCCCAAGCACTCTCCAAATCAGCTGTGGATACAACATTACACACAGTTCTCCAGTACACATGGTTACCAAGTCCCAAAGGGTGGTCACCATTGACTCCATCTGGTTATGCAAGCTGTCTGTATGTAATTCAGGCTAAAATGGATTTGCCTTTTCCAAAGTTACTTTCCCTCTGCAATTTATTTTTCTTTCCATATATATGAGGCACCAAAATATAACCATGCTAAAACCTTGGCAGTCTTTGGTATTCACAGTTTAAGACTGCTTTAGCTTGTCAAACTGGTGGTAAAATGAATGTCTCAAGGCAACTGGACTGAGGAATTTTGCTCAATTTTGAAGACTTCAGTGATGACTCTCTTTTGAAGACAAATATTATACTTCACAGATATAGGTACTTCTGATTACCTCCATTCCCTCCTAAGATCTCAGAATGAAAGTAAATGACAAAAATGTTATAAATCTAGAAAGACAAAGAAATTTGAGAGGAAGTCACAGCAACATAATTTTGGAACCTAGAAGACAGATGGACATATGGAAACTAACTCAGCAGATCTAAGAAGAATGAAGTCCAACTCAGCAGTACAAGGTGATGAGCAAACTGACTTGCACTGTAGAACTTTAGAAATATTTAGGGATTAGAGGCCTTAGATTCAGTGTGAGCTGTGAAAACAAGGGTGAAGCCAAGACTGAAAGCAGGATAACTAATGAAAAGTCTGTTTGGAAGCAGTTAGACCTCCTGATTCTTAACCATACAGGGTGATTTGCCCTCCTCCAACGCAGAAGACATGAGGTTTATCCTCTGTAGAATGTGAACCAGACTTAACTGGATACAATAGACATGATCAAGAGAGAAAGAAACCACAGTGAAAACAGAAGGTTACGTAAAAATCCATCTGTGAAATGGTGAGATCGCTTTAGAAACCTATACACATTTCCAGAACAGCCTTTAAACTGGCTTACACTCCCTAGGCAAGAAATTGATTCTGTTCTATGGAATCTTTTTTATAAGAAAAACACTAAATATACAATTAATTGAGGCTCTTTCAATAAAATAGCTGAGTCAGATCACCCTATAGTTGAGCCCACGAGCCACGACTGTAAGGCAAACTTCTAATCAGCCTTCTAAACACTGCATTTTTATACACGTATGAACATCCCAGGATTACCACATAGAAATCCTCTAACATAAATGATGGAGGTGGAGTGGGTGTGGAGAAGTGGAAGAAAAGAACTCAAAAGAAATTACTTAGAAACAGGAAATGAATCCTTGATATTCCAGAAGAGATAAAAGAATACATTGCATCTGTGAAATAAAAATCAAATGCCTTGAAAAAGAAATACTTGAATAGATCTCTTGAATATTAATGATATGATAGCAAAAATGAAAGGTTCGGCAAGTGCAACAATGGACAATAGGAGAGAAAATCCAAGCTACTAATGTCCCAGAAAGAAAGAACACTGAGGAACACGGGAGAATTTTTTTCAAAACAAAAAAAATACAAGAAAATCTTCCAGAGATAAAAGATATACATTTTATTTATTTAAAAGTTTGTGTCATTTGCCACAACATAGATGAAACTGGAGGAAGTTATGCTAAGTGAAATGAATCAGACACAGAAAGACAAATACCATGTGACCTTCACTTGTTTTCTAGATTCCATATGTGGAATCTATAAAAGTGGAACTCACAGAAGTGGAGACTAGAATGGTGGTGATTAGGGGCTTGGGTGAGGGTGAAGGAGTAATGGAAAGATGTTGGTCAAGGGGTACAAAGTTTCAGTTAGAAGAAACATGTTTTTGAGATCTACTGAACAGCATAGTGTCTATGGTTAATAATTATGAAACTGATATTTCAAAATTGCTAGGAGAGCAGATTTGAAATGTGTGTACCACAAAAAATGATAAGTATGTGATGTGATAGATTGGTTAATTAGCTGAGTTTAATCATTCCACAATGTATGCATACATCAAAACATTACATCGTACCCCATAAAAACATACAATTTTTATTTTTCAATTAAAAAACTCTATAAGTACACAGCACAACGATGAGTAAAAATGAGCACCAAGTCAATTTCATCACTGGGATTTCAGGACACTAGGAACAAAATGACGGTCCTACAAACTTTGAAAGACAAAGAGACCAAAACAGGTCATTGAGAAAGAACTGAGAATCAGAATGGCAACTGACTTTTCAACAGCAACACTTGAGTGTAGATAATAATAGAACAGTATTTTTGAGTCTGAGGGATGATATATTATAGTTTGGAGTAACAGTAAATCCCAGAGAAGAGAAACGTAGTAGGAATTCCAAGGAGGATGATGAAAGGAAACCCTAGGATGAAAGCTGGTAAAAAGTCCAAGCTGGAGCTGGAACACAGAGAACTCTCTGTTCTCTAAGACTCTTCCATTTCTATGGAGACTAAAGTGACAGGATACTTGGATGTTTAGTATTTTGAGGGGATTGATACTGAGAAAGAGAGTTTGGGAATGAATTAGGGAAAAGTAGTAGAAGATCAAATACATAAAATCAAAATATTCATTTATTCTGGAAGAAACGTTACAAGAAAGAAACCATAATAATCAATGCATGCTGTGTGACTCAGGTATTAAGAGAGATACATGTTAATACAAACCCTGAATATTGCGATCAGTAAAAGGTATGTTAGGTCAGTAATGGGAGTAGCAGGGAAGGAGAAAGTGTGGCCTCTGGGTGTGCATTTGCGGAGTGGTCATAAAATAATACAATCTTCAGATTTCACAGTGAAAATTCAATGTATAATGTCTAACCCACCTCCCAAAAAAAGTCAAGGAATAGAAGCAAAAACATTTGACTTAGATGGAAGCAAGTAATTACCAAATATCAAAATAAATATAACAGTTGAAAGTGGTTGTTTTTGAGGAACAAGAATGTGGTGAAAGGCACAGAACTGCAGCTTTATATAATTCCTGTGAAGTGACTTGACTATTTAAACCATGTCTATATAGAGCTTTGACTGAAAATAAAATCAAAACTAAAAAGAGCTAAAGGCAGTGAAGTCCTGATTTTGACCTCCAGATATGATAGTTAAAATAGATGCTTACAGTGGATGTGTACACTCTTGAATATTGCACATTCGTCTAATAGGTTTCGGCTTTTTGTTGGCCTCACAGAAGCTGCGATGGACCATTTTATTATCACTTTTCCTACGGCATCCATATTTAGTGTACTGGAAACCTGGAAAAGGAAATAAAGTTCTTTGGATTTAATCACTTCTTCATGCTGATAGTTACTTGATTATTCACTTACTCATTCATACATTTATTCATCCATTCAATAAATATGTATTGAGTGCATACAAACCGGCACTTCAATAGGTGCTGAAGGTCCCAAAGAACATTAAATAAACAAAAACTTTTACCTTTTCAGAGAATACGTTTGATAAATATTGCAACTGCATGCATGTTAAAGAACTAGACTCTAAATATACACAGTCTAGCATGAGAGGTAGATACGAAAACCACTGTGACAATACTTAGTGACATAGGCTTTTAGAAAACTATGTAAATAACTTACAGTAGAGGGCACCAAAGGAACACAGAGGGAAGAGATCTGTAACTTGGAGGGGAGGGGAAAGCTTAGAGGATCAGTACTTTTCTTCAGCAGAATACTGAAGTTCAAATAGTATGGGGTAATGGAAATGAAGCAGAATTATTCTCCAAGCAAAGGAAATAACGTGTGAAAAACTGCGGTTTCTTCATGTGGCTAGAGGATCATGTGTGAAGAGTGCACGAGTTAGGGAAGGATCAGATCTTGAAAGCCTTCAGTGTCTAACAAGTTTCTGGACATTATCCTGAAGGTTATAGGGAGTTACTGAGGGTCTCTCAAACATCAACTTTTATATTTGTAATTATGTATATAAATTTGAAAAAATTCAAACCTATCCAAAAGTTGTAAGAAAAAACAATATTTGTATACCTTGCATCTAGATTGATCTTTTGTGACTATGTCACATTTGCTATATTTCTTTATATATGTGTATGTGTGTAAATATACATATAATTTTGCTGAACCATTTGAAAGTTGAGGACATCCTGATCCTTCACTCCTAAATACTTCAGCACAGATTTCAGAAGTACATTCTCTTATATAACTATAATATAATTCTTAAAATCAGGACATTTAACATAGACATAGTGCTATTATCTAACATACAGACCTATTCAAAAATGTTCAGTTGTCCCTATCATGTTATTTATGGCAATCCTTTTCCAGTCAAGGATCATATGTTGCGTTTAACTGTTATGTCTCCAGCCTCCATCAATCAGAAATAATTACTGAACCTCTTTTTGTCTTACGGCATTTACTAGTTTTGAAATTTAAAAACTATTTGTTTTATAAAATGTTCCGAAATTTGGGCCTGTTTAACTGTGTTCTAATGATGAGATTCAAGGGATTCATTTTTAGAAAGAATGCTACATAAAGTGATGTTGTGTCTTCAGGGCAACATGTTAGAAGACTGAAGGATTTTAATCTGGGAAATAATATAATTTTACCATTCATTCATGCATGCATTCAAGAAAAATTACCCTGTAAATTAAGGAAGAGAAGAACATCAATATTAGTTGACTAGTTAAAAGGCTATTGCAATAATCGTCCCTCCCAAAGTGGTGACTGGAGTCTGGTGAAGAAGGAATAGATGTGGTAGATATGAAGAAGGTATATCTGACAAATATTATGACCAAGTAAATGTTGAGAGTACAGCAGAAGGGAGGGTCCAAATTAAATAAGCATCTTGTAATGGATAAAGAGATGTCATTTAAAATACTTAACTATTGTATTCTTCCCTCAAGAAAACACTTTAGAAATACAGCCTTGAACTTAAAATTATAAAATAAATAATTTACACAAGCACTGCCTAATACAAATTTTGTTCTCAATTATTTGCTGTCATTTTTGTAACAGCCTCTTGCCTTCTCCTGCCCATGGTGGGAAATTGGTAATGGAGCACTTGTTTAGAACTAGAGGAATGGATGATGGGAGAAATTGAGAGACATTAAATCCAGCTTAATGGACTCTGGAGAGGGAACGGAGGCAGCACAGTGCAGTGAGTGAGAGCATGTGTTCAGAAGCCAGGTTATCTGGGTTTGAATCCTATGGGCTCTGGGCAATTATCTTCTGTGTGCTTCAGTTTTGCTACCACTTTAACAGAGATAACAACAGTACCAACTGCGTAGGGCCATTGTGAGTATTCATGCATTGATATATAAAGCATTTAGAACAGTATCTGGTTTCAAATACATAGCATAGTCAGTTACACAGTCATGTAACCAATAGCTCTTTTGTTATTAACTCTGGTAGAAATGCAGAGAGATACAGAAAGCAAAAGTAGGTAAGAAGAAAGATGAGGACCAGAGTACACTGAATTTGGGAGAGTTTTGGAGTTTGGGAAGAATAAAGTGATTAAGGGTACCACTACAGTAAATGCAAGACAAAGGACCTGAGAGAAAAGGGCAAGAGGATTTTAAGGTCTGTCACTGTTATGAAAGGAATCCTATGATTTGGTGATTCTGAGATTTCAGTAAAAATGTTTTGTATTGATGTTTTGATGGTTATGTTTGGTGTTTCTCAGATTGTGGCCTCGATTAGAGACAGCAATAAAGGTAGAAGCAAGATTGGTTTTTATATGCATTACATTTTAATATAATAAATGTGTTCAATGGTTACCTCCACCACAGGGTTTGGAACACTGAGACCAGCTCTTCAAAGCCCACTCAAAAGTATCTAATTCTTCCTGGATGACATTGTTGCTGTTGATTGTAGGTACAGAGTCTTCATGGATGATGTACTTATATGTCAGGCTAGAGCGGGTATCATTTTCTTGAGGTATAATCTAACATACACATGAAATCAATATGTAAATCACCTGAGGGTTTTAAATTTTGAGTGTAAAATTACAAATATTTCAGAATATTGCTCTTATTAAAACTGAAAACTTTCAAATAGTTTCAAAAATTATAATGTTTTTATTTCTATAAACCATAGTGCAAATGTGCCCTGTTTAAGAAAAAGATGAAGTATCTATAAAACTTTTAACATAAAAGTGTTAAAAAATACATACACTGAGGAGTAAGAGTTTGTATTATAAAAATAATAACTTTATAAGGTTCACTGTAGGTTTCCTTAAATTATATCATCTCCTTTTTAAAGGATTTTAACTTTTAAGTGTAAAGAATTATAATTAAAATTAAAGGATTAAAATTTTTAAATTAAAATTTTTAAATTTTTAAATTTTTTGAATTTTTAAATTTAAAAATTTTGGTGCATTTTAAAATTGTCTTCAACGGAAATTGTTGTGTTGTGATGATAAAGATAGTAATGTTCCCTCCAGAAAATATATACATTATGGAAAAATAGAAAGAAAACGAAAAATCATAATTCTACCTAACTAGAGAAAACCAGTCACTTTTATTATTGTGATAGTCCCTCAAGATATTTGCATTCTGTGTGTGTGTGTGTGTGTGTGTGTGTGTGTGTGTGTGTGTGTGTGTACAGACATATTTACTTTCCTGGCTTTGTTTATTTCATGTAACATGCACATTTCTCAAAATATTCTTTGAAAACATGCTTTTGGAGTGTGGAATGATGGTCATTGGAGACTCAGAGGGGTCAGAGGGAATGGAAGGAGGGCTGAATGATGGGAACTTGCTTGGTGGGTACAATGTGCATTGCTCCAGTGATGGATGCACTGAAGGCCCTGACTTTACCACAATGCAAGATATCAATGTAGCTAAATTGCACTTGTACAAAAAAAAGTTAAAAAAAGAAAATATACTTTTAAATGTCAGCATAGTCTGTAATCCTAAAATTGTTATGTATTATTGTTAATAAGTGTGTGGTAACTCTTCAATATTTGTTTTCATTAGAAATTTTCCCAACCTTTGTGGGGATTTCTGGCGTTTCTTAGTAGACTGAAGGGAACAAACACTTTTTATAATTCTAGTTCTTCTGATAGACTGGTGAATGGTCCTCCGGAACAGTTAGAACAATTGTTACTTTAATAATGAGAGTGTATGAAAGTGGCCATTTGACACTACATGTTACATAATTTTCACCTTTATTAATTGGATGGGAAAAATATCATGATTTTAGTTGTTATTTATTTGATAACTAATAAAGTTTAATTTTCCTAAGTTTATTACTCACATATTTTAAACACTGTACATTGCATGACTGTCCTGGTTTTTATTGGAACTGTACACATTTTTTCTCTCCTAATCTGTGCACTAAAGATATGAATTCCTTTTTGTAATATGAGTTGCAAATATTTTCTCAGTTTGTCTCTTGCCTTTTAATTTTGTTCAGGGCAAAGCTGCCTTTAAAAAAATTGATTTTCATGTAGCTTTCATAGGATTTTACTGATTATGCAAAGAGAGAAATGTGCAATTCATTGGTATTCCAAACTAAATTTTTAGAACTACCTTTTGTTTGAGAAATGAGGTGATACTAAAATCAGTGGGGGTAGAGGATCTGGTTATCTGGCTTTTATTCTCTTTTTTCTGTCTTTTTTTTTAAAACAGCATTAAAAATCAAGCACCATTCGAACAACCCTTACACTCTAGCCAGATATCTAATTCTCTTTGCCCCAGACAGCCTAGCCACCATGTTCCAGGACTCAGAATGGAAAAGCAATGTCATAATGATAGAACATTGCTTGTCTACACCCTCATCTCCTAGCTACAAATCTCCCTCTTGTACCTCCAGCCCACACCACTTGCTGTGGTCAGATTATAATCAGTGGGCAAGTCTTGAAGCATCTATCATGATGGTTAAGCATCAGGTCTCTAAAGCCAGATACTCATGTTGCTAGAAAAGAATACAATGTAATTATATCAGCATGAAATACAGCTTCTGGCCTCCAATCATTCATATTTAAAATAAGCTAAATAAAACTTTGATTAACATATATTTTATTATGGAACAGGATGAGAGTCTAGAATAGACCCACATAAATGTGGATAATTAATTTTGACACAATTGAAAGGCATTTTAATAAAGGACAGACTTCTAACAAATAGTGCTAAAACAACTGGACATTGTGATGGTTTAAGAAATGTAGATACATTAGGTAAAAAAGGACTGAGAATTCCGTCTCGGTTTCACTGTCCCATGTTCTCGCTCACTTGAGTCACTTGCTGTAGTGGAAGTCAGTGCCATATTGTGAGGATGTATAAGCATCCTATGGAGAGGCTTAAGTGGTAAAGAATCATGGACTGCTACCCACCACATGGAAAAGCTGGGGAACAATCATCTGAGGCCTTTCAGCACCATGTGACTAAGCTTGGAAGCAGAGTAACCCCCAGTCAAGCTGAGATGACTCTAGCCACAGTTGACAGCAAACTCATCAGATACTCTATGCCAGAACTAGCCAGTTAAGTGGTGTCCAGATACATGTTCCACAGAAACTATAAGTATTGCTTGTGTTCAGCCACTAAGTTTGAGGGTAATTTGTTTTACAACAATAGATAACTAATATAGACATCCATATGCAAAAATAAGGACCTAACACTTCATACAAAATTAACCCCAAGTGATACATATACCTAAATGTAAAATGTATAACTCTAAAACAGTTACCAAAAAAAGTAGGAGAAAATGTTTTGATGCTGGATTAGACAAAAAAAAATTTCATAACACCAAAATCTTTATCCACAAAAGAAAACATTAAAAAATTGGACTTCGATAAAGCTAAAAGATTTTGCTCTATGAAAGAAACTACTAAAAGAATGAAAAGACAACCTATGGACTGGAATAAAACATTTGCAAATCATGTATTTCACAGAGGACTTGAATATACAAAGAGCTCTCGAAACTCAACAAAAAGAAAATATAACAACTTTAACAATGGGCAAAAGATTTGAACAGATATTTCAAAATGGAACTAATTTTCAGAGAAGAAAAACCCTAAAAATTGAGTGGAGCAATTTGACTTAAGTATAATATTTTATAGGAAATCCAATAAATAAAAATTCTGTATAAAACAGAAACTAACAATAAATTTCAAATCAAGTAGCTGTCTTCTGCTTTCATCCATGAGGGAGTAATGGAGTTGCCGTCTTGATATTAAAAGCTATAAAACTGGGCAAAATATTTGCAGAAACTTTTTTTTTTTGTTTGGCAATGTATGTCATGACAAAGGACACCAATCCTTGTAAGAAGAGAAACAAGCCAGATCTTATTCCTGACAAGGGCCAGGTTCTGGACCTGGAGCTAGATTAGAGTTTGGAACTTTCAGAGCCGGCCACTAAAGAGGGGCCTGCTTAGAGAGATCACCTAGAAATCTACATGGGTCCATGACTGAGGGTTGGTCTGTGTATGCTCAAGCCAAGACACCAGGCAGTCCACAGTGGGAGTGCTGGGGGTGGGACAGTGATACCAGAAACCAGGCAGGGCTGAGCCTGGCACCATGAAAGGCCACACCATGGGAAGAAGGACAACACTGAAATAGACTAGCTGTAAGGAAGAATAAAACTAGGCCTTAAAGGATCAGAATGATCTGACAATAACTTAACCGCCTGCCAGAACAAAACCAGACACCTTACAATTTATCTTCCAAAATGTCGAGTGTACAAGAAAAAAAGAAGCAGGAAATGTGATCCATAAAAAAAATTGACAATGTGAAGACCCAGAACTTAAAGGGTAACTTAGATGTAATGAGTGAACATTATGAAAAATTCAGCCGAAAAATGGAAATAAAAAAAAAAAAAGAACCAAATGGAAATTCTATAAAAGAAAAGTGCACCATCGGATACGAAAAATTTACTGGATAGGCTCAAGGACAGATTGGAGATCACCTAAGAGAAATAGTGACTTAGAGCTCAAAAGGAATAATCCGATCTGAAAAATGTATTTTAAAAAAGATTATAAAGGATGAACAGAGCCTGAGACTTGTAGAACAATTTCAACTGATTTAAGTGAGTCCTAGGAGTGAAGAAGAGAAAGATGGGGTGGGGGTGAGGGTTTGGGAAAAACAACTAACTAGAACACATCATGGGAAATTTACCCAAATTTGGTCAAAAACATCAACCTACAAAGCCAAGATTCTCAGTGAACCCCAAGCATAAGACATACAAAGAACACGGTAAACTGAGTATATCACAGTCAAACTGCTAAACCAACAAGACAAAACAAAAAGATGAAGAGAAAAATCTTAAAAAGCAGCCAGAGAAAACTGACACATTACATGCAGTGCAGCAATATAAATGAGGCTTCTCTTCATAAATGATGGATTCTGGAAGGCAAGTGCTGTATAAATGAGTAAAAGAGGGCTCCTGTATATTGGCCCCTAGGTTCTTTCTTCACAGCAGGCTGAGGCTGAGATCTGTTAGCTCAAAAGCCCTCTGATGCCAAACACAAACTTTTATACATCCAGTTGTTTTTAACGCTGCCCAAATGAGGGAGTTTTAGCCATTCAGGGACTGCTTGCTTTGCACAGCTCTAGGAAACTACATCCAACATCTGCTAGATATGAATAAGACCTTCTGGCTATAAGGACCTCACGCAGCTGCCTCCCTTGGAGCCCTCTGACCCACAGACTCTCTTCTGTGCTGCTGAATGACACCACCTAGGCACATAAACCACCTCAGATTCCCCTCTTTCTCAGAAGTTCCCTTGCCCTTCTCTCCTCTAGGTAGTGGCCCCACTTGCAAACCAGCTGAGGCCTAGCCCAAATAAAGTGTGTGTGTGCTACTGCCACCTTGTGGCCATATATTTTTCTTTGATCAGCCCCCAAACCCTTGGAACTCGCTGCAAGATCATAAAAACACAGTGCTGAAAGAAGGGAAAACAGGGAATAAAAAACCAAAAAACTAGCAACTCAAATTCTATATCTAGTAAAGATATCCTTCAAAAATGAGGGTGAAATAAAGATATTTTCAGATCATTGACAGATGAGAGAATTACTTGCCAATACACCCACACCACAAGAAATGCTGAAGATCTTTATATTGAAGGTAAATGATACTAGATGGAACGTCAGATGTACAAAGTAGAATGAAAAGCATACAAAATGGTAAATATGTGGGTAAATACAAAAATCTACTTTTAGTGTTGTCTTTAAAAGATGATAACTGATTATTTAAGTCAAAAATCAGAATGCTGCATTATTCAGTTTATAATGTCTATATAATAAATTACATGAAAATATTGCACAAAGAGTGGGGGGAAAGATAAATGGAATTATTTTAAAAAGCAACTCATGTTTCAAAGTTCAAAGTACACTTAATGTTCAAGGTAAAAGTGTTTTCAGATAAATTAATTATAAAGTAAGCTGAGCTAACTATACCATGAGCCCATAATGCCACATACCAAAACAATAACAGGATCATGTAAAGGTCCATCGGTGTGAAGACTTTCAATGTCATCTTCAATGTTATAATCCCACTCCACACCAAGATCTATGAAGGTCCGCGACTTGGCTTCCTCCCCTTTGCCATTTAAAATATAATGGCCTGTAGCCTGGTTCTTAATAGCTAAAGGGAGAAAAATGAGTAACCAGCATACATTTTATTTTATCATATTAAGTGCTGAAGATTCACAGCAAGTATATCCTTTCTACAAATCAATGACCATGTTTCTTTATTAGTAGCAAGGAATCAAAATGGGTGTTAGTTCTGATATTATTTCCATTGTCTTGATTAGGCATTCAAAACTCTCAAGAAGCATTCCTAACTAGTCAAAAATACAGCAAGATGGTTAAATAGGCAAAAATAATGTTTGCAAATATTCCCATTTGAAAACATCGTCAAAGAGGTTAATAGTTTCTAAATCATTTATCCTATATATTTCCTTAGAAAACTGGGAATATCTTGAAAATGATAGCTACCTTTTCAATAATTAATAGAAACAATTTATGCTAGGATAGCATATAATGTAACGGTTAATTATTGCATATATTTTTTAAAGTTGGTCAAAATATTTATAGTCATCCAACATAGTTGAAGTAATTTTTCAGGCAACAATTTAGTTCTCATGATTGTAAAATTCCAGAGCCATATCACCTACTCATATAGTTAGAAAAAGCTGCTTACTGCTAATGGAATTCTTAATGTAGTATATATTTATTACATATTATACAATGAAATAAAATGCTGGCTTAATGAGTAAAAAATAATGAATGGGATTTTAAATTTTAGATTTGTTTATCAGCATATAATGTTACATTAGAAAGCAAAATTTCATGTTACTACAATTATTGAAAATGTGTGAAAAACATGAGTAATTTTAATTAAATGTATTTATTCCTCTTGGGCTTTAAACTGGTCTATTTTTTCCAAGGACATTAATATGAATTCTAGGATGAAAAATAAGGGATTTTAAATGCTTGAGAGAGAACTATAGCTGACTGCTAGACTATTACGACATTTAGTAGTGAATATAAATTAAATGTGTTTAAAAATTCTATGAAACACCATAAAACAATGCACTTTTTAAAGTCACAACTGAAATAAAACAATTTGCTACAAATTTTCATGGAGTTGATACGTGATGTCTTAGCTTCAGAAATTATCTTAGTGTTCTTATAGGCCAAGGAATAAGTAAGTTATGTTTACACTTGTCTATACAATTTAAATGTAAACCTCTTTAAAGTGACATTTCCATGTAATCGTCTCATAAAAGAAAAAAAAATCTTCTTGTGGAAATTATAATCAGCTCTCCGTGGCAAATGGATCTGCATGTGCCAGTCAAAAACCTGACACATGTCAGATATTAGAATAATTTAAGATTAGATTAGTAAAATTCACCTGTGGTTGCTTTTCAAAGAATGTGAAATACAATAAAAATAAGGATACGTACAGTATTGGATCAATCAAAATATCAGAACTTATTTGTAAACATAAGTATGATGAATTTTTCTGATATTCCTTGATTTAGTGGATTTTATTAACATATTTATTTTCTTATTCCTTAGAGCAAAAAGTGTATAAGAAATATAAGCTTGTCAAATGATTTTTCCCTCATATAGTTAGGAACCAACCCCAGTTTCTATACAAAATTAAAGCTCTACTTTTTTTATGTTTCTTGTTTTAAAGTAAGCATAGTTGGGAGAAATGACCAAAAAAAACCTACATAACATTCAATTAATGCATTTATATATTATTTTGATTCTTACATATACGTATGCACATGTATGTACATATACATATGCACATGTACACACATATACACATGCACATGTACGCACATATACGCATGCACATCATGCACATGTACGCACATATACGTATGCACATGTACGTACATATACGTATGCACATGTATGTACATATACGTATGCACATATATGTGTACATATATACATATCTATATTTAGGATTTCTTTGACATTTCAATGTTTCAGTGCATGTTAAAGCAGAGACAGCAGACAGAAACACTTACCAAGAATATGAGGAGAAGCCTCGTCTTCTTGGATTAACACATGTCTAGCCCCAGGGGGTATATCAAACATCTTAAGGTACCCTTTGCATGTGTAGTAAATATTGTAGGAAGCAAAGAAGAAAACAAAAGCAACAACCATGGTTAGTTGAGCACTACATTCTTACTGCTTCTGCGTGCAGAAGAGGGCATCCATAAATTTAAAGAAGCAGTTTCGGAAATTAACTTCAAAGCATTGGTAGCTTTTGTGACATCCAACATGAAATTAGAGGCAACTTTTTTTTTTATTAAAGAGGGAAAAAAGTTAATCTTGTTACCAACGTATTAGTCACTTATCTTGCGTTGACCTTCAAATGATGTGAACAACAATTCAGGCAAATACTATACTTTCCTGTGTCCCTCTGTGTGATTCTAGTTTTCTAAACCATCCTTTTGAAGTGGAGTCAATTTTTAGTGAAAGTTCACTTAAGTTGTAAACTTTTTGGGATATGTTATCTGCTTACATGTTATTTTAAAAGTCTAAGAGGGAAGTATAGACAGCTAAACTTCTAATTATTAAAATATTTTCATATTTAAAGCCTTCTTTATTCTAAAGGAGTTACAACAGAAAAATCAGTGCTTTCATTTTTCTTGTGATCAGTATTAATTTTAAAGCTTTAGGCAAGTTTTATGATGGGACTATTTTAACCAAATCGACAACATGGATTTTAAACCACTTAGTTGGAAAATGTGTGCAAGATGTGTTATGCATTGCCTTTATATGCACCCTAACCTCAAAACCTCCTAAGCCAGAAATAAGAAAATCAATATGCTTAATAGGTTGCTTTGTGTTTTAAAATCATATATCATTCCTATTACTGTAAATGTCATATATCACATACTATGTTGATACTATCACATGTCCTAAAAATTATCTTACAATCATTTAGAATTAAGATTATGACCATAAATCATAAATATTATGACCTGACAATAGTCAGGTCAATTAGAACAGATGTTATACATCTCATTATCATACAAATAAATGAATATAAAATGATTATGTAACCTACACCTTCAATACATTATGAAACATCCAATACATATTCTATGGAGAATATTAACAGAAATCCAGTTATCAATCCACAATTATTGATGAAATAAGAAAAAACAAGTGTTTTTGTCATTTGTATATGTATAATAATATACACCTATGAATAGATTTACCTAAGTTTTTCACAATATTTATTAGTGTCCTAACTAAATAAAGTGGTCCTTTTGGGATCAGGGTGTTCAGCACTTTAGCCTGGGGTAAAGTCTAACACATGAAATGTACCATGTTTGCCTGAGTACACAGTGGCTAAAAGGAACATGCTTAAGATGCCAAGTACAGCAAAACAGCTTGATGCCATTTATGGATGCCCATCTTTCTGCAGTTTGCTACAACTTACCCAGTACGTTTTTAGCTTCTCTTGTTTCAGCAAGAGAAATATTACGAGCTCCTTTGGGTAAAGTGAAAGCGCCTCTTGTCTTCCCTTAAATAGAATGTCTTTAATTAGTGGAGGGTTCATGTTTATCAAAGTCTTGTTGTTTCATTGACTATCCCATAAGTCACATATTTTATTAGGCAAGTTATAAAATATGTTCTGTAAGTTTATGTGTTGAAGTCACAATGCATTTGTAATAGATAATGCCAATAAACTGTTAATAGTCAATGAAAGTAAGACTAAGCATGAAAGTAAGACTAAGTAGATGATTTGAAGTTGAATACTTGCAGATTTCATTTTCCAGCAACTTCAATTCTTTATGGCACCTCTTGCTTAAATGTTTTCCTGTTGGAAAAGGTTAATTAGTCTATTAAATCACTATGATGACAATATTAGTGCAAAGATATGGAAGTTAGATTATCTTTGAACAGTTTGAATTGGTATGACAGATGAAAATTTTCTAATGTTCTTTTGGCCTTGATTTGCAAGTTTAGCATGATGTTTGAACTCTCTGAAAAACAGTACCAATACCTTATATTATACATAATATACAATGAATGAACATGGCAAAACCTTTTCTTTACATTATTCACTGTGGAAATAAAACAAAATGAATTATTTTACATCCAAAAGAAAAGAATAAAATGTAACTCCAAGAAAGCACAGTATATTATTTCACAGCAAGATGAAGAAAATTACATTTGACTCCACTGAAATATAATACACGTATATAATTATATTTCTCTTTGCTTTAATAATGCAATCAGTCAGAAATAGCAATATTTGCTTTTTAACAATTTTCAAAGTACAAAACATGGTAATTTATAACACAGGAATAGCAAAGACATCAGTAACAAGAAAAACATTAGAATATAGTCTCCTAGTAATTGAGTTAGGTATCAGGGGTATAATGGGAATAAAAAATACAAAAACTAAGAGAATTATTTCATTTGGATGAAGACTAACTTTTTTATAAAAGGAAAAGTTACCCCAATGACAATTTACTTAACGTAAACCATATTTCTTTGTTTTTGTTTTACTTTCATGATTTTATAAGATACCAACGGCTCTTTGGAAGACATCAAAATCTTCTTGAGCAAACACCACATCAAATTTATCTTTAAGTGCTGAATTCCCAGAAACATTTGCCAAATAAATCCTTATTGAATAACTGAATAGTATCTGATACAAACTCAAGAAATTATTCAGTAATAAATGTCTGTATACAAATCTTTTATGAAAATTCCAATGAATATTATTAAACTATGGATAATTTTGCCTATTATTTGATGCATGAAGACAGCTTTTTGTTCCACCTTTGAACCTTCAGTGTATGTCTAAGTTCAAGTTATTGACTATGTAACAAGCATAAACATTTATAGAGATGAGCAATTACATCTCAGGTTAGTTTTTGGTTGTACCTCAATTTTGTTTAAAGTAAATTTTTAAAAATTATGTGAAATACAGATCCAAGATTCCTAGATTTATAAACAGGATAAAATTGTTCACTTTTAAAATAAGTAAAACTAATGTGATATTTTAAAAGTTGTATCTAAAATTTTGTAATTTTTAAACTCCTGATCAATAATTTATATGCAACAAGAATTCAAAATAAACACCAATTCTAATAATTCAATCTGCATTTTATTAAAAATGCAAAATAAAACACAGATTTTAGCTAGCTAGTATAACTGATACTGATTTTACTTGTTTCTTTTCTAAATTTAGTATGTATTTTTTTCATCATTGACGCTAGGGAGTATGAATTCATTCAAAGTGATTTCTTTTTTTTTTTTAAGTTCCTTAAAAGGTAATCTGAATAACAATAAATCAGCAGCTAAATTTTGATTATGTTTATAGAGAAAATGCTGCATTTCTAAAGGAAGAAGCCTCAAAAAGTACAAATCACAGAGAAGAATACTAAATCCATGAGAGACCTCATCTTACCAAGCTTCCTGGGAGTTCTGGTAAATGTCCCCTTCACGGTTCGGCAGTGGGAATTATCTCCTCCACAGACACCACACTTATCCTCAACCTTATTAGAACCAATTTCTTTATCACAGCCCACTTTCTGGAGAGAGAAGATGTCAAATGTGGCTAATTTTAGTGTGCCCAGTAGTGGTCAACATCCCAGAGAATGATGAACCCTTTGTTCAGTCATGGCCCACAGTCAGCCAATTTATAGCAAACTGCCACTGTAGTCATAATTTTTAATACCTCAGTTTTTTAAAAAAAATAATGGGAAACCAAATGACTTGTACCCTAAGTAATAAAGAATATATTTCCTCCAGTCCAATGAAATATTTACACCATTTTAAATTGTCATAGTCATCAAACACACATGTAATGAAAACAGATGTAGCTGATGCTGAGGAGACAAGAAAACAACAAGACAGTGCTTTTCCCTTGCTGCTCTCACATTTATGATGATGGATAATATAGTGAGTTGTATATTAGTGCAATCTTTAAAAGATGGTTATGATGTGAGACAAAACTTCACCAGGGTGGTGAAGATTTTCACAGGGGCCAAAGAAACACAGAATAGAAAAGCATTTCAGGAAAGCAGATGAGTTACAACAAAGCCAGAGAAGTATGTTCATGGAAAGTGGGTGCAGAGGTCAATATCTAAACCCATATTTAAACCAATGGAAGGTTAGTGTTTCATGATAAGGAAAGAACAGTGAAAAATCTGCATTGAATAGACTGCAGAAGACTTGAATACCAGGAAGAATTTACATTTTCCCTTGAAACAGGAAAATATTGAAGGTTTTCTGAACCAAGGCATGTTCTTAATGTAAATCACTGTAGAATAATGATACACAATACACTACTGCACTCAAAAGTATGGGATGAAAGGTGGCAGGGAAAATAAAGACAACACATACGTTTAATGTACTAGGTACTGCGGCAGGTAAAAGCTGAACAACACATACTATGCTTTCAGGAAAATGTAAGCTCAATTACTTTAGACTCATTAATACAGCACTTCAGTTTTGATGAAGTATAAAGGAAATATATGTTAGGAGCAGTGTTTCAGTTAATAAGATAATTTCATATCGATTTAACTATGAACACAAGAAATAAAATGCATTTTTAACCTGAGATTAAATGGAGCAAAAAAACATGTTTGCTTCTCTACTACTTTTGTTCTAATGTGAAATTTAGCCTTTAAACTTAGAATTGATTGGAAGGTGAGAAAGAAATGTCTTATTATCTTTACAACAAAAGATTAAATATACTTAGCACTGATTATTTTTAAAAAGACCTTGTATTTTAATAGCAGATGGCTACTAAAATACCCGAAGCAAATGCATTATTACCAATTTGTATTCCCAACCTAGAGGCCTCAGAGTTACTCAGAAAAGGCATTTGGCTGGAAATTAGGAAAATTATTTAAACCTTGATTCTGCCAGTGACCAAAGTTTGATTTGAGAAAGTACAATGTCTCTCAAATTTATTTTAGCTATTGAACTATTCATAGACACTTACTATAATGTGATTTCAAAGATAAAATAGTTTAAAAAATTAAAAATGTGCAGATGAATGACAGTAAACGTAGATAACGTAGAAAGCCTTTGGGGAAGCAATTTGAACTTACCACACACTCTCCTCGCACACATATGCTATATGGATCTTTGTAAGAACAGTGCGTTCCATCATGCACCAGTTGTTTCATGTAAGCAACATCTCCAGTCTCCTTGGACTGACAGTAAAGGTGGCATCTTTTCTTGGCTGCATAAGATGGAGGATAAAATTAACTATTTACATAAAATGGAATGTTTGAACAGCATAGTTTATTTTATTTTTAAATATAAGGTTTCACTGTGATTTCCTGAAAACAAAAGGAATACCGTATAAACAAATAAAATAAGGAGTAAGGAGGAAAGTATGTACATTTGACATTTTTTTTTTAGCTAAGGTGACCATAAAATTTGTCATCTAAACTAGAAAAGGGGTTCTAGTAATAACTGAGCAGGAACAACAGGTATAAACTGGGACTGCCCCAGGCAACCCTAGATTTCAACATAGCTCTTAAATAAATCTTAATTCAAAACCAGTTTAGTTTTCGTAATATTAGAGCACTGAAAGAATGTCTGTGATTTGACTCAATCATCTAACATAGTTTTTGCCTCTTACAGGATGCAACTCACTTCACCAAAATAGATAAAAACAATGCATTTCTTCTTAATGCATTGCAACTTTGAATTCTTAACGTGTATTCCTCTTTCCTTTAACATGGATTTGAACTGAACCCAGTGGTGCATGTAATCATATAACTATTTCCTTTCATTCACTCAAATAAGAAGTATGGCAAAAAGTTGCCATTGGACATATTTAACCAAAAATTCAGAAGTAAGAAGTGAAACATTAAAAGAAAATTTCCAAATATATCTTTAAACTATAGTAAAAAAGTAAAAGGTTATAAGGTATCTTTTGTTATTAAATTATGATCTTTCTCTTGGTCCTGACTCAATTTTCAAAGAACTATATTTTTCTCTAGTTCAGAAAGGAAAGATCACAATATTCCAGAAGTATTTCCTAGTAGAGGGATTTCGGTTGAATCAGGAATTCCAACATCTCTCCCAGGCGTTCCTTTCCACTGGTCTTTTCACCGCTGATGGTGATAGTGCTGCTTGCCAGGAACTATTGCACCATTCTTACCTCTTTAGAGAAAGGGTATTTAAGCCTTATTCTTAGAAACCCAGGAGAACTTACTCCTATAAGCACCAAGTTTCCTAAGTTACCACATAGGGATCAAGAGTCCATGGGGTTCGTGCTGGCAAAGCTTAAACTGTGAGTAACCATCCACACAGCAGGAAGGAGAGCACGAGGCTACTCACGGTCAGGATGTTCATATGGCAACCAGTGGTGTTTGGTATTCTGGTATTCAAAGTGGGAGTTTCGCTGCTGACACTGCTGTGCTCTGAAGTCCTCAAAGTGTTTTTGGCATTCTTCTGTGTTACAAAGCTGGTACTCAAAATTAACACCAGGACAATCCTGACCACCATTGATGGGCCTAAAGAAAAGACAACATTTAAAAAGGCCTTTTGGCTTCTGTCTAGCAGTTGAAGCTTGCAGACACAGTGCTTGAGGGCACAAAGCCAAAGTTTCTGGGCTGCCAGCACAAAGTGAATGAACTCATACTTCCTAATTTCAGTCCCTTTCCAAAGCACCCTTCTCTCCCTGCTGGGTGGAAAAATAAAACAAAACACAAAGCTCAACTTAAATCAGCTTTTCAAATCATATATTTTAAATGCATGGCAAAAGTGTGTAAGAAAAAAAAAGCATGTATATTGAATCAATAAAATGATATTTTGCTACCATGTATAAAACACACAGATGCAGCTCAAAGAAACTTTGGTCATCGCTCCATGGCTCGGTTCCCTCATATGTAAAATGCAAATAATAATGTATCTTCCTTTGAGGAAAACTGTGAAGATTAAATGAGTTGACATTATTTAAAGCACTCCTAACAACTCTGGCTCATAATGAACTTTAGCTGATCTTTTAATTTTTATTGTCTTTGTTACTTCTAATACCACCATCATCTCTTACTGGGAAGGCAGGTATGTGGCATCAGATAGTCTTACAAAAGACGTGCTCAGAGACATCCTGCTGCCAGAAACAGAGAGAAAAAGCTGCTCACATATTAAACCCTAGACAAGGCAGAATCCTCTAAATGTGAGAATTCAGTTGTTTTTTTCTTCGTAAAGATTGCTGAGCACACAATAGGGAATTCAGTAATTGTAGTCTGAGTGAATGAATAGATAACTTTCCCCCAACAGTCACCTGGCCTTCTATCACAATCTTTCTTTTGCCTTCCTCTGAAGCAATCACATTCCACTCCCTGAAGAGAGAGAGTCTGTATGCTTGGTACCGCTCTTTCCTGGACACTCTCTTGTTTCTGGCAGTCAATCTCGCAGTGCCCATGCCCACGCCCTTAGGGCACAGTGACCTACTTTCCTTGTTCAGCTTCTTAATATTCCTGAACAGCAACTTCTTTAAAAATATTCAATCTTCGTTTGATCTTCTTCATCACTGACTGCTTGTCACAAGATTAATAAATGGAGATGTATCAAAAACACAGACTGGTTTATGAACTGTGAACAATTTATTTTCCTGCCCTGTGTTTTACATGCACTTTATAAAACAGAATACTAATAACATAATATTGAAGTATTTTCTGGTCTCTCCAAAAATAACAAGAGTTACAAGGATATACTCACATGGGATTATTGCACTGGCGTGTTCTGAAACGAACACCAGTTCCACATGTCCGAGAACAGGAGCCAAATTTAGTCCATGACCCCCAATTGCCATCTTGTTTTTGCTGATTAGCATTCTTCCACATGCAATGACCCTTATAGCACCACTTAGAAAAATGACAAAAGGTAATTATTAAAATCACGCATACACTAAAGCTGAAGTTGTTATACAAGAACCATCTAGTTGAAGGGCTTTCTTACTGCTCTTTTTTCTTCCAGGTGGAGATGCATTTAAAATTATCCAAAAGCAATTATGTCATTAATATACCCTATTAAAGGGTAATTTAGACTTGTATTTTTCAAGTAGAAAATTAAAATGGAAAAACAACATTCACTCAGACAAGTTTTTAAATGATACATTCACCAGTAAGCATCAAACACTATAATCAATAAGAACTCTTTGAGCACCCAGCTTGCACAGTTGGTAAGATTTTACCCTTCATCTGTCACTACCTATATCATACCAGAATATTTTGAGGGCTACATGATCTTTTTAAAAATGATAAAATAAACTATGTCTTGGTTTAGATAATAATATAACATGTCTAAAACATATGCAGCTTTCAAAGCACTTTTATTTAACTTTTAAAATGTTTCATTAACAATGATTCTGAGAGATAGATGGGTCATACATATATCATCAACAATTAGATGAGGAAAATTGAGGCCCAGAAAGGTTCATAAGTAGTTGAAGGCCATCTGACCAAGAAGTAATTAAGTGGGGCTACCAGAACCCTAATACTATAGAGGCACCTAGCTTACAGTGCCTGGCATGGTGCTCAAGAGACATTAGCCATTTTCCTCTCTAACATTTTGACTTACTTTTTCACACTACGTACAATAAAAGCATTTGTTAAAACTCAACTTCTATAAATTTCAATATAACACCAATATATTTAAGAAAGTTGAATGTTAAAAAGTTAATTATATAATTTTTTATAAAGCAAAAATGAATTAACTCGTTATACTCTTGTTTTTAGTCAGAAGTTTATGATATTGAATTTTCCCAAAGCAAAACATTGTATACAAGGTGCTTTGCATAGTGCCTAATATAATGCAAACACTTAAAAAGACAGGTTTTATTATTATTATGCATATAATCCCTGTCACAAGTACAGTTTATACACATTTGAAATTGAGCTTTAAAAGAAGTAAATGCCATATAAATCTTCTGTACCAGGTTTTGGTCCTGCCTACAATTTCTTATTTCTAAACTAGTCAAAGCTTTTCAACTTGAGTTCTTAACATGCCTTTGTTTTGGGATCTTTGCCCTTATGAGTAGCATAGCTTGGCACTCAGCCAATTTCTGAGCATTCAATCCTGACTACACAATTTGAGATTTAAAACCTCTGGGCATCCTTCCCTAAGGAACAAGGCCAAATCTTCTGTATAAGTTCACATGACTTTATTTCTGGGCAACTTTCACAAGGAATGGCATGCCAGCAAGTCAATCAGATCCCACTACCAGGGGGCAGATAGTCTGCTGAGTTGCTTCTTCCTATTCTGCCAACAGTGGGCTGAATGGTAGTCCCAAAGATATCAAGTCTTAATCCCCGGAACCTGTAAATGTTACCTTATTTGGAAAAAGGGTCTTTGCAAATGTGATTAACTTAAATATTTTAAAATGGAGAGATTATCCCAGATTATCCATGGGGTCCTAAATGCTGTTACATGTATCCTTATAAGAGAGGGGTAGAAGGAGATTTGACCCATAAAGATGAGGAAAACGCAATGTGGCCACAGAAGCAGAAACTGGAGTGGTGCAGCCACAAATCAAGAAATGTGGGGTGGCCACCAGATGCTGGGAGAAGCAAAGAAAAGATTCTCCACTACAGCCTTTGGAGGGAGAATGGCCCTGCCCACACACTGATTTCAGTTCATTGAAATTGATTTTTGACTTCTGGCCTCTAGAACTGTGAGGGAATAAATATCCATTGTTTCAAGCCAACAAGTTTGTGAAAATTTGTTACCTTAGCCACAGGGAACTAGTACACTATTTTAGTACATTACTTTAATAAAGCCTTGCATACTATGGTTTTCATAAAAATGACAGTGCAGCTGTGTTTACCATTTTCCAGACCTTTAAAGATGATAATTATGCAACATATCTTACATATTTATTGTGTAAATAGATATACTCACTTTTCCAGCAGCACATTCAGTCCCATCAAGTGGAGGTCCCTTTTTAGTCTTACAAAAGTAGGGATTATCAGGATGGCTACACCACAGCTGTTTACATGGGTCAAAGGTTCGGAACTGGAAGATAGATAATCAAATTGTCAGTGAACTCTCAGCTAGCATGACATGCACCAAAAATATATTCTATACAGTTTCTTCTGTCCTGTTTCTTGGATGTGTTTATTTCAAGTTAATAGCCAATGTTTTGACATGTTGAAAAAAAACTGCATAAGAATTTCAGGTAGAAAATACTTTTATTCTGCTTTTCTAAAATAACAATGATAAACAATGATTTGTCTGAGATTATCTGGTTGACTTTTAAGGTTTTTGCTTGCTGTTTTTATGTTTTGTTTTTCAAATAGACAATGTTGAAATTTTCTAAAGACTTAGTAATTATCATGAATATTGTAAATATGAAAATATAATGGTTTGGCAGCTCTCAAGCTATCAAAATGTCTTTTCTTTATCTCTGTAGGTATCAGATAGATAGTTGAATATAAATAATAAAAGGGCTGGGCACAGTGGCTCATGCCTGTAATCCCAGCACTTTGGGAGGCTGAGATGGGTGGATCACCTGAGGTCAGGAGTTCAAGACCAGCCTGGTCAACATAGTGAAACCCTGTCTCTACTAAAAACACAAAAAAATTGGCCAGGCATGTTGGTGCATGCCTCTAATTCCAGCTACTTGGGAGGCTGAGGCAGGAGAATCGCTGGAACCCAGGATGTGGAGGTTGCAGTGAGCCGAGATCAAGCCACTGTACCCTCCAGCCTGAGTGACAACAGTGAGACACTATCTCAAAATAATAATAATAATAATAATAATCATAAATACTTATAATTAATTGACTAAAAGCAGAAAAAAATTGTCAAACTTTCTGTGTAAGATAAAGTATTCTAGGTACAACAAAATATCATAATACATTCATATAGTTTATGAAATATTTTCCATATATTTGATTCTCATACCAATCCATTGCTGAGAAATATGGGTTACAAGTTAGGGCTATAGTTATGGTTATAAGTAAGACAGCAACAGCACAAGACTAGAGTCTTGGTTTTCATACTCTTCAGAATGGTTTTTATTTTCTGAACACACCACATTATAATATCCAAATGTTTGTATAAGCAAACATGTGTATTTGTGTGTTCTCTTTGCTTGTTTGCTCTTTTTCTCTCTAAATGTAAACATCTTACCAATCATTATATTTTTAAAAATATCAAACAACAGCTAATCCACATATCTATTGCCTATACTGCTAATTACCTACATACACCCTTATGTGCATAGAAATTTTTTTATTAGTACACATTTTTAGATGTGGGTTTTTTGTTCTAATCCTTATTATCGAATGTGGAAATTCCACTTTTCCATGACATTAAGCCAAAGCTTTAGAATTCTCTGATTTAAAACATTAATGCAAGTAATTAGGAGCTCACAGTGTATACCTTATAGACAGACCAAATGGTTGTATATGGAAGGTTTCAAACAGCAGATCAATTTCTTTCTAGCCCCATGAAACACTTACGTTCCTTGCTCTAACACCCAAAGCTTGCTCCAACATAGAAAAAGGCCTTCTTTTTTTTTTTTTTTTAATGAATTACTAAAGACCAATGTGGAAATTTAATGAAATATACATCTAATGTGAATAGTTACAGGCAAGACTGGCTTTAATGGATTCCATTTAACATATATACGTGCCTTTCTTGTGCTAAGCACTTTAATTATATTATCAAATTTAATCCTCACACCAATCTTATCAGATACATACTATCATTATCCACATATTACACATGAGAAAGTAGTCCAGAGAGATTAAATACGGTGCCCAAGTTTATATATTTAAAAAGCATCAGCTGGGCACAGTGGCTCACGCCTGTAATCCCAGAACTTTGGGAGGCCAAGGCGGGCAGATCACAAGGTCAAGGAGTTTGAGACTAGCCTGGCCAATATGGTAAAACCCCGTCTCTACTAAAAATACAAAAAAATTAGCTGGCGGTGGTGGTGCATGCCTGTAATCCCAGCTACTCGGGAGGCTGAGGCGGGAGAATTGCTTGAACTCAGGAGGCGGAGGTTGCAGTGAGCTGAGATTGCACCACTGCACTCCAGCCTGGGCGACAGAGTGAGACTCCGTCTCAAAAAAAAAAAAAAGAAAGCGTTAGATCCAGGACCTGACCCACTGTCCTGACCCCCATGGTATGCCATATGATTCTTTTACTAGACTATACCAGCACAATCCTTCCCTATGGTCACACATACATGGAATCCTGCCATCAAGCTAAAGAAAAGCAATAAATCTAAGGCTTAACAGTCATCTTCTCTGAAGGTCACAAAAAGCAGGGGATGCAAAGAACATGAAGATTTGAGCCTGGCAGCCTTGGTTTCAAAGTCCAGTTCCCCTGTTTACCAGCTGTGTGCCTTAAGCAAGTTGCTTAATCTCTAAGTCTTGGCTTTATCTTCTGTAAAATAAAAGTACATCAGCTCTCTGCTAGTCTGTCATGAGAATTAATTAAGACAATATATTTAAAGCATTTAGCTGTAGCACACAGCAACACAATGAACACAAAATAACTGCTAGATATTATTATACTTGCACCAGTGAGTCTGTAAATCTCACCAAGCAGGAGCTACACAAATAGATTTCGAGCTGCAAAATCTACATCAACTGTGAGCAACATACCGCGGTGCACATTTTATAGCCAACACCAAAATCAAAACGACATTGCTCATCCATAGAATAATTGATTCCAGGAAGTTCTGGGAGTTTAGGCCAATCATGATCAAAAGGGTCATCAAGGAGACAGTCATAGGAACTGTAGGAAGAAAAATATTGCATGTAGTTAAATGTTCACTTAAAAAAATCATGTCCTGATTTAAAAAAAAGTAGTCTTAGCTTATATACTTTAGAATTTCATCCCAGATCATACAGCAAATTTGCAAAAACATGTATTTAAGGTTTTGGTTTTGGTTCCATTTAGAAAAAGACTCTTTACCTGTATTCATGCCAGGAAAGTAAACCAAGCATGACTTAGGAATGTAGTAGAGCCACGATTATTTGAGTCACTAATTAAACCACCACATGGTGTGGTAGGGCACATCCTGACACCTATACTGTAGAGCACAGCTCGTATCATATGCAGAAACCACATGACCATCCTCCCCCCATCCTCAAGTTTGACCATTAATCAAAGATTCGATAACAATTTACTAAAGGAAAATTACATTACAGTTAAAAGTTTACTTATATTCTAGACTTATGGCTTCAAGTATTGTGACTCCATGATAAAATTTTTGTGCTGAATGTTCTAAGTCATAAGAAAATGTTTATCAGTAATAGTTTTCATTTACTGGGAATTTTGCTATGATCAAGTCCTAAGAGTCAGTTTCATGTCTGTAGGCTATAAAATAAATACTTTCATGACATGCAGCAGGGGACATACTGGATATATCTTTTCAGTTCTTGACCACTGCATCGGGACCAGTGGTAACGATGGAATGCTGCTTGTACCAAGGGAGCCATGACACTTCCCATAGCAGTCTCATCACCACACCTGTTGCCTTGTCCATCATGCTCCATTCCCAACCTAGAACACAAAGAGACCTCAGTGGTAAGAATCAGGGGCTACTGCCTTCACTTAATTTTGGTTTTGAAAATAAGCCCTGGGAAATAACGTATTTTTGAGTCAACGTGGCTTTCTTGAAGAAGTCACAGAAACGGAAATTGACAGCAATCTGACAGAAATGCCTTTCTTATTCTATAGCTCTGAAAACCACAGGAGTGCCTCTGCAAGCCAGTCACTCATTTAGTTTCCGTGCATGACCTCTTCTCTGTTTGCAGCTCTTCACACTTGGCAAAAGACAAGAATTGTATGCTGGCATGCATTCTGCCCAAAGAGGAAACAATACTGGGAGAAGCAGGAAAGAAAAGATCTTTTTTTGGCTTTATAGCTGTCAGCAGTGACTTACACATGGCCCGTTTCATGGGCTACTACAAAAGCAGATGAAAAACCATCCTCATGATTCAGGGTACAACTTCTCACTGGATGACACATGCCGGTGACTGGAGCATATCCTGTAGAGAATAACAATTACTTTTATTTTCATTTTATGAGAAAACCCATTAAGAATTACAACTGGACTTTTGCCTAGGGGGAAAAAAGTAAAAGCCTTTCAGGAAACAGGGGTAGCATTATTTCCCTACTAGCATTGTGTCACATTCTCTTGGGAAAGCCACAGGTAATGTTCTCTAAAAAGGTTCACTGGGTCTGCATTTTCTCCTTTCCTAAGGGAAGGAATGGCCTGGGGTTACCATTTTCTTCTGCCCACCAGCTAAGCCCTGCCTTTCTGTTTTAGTAAATGGTCCTTCATATCGTGGTACTGATGAAGGAAGCCAGAAATTCCATCAATGTTAAAAAGAAAATCATCAGTCTCCTTCTTCCAAAGTCCACATCAGAATTTATTAGATAAATGTAAGCTGACTTTGGAAGAAAGCTCTTTGGCAGCAGTCATTTCTCATGGCATCTCTTTTCTCATTCCAAACAGTTAGTGGAAATCACACTGCATTTTACAGCACCCCCTCCATGCCCCAAATGCACAATCACTATTTTAAAAGCAAGTATAATTTACGATGGTATTTAAGTGGCATTTAACATTGAGAACTCCACATAAGTCACTGTAAGCAAAAGAAAGAAAATGTATGCTTGGCCGGTGTGTGGTGGAAAGCAGTGGTGGAGAGCAGAACATTTGAACAGACTGCCTGATTTAGGATTACTTTTTAAAAGTCATGCCCTCAAGTATTTCTTCTACATATTGACAGCAATACCTTGCATTCCAGCAGGTCCAAAGTCTTGCCTGGTTAAAAAAATTGCATGGTCATGGTGTTCAGAGTGGTTGAGATCAGATCTTTGCTGTTGGGACGCCCAGCGACACACATTCTCCAAGCTTCTGGATGGGTTTCCCCTTTCTATGAGGCTGATGGACTAAGTGAAAACAATATGTTAAAGACACACCTGACAATTTCCCAAAGGCTTCGTTTGATAATTTCCTCTGAAGCTGAATTTGGGATTAAAGTATTTAAACAATGATTCAATAATATTTGGGGCTTATTCTGATATTTGCTTTGATTTGTGACTTCTAAATGCCCATGAAGGATATTTTAATAATAATCAATTTTACCTGTGTGAAAGTCAAATGATACCATTTATGAGAATGGTTTTGTTATATTTGAGACAGAATCTCACAATTTTACCTGTGGGAAAGTCAAATTATACCATTTATGAGAATGGTTTTGTTTTGTTTGAGACAGAATCTCACTCTCTCACCCAGGCTGAAGTGCAGTGGCACCATCTGGACTCACTGCAACCTCTGCCTCTCGGGTTCAAGCAATTCTCATGCCTCAGCCTCCTGAGTAGCTGGGATTACAGGCGCCCACCACCATTCCTGGCTTTTTTTTTGTTTTTTTTTGTATTTTTAGTAGAGATGGGGTTTCACCATGTTGGCCAGGCTGGTCACAAACTCCTGACCTCAAATGATCTTCCTGCCTCAGCCTCCCAAAGCATGGGAATGTTTGATACTGAGATTTGCTATTGTGAGGCAACTTAACATTAATCATTTAGGTAATAATTTTAGTAGTCTAAATAATTTCTGATTTGGCTTAGATTTCAGTTTCATAGAATTAAGAACAAAAACATTGAGAAAGATTCTGGCATGTTTTTCCAGAGATGTGAAGGTATAAAATCTTAGTTAAGATTTTTGTTTATTTTTTACGATCCAGAATTAATCAACATGTGGGGAGAATATGAATTCTTCCATGAGTTGACAAGGCTGATGAAATCTTAGTCTATGGAGAACCATCAAATTATATTAACTTTACACTAAAAAACAAAAACAAAAACTCCCATTTTTTTTTTAACTTCATGCTACTGAAGAGGGGTGGACTCTTCCAGTTCTGATATAAGAAAATAAGTTCTTTGAATGTTGCTACCATCACATTAGGGTCAGGAGTTAAAAGTTCAGGGGGGAAAAGGGCCCAACCTTCAAGAACTCACTAGCCACACTTCTCAGAGTAGTTCTGATGAAATGAAAATTTGAACTTGGAACCAAAAATTAGTCCCTATTTGACTGACAGGCGAATTTTGTTATAGTTCAGCAAATGTTATTACCAGTGTTTACATTCTTAATAAAATCAGTTTCCTTTTTTAATATACGGATCACATACTTTTCCAAACAAATGCTTTAACAACCAATTGGAGGCTGTTATTTCCAGCTGGAGTTAATTCATATTCCTTGTTGGCAATATAAAATAGATTGATGACACTCTATCATTATAAAATGATAAGTGGATGTTAACTGTATAATGAAATGCAAACACATGGATTTTTCCTATTTCCTAAATGTACAACTTCGTTAATATTTCATAATCAGGAGGATTAACTATGGGAGAGAGATGTGTAATTTTAAACATCAAGAAAGTTGTCAGGCTAGTCGTTTCCTGTATGTTTCCTCCTTAAAGGAGCTAAACTCAATTATATTACATGAAATGCCTACTATGTGCATTTTTATCCAACTCTTTGCTTTTGAAAAAATTAAAGCTCTTTTAAATGAAAAATATTCACTCTGCACCTTCCTCTTAAGTGGAAAGATATATGTATATAAAATATTGTTTTTAGCGAATCAAGAGAAGACAAAGATCTTTGTCTTTTTTCTTCATTATATATTCCAAGCACCTAGAAAATGTCTGGCACTTAGTAGGCATTCAATATAATCCCTTCTAATGAATAAATGAAACACACACTCGATGATAACAATAGGCTAAGGAAATTCTCTCTCCTCATAATAGTATCCATTCATTTCCATTCATAAGTCACACCTAAAGTCAGGGTAATTATCTACCTCTTTAGACAGAAATAAATAAGCAAGTGGCAGCTGCACAAAAATCATTCATAATCTGCTCAAATTTGGAAGTCTCCACTCATGTGGCAGTTTCTTCTCCTCAATTTCAAGCAACTAGGGGTTTATATGGAATATATCTATGCCTTAAGTTAGATGTAGCTTGAACAATTTAGTCTTCTATTTGCTAACCCAGTCCCTAATGTTTATAATTCATGTTTTAAGACATTTTACCTTTGCATATCCCAGCATTATCATGCGCACCAGGACCACATTTATATGCACTCCGAGGGACTCATCATGGTAAATTTCATTCACCTAGCAACAAAAAAAGATAATTGCTAAAAGAAAGGAAACACCGAGGATTTCATGAGATGTACATATAAGCTGTGTAATCACCACAAATAGGTGAGTAAATTGCTGTTTTTAAATTGAGTTTAATAGCTGAACTCTGAAAGGTAGTCATTTACTTTTAGCTTTGGTACAATGTGTGGATATGTAAATTGCTAATTTTGTAAACTCCACAGTAATATGAACGTACAGGACATGCTCAAAAGGGCTTTGTTATACTAGTGCAGTGTTAGAAGGAGTCTATGTGTGATGTAATCCAAATATAACATTAGCCAAAAGCAACCACAGGAGGGTAACTTTGGCAAATCATCTGCTAGCCTGTGAGTTGCCTGCAACCACAGTAAAGGAAAACAGCAAGCATTTGCTTACTGGGGTGCCTGTGTGACAACCAGGGGTGCTACGTCTGGTTGAGAGAGCCAATGGCTATGGGGTCTGTGTGCAGGAGCTGTGGTAGTGTATCTGAGGGCCAGCTAGCAGGTGGGGCAGGTGAGGCAATGACTGCTTGAAAGTCCTACAAGATAGAAATCCTCCAATATTTAAGTTACTAAGGAGACTGTACGAGTACCTGTCAGATGAATGTCAGCCCTGGATGCAACTCAGAAGAGCAAATTTGAGTCACTGCTTTTTATTTAATTTTAAAAAATTAGGCTGAAATTTCTAAAAGTGACTTGGTATACTTTAAAATCATAGATGTTGGAATAAGTGCAACCTCAGAGGTCATAGTCCAATTCTGTTTTATACAGATGAAGAAAATAAAGCCTGTAGAAATTATCTGACATGCAAAACACAGAGTGAGCTACTGGCAGATATGAATCTGAAGTGGACTGTAACTGTATCTTCTCATTAACCTAGTGCAAAATTAGTGCAAATAAAAAATGCTAGCAGGAAGGAGAAAGGTGGAGTTACCAGGCTAGAATGCAAAGTTCTTAGAATGAAGACTCGACACTTGTTAAAAAGACTAAAAGAGGGATGAAAAACTAACTGCAACTCAGCTTCAGATCCAGGAGATTTGAACAGTAGACACAGCAACCTGAAAGCTGCACAGAAAAGACAGGCATAATCTCATAGCGAGTGGCTTTAAAAATAAATATAACTCAAGAATGATTGAAGAATGCTCTAAAACAAGAAATTCACAAATCATAGTATTTTGATTTGCCACACTAACCAAGAAAAAGACCAAGAAGTCTCAATTGAATTGTTTCAAGAATCCAACGTGACTGCACAGAACACCTTTAAAAAAATCAGGGTCTTGAATGTAGACTGAAAGCATACTTACTGAATTTGTAGAAGTCACAAACAAGAAAAGAACAGCAAAGGTGGAAGTAAAAAATCTGGCTAAGCTAGAATATACTAGAGATAACAAAGTATAACTTGAAAAGATGTGAAGTCCTTTTAAGTGGAAAAATGCATGTATACACACATACATTTATACATATATACACATGCACATGCACACACACATGTACTCACATACATAGAATGGTAAGACCCAATTTAATACCTGTACGAGATAAGCCAAGCTGTGAAAAAAAATCTGCAATACAATCTTGGATTGCATAAGTGTGCAGGCAGATAGCTCATGCACAAGTTGTCCCACTCTAGGCTACAGAAAACCTGAAGTATTGAGTGCATTTTTCTGGGCTGTCTTATGACAGAGGTGCTTGACAAAACATGAATATATCCTGAGAAGAGCTAACAGCAAGGAGGCCAGAAAATGTGTCTTATAAAGAAGGGTTGGGGATACATAATGGTTAAAAGCCTGAATGTCACACATTAATAGTCTCAGATAAATCCTGGTTCAACCCCTCACTGCTTGTGAGACCTTTATTTTTCTGAGTCTCAATAAAATGGACATAATAAAAATAATATCTCATAGGGTTAGGGTGAGAATTAAGAGAGTTAACTCATGCAAACAAATCGCTAAAAAATTTTATAAGTGAGAGGGAGGAAAGGGTTTTTTAAGGATATTAGAGTATGAGAAATGGAAAAGAAAAACAAGAATTAATAGCCTTCATATGGAAAAGGGGTTTGATTCATTGTATATATCTATAGAAAATAAAACTTAAAACCATTCACATTATTAAAGGGGTAAATTTCAGCTCAATATAAAGAAAAAGTCAATGTTAGACAAAAAGCTGTTGTTTCTTATGGGCTTTTTAGTCATGGGCTGATTCTCTTATCTTATGCCACACTTCATGCTGCCTAGTTGAAAAGTGAATCAAATCTTCCACCCTCCTGTTCTGGATTCATTATCTGATAACATATTCCTAACTTTATAGTTGCAATAAAAGTTAAAAGTCAACAACCAGGCCTGTCACCAACACATTCATTCAGAGACTCATGTCTATCCCAAGAGGCTTCTTGTAAGGCAGCTGTTTCAAATTAGAAACATGGCTTTGCACACCAAGTTATAACATGTATTTAGTTCAATGAAGTTGAGATGTAAAATGCACTTTGTGTTAAAATAAGGTTGAAAGCAATGTTAGTAAATAAAACTAGATAACAATAAAACAAAACTAAAGAAACGGAAACAGAAAAAGTGAATTAATTTCTGGAGAAGGAGAAGTAAGGAAGAGTAGGAGGCACTTACAGCCAATGCATATAACAGTGACAGCTATACTGTAACATATGTAATACATCAATGCTATAGGAAGCTCCTACAACAGAAAGTCTTAGAATAATAAAATGAAGGAAAGATGGGAATAATGACAAATAGCTTGTGATATTTGAGTTAGTATAAAATGCACATATAATCATCCTAAATTAGTAAATTCATTTGTACTTAGTGAATTATAAAATTAACACAGTGTCAAGAAAGTACAATGGACAAAATTATTAATCTCAATAGCAAATAGGATATTATAAAATGAATAAAAGAGCATTTTTAAAATTCAGATTTACCATTCACCAAAATAAAAGTATTACTTAACAAAAGTCACTATTATGCCAGGCTAATTAGAAAACAGGGTGACCCAGTAGAAACCAAAATCAGTTTAAGAATGTTCTGAGTCAGCACACATTTTGAGATTCACAAAGTATACATAAATTATTATAGGTAGAAATAATCTAATACAAGGGAATAATATTTTTGCATAGCACAAAGTATTATTTCAATGTGGCAAATAACCAGCTGTCTGTACTGTACAAAGCACTGTATCTTATTATTTTGATTTTCAAGGCTTAAAAAAGTTCCTCCATATTATTCACTTCCAAAATATACTTAATAATTTGACTGCTTTTCATCTTGCCAGGCCCTATCAATTCCTGAGATGTAGTGTTTTTATATTGTGAAACACATGGAGTATGATAAGAGCTGGAGAAATAATATGGCACCATATTATTAGATATTCAAAACCCTGGGTTCTGTTCCCAGTTTGGCCACGGATAAACTGAGTGACCTTCGGTTGGTCATTTAACCTGAGTCTCGATTTTCTTGTTGACAAACTCTACTTTTACTTGCTTTGTCTGTTTCACAGTGTTGTTGCTCAAAACAAGCAAGATCATACAACTATACTCGGCAAAATACAAAGTACTTGAGCTCCTATCCCCCATCCATGCACAAAGTTTAAAAAAAAAATTGTGAGTGTATTTTCATAATCTACCTGAAAAGTTCAAGAAAAACAATTGCCTTAATCACAGTTTTTACTGAAAGGGACCTCAAGATTCTTCTATTTGAAATTTGTTAAATCTCAATCTCAATGAAACATCTAGTTTAAATTATCAATAAAATTACTGGGAAAAATCATTTAAAAGCTATTTCCAGCAGATGGCAGTATGCATGCTTCAGAGGGGCAAAGGACAAGCTGCTTCATACACCTGAATGTGCTTACATACCAGTCAGTATGTCAATGTTTTCCTATATTTACACATAAATGAAACAATCTCCTTGAAATTAAATAAGAATTGTAAAATATTATAACCTGAGAAAAATGCTACGTTTTAAATGCTTACTCATTTGACTCTTAAAAGCAAAGAAAAATATTGAAAAAAATCATTATTTAGACTTTTTAAAATGTCATCTGATTACAAAATTACATAGGCATAAGGAAATTCTCATGATCTGGCTGTTTTTAACACTCAAATAATATAGAGAAAGAACTAAAAGGATATCATACTAAATTAACAATTTGAATCTGTCAAGATGGGCTAAATTCTTATTAGGAAATTCTTAATAATTCTAAATAATTCTTATTTATTAAGAAAGTAATTTTACAACTTTTAGTGAAAAGGAAAGTAATTTTTCTGAAGTAAAAGCAAAATCAACAAAAAAGAACAGCTAATAATACAGAGAGCTTATCAGCTTCCAGACACTGCATTAAACACTTTACCTATATTGATTCAACTAATCCTTGAAATAACTTTAGAGATATTAACTCCATTTTACAAGTGCAAAAGCTCAACATATATTAGAGAGCTCAGAATCCTATAGAGGACAGATGTTCTCATTGCCCAGAGAAGTTAAGTAACTTGCCCAAGTACAATTAGTACACGAGCAAGGGATGAAAATTAGCAGTCTGACTTCAGGGTCATAGCTATACCCATTTTGCTGTAGTTCCACAGATCTGCAGGCCACAATGCTGTCGTTATACATAGGATGTGGTTTTAAAATCATCAATAGTGATTCTCAACCTTTGAGTTTAAGAATATAGTGTGGAAACATATTGAGAAAGAAAATGTAAAATTTGCAGCTTCTTTTCATAATCTTCTTTAGGTAAATTTTAAGAAAATGAGGAGCGAGGCTCTAAACTGAATATAAATAAGGATTTATTGATGATCAGTATAACAGTATTCCAGAAAATATTGAGAAGAAATAAAGAGGAGCTAGAGAAGAAAAATTAAATAAGAAAAGAAATAAAGGGTGAAATGTATAACCAGTGTTTGGGGTTGCAAGAAAAGCAGTAAGCATAAACATTCTAAGTGACGTATTTGACACTGCATAATGCAAACCAAAGTACATCTACAAAAAAACACTGAGTATCTTTTCACCATGTGAGCCAACCTATTGGACCATGGGTAGATTTTCTGTGAGGTGTTCAGGGTTGAGCCTAGAGTCTTTATTAAATTACCTGAAAGAAGGGGTAAACAGAACATTAATTCAATTTTCAGATGACCTGATGTTGGAAGAGTTTGTCAATGATGTGAGGGAGGAAAAGGTAAAATCAAATCAAGTATTCCTTTCCTTGAAATGAAAATTCCTTCCAGGTTTGTTCCCGGACAGGACAAATTCTCCCAGGACATTTCGCTGGCAGGACAATCTGACCTGCTTTGTCTGACTAGCTGATGAACAGCTTTGTCTGGCTTCAACAAAGCAACACTCATTTTTTGTTCAGATGGGTGGATCAGGTCTTGAGAGGCTGGATAGCTTAGCAGTGGAGAGCATGAGCTCTGCGTCAGACTGCCTGGATTCAATCTTAGTTGTGTGATGCTGGGCATGTTATTTGTCTCTGTGCCTCAGTTTCCTCACCTGTAAACTGGGATAATTACAGTATTATCCTCATAGGATTGTTGAAAGGAATAAATGAGTTCATATAGGTACAGTACTTGATGCTTGGCCCTTGCAAATATAAAAAAAAATTAGCAGTAATTACTGCTATTATTCATATAGAAGCAAATAAACACCACATATATACAAAATTTTTTTAAAGAGACTTTTGTATAACTGAAAGTAAACAAGTATCAACAAGATAGCCTGAGTGATTCTGGCTAGATATAAAAGAATACTGAAATGGACTGAGAAAAGTATTACTCTGTCCACAACTATCTCTTACGTAGGTAAAAGTTCCAAACTCATACCTGCTTGTATTCTCAGCCCCATACTCAGTATTCCTTTTCCTCAGAAAACAGAGGTGTCTCCCAATCTGCCAACTCTTCCCTCATCTCCATTCTCATATTAATAATAACTACTGTTTAGTGATATACTCTTATCAACTATTTATTGAACAGTGGCTATGTGCCCAAATGTTCTGGGGGTGGAGAATGGAATAGTCAATACCTTTGAGTCTCTGTTCTTATGAAGCATAGACTCTATTGGGCAAAACAGCCTATAAGCATGAAAAAAAATGAATGCAAAAAGACATGCGGGCAATGTCATTTGAAATGGGAATAGGTGTAATAAAGAAAACAAATATATGAGTGACAAGATAGAGGAGGACAAGAGGAGTTAAGGATTGGGTACTATTTGAGATTGGGTAGTTAGGAAAGGGAGAACCATGGACAGGAAGGAATAATTGTGTGACTGTTTAGGGAAAAAGCAATCTAGGCAAAGGGAAGAGCAAGTGCGAAAGCTCAACATATATTAGAGAACTCAGAATCCTATAGAGAACAGACATTGTCATTGCTACTTTATAAAGAGACTGAGACCAAGAGAGGACACACAGTGTTTTCCTCAAATGATTAGCAAAGCTATCAAGTCTATATGATATCAGTGCTTGTTCTCTTTTCGCAAATACCTTGCTCTATGTTGTGTTTTGTTGTTGTTGCTGTTGTTGCTGTTTTGTCATGATGGAAGCCCTGAGTCTCTAGACAGTCACTCCAAAAATCCCCTCCATGCTGCTGGTTTAATCGCTTCCTTCCTAGGAATTACTTTTCTTCTCTTAGTAACATTCTCAACTTTCTTTCATGAAAAAAAAAAAAACGATCTACGATGTTCTGTGGGATCTGGTACTGTTTACCATTATATTCTTCAATGTCACTATTCTGTTTCTTTAGCAAGATTAGCTCTACAGCTCTACTTTCTCTGCCTAACCTTTACATGTCAGTGTTGCTCAAGGTTTGTTTGTTTGTTTGTTTTTTGACTGTTCTCCTGATACATGTTTCCCCTGCAATATTCTCTTCACTGCTGTTGCTTCAACCAGTATCTATAGGCTGATGAATTCCAAAGTTTGGTTTTTTTGTTTGTTTGTTTTGAGATGGAGTTTCACTCTTGTTGCCCAGGCTGGAGTACAATGGCATCATCTCGGCTCACTGCAACCTCTGCCTCCTGGGTTCAAGCAATTCTTCTGCCTCAGCCTCCCGAGAAGCTGGGATTACAGGTGCACACCACCACACCTGGCTAATTTTTGTATTTTTGGTAGTCATGGGGTTTCACCATGTTGGCCAGGCTGGTCTCGAACTCCTGACCTCAGGTAACCCACCCACCTCGGCCTCCCAAAGTGCTGGGATTGCAGGCATGAATGAGCCACCATGCCTGGCCCCAAACTTTTATGTATCTAACAGTGATTCATCTCTCTCATGTGTGAGGGCCATCTGTTCAACTCTACTAACAGGACTATCTATTTGGAAGTATACCTGGATACCTCACAGCACACCCATCTTCTCTCTAAAACCTGTTTTTCTTTTCTAAATATTTTATCCCAGTTACAGACTAAATCATCCTTGATTCCTTCTTCTTCAAGTATTAGAGTCATTCTACTACCAAGTACCGCAGACATCTGTCAAACCTGTCCACCTCCACACCAAGCAGCTTAGTAAACCAACCAGCTCATGCAGACTGTTGCAATAACTTGTGAAAACTTTTGCAAATATTTTGTATTTAGGTGATTTGGGCACATTTGAGTAGCTCTCCAGAAAGGAAGATTGTAAGGGTTGATGGTTGTTTTCAATAAACATGAGTCTTTCCTTTTATGTGAATTATGTCTTACTTCATTTAAGTATCAAAGGAGCTTTGGAAAGCCCAAGAATAGGCAGTCAGCTGTGAGGTCCTACAAACTCTTGTGTCCTTTGTAACAATGGACACATAGCAAAAGCCCAGGTAGAACTGTTTACCTTTCCTCAAGATTGAGAAAGATGGTTCGCACAGGAATCTATAAACTTTTTCTGTGTTTTACAACCTGGGAAAATACAAAGGTTGTAACAAAGTAAGGAAGGATAAGGTCAGTCTGATATCTGTAACTTAAGAAAGAAGAAAGTGTGAATTTCACGAAGGGAATTTGGGGCTGCAAAAGCAAAGGGGGAAAGGAAGAGGCAACTGAGACGCTTCAGTAAAAATCGAAGGGACCTCTTAGTCAGCAATACTGTGTGGATGTTGTGTTACGTTAAGGTAACATGTGATGTGGGGACTCGCTTCTAGAGTGATAGGTCAGGATATTCCTGGGAAGGTGAGTATGTTTTTATAAAAGGTGGCTGAATCGACTTGTGCTTGATGCAATCTGTCTCTGTGATCTGGTATGTTCAATCCACATTGGGGAAATTAAGATAGCTTGTTGAGGTAGGGAAGTATAGTGTACACAACAAGGAGTTTGGACCCAGACAGACACTATGAACTTAGAAACTATGTGTTCATGTTCATAGCATAGTGTGTAACAGAGTCTCTCTCCTCCAAATAATTCTAATAATGCATCTCTTTCTAAAACACGGACTGATCAAGTCACTAATCTTAAAAACCCTTTATGACTCTTGTTTGACAAGATGAAATTCAAACTACTTAGTATGGCACTTATTATTTTCTAAAGTTAGCCCCAGCTTCTCTTTCCAGTCTCCTCATCTGCCATCTCCCCTAAATACCTTTCAATTTTACCATGCAGACCAATCTAGAGTGTCTCCAAAGACTCCATAAATTAATACTTCTAGTATCTTGTTACAAGCTGTTCCCCATCTTCCAAGACCTATCTCCCCTTTTTCTAGCAGGAAAATGCCAGTTGAGTTGAAAAAGTCCAACTCAAATGACATGTCGTCTTAGGAAGATTTCACTGGCCACTGGCATTATTTGCCAAACCATATCCTCTCTTTTTCAATTCATGTTTACATAGTACTTTGCAACTGAATCCCTTGAAGATTAATATATTTTATAGATCTCTATCACATTTTATTATTATCATTTGTTGATTGGTTTATTTTACCTGCTACAATTAGCTCCTTGTAGAAAGGTGCTATGTTTTATTAATTTTTGTCTCCCAAGAATCTAACAGGACTTTGCCTATGGTAGGTTATGTATGCTAGGTGAATAAATGCCTAGAGGATTGATGTGAATTCAAATGTAAGAAACGGATTATAGATAATGACTCAAAACAGAAAACTGCTACATGATATGCTAAGGTTGCATGAATATGTATACTTTCCAGATAAATCTGCATTGCACTCACATTCAATGTTTTCAAAAAAGTTAAAAAATCAAAAGCAGTGTATTGATATAACCATCGTTAAGTAACCAGTAACCACATATATTTGCTGCTAACTCTTGAATAAGTCCATTAATACTTTTTAAGGACCAGGGTACGGCTGTGGAGTTTATATTTTCTTTACAAATATTGGTTAGGGAAGCCTGCCCTGTTCAGATAACACATTTATGCTCGTTCACTGTCCATCATAAGTAGCTAATTTCAATATACAAAGAAACTGATGAATTCACTCAATAATTTATAATTTCGTAGAAGTCCAAGACTGTTTCTTTGTACTGGGAGGCATTCTTTTAAATGAACTGCTTTCTTATCATTTAATAAATCCTGAGATTAAGGCATAAATTCTATTTACAGGGCCCTAAAAATGTTAAGGCACATTAGACCCAGAAGACCATTTCATAGATCTTAGCAAATAAAAAAAGATACCTTTGACCTGTCACAGACAGCAGAGTGTTGCTGATGGAAAATATTTGGTACATTGAACGAAAACAACCTACCATCTTAACCATAAAAATCTGCCTCATCAGCCTGTTAGAATCTTAAACTAGATTGCTAACTAGTTTGATTCAATCAGGTAACTAACTGAATTCTCATTTCAATGACTTGAATCGTACAAACAAGACACAGAAACAGATAAAGGAAAGACATCAGAGTTTTATCTAGCAAGAGATATATAAAATGCCTCAACTTTGTAATGAGAGGCAGTGAAGTTTGGGGAGGAAGAGCTTAAGGCTCAGAAGGCAGATATAGATCTGGGCTCAGGTCCTGACTCTGCCATACTAACTGTCTGACCCTGGGAACATCACCTAACTTCTTTCAGCTTCAATCTCTTCATTTGTAAACTGGGACTAAGGCTGAATGCATCTTAGAGTTGGAAAGTATTAAATAATGTACATAAAGTATTTATCAGAGATTCAGGCGCAAAGAGCTAAAATGTTAGTAGTGTAAGCCTTCACTATTAACATTAAATCTTCATTTTGAATCTAGACCCAAAACTAGATGATTTCAAATACCTTCAAAGATTTCATCAACAACCTTAATTCTCCATAATCTGTTTTTTTATTGACCAACTCATCTACATAAATGGTACCATTAACAAACAGAATGTTCAAGCTAAAAAAACGTATAAATTATGGTAGATTCATCTCTTTCCCTCAGCCCATGGATTCAATAGCAAATCCTACTGATTTTACCATAAACTATCTATTATTACTGCAATCCTCATTGTCTAATAAAGCATCCTCTCTTGCCTAGACATTTATACCCACTTTCCAGTAGGGTCTGTCTTCATTGTCCCTAGGCCTCTTCAATTTTTCTTTACAAGGCCGAGAGAAGCAGGAACCGACCCTCAGTGGCTTTTATTTTGTACTTAATACTGCATTTAAGCTCCTCCTATGACCTGAAAGATGCTTGCCTTCTTCTCCTAGCTCTGCCTGACTCCTTACACACTAAATTTGAGCCACAATGACCTTTTAGTTACTAAAACGCATGCCCTTATTAAATGGCTGGATCTTTTACTTTAAGTCTCAATTTAATAATCAATTCCTGAAAGAAGGTTTTCTTTTTTGTTGTTTTGTTGTTGTTGTTTGTTTGTTTGCTTGCTTTTTTTTTTTTTTTTTTTGAGACGGAGTCTTGCTCTGTTGCCTAGGCTGGAGTGCAGTGGCGCGATCTAGGCTCACTGCAAGCTCTGCCTCCAGGGTTTACTTACACCATTGTCCTGCCTCAGCCTCCTGAGTAGCTGGGACTACAGGCACCTGCCACCACGCCTGGCTAAATTTTTGTATTTTTAGTAGAGACGGGGTTTCACCGTGTTAGCCAGGATGGTCTCAATTTCATGACCTCGTGATCTGCCCGCCTAGGCCTCCCAAAGTGCTGGGATTACAGGAGAAAGAAGGTTTTCTTAATCATCATGTCTATGTATAACCTCTATCACCCATTTGCTCTGTTATTCTCTTTCCCAGAAAACTGTCAGTTCCTTGCATAGTTCTTATGTAACCTATGATGTAATTATTTGATTTCTCCACCAGTCTATAATCTCGCTGAGGTCAGGAAATAAGCTTATTTTATGTTAACCACCATATACCTGGCATATAGCATTAAAATACTTATTAAAAGACTGAATCGATCAAATTTTTATTGCATGTCTACCACACGGCAGACACTTTTGGATATAATTATGAGGCTTAATAATATACAGTAACTGCACTCAAGGAACAATCAACCTATTAGAGGACTGCTCCTGTTGAGGTTTGGGTTGATAATTATGGACCAGGTCAGGAAATTAAAAATTTTAAAACTCTACTCTCTTGAAGCTTGGTGGAGGATTCAGGCCAGCTCCAAGAGGGTCAACAATTTTTATCATGCTTATTGGAATATTGCCAATACCTAAAATAGGCCTTGCACATGGCAGACGATGGGTCAGTATTTATAGTATGAGACATGCCCCAGAGCTGAGAACCACTTTCCCAGTAAATCAACCATGTTACAAGTTAGTAAAACTATAAACATTTCTTGATATAACAAGATATGATATGGAATCCTAAGAAAGGCTTAACATATATGACAAATCTCTTATTTGAAACATTAAAACCTTGGATATGTTCATATCCATGTGTTTCTTCTTCATATAGGAAGCTTGGTGAAATGTCAAGATCTACAAAATAGAAAGAGGTTAAAAAAAGCAGATGAAAGACATCTGATTATTCTCCCCATTGCTTCACAAAGGAGTGGGGATGAGTAGAGGGTATCCTTCCTTTCTTAGGAAGTTATATCGAAATCATCTAGGGTCTGCTCAAACTTGTTCACTTGACCCTTAAGCCCCAGAGAAAAGTGTTAACTTAGTTAACCAAAAATAGATTATGGAGAATTAAGGTTAGTGATGAAATCTTTGAAGGTATTTGAAATCATCTGGTTTTGAGTCTAGATTCAAAATAAAGACTTAATGTTAACAGTGAAGGCTTATACTACTAATATTTTAGCTCTTTGTGCCTGAATCTCTGATAAGTACTTTACATAAATTATTTAATTTATGCATCCAAACACCCAGATTTGCATGGCAACACCTACAGAATTTTACCGCATTCATACGCACAGTCATTACTATCGTTAGGAAATACGGCCCTGAAATAGATTAAATATATTTGTATCCAAAAGGTGGACAACTTGCATGGCTAATTTAAAACAACAGATAAACCAAAGGGATTTAATATTACTAGTGACATATAACAGTAAATACTGTGTGTTAAGTGTTCTCATTACACTTAAATTATGATTGAGTTAAAATTAAAAACAACTTAAACGTTCTAAGCCAGTTTCTCCTCCCAGTAACACTGTCTTTTTTTAATGATTAGCTTTACCACCTTATCATTACTTGAGACTGTTTTATGAACTGTAAATAATTTTTTAAAATTTACCTAAATTTCATTAACATTTTCAAAGTCTCTGTTTCCTTTGGAAAAATTGTAATAATTTCCATCTTGCAATATAGTTGGAAAGAATATATGATACCCAATAATAATTGTTAATTTATTTCTTAAACACTGCTCCCATTATATCATTGCATTTGGCATCTATTTCCTCTTGTTTTGAGTCCAAAATTTCTGACTTCCTCCCAAGATTGTTCGTGATCTACCTCTACATTATTTATATTCATTTGTTCTTCTTTCATTAAATATACATTTAACACTTAATATACGAGCTCTTTTCAATAAAGGAAAGCATGACATAAGAAATATAAGCTTCTCTTTAAAAGGGAATCCCATTTAAATTAAGGCGATACTCTGAAGCAAATTACTTGGACCTAAAGGTATTCCCTTAATTCAGAAACTATCATCTCAGTTCTGATATGGAAATGAAATTGACAACCAGGTAAATGGAAGAGCACATCTGCTGAGCAGTCAACCAAGGCAAAGTTGACCAACAATTTTAAAGGACAGCATGATCTTCTCTCTACCATAGGGACACCTTTCACACTAATCAATGCAAAAAGATAGAATTTTTTGCTGTTAGCTTTCTTCTACAGTTTCTCTCCAGGACCCTATCTGACATTTCATCTAAGTCTCTGTGTCTATGTAGGCCTCAAGCCTGGTGAGCCATAATTTTAGATGACCATGAGAAATCATAAAGCATGGCCAGCAAAGGAGATAGTTATTTGAACATCGTTAGAGAAAAACTGAATGTTCCTGGTCTTGAATTTCCATGAGGTAGCTTCATTACAGTATCGTTGGTTTCTCTTTCTGCTTCTCATTCTCATTTGATGATGAATTGGAGGAAAAGGAAAGAGCCTGCTCAGGTCAGTATTTTGGGTCTAACAGGCTACAACAGGGCAGAGGGTATGGAGGAGAAGGAAGACTTAAGTCTTCTGTCTGTCTTGCCTAAAGTTGTCTGCCTGACTCCAGGGGGAAAACCTGAAATTATCCAGTTGGAGAGTGATGAGGGTTGGGAATAAGACTAATTTAGAACAAGGTTTCTAAATCTCAGCATCGTTGACATTTTGGGCCAGATAATTAAAAATTCTATGCTGTGTAGGGCTGTCTGTTGCGCTGTAGGATGCTGAGCAGCATCCCAGGCCTCTGTCGCTATTAGCAGTAGCATCCCCCTCCACCCCCGCCCCACCCACCAGTGTTAACAATAAAAAAAGTCTACAGACATTGCCATATGTCCCTGGGAACTGACGTGGACACAAATTATCCTCAGTTGAGAACCACTGATTTAGAATAATGAAAACCTTGTGACTATACACTTAAGTATATGCAATTGTATGTGCAATTCAGGTCTCATCAATAATAAAACTATTTCATTCTTCATCTGTGTGATTTCCATGTCTATCTTTCAGTTGGTCATGAAGTTGGGGAGGGAAGGGGAGGAGTGTTATTCTTACCTCTCCAAATCTCTTACCTGTATTAATTACTTAAAATGCAACTAATATATTAAGTATTAAAAAATTATTTTCTCTCCCATAGCTCCATTCTCTGATACTCTATTTACTTTAGAATAATTTGTATTTGAGACAGAGTCATAGTCTATTATCTAATTTTTTTAATGGACTTAAGAACAAAAGTCCTCTTGACTGTTTTTAAAACATAAAATGCATCACTTTGTTATTCCTTTGACACTCTCAAAATCATACTTACTACTTACTGTCTGGTGAATATACTGTATCCATTCCTACATAGAAGTCCTTTACATTTTCACATGTCCTTCAAAAAACACAAACAAGGCAAACAAAAAAACAACAGGAAATCTCTAAAAGCAGTTTAACTCCTAACTTCTTGATGAATTACATAACTAATAAACTTGTTGAATCTTTCAATTTTGTAATGATGAAAACTAAGTCCTAGAAAGGGACATGATTTGTCTAAGGTCACAAAGCCAACTAGTAGTATGACTAAAACTAAAGCCTTACCCTCCTAAGTCCCAATTTAATACTTTTATCACTTCATGATTGGATAACTATGGTCACATCTCCATTTTCTAAAGTGTTATAGCATTTATGATATACTGCCTATAATATGGCTTAATAATAGCATGACTTTTATTGTTTACGTTTTTTCCTTCTAATTTTCCCATGTATTTATTTTTTCTCCTCTAATAGTTATAAGTTCTACGAGGACAAGACCATATCAAAATCTCTATTGCATTACTCCAAAAGCCTTCTTATTAGGCACATTTGCAAGCCAAATAAGTCTGTACTGATTGTCTTCCAGATAGTAGAAAAAAAGTAGCCCAGGGACATAATGAATGACGTAAGAATAACATCTCCATAGGAAGTTTGAAATTTTAGATAACTTATGAAGTAAAATTTGGCATAGAGAAACTAAAATATGATTGTCTATTTGTGCATCTGTATATGGCACTGTAAATAATGGATGACTTGTATTTACACACTTCATCCTCTCAACATCCCTATTATTTTTCTCAATATGCCGATAAAGAGACAGAAGCAGGACAGAGAGTCCAAGAAGCATGCCAAAGTTACATAACTAGCAAAAAGTTAATAGTCAAAAGGTTAATATGAAAAGTTCATAGTCAAGAGTTGAAAACATTCATATGATTCACAAATGATGATCCTCTGAACACATCTATTGCCAAGGCTAGTAATTTGTTTTCTGTGTGTTGTTTGGTCTTCATAACAGAAATTAGTGCCAAGAACAAATAAAAATGTGTTTGAATTTCTGTACTCATTTTCCATTTCACAGAGATATGGTATAAGTGTAATTTTATAAATTGCTATCTCAATAGACCAAAATATAATTAACAGATATTAGCATAAACAAAATCATGTTTCATGAAACTAAGAATTTTTCTCCTTCACTATCATTGCTTGAAATCTAATCTTAAGCATGGGGGAAAGAGGTAAACTATAGATATCCAAGAAATTATATTAAATATCAAAAGTTGTGAGGGGGGAGGGTGGGTTGAGAGATAGGGAAATAAAACAGCATAGGCTTAGGTAATAAATTTGCAAGATCAATATAATATATATTTCATATTGGCATGAGGTAACATATATAGAGTACATCAAAATCTCAATTATCTTTTAGAAGTAGGTGGTTTACGTATTATTATTTCTCCTCAGTTGTTCTCTGCCAATTTAAAAAGAAAGAACACAAGTTTCAGGATATTGACAAAATTTCTTCTGAATCTGATTAAGGTTCATAAAAGAGAAATAAAGATAAATTTAAAGAGACCATTAGTGGTTGCTGTGCAGCACCGTGCCAATAGTTGTATGCTTTGTATTAATAAATATATTACCTTCAGTCTTATAATGTTGAAAAAAATCACATTTGTTCAAAAGCTGTAATAACAAGAATCCACAGAGTTACCAGGCATAAATCATTCTATATCATCCTGTGAAGCAGAGTGATTCTAGAAAGAACTATTTCATCCTTCATAGGCAACATGAAAGCAGATGGACAAAGTCCTGCGAGTTTTGATTATCCCCAGAACAAAATAAAAATTACAATTCATGTTTTAATTCCATCTCATTATGGCTTTTTAAATTTATGATTCCCCCTTGACAACAACGGAAAACTACTTGATCAACCAAAAGAAACTTTCGCTTCATGCTTCCTTTATTTTAGCATTCCTGTACTTTAAATATGTAGATCAATAATTTAAATTTAATGCCATCATGCACATATTTTGGCACAGTCATGGAAGTTCTCACACAGATTGCCAAAGGGTACCAACAAATAAGAGAAGTGAATTAAAAGATCAAAAAGCTTTAAAAAGGAGTCACTACTCACAATGTTCATTAGGGTCAGGAGGTAGTTTTGGACGTGCTCTTTGCCATGGAAACGGACCACAGAGTCATCCACTCCCAGCAGTACCTCGATATTGTAATCGTTTTCTCCCGCGTGTCTGCGGCGTCTCATTGTTTCATTCAGCTGCTGGTGGATGTTGCCATAAACAGTACCTAGATCATCAAGGCCTTCCAGGTCCGACTCTAATAAGAGACAAAAGGAACCAGGAATTTCAGTTTCCCTAACAGGCCTTCCAATCACTTCTTAGAAAAAAAGAATCTTCTCAGGGGCCTATCAGTATCATTCATAATCACTGAGATGTTGCTTTTCAGTTTATTCCTTAAATAATACGCATATGCATACGATCAGACAGACCTGCTACAAATTGAACATAGAAGAGCAACACTGAAGGTAAAATCATATTATTATACAGGGAGCGGTGCCATCATGGCAGAAGGACTATTCTGTAAGGATAGAAGTGGTTCAGTTTTTCTCCCAGCAAAGAGTCAAGGCAGTGGGGGTACAGAATACAGGCTGGCTATGTAGTTATTAAATAAATTGAGATTACAAATAAAAATAACTCCAGTATGTTTACAATGATTAAGTTCCTGTAGCCATGGAGTATAGAATTTGTGTCACATAAATTTAAATTGCTCCTCTTTCCAGTAACCTTAATTTAAAAATTAAATTATAGCAGGGCAACACAACAGCATCTAGTGATATGATTATCAGTCACTATGTATTGCTTTATTTCTTCTGAGTAAAGTTTTCTAGTGAATGCTGCCAGCGAAGAAGTGGATATACAGGGTATATACTATATACATAAGTGTGTGTGTGTGTGTGTGTGTATGTGTATGTGTGTGTGGATAAGATAGTATATAATATACAGGTTATATATTATATATATATGCCAATAAAATATACATATATGTGTATATGCAGGGATACACAGGAAAACTTTAGTGCTCCACATTTGCACTGGCCATCATTTGGATGGCAAGTCATTTCAGTTGCTATATATCTAAACCTGAGATATCAAAGTAAGAAGTCAGTCAGAAAATAACTTTTATTCAAAGAAAAATAAAAGTAAAAATAATTTCTTATTTAATGCAGTTCAAGAAACTTACATTTTTTTACTTTCCAAATGAACATTTCATACACACATACACACACATATACATACAACATACCTATATACATGGAAAGAAAGAAGAAGAGAGACACCATCAGGTTTTAATTACCTAAGTTATCTGTTTTCAGATGACTATATTTTTTGAGAAAAAAAGTTTTAGTGAATTAAAAAATAAAATCTATCATTTGGATTAAAATTAGAGAGTATTCAAAACTGCTGGTACATAAAAACCAAAAATATTTTCATCTCCATTTCAAGTATATAGAACTCAGAAAGGATTTTATTTTATAAGCTGCCTTGATGTCTAAAACAACCGTATATGTAAAAACAAGTTTGACAGAACCAGCTCTGACTCATGCTTTATATGATGGTTTATTTCATGCTGCACTGGGGCTTGTTAGCCATTTGAGTCAGCATCTGACATTAATAAATAGGTATTGTCCTCTCCACCTTTGTGGCTTTAATAAAATTAAGACTGGGAAAAATAGGTGTCTTTTGGCTGGGAAGGTTGATGACCAAGCCCTAGCCAAAAAGGATTAGAAGTAGTGAAAGTACAGATCCTGCTCACACTTTTTCTACCTTTAAAAAATATATAGAAACACCAATACCCTCCCTTACAAGTAGGGGGACATGGTCTGAATGTGACTACTCAGGTTTAAAAGCTCTACTTTAATTCACTTTGACCTAAGCCCAACTGCTAGCTCATTAGCTGGGAAAATTCTCCTCACCAAGGAATTACATTGGCTCCACAATATATAAATAACTCTCACCATCATCCACATCAAACAGAAAGCTTTCCTCAAAAGTTTTCAAGAGCTGCAAACCCTCACTGAGGTTAAGAGACGACTACACCTGCAAATAGCTTTACCATTCAACCTCAAGTCTTTTTCACACACTTAGAATGTGAAAGGCTGTGATAGCTAGTGTACAAATATAGGAAATTCAGACATGAGCTCTCAATTCTAAAAATGGCTCCTGTTGGCAGAATGCTCAGAGAAAACGTCCAATGGAAATATACCAGCAATGTTATTATATCATGAAGCTTGATGTGTGAATGAAGTAGGCTGAATACTTATTTCAGAGAGGCAGTTCATTCTGCTTTAACACACCTTTGGTTTGGCCTTTGCAAGCCTCTTTAAATAGGTAGTTTTCTGGTAAGGAAACAGAATCTCTCTTTTTATTGCATAAGAAACCTGGGAAAGAAGAAGGAAGCCTTTGAAAATCAAGAATAATTTGTCCCTACTTTCCTCCATGCTGGGCAGTGTTCTTTCCATGTTTCCTAAAATGCACAATATCAAATATTTCAAAGAAAGACAGTAGGATAGCTTCTGGCACTTTTTACTTATACTCATCATTATAATTACAGACTGCTCTGAGGCTGTGAAATACCTTCATTCATAATGAATTTGTCTTAGTAAAACTGCAAAATTATGGCAAAGCTATGACAATAAGAGAAATTGACATAGTTGACTCCATCTTGCTTCTCACCTCCAAGCTGTTCTTGGTTATTTCTGGGCATAGGCCAAACTAACTTTGAGAGGAGTTTATTTTATAGTTTAACCTTAAAGCAAGGATGATCATAGCCCTTCCCACAACTAAACTGCCTTTGTAAAACTAATGAAAGGCCACTAGGTTAGGATTATGAATGAGGTTTGAATTCTTTTAAGACACAGGCATAATAAAATGATGAACCGCTATTGTTCCAGAGGTCACAAGATTGGAAATTTCCCCAATTACTTTTTTTTTTTTTTTTTTTTTTAAGACAGAGTCTCACTCTGTCACCCAGGCTGGAGTGCAGTGGTGTGATATAGGCTCACTGCAACCTCTGCCTCCCCGGTTCAAGTGATTCTTGTGCCTCAACCTCCCGAGTAGCTGGGATTACAGGCACACACCACCATGCCCAGCTAATTTTTTTTCTTTTTGTATTTTTAGTAGAGACGGGGTTTCACCACATTGGCCAGGCTGGTCTCAAACTCCTGACCTCAGCGATCTGCCTGCCTCAGCCTCCCAAAGTGCTGGGATTATAGGCGTGAGCCACCACACCTGGCCCCAATTACTTCTGTAGATAGCATCACTATTGTGGAATCTAAGATTGATCTTTTGAGATATTTTTTAGCCTGTGCATTCTGACAACCGACTGACCCCAACCAAATGCATGACTCATGACTCAGCTGGTACTGTGGCCCCACCAAGAGGTGGACTTAGCATATGACGATCATTTTCCAACACCTATTGAAGTGGCATCGTTGTCTGGGGTAAAGACCCAAGGTTTGTCATCTTGCACCAAGGAAATTCAGTATGCAGACACACACAAGAAGTGGGTTTAGGAACAGAGGTTTAACAGGCAAAAGAAGAAAAAGGAGAACAGCTCTCTCTCCTGTGAGAGAGAAGGGCACCCAGATGGGGCTTCCAGCCCCCAGCAGAGTACACTGGATTTTATGGACAGGCTGGAGGTAGTAATGTCTGATTTACATAAGGGCCCACAGATTAGTTGGACCAGGTGTAACAGTTACATAGCATGCTGGGAAGCTGGCCATCCCACCCTAATCTTATTATTCAAATGGGCTTTCCACCTGGCCAGTGCCATGTTGTCTCATCCTTACTGTACATGTGGCTGGCAAAGAGAAGGGAAGATGGAGCTGCCATGTTGGACATGCCTAGCCCCCAGGTACCCCCTTTCCTATTGGCACAACTGCCAGCATTCACCTAGCAAGTTTCTAGCTTGCCTTTCTATGTCTGCCGCTCAATTTTACAGGCTGTTCTTTGTTAGAAAAGAAAATGATTTGGGGCTGCTTTTCATGAAAAGAAACATGTTACCAAAAACTTCCCTACCCTCACTACCCACCTAGATAATTTCTTCTTTACTCCTATATCACCATGATCGTGTCTCCCAACAATCAGCAGCACCCATTAAGGAATGTGTCCCCTGCCTGCCAAAATATCTTTGAAAAACAACCTTTGAGCCTTTAGGGAGACGGATTTGAGTAATAACTCCACTTGCCATGTGGCTTCAATGGTGCTAGCTGAGTTGGGCAGCAGAGAGTGATTTATGTGACAACAGAATTAGCAGAAAAAAAGGAAAATCCAGGTTACAGAGAGCTTTCTAACAGGTGTGTTCTCAACTGATCATTCAAAAGGAAAAAAAAGGCCCTGCAAAAGGTAGAGCAGTGTTATTAATCTCATGCATCATTCCAAAAAGGTGATGCTCACAGTGCCTTTTAAGCTTCTCAGAAATATCAAAGTCAATCCCCTCTTAGTTCTTAGAGTGAGTTTTCTTTTTTAAAACTTTTTAGGAAAATGTACGTTTTTGAAGGTTACCTTAGGAATTACTGATGTGCATTAATTAATATTTTGGAAACATTTTAATTGTATCCTTTTGTGCACCCCCTAGTTTCCCAATTACTGTATAGGAATTTGCAGAAGTGATCATTTTACTATAAGGCCTATTTTATCAGAATGAATTTTTGAGAGGCATATAGGTGTTCAATCAAGTCAAAATAAATACAGTTATTTTTAGTGTTAAGTATAAGATTATCAGTATCAAATCAGAATTTTGAACTTACTAAACAGATAAAGTAGAATATAACTTTCTTTGCTGATTATGGACACTAAGGCTTGAAATATTTTTAGGAGAATGACATGTTCATATGCTTAATCATACTTATAGGAAATCAAAGTATAGGATTAGTGAAATTGCTCCCTACCCCAGAAAAAAATTTCTATGGTCTGAAAAAGGACAGGAGACGAAGGTAAAATTGGAAAGGTACAAGTTCTGAATCTAATACAAATACATTTGGGGTTGGAATGCAATTATAAGCATACTGTGATAGAGCCTGTGATAAAACCATCTACCCAATATTCATTCTCTCTTCCCTAAGGAGCAGAATGTTAATTTTATTTGAAATAATAATAAACCCAGCAAAAAGTCACTCCCAATCTCCCTGTGACTAAGGGTTACATGTGACTAAGTATAAGCCAATGAGATCTAAGCAGAAGTATTGCTTATATCTTGATGGCTTATGACTCCTCAAAGGAAGACAATTCATTCCAGTAGGTGCACACCCCTTTGGCCCTCCACTCAATCACCCAATATTCCTTTCTGCTGCCTAGAATGTGGACATGATGTCAGCAGTTCTATGGGGTGATCCTAGGATAAAGGGACATGCTGAATAGAGGAGAGTCTGACACTTTAAAGGAGTGTGACTCCCCAGTGACTGTAGACTCACCATACCAGCCCTGGATTACCTAAAAACAAACTTCATTACATATGAGAGGTAACACTTCCATCATGTTTAGGTCACCCATCTAATGAGTTTTTTCTTGTATGCCACTGAATCTAGTCCTAAAATACATGACACTCAGAAATTTTAATTTTGTTGACTAGGTTCTCCCAGTACTCTTTACTCCCTATGAGAATGCAAGCCAATTTTCATGTGAATAAGTGAAGAATAAAATACGATTCATGTTACCAAAATGTATCATAGTAGCATTCTCTGTAGTGCATCATTTCAGAAAATGAGAAAGCATCATATTGTTTTACAGTAACAATGAATACAGAATGAGGCTATATGTAAAAATCTTGCCTTCTTCATGAACAGAATACTGTTATGAAATGAAGTAACTGGAATACTACAGGCTGGATTTTCCAAGAGTAGGTGGAGATCCTATAATCAGAGCTAAAAATAAGTGTAAATTCCAACAAATGTCATCTATTAACATCAGAAGCAGAGAGCAGTTAACTTAAATAATTGTGTTAACCTGTTTGTATCATCCAATAGTGATTTTTAATTGACATCTTTTTAAAAAAATTTAAAGTTATCACTTCCTAAAAGGATACAGTAACAGCATCTCCACATATGTGGAGGCACTATTCTACCAAGATATAAAATGTTTCCGTGAAAAGGAGCTCTATCCTTCACAAACTGAGAAATTCCATAATGATAGTTCAAAGAACTATATTCAGGTCAAGTTATGATGTCAATTCAAAAGTTTCACTAAGTACCTGTTGCTTTTATTTTTTAAAGACATAACCATTGAGTGAATGTCAGTTTCCGTTATTTCTTTTCCCCAAAAGTTCTAATTCTAACATCCGTGTGTTTGCTTTTGTTTTTACTGACTACTTTATGGAATAACATGACATTTTTTAGATGGGAAACTTCTTACCTTTTAAGGAAAAAAATGTTTTAATGCTTTGGGTTTGTGATTATTAGCAAATGAAATTTTAAAATCAGTTTAATATCCAAAATATGAACTCTGACTGGCAGTAAAAAACTTCTATGTCAGCGAGAATGTTTCTAACTGCAAATCAAGAAAACTTAGTGTCTTCAGCAATAAGTAAACATACTAGTTCACGTAACAAGAGTTCCAGAGGTATGGTGATTCCTGGTTAATCCATCAATAGGTCATCAAGGATTCAGTTCTTTTCATCTTTCCATATCCTGCCATTCTTGGTGTACAAACTTTGCCTTCAAATTAGCTCCTTTGATTATTTCAAAATGGTTACACCAATTCTAGCATCAAAGCCATGTCCAACAGATTGTGTCTTCCTGCATTACTTTCTTAGGAACAGGTAAAAACCTTTCCTAGAAACTCTCTGGTAACATTTAACTCCATGTTTCAGTGGCCAGAATTGAATCACAGGGGCTTGAAATAAAAGAGAAGGAAACGAATGTTGTACAGGTTACCCACCTTGCTGAAATCTTTTTCAGATCTTCCTCTTCCCTCATCCCTTAGTAACAGCCTTCCACTGGTATCTTTTATACCTAGTTTTCAATAATGCATTTCATGTTTAATTTCTTCTATTATAATTTGTCTAGAGATAACTTCTGCATTCTCTTGGCCTCAATATTTTTTGAAAGAGATAGTCCTTCATTTCCATAGTAGTGGATTCTCATAATTGTTGCTCATTCAGTCCCATTGCAACCATTTAATTTGATTTCATTTCAGTGGTTTATTGCTGAAACATTTGGGTGTGGGCAAGGTTGTCAGATAAAATAAAGTATTTTTTGTTAAATTAAAATATAAGATAAACAACAGTATTTTTACTAGAGATATCTCACAGATATTGCATGAGACATATTTAATACTAAAAACCTACTCGTTGTTATAGCTGAGATTCAAAATCAAATGAAAATGCTATAGTTTTATTTGCTAAATCCAGCGACTCTAGGTGTGGGGGAATTATCTTTTGCCAGGCAGTACATGCAGTTACACGAACTTACACCCTCTTCATCTCACTTTTCTCCTCTACACTTCCATCTTCAGCTCTAGCAGTGCACATTCACCTGGCATGGCCAAGTAGCATATGCCATTTCCTTGACTCCAGTACTTGGTTAATAGATGTTCAAATGGCTTAAATTATGCTAATGAAATTGTGAACTAGGACATTTTAATTTGGAGCTACTAGGAAAGAAAAGTTCTCATTATTAAGCTGGAAACTGGAGGAATATAACAATGTAGGTGTTTACGGCTAGTATGAGAATAGTTGTTGGTCTAAGTTTAATGCTAGAAGAGGAAAGTGGAGACTACTAATAGAGAATAGACTACACTCCAATGATGAGTATGAGCCTGTGAATTCACCCACTAATTTCTGAAAACTTGGTCTTTTCAGTTTCACAAACCAATAAACTACCACCACCTCATTTTCTTATTTTACTGCTTTTTTTTTTTTTTTCCATTTGCTAAGACAGTTTGATGTAAGTTCCCGACAGGCAGGTGAAGCTAAGAGCAGCCTGATAAATAAGCCCATTTATACCCTTTCTCTGCTACAGTCATCAATAGTCTTCATTTTCCTTCTCATTCTTCTTCTGTAGTCAACTATTCTTAGGCTACACAGTGCTCTGAAAAAGACTACATATTCTGTTTTATTTCCCAATTTGTTTATTTTATTCTCTCGGTTCTATTTTAAATGAATAATGTTGTTACTAGTGATTTGTTTCTTAATTTCTTTTATTCTTTTTCAGCTAAATCATAACTAATTTTGGGAGACAGCACAGTTTTTAATTTTCACATTTTACTGCTCTAAACATTTAATAGCATTTTCATTAACATTTCTCTTCCTCTTGACTAAATTATATATTTTCTTATTTATGGCTTTTGTAGTTCAGCTCTACTAAATCAAGGAGGTAATAGAAGAGTAGAGGAAGAGGTCACCACACCCAATTACTAGATTACATTCTAGTAATCTTAGACTGCTAGAAATTAAGGTTTTCTAAATAAGGTCAACTACATAGAAGAGAGGTGAGATTCCTTTTCACAGCTGCCGTTTCAAAGCTCATGTTACTTCCCTCACTTTCCACCTATATGCAACTTTAGTAAGGATAGAAAAGCTCTTCACCTCAAACTTCTCCAGAAACTCTACATTTGCATTCTAAATCACTCCAATATGGAATGATTAATAAAAATGTAAATAAGTCATTATAGCCAAATGACTAATATGTTAATATTAATATTAACACTTGCCATTTATTCTGTGAGATAAATATTTAAAGGCTCTGAACACCACTTTATGTCACACTGCTCTAAGCACTGGGAATCCAGCAATGGACGAGACAAACATGTTGCTTACCCTCATAGAACTTACATCCCAGTGATAAGAACTATCAACTAGGGTAAGAAGAGTAAAACAGGAGGAAGGGAGTAAGAGGGACAAGGCGAGGGAGGCAAAATTTTAGATAAGGTTCTCAAAAGAAGGCAGCAAATGGGCTGAGATCTTGCAAAGTGATGGAGTAAGCCACACAAATATCAAAGTTATATTTGACTCAGATATATGTAAACTTTTTATGAGCATATTCATATTTATATTACAGATTTTTCAGAAAGAGGTTGTATGATATAATACAAAGAAAATCAGAATAGGCTCAGGAATGCAGCAAGCCGACTTTCTAAAATGGCCCCACTAAGATGCCCTGCCCTAGTCCCAAGAACCTGTGCCTTTGATGAGGTATCATTCCTACGATTATGTTATGTTATATGGTACAATTGACCATAAGATAGAAACATTATCCAGGTGGGCCTGATCTAACTTCATGAGACATTAAAAGCAGAGAGCTTTATCTGGCTGTTGGCAGAAGGGAAAGTCAGAAATAATGAAGCAGGAGGAAGTTTGATGTACCATTGCTGGCTCTGGAGATGGATGGATTCTGCTCCTGGACAGGAGAGAGGTATCTAGTTGCTGACAGTGAACCACAGCCAACAGCCAGCAAGGAAATGAGGATCTCAGCTTGCAAAAACAAGGACCTGAATTCTGCCAACAACCTGAATGAGCCTGGAAATGGACTATTTCCCAGATCCTTCAGATAAGACTTCAATCTGGCCCACACCTTGATTTTGGCCTTGTGATAAATTAAGCAAAGAACCAGTCCAGCCACCTTAGACTTCTGACCTATAGACTGTGAGCTAATAAATAGGCATTGTTTTAAGCTATTAAATTAGGGGTGATTTATTACACAGTAATGGAACAGAAAATGATAAAAAGAGAACTGAGTTCTAGTTCCAGCTCTACTATGATGCAACTCTATGATTTTGAGAAAGAAGCTAAACTTATCTGAGCTTCAGTTTCCTGAAATAAATAGGCTGAGCTAGCTGATCACTAACATGTTCTTTCTGGCTAAATTTCCATAATTAATAATTAGGCCACAATTTCACTAAATTATTAAAGATGGTTATTATTGTTATGGCTGTTTGATCATACATGATTGATCATACTTATAAATTTGATGCTAAATCCTTCGTCAAGGATACAACCATCGTTAAAACATTTTTACATGAAAAAAATGTGCTACACTAAGAGAATCTATATTATGATATAAAATACTTCATAACAATATAAAAGTCTAGTAACTTATCACAATAAGAGATAATCTGACCATTCTCCCATTTAACGAGCACAGTGTCCATAAAGTCTGGAGACATTGGCAGTTATACACAATTTTCCAAGAATACCTTAAATCTCTTCTCTAAAAAATAAAATGTTGCCTATTTTTTTTCAGATTTTATAAACAACCTCGGTTGTCTAAAAGGTAACACTTAGACATTTTTTAAGTATTATGTATTCACAGTACAGATCAGAATTTTATCCTGATTAAAAATTTACTTCATATCTCTTTGTTATGATGCAATAAAATTTTGTTAACATATGTATGCTACTTGCAATAAAATTTTACTGAAGAAGAGTTCCAAACATGGAATTAAAATGTATGTTATTATCGCATCAAATTATTGAAGAAGCGGTCATTCTACATTTTTAAAAATCTAAAGTGCTTTTGCTTATTTGAATAATACTGATCAAACAGTTTTGATTCACGTTCTGATTGGTCAGTTTTTATATCATACACAGTTAACATATTTAAGCCACAGTAATTATTGCAGATTTAAGATAGATCTATGACAGAACAACGTTTGCTATCTAATATTATTAATGGAATACTATAATTCCTAGTCCACAAATAATATTATTCAAGTTAAATTTAATAACAAACCTTTTTTGCATTCAAACAAAATTGTTGAGCCATTCCTAAAGTGATTTCTGCTAAAGACACTTATTTGCCAATATAAAACTATTCTTAGTCTAAGGAATAAAATATGCCAGAAGAGAGAAACACTGTTACTACATTTTACTACATAACTGTGTGCCTGTAATATATTCTCTGAAATAGTATCGACCATATGGATGGAAAATAATGGGCATTTTTATATCTTCTATGTTTTCTAAGATGTATAAACTATAGATTTAATGATTGCTTTAATATTTGTCTTTGCTAATTCTAACATATTTTGTCAGTTCTGTGTTGGTTTGGACAGATTTATTTTTCTCATCATTATGGGTTGCATTTTCTGGCTTCTCTGCGTAGTCAGTAAGTTTAGATGGGAGGTCTGACATTGTGAATTTTACCCTTTTGGCTGCTGGATATAGTTGTATTCCTATAAATATTCTTGAACTTTGTTCTTGGATGCAGTTAAATTACTTGACAAGTTTGTTCCTTTCGGGTCTTGCTTGTAAGATTTATTAGGTGGGGTCAGAACAGTGCCCATCTACAGCTAATGACTGACCACCACTGAGGCCAGACCCGTCTGTCTACCCTCCACTGTGATGTGAATCATGAGATATTGCAGTCTGGCTTGTGGAAACAAGCACTATTCCCAGCCCCATATAAGCACCAGGCACTGTTACCTCTGATTTTTTTTAGGTGGCTCTTTGTCAGGCTTCATGTAGTTTCCTCACATATATATGCGATGATCCGGACTCAGCTGAATACCAGAGGGGGACCTCTGCAGATCTTTAGAGTTGTATCTCTGTATGGCTCTTCTCCCATTCTCAGTCCTGTGAGCTCTGGCCACCTTCCTCTCTCCAGGCTCTCAGCTCTGGCTTCTCAACTCTGGGAATTTGTTAGGCTCCACCTGGGTTCCCCTTCCCTGGGATTCATCTGGAAACCCTCAAGACAATAAGCTGGGGCAATCCTGAGGCTCACCTCATATGTTTCTCATCTCTCAGGATCACTGTCATTCACTGCCTGATAGCCAACGTCTTGCAGACTGTTGTTTCAGACATTTTGTCCATTTCTGGTTGTTTAAAGCAAGAGAGTAAATGCAGTCTCTCTTATTCTATCTTGATCAGGAGCAGCAGTTCACTAAATTTGGTTTTGCTGAGAACATATGGTAGTTTAGAAGCTTGGATTTACAGGCATGTTACAGGGTAACATGCCTTAAAATTTCAACAGCCATTTAGCTTGCCCTAAATGATTTTCTATATACATGTACTTGGACTTGATGAAGTTAGGCAGTAGTGAAATATACAGTGAGAATCCTGAAAATGTCCCTTTAATTAAAAAATGTACTTTTATGACACATTAAATCTCCTTTAGTATGTCCTTGCAACACACAGTATCATATGTAAGAAAGTGCAATTAAGGTTGAGTAGCATTTAGGAAATTTCCAAAAAAAAAAAAAATCACCTTTCTCATAAAAGAATGTGAACTTCTTTGTTCATTAAAAGCTATATAAGCCAAAAGGTACTGTAAATGTATTTACGGGAAGAAACTGTCTTCCAAGAGTAGCAAAGAAAAAAAAAAGTGCTTGTTAACTAAGCACAAACATGGAGGGAGTTCAAAAAACTAAAACCTTAGCAAACATGGATATCACCTTACAGTCCAAAGAACATGATTTTTGAAATATTCACTGAATATGTTTTGCTCTGAGTTTTTCACAAAATTACAAGCTAGGGTTTTAAAAATCATATTTAGATGATAGAAAATTGGGGTGAACTTCAGAAAGCCACGTTACAGAGGTAAAGGCAAGAAATAAATTTTATAAATTAGCGTTCATTGTTGGCAATTTCTCAAAATCAACAAGGGTAACAACAAGCAGTATGAAACAGCTCACTCAAAAAAAAATCATCTTGTGATAAGGAAAGTGGCACAATGGCGATTCATGGTACAGTAGGTTCTGTTATATCTAAGTTCATCTTCTTAGATTTTAAAGATTATATGTTTTTAGTCCAAGAAACCTAAACATTTATATATTCAATTCAAATTGAGGAATGACATATTTGAAAGGTTATCCGGATGTAGTGAGAACACTTTACCACGTTACCACCAGTGGTATACAGTGGTATTGATTTTGTATGTCATCAAAATCAATACATACAGATATTTTCTTCAAATACCAAAAGGGAAATCCAGTCTACAGGAAGCAAGTCTATTTCTAAGAAAGAATGTGATTCCACATCTCAATTCATTCAGTGGTTTTAAAGATCTAACAAATTGGTAACACAAGGAAAACCTTCACATATAAAGATGTTAGAATTACTAGAAAAGGTTTATTACCTCCTTCCTGGAAGGACATCCCCTCACCTTTCTTTCCTCTCTCTCCTCCCATCCATTTATTTCAAAACATTTCTTGAACACCTTTTCAGCACAGAACCTAATCTGGCTCCTGCAAACAAACGTGAATAAGCTGAATTCCGGTCATCAAGGCGGTCACAGCTTAATAGGAAAGAAGGATATGTAAACAGATATTTTCATGCAAGATATTTGTGTAACTGAGGAAGAATCAGTTTACTCTACCAGGAAGAATCTGAGAATGTGTCAACAGAGGAGGTGACATCTGAAATGGATTTTAAAAGATGCACAGATATTAGACATGGAGAAATAGGGTGGGCCCTTCCAGACAATGGGCATAATGCACGCAGAAAGACTGAAAAGTATTGAAATGTTGGGGAAATAGAACTTCAAAGAGGATGGAGCAAAACTAAGTGAATATTTACACTGGGAAATGCGGTTACTAAGAGAGGTTGAAGCAAGATCATGAAGAATCTTAAATATTTTGTAAACAGGCTTCAGGCCAGATTTCCTGGGGCAATTCTGTACCATGCTTACTATCTTGGCATCAATATTAGGAATGTTTTCGTTCATTCTCACGTGTCCTAGTTTGAACAATAAATTAAGTGGTCATTCTGTTTATGGGCCTTTCAGTTCTCAAAATATGATTTCTAGAAGGCAGGGCTGAATCCACATGATTTCTTTTTGTGTACTTGTATTCAATGATAACAAAGAAATTGTAGCAACAGGGCTTCCATGTCCTTGTTACAGTGATTATCTTAGCTTCAGAAGCTACTTGGGAGTCATCATTCGTTCTAACCTCCTTGTGGGGTGCACTCCTGCAGAAGTTGGAACTATAGTACCCAATGTGCTTGTAGTTAGAATTCCACATGAGACTTTGGTTAAACCAACTGGATGAACTCATATGAGATTTGGAACTCAGAATGGCAAATATGGTTATGGAGACACTGTAAAAACAGTGGCTTTCTGTAGCAGGGTCCTATGTCTAGTTGCTAGCTGTGTGGATGCTGAAAGAAAGGTGCAGTTTCAGTTGTAGCTGTTTGTTACCCTTGGATAATATCATCAGTAGCAAGCTGGAGTCAGCAGGTCCAGCAGCAGCTATCTCCACCTCCCATTCCCAGATTTTAGCAGAAATAGCAGCTACCAGGGTGGGCCATCTTCTGTATCATTCTGGGAACTAGTCCTGAACCCCAAGCCTAGAGGCTGTATTTTCAATCCTTCCAAAGATTTAATGTACACTTAAATCTTTTCATTGAATTCTTTCATGCTTAAAATGGCTAGTGTGGTTTCAATTTCCTAAAACTGAACCTTGACATGTATATGGTAAGTTATTTAACAAAACTGGGCCTCAAATTCACATCCATGTAATAACAAAGTTGGTCTATCCAGTGACCTGCAGGATCCCTCCTACTTCTAGAATTCCATGTTGTGATTCTTTACTGTTGTGGAGTTTGCCTAATACCCCCATTTTTTTCTCCTACATCCCTCAGGAACTGCTTCCAATCTGGCCTGTACCTTACTGTTCCATATAACTGTTTCACAAAATCACCTATTCATATATTTTTAGTATTCAGAAAGTGTACCAAAGGCATTGGATGTGGATAAGACGGGATAAGAGTTCACTTATTCACTGGACAAACATTTATTGAGCACCTACTATGTATCAGGTGCTTCCAAGTAACATATTATTAACTATTTGACTTAGTCCAAGTGTTTGTTTAGATAAAATATTCCTAGAAGCACATTTATCTTCATCTGTTTTCCAATTTAATAAGAAGTGTCATCCTCCCAACCTGTTGATATTCCTCCCAACCCCTCTCCAGTCTAAGCTTCAGTCAGTATAGCTGCTCCTTTACAGATACTGACTTGAGTCAAATCAAGATTTTTTCCCTTCTTTCTAGACCACTCTCTCCATTTTTAATCCTTTTGCTTTCTTCAACAGAGTGAATTATCACACATTTTCTTTATTGATTCAGTTTTTAACCCTACTTTTCATTCCTCTCCACTCTGAGTTTCCCAGATGTCTCTTCAGGTGGTCCTTTGCAAGATCTTGTTCTCGCCTGCTGGCTGAGCATCACTTTAAGGCCCTTTGCTTTTTACAAGTAGTCCCTTGGGCAAATCATTCAATAATAGAGTTTTAATGCATTTTTGATCCTAAATTACACATCCTGAGTTACAGGACATTTCAACATTGACATTCCAATGTCTTTTCATTGTTATTCTCAAGTCATTCGCTTATCTCAACATAATATATCCTTCAACAGTCTTCTTGTATAACATTTCCAGGCAATCAAAACCCTGAAGTCATTTTTATTTTGCTTGTCTCATCAGGTCATTGCCAAATTCTGATAATTCTTGATACACAACAATCTTATATTTGCCATTCTATCTGCATTTCTATATCCAGTCTCATATTTCAGGTTCTAGACACTGGATTGTGTCTTCTCTTTCCTCATATTCTGTCTTCTACACCTATCCTACATTCTGCCACTTAAATTATCTTCTATAAATCTTACTCCAAAAGCTTTTGGTATTGCAAATTTCCTTCCTTTTTACATTAAATTTCAACCTTTTGGCATTGGCCAAACATTTAACTAACTAAACTATATATCTCTTATTGTATCCTAGCTTTATTTTTTCTCTAGAGTAGTTAATCTTGTTATTTTTCATTATAGTCTACTCATTTTTTTTTGCAATTTTACCTATTTCATCAGCCTAGAAAGTTGTTTACCTGAACAAAATAATAACTAAAAAAAAAAATCTTTTAAGGAACTGTTCAGATTCTTCCCTGAACCAAGGGACCAGCTCACATTTCTTCATTTAAATATAATTAATATATTCAGCAGTTCCAAAGTACTTTCTATGAGTCTGTTAAGCCAAAACCTCAAAACAATGTGGGGGTGGAGGGTGCTCAAAGGTAAATTCATGTATTACATTTTTCCTCTTGTTCAATCGACATCAGAGAAAATTCTTGATAGAGCAAAGAAAAGCTGCAATATAAATCACCACAGCACATAAGATCTTATCACAATGCTCATATTGAAACTTAATACTCATTGTGATGGTATTAAGAGGTGATTAAGTCTTAATGGATTAGGGCAGAAAGGACTTGTGGAAGTTGGTTTGCCCTCTGCCATGTGACATCATAGTATTCATCCCCTCGTGGGTTTCCCCCATCCATCATGTGAGGATGCAGCAACAAGGCACCATCTTGGAAGTTGAAAGTGGCCTTCACCAGATAGCGGTGTTGGTTGCTTGGTCTTACACTTTTCCCAGCCAGCAGAACTGTGAGAAATAAATTTATCTTCTTTATAAATTACTCCATCTGTCTTATTTTGTTATAATAGCACAAATGACTAAAGAGAAACAACAAGGCTGAAAGCTAGGTATGCTCTCCATGATATTCATCATAGTACAGCTATACTCATACTAGGCTTATGATTTGTGGAAATTAGTATGCCTTCATCCTATCTACCATGGACACTCCATGATACTGCAGACAGAGGGACATATATAAATGGTTTTGACTGCAAAATACTTTTGTGATTAAAAAACTCCGGTAATTAATTACTAAGTCCATTAAAACAAAAAGGGAAAACATGTCAAAAAGTTGCCAAATGAACTGGAAATACAGCAAGTGATCAATAAATATTTGTTAAACAAATGAGTGAACAAATCAGCAGGTAAATGGTTTAGCTTTAGAGAAAATAATTTATAAATGGAAAATAATGTGTCAATATGCAAAATGTAGAAGAATGAAAAAGGAAAACATAACTAGCTGTTGCTAAAGTTTCTAACAGTATTGGAAGTGATAATTAAAAAAAAACTGGAGGTAATTCATACATCCAAGAGTAGGAGTATAGTTGAATAAACTATATCTTATCATAATATACACAGAGGCACACACTATTATATGATATTCTATTCTATCTCATATATAAATATTAAAACAAGTAATTTTTATTATTTATGGATTTTGTATTTGTGAGTTCATCTAGTTGTTATAATGTTTTTGTAATCCCTAAATCAATACTCACTGTGCTTTCACAGTCTTCCATAGACACGTACAAAGTGGAAAAACAAAACAAAACTCAACAAGGCTATAAAATAAAATAAATATGAACGCTGATTTATAATGAAGAAATAAATGTTACCATTTCCAGATAATTGTTTAGATAGAAATTCTACAGTAATCTACATATTAATTTTTATAATTAATAAATGAATTAAGCAAGTCATTGAATACAAAACCAATACACAAAATTACTTGCATTTTTTATATTAGCATCAAAACATCATTTAAAAGACTATAAAATAGTTTCTATGTTTATAAATTTACAAATATATGCTAGACCTCTACACTGAAAACTATAAATATTACTTAAAGCCAAACATTACTGAGATACTGAGCTGGAAAAAATATTCATAATACACATTAGAGAAAATATTAATATCTAAAATATATAAAGTACTCCTGCCAAATGATAAGAACAAGACAGACATCCCAATTTTTTAAAATGTTCTTAGACATGTACTTAATAAAAATAACATTCTAATAGTCAATAAGTATATACAAAGATTTTTAACATTGTTAAACATCAGAAAAAAAATGAAAACCAGATTAAACATACCCACTACAATGGCTGGAAGACAATATCAAGCACTGAATGATATTTGGATCACCTGAAATTTTCATACAGTGCAGGTGTGAATGTGTATGGAGATGCTCCTTTTTAAAACCATTTGGCATTAGCAATGGAAGTTGAAATATGTGAATACCCTGTGATAAAACAATTCTACTCCTATGTAAAAACGAAGATAAATGAATGCTTATGTACGCCCACCATAATACATGTACAAAAATATTTGTAACTATTTATAATAGCAGCAACTGAAAAATAGATTATAGTAAATTACTTATTACTATAAGATACATTACATTAGAGTAATTTTAGACAACCAACTAGCACGAAGAAATAAAAAGAACAAATTACTACTACATGCAACAATATGGGCACAGCTCATAGATATAATGTTAAGTAAGAGCAGCCAGATAAAACTGAGTAAATACTCTCTAATTCAATTTCTATTATTTACATATACATATATGTGTGTGAATGTGTATGTGTGTGTATATATAAAAATACATATACATTTCATGAAAAGGCCAAACAACACTAGGTTGATAGAACTCAAAATAGTAATTACCTTTGGTAGGGTATATGGTACAGTGTCTGCTTTGTGGATGCTGGAAAAATTTAACTCAATATGCATGATGGTTACATCTGTAAATTTTCAATGAGTGAAAAGTTTATGATTTGTGAAATTTTACTGTAGGAATACTATCGATCAAGAAAAAGTTACCAAAAATCCACAAAAAGATTTAAATATAAATCTATTCTATCATATGCCAATGGCTTTGTTTGATACATGAGGATAGAAATATGACTTTGTAGAACATCCAAAAAAATTCCAGAAAGACATTATGTAGCAATCTAAATTAATGAGAAATGATTTATGCAAGGATGGCTAACAGCCTCCCACAAAGACTGCCTTCTCTTCTCCCAAAAAAGTGATTTGATAATAAAAGCACTGTAAATCAATCCACGAAATTTACTTCCTAGGGGGTGGAATGCCTGGCTAATGTAAGCCTCACTGGAGTACACAGGATATATGCCAGCTTTTTGCCAAAGATGCCTATGAGATCATTCTTTGAAAGGCCTCCCCTCTATACTCTTGACATGATATAAACTACTTTTATATTTATGTATGCTGGACACTGCTTTAGTGTACTTTATAGATCTTTAAATAAAACCAGCTGTCATTCCAGCTATCCTTAAGAGAAAAAAAACAAAAACTTTGCCTGCTACACTTTTGTGCATATAAGAACCACCTAATTCTCAGGGTCTGCACCAGACTTTTTACTACACTAAGCCTGGAGACTGTATTTCAAGAAGCACTCCTGCAGGTCCCGAAACAGCTAGTTTGGGCTGTACATATATAATATACTGCTTTTTACTATCGTATGAACTATTCATTTTTCGTTGATCTGCTTGTTTTAAAAATATGATGGCTTTACTCTGTGTGATCTGAATTACCTTGGACGATAGAATCAAATATTATAAACAATAAACTATATATATTCCTATCCTTCAAAAACATTATAAATCTTTTATCTGCCATCTAGATTTCACTTCTCTTAGTCCTTGCAATGTAGCAACATTATGTAACCATTGCATAATCAAAGAAGGAAAGTAGCTAAAGCAATGACTTTTCATATTTATTAAGAATTATGTATGTAAAATGATTCTTCACCAGGTAAACTCTTAATTTAACAGAGCTACCTCAGACTTGGATAGGAGACATCTAAGTCTCTTATAATATAAACTCAGGGTCAGCTGAATTCAACAATTTTAAAGACTAATGTGCATTACTAAAGCATAGGTGAAAGATTATAAAGTGATAAACTTACCTAGGCTGAGTGAAAGGCAGAGAGGTATGAGGCCTTCCAAAAGAAACAAACACAAAGACAGAAAAAAGAAAACATAAACAAAACAAAGAAAATCCTGAGAAAAAAGCTGAAGAGACTAGAGAGGAATAAACGATCTGCAATTTAAAAGTCGAGAGTGAGTAGATAAAACTCAGAACATTCAGATTGTTTTAAGTGAGAGAACAAGATCTTCTAAGAATCCGTGGCATAAAATAGAAGATGCAACATTCAACAAAATTAATTTTACAATCAGACAAGTAACTTCCTAAATAAGCAACTAAACAAACTGTTGACCATATCATGAGCCTTGCAAAATGTCCTTGATTAGCTTGCTTCTGCATTTCTATAAAATGGAGATACCACCCATGAGACCTATTCTGGACCTCAAGGTATTATTGTACAAATAATGAACTAAAGGTAGTAAATTGTTCTTGAGTTCCTCAAGATATAGTGTATAGTAATTCAGACTATTGTGCTTTTAACTTTTATTAATTAATGAAATTATATGAGTTAACATTTTAATAACATTTAATACCATGGGCATGTAAAATTAAGGAAATTCTTATAGTGAAAATGTAGTATGGGGAAAAGGCCATGAAATATAAATGGCTAAATATTTCAGTGAAAGAACACAGTTACATTTTTTCCCCCAGACTCTGGACTCCATTTGAATATGAAGGTGCTAGAAACCCTAACACCTTGTTTGGTTTAATAACATTTTTGAGGATATTACAGTAATGCTAAAGAAATGCATCCTATCTATCAAGTACTTAAAATGTTAATTAAATGAATACACACTGATTATTAGTAATTACATCAACCTGAATACACATTACCATTTAATGTATTAAACTCATCACTGAGTTAACAGCATGGTTTTAAATAAACTAATATTTTATTTTTAAGAAATTGGCTAAATTAATAAATTATACTCTAACATTAAGTATTATCAGCATTAGAATTAATTTGTATATAAGTACACTTTTCATTATAAAACATTAGGGATAATTATTCAAATAAGAGGAAGGCAGAAGGGTGCAGAATATCATTATCCAGCGGCCTATATGGAAAAGGCAATTGTGGTTTGCTGATCTTACCAGGTTGCTGATGTTGGATGATGATAGTTCTCATTTTACCAATTATTTTTTCACTAGGATAAGGCCATATAGTTGTGTAATCACTCAGACTGCTTTAATACCATTAACTTGTATTTACCCACAAATAGTCCAACTGTGTGCAACAATCTTAGAACGATGCCTTTTACACCATAGGAGGTTTTTCCTCGAATTTCCTATCCCTGGACTGTGACCTGACAGGGGCAGTGTAGTCATGACGAAGCTTAAATCGAGCAATGTCACAGTCTACTGAAAAGGACACAAATTCTCGACCTGAATGCCTACGGTCTCATAAAATTCTACAATAATTAACCAAAGGTCCAAAAAAAATTTCTTTTTAGTGATTTTTGTTCTCCTAATTTTCTGACTGCTGCTTGACTGGGCAAAATAGTAAATACAAGTAAACTTATTTGTTTTCATTTTCTTCATTTTAGTAAAGACACTTTTTATGAGAGACTAAGTAATGAATGGTTTTTTTTGAAATTTACAATTTTACGTAAATGAACATATATTACCAAAGAGAAGATTGCCAGTGATTTCTGTGTTATGGAAACACATGCACATATACAACCCAAATACGAAAAGGTACTGCAACATATTTTGCTTATTGGCATTGACTTTCATACCTAAGATATTTTCTTTTGTCATTTTAAACATTAATATTTAATACTTATAATACTTTCCATTTAAGCTATTCTTTCAAAATATATCTTAAATATTTATACTAATAAATATCTCTATATTCTCTCTTGGTACAAAACATGCATGTTCTATATTTGCTGCAATAAAATATCTTTTAATTCCTCCCTATTTTTCCTTATTTAGTACATGTGATTTATTCCAGATTAAAATTTTGATATGTGTATGTTGAATATTTGTATATGCTACAAGTAACCAGTGGTTCTGGAAACTGCTCTACAGTGCTCTTGGCATTCTCAGGAACTCTTTCGGGGTTATCGGAATGAGCAGATTCTGGCTGTCTTCAACCAGAGCAACCCTCTTTTAAGATGTTTTATGTGTTTATGTTTCCAGGTAAGCTGTCTTCAACCAGAGCAACCCTCTTTTAAGATGTTTTATGTGTTTATGTTTCCAGGTAAGCTATTAAACAAACAATGGAAATTATACATTTTTTAACCTTCAATTCCCCTTATTGCTCCATTTCCCAAGCTGGTGCTTCATCTGTAACAATGAAAATTATATTATCTCACAAATTGTTATGTGAAATAAATGAGATAATGTATTACAAATTATTTTTATATAACAGGTAATAACATAAACACACATACTCATAATATGTCTTACAAAACATGGAAGAAGATAAGCATAAGTGTCTTATTGACAGATTGTTATAATGGCAATAATATCAAATTCTTAAATAAGAAAGACAGGTGTTTATTAGTGAGAGAGGGTCTTCTGGTAACAAGATCTTTACAGTAGATTTATTTTCTATAGGCCTTAAGAAGATTTTATTTCTGTTTTTGTAATTATGGAGATTTGTAAAGTGGCATTATCACACTAAAAATCCAACGAATAGTTTGGGTCTTGATACATCCATATATTCCTATTCTTTCCTGCATGAGCATGCTCCTTTGGGCCACCATTCCAATCCTGCAACTTTAGTCTTGTGACCCATGATCACTGCAAAACACAATGCCCTTTCCTTCTGTATTTTTATCCCAGTCAGTTCACCCCTGGTCAGGTGTTGGTCCTGTATGTCTCTAACAATCATCTTATGCTTGGTATAATTTATCATAGGAAACTGTACAGCCTCCTACAATTAAGTCTACATAAATTACAATTATTAGCAAAATTTTAAAATTTACAACACTAATTTTAAAATTTCTCCTGAGCTTCAGACTCATATTTCCAGTGTTTTGTTACAAATTCTGTATGCATACGTAACTGGAACTGCAATTGCAACTGCAGAATGTCCAAAATTATATAAGTTATCTCCTCTCTTCCCCATTATTCTTTTTCTAATTTGGAAGTCTCAAGTGTTATTACCATAATCTTGTCAGTTACCCAGGCCCATGATTTCTTGATCATTGAAGCATATTTTAATATTATCAATGTATCTGGACAGACTTCGTCTTTCTACTAATTGTTAAGTTCCATGACGGGAGGGTAGGTGCCCTATTTAAGTCTGTATTCCACATTATGACAAATATAATATTTAAATAGAAGGAACACAGTACTTCCAGAAGCAATGAGAAGTCAACTGGTCATAAGAGCCTTTGCTTTACACAACTCTTAAAGCAAAATCTGGGAATTCTAAATGTGTGGCAGACAGTCTTCCTAAGGACTCTACCAGGTGACTAGTCATTTGTTTTCTCTGTTCAAACAAAGAGACTATATTAAGTTTTATAACATGGTATCATGGGAAATTTAAACTCTTCATTTAGATATTACGAAAGAATACAATGTCAAAGTAGCCCTTATTATCAGTAGGGACATTTCCATTTTCTTTCTGGAATATCATTTCAAAATGACTGTTACTGAAAATTTTCTCTGCAGACTATCATTTATATACTTTAGGAATAATTAATTTCTGATATCACAGCTTAATTATAAAAATTTCTAGTGATGACTGACACTTTGGTTCCTTCTAACATTTCTTTCCTAAGATAATAAAGAGATATTTTGGAAAACCTTAATCATGATCACTGCCTGACAAAAGATAATGCATAGGGTTCACCTTTTACTTTTAACAACAGTTGTGAAAAAAGTCACACTGGGCCTAAAGTAGTAAATAGGTCATATATTTTTAACTCAGGAAATTCAAATAACTGCCATATCCCAAGCCCAAATGGTTATAGATTGTACTGAAGAAGAGGGAGAAAAAAGATACTACACTAAAAATAAGATTAAACCAAACACTTTAATTTTTTTCAAAAGTAGTCTGCCAGCCTCAAAAATATCAGGTATATGAATGACAGTAACAGCCATAAACCCAGGAACTACAGGATCCAAAATGCAGCATGCTGGTGTATATAATTCAAGGCAAGGACATGAAAGTTATTCTCATGAATGATAATGGGAATACAAAAATAGTAGCATAAAATTGCCTTAAATGCAAGAAAATAGAGGAAGAAAGTCAAGTATGGTCTCAGATTATTTTACATAAAGAAGAGATGGCAAAAACATATATACCGCTGATGATCCCCTACAAGGAGATAGTATGGAAACATAACACTTGGTAAAATTTGTTGGAAAATTCAAGAAATAAGAAGTATGAATTTGAAACGGATGAAACGTTTGAAATATAAAGGGTATAAAGAAAATGAACAGACTTGTAGAATATATCAAAACTAATTTACATAGTTAGATATACCATATGCTGGATAGGAACACTCAATATTGTAAAATAAGAGATAAAAATAAAAAAGGCCATCCTCCCTGAATGAATGTAGAAGTTAATGCAATGTCAATCAACATCCCAGTGAAATTTTTTTGCAATTTGGCAATGTGATTTTAAAATTTATGTGTAAAAATAAATCTATAAGCGCAATTATTTAGGTTTTTGTTTGTTTTGTTTTCAAAGATCAAAGAATAGTCTGGGAAGCCCAGGCACAGATCTATGCACAAGAATCTGTTATGTAATAAACGGATACCTGTAAACAGTAGTGAAAGAATATACTTTCAATAAGCAATAGAAGGCCTCATACCAAACGTTATAAAAAAAATACCTATATAAAGACTTAAATAGGAAAAGAAAAAAAAATGAAGCCAGTATACAGCTAGAAGTGGAAAAATATTTAAAACCTTAAGCGTGGGAAAGGTCTTCCAAAGCCAGAAATGTAGCAAGAATTAATTCAGTGAAAGTTTGCCAGATACGACGATGATGATGGTGATGGCGACGATAATGATGATGATGATGAAGAACAATGTAAAGAATAAAACAAATGTCTCAAAAGATCTCCAATATATTACATGAAAATGATGGCTACCCTTTAATATTTAAAAAAACACATTATTTTGCATAAGTAGAATTAGCCCATCACAATAAAATATTAGCAAGGGCATGAAAAGTCAGGGAACCTAGGAATCATCCAGTCCATAGTGATGAATGAAGAAGTATAGAAACCAATAAACATGAAAAATTCCAAATTCAAAACACAGAACCATGCATGCATGTACATGTACACACACGCACAAACACACAAAGAGAGAAAAAACGACAATAGAAGGACATACACTAAAAAATATTTTTCTTTTTGTTTACTTTTCCAAAGATTTTAAAGAGTATTATTATAATTAGAATATAAATCAGCCAGATGCAGTGGCTCACGCCTGTAATTCCAGCATTTTGGGAGGCCGAGGCAGGTGGATCACCTGAGGTCAAGAGTTCGAGACCAGCCTGGCCAACATGGAGAAACCCTGTCTCTACTAAAAATACAAAAATTAGCCAGGTGTGGTGGCACACGCCTGTAATCCCAGCTACTCAGGAGGCTGAGGCAGGAGAATCACTTGAACCGGGAGATGGAGGTTGCAGTGAGCAGAGATTGTGCCACCGCACTCCAGCCTGGGTGATAGAGCAAGACTCCGTTTAAAAAAAAAAAAAAATCAATAAATGTTGTTCATAAGAAAACAAATGAAAAAAACAGAGTTATGTGCAATTTCTCAACAATGTTTATTAATGTATAAAGGAATATATACCACCTCCAGTTAGTTCATGTTTGTTTCTTAATTTTTAAAAAAATGTTAAATAGAGACAAGGACTCACTCTGTTGCCCAGGCTGGTCTCAAACTCATGGCCTGAAGTGATTCTCCTACCTCAGCCTCCCAAAGTGCTGGGATAACAGGTGTGAGCCACCGCACTAGGCCAAAACTTTGAAAAAAATATAGCACTATATAAGTACATGTATCTTGCACTTTCTATGCTATATTATAAGTTTCTGTTTGTTTTGCTTCCCCTATTAATTCAATAAAATTATTGAGGACTTGACCATGTTTCATTCCTGTTTGCATCTGCAATGCCTACACAGTACAGGGCCTGGCACATAAGGAGGCACTCAGCAAATAATGGTTGAAGAATTTCATACTTGCATGAGTAACGAAAATAAGGACAATACTATCTTCTACCATATCTGAACAAAATTGTTTCAGCAACTAGTACCTGCCAGATATGATCTTATAAATGCAGCTATGTGGCCATGAAGGAGAACAGGTTATCAGCTGGAGAAATGAGCAGACATTTCCAGCATGGATGGAAAATCACTCAGATTGAATTCCACTTCCTTGTGTTTCTGGTAAATATTTTACTCATTCTTGATAACCTCTTGCTGGAAATCTTTTGCACACTTCCACATCATGACACCCATTATGTTTTCTAAAACTCTTCATGCATATCTTTATTATCAGTATAATCAAGCTGCAGTAGAGTATTATTTGTGATTAAGTTTTTTTGGCGATACTGAGAGATCCCTGAAGGCAAGGAATATGCATTATATATCAGGGCCACTGCATACAGTCCTGTAGGTTGTGCACTGCACAAGGGCATCATGTCTAAGAGATGCTGTACACATCATGAATATCATAAATTGGTATATTTATAACATCAATTTTCTGATATATGATAGTAAAGTATCCGGAACATAGAGAATCCTTTATTTTCTAATATGGAAAATCCCTGGAACATGGATGGTACTAAAAAATATTCATATAAATAAACACGTCAAGAACTGAACCAATATCTGATGCACAAAAATTAATGTATAGAATTTTGGTTTTATCTTTCAAGTTGATGTGTGGGGAAAAATAAATTTAACACGGCAAATAATATCAATGAAAACATAATAAAATTACAGATCTTTTGGTAACAAATACTGATGAATTTTATGGTTCGAAAACATGCAAAGTAAATTCTCTCTAAAAAGAAAATCGTAAGTTCTCTGATTACACTCCAGCACTAATGAATGCTCCCAGCATTGGACACTGGGTCCATGAAATTGCTGTCTCACACAGTGCTTATAAGCTTTAATGTCACAAAGCATGGTAAGCACTTCTATTTAGCTTTAAGCAAATGACGTTTTCATTTTCAGGTCTTCAAGGGCACAGTATTCAAGAGACCTATAAATGGAATGAAAGGCATTGGCAAAAATAATAATAACCACAAAATAGCTCACATGTCTTGGCTCTCTATTCTTCCATTTAACCAGTATGTGCTGAGTACTTGCTTTGTATAAAATAATATGTTGAGTACTAGCATTCTTGAAGCAGATTCATCCCACCAAACTTCTGCCTTCAAAAGATGATGGCTTTTCATTATCTCGCTATTCACTATTGTATTACGGTAGAAGACGATGTGAAGTTTTCAAATATAATCCCAGGTTGCCAGAGGTTTAATACAGTTTAATCTAGTTTTCAGTTGGGCTCTGCTTAGAATAAAAGAGCATATCCAGATTTATTATGCAAAGGTGATGAATGGAGATGTGATTATTTGTTTTCCCAAGCTATGCTTTTTAGGGTTCCTTATAGTAAGCTCCCTTCACATTTAACATACGCTGTTATTTAGAAAAATTATTATATGCCATATCTAAGGGGACTTCATTCTACTGCATAAAGCAAGGAAAGCCTAGGTCTTGGTGGGGACATTAGTCCTCTTCAGGACATTAAAGCATTCAGAAAGAAACTAATGTGTCTAGCCAAAATTTTCTAGATAATTGCATCCTCATGAAGAAATTTTTAAAGGGTATTTTAGTGTCCCAAGCTTTTTTTTTTTTCAGTCAGATGACTCATAAAGTTAATTAACATCATAACTGAAAGCCTTAGGGGAATAAGGAAAGTCTGAACAGAGTTTGTATCTACTCTAAATAAGTGGTTCTTTCTTTTCTTTCTCTTTCTTTTCTCATTCCTCCTCCTCTCTCTCTTTTCTCCTTTCTCTCCTTTATCCTCTTTTGCTCTCCTCTCATCTTTTTGATACTGATTTCTGTGAAATTAGAATTTACCTACTGCCTTCAAAAACATATTTAAAAATTATACTCTGTAATGAAAAGGGCTGGTAGTTTGATTTTAAAGACACATTTTTCAGCAAATTCTGATATTTTCAGAATTTCTTGAAAACATCTATTTCAGAAATTCCACATTGTACAGCTCAAGTAGTTAGCTTTAAGTTTCTGATACTTCTCTAAATTTGATAAATTCTTTTTAGGCCACCAAAGCATTTTTTTCTATTATCCAGAGTGGCAATAAACTAATTTCTTGTCTTCTACCTTAGAAACTGAATCTGGTTATCTAGCCCATAGCTTACTATCTATACTGCTTGGACATCTGCCATCTTTTTAGAGAGCTTCATTTCAATATTGAAAATATAAAATTATATTAACAGCAACAAGTTTTGTCAAACAAGTGCAGATTTATTTATTGTGTATTATAAAAAGCACCATATAAATACATATGTAACACGTACATATATATATACATACATATATAAAAAGTACTTATTATTTCCCAGTGCTCAGAGGGAAGAAAGAAGACATTTGAAAATTTAGTAGCATGATGAATTTAAAATATACATTTTTAAAGACAACTAGTTCCAGCACTTTGGGAGGCCGAGGCAGGCGGATCCCAAGGTCAGGAGATCAAGACCATCCTGGCTAACATGGTGAAACCCTGTCTCTCCTAAAAACACAAAAGATTAGCCGGGCGTGGCGGCAGGCGCCTGTAGTCCCAGCTACTTGGGAGGCTGAGGCAGGAGAATGGCGTGAACCCGGGAGGCGGAGCTTGCAGTGGGCGGAGATGGCGCCACTACACTCCAGCCTGGGCGACAAAGCAAGACTCTGTGTCAAAAAAAAAAAAAAAAAAGACAACTAGTTGGGAGTCTAACGTTGCAATTGTTTTAAAATGTCAGGGTGATTGTTACTCACATGTTTTTAACTCTTTGGATGTTATATGCATAATGTAATTTAAAAAACAATAATTATACGCACTGTGACATATTTAGTAACATGAAAATATATGAAAACAAAAATATAGATACTCGTAAATGTTTAGTGTTAAATGTCAAAATGTACGCTAAAACATGTTCTCATATTCATGTATAGTATGTAGTCATATTTACACATATTATTAAGTAATACAACTTCAAAACTTTTATTAAAATAAATTTATGCCTTCGCTTAAGCTTTAATAAATTACAAAATTGAGATGGCTTTCTAAAATATTTTGAATTCAATATTACTCCCGAAGCCATTAGTTTTCGAAGTGTGGTTTCAACTCAGGCACAGAGGAAAGCTAAAACCATGGGTATGCCAGTGTTAGTGCAAAATCACTTATCTTTTGGAAATATATCTTAGAATAAAGGGCTACTGGAGGTAAAACAATGAAGACTTGAGGACAAGGAGTACAGATCGAACATTTTAAAAAAAGAAGAAATTAGTAGTTCCAAGACCAATTATATACTTAATTGATAGAGTCTAGATTCTATCTCAATTACATGCCTTTCCATAGTCTCAACATGGCTTCCCAATTCTTCTAATGTTGGGATGATCTGAAATAAATATTTTGAAGAATACAGGTATGCTAATAAACTGAGAAAACAAAATGAATATCATGGTTCTGACATGCAGCTGATTAGAGTGGTCCTGACAAATGAAAGCAACCACAATTCTTAAAGGACCAGTGATTGATGCCAAAATGACTTCAGAACAAGCCTAGAAACACATGTTTTAATTCTCACTTTCTACCTTGTAAATTATTATGAAAATTAGTCACAAGTAATCTAGATAGGAGGACCTAGCATTTACACAATTCTAAAGTGTACTACATATGATATAGAGTCATCATATGAACTTTAGAACATCACTATAACAAAGGTATTATTTCCCCCCTTTTGCAGACTAAGTAACTGAAGCTAAAACTTGATAGCACTTGTCTGACTGTAAAATTCATGCTGTTTTCGCTACACTATACTGACTCTAATAACTAGCACTGCTTTCATGCAATTAAAATTTATTGAGTATATTCTGTGTTCTCACAAATGGATAGAACATAGTTGGTACAAAACACACAGATTGCAAAGAATAGGATGAAAAACAGTTAAAAGTAGATCCGAACACTTACACATGTGATAGAAACACTACGCATGGTGTCTTTACTTCGTATATAACTAATCCTCATAAAAACCTTATGAAAAGCAATATCAATGTCCTATTTTTATAAATAATGGTAAGAGAAATTAAACCCCTTACCCAAGAACAACTTTTCAACTAGTAAGTAGTTAAACTGAAACTCAAGCCATCTATGTTCTTTTCCACCACTTTCCACTGCTTTGTCAAAACTTTATAGGAGACACTTGCTGCCAACTATGGTGGAAGAATTTGCAGCACAGCAATGCTCCTCTTATAACAAGTACTAAAAAAAATGTGACCGGGCGCGGTGGCTCACGACTGTAATCCCAGCACCTTGAGAGGCCGAGGTGGGCAGATCACTTGAGGTCAGGAGTTTGAAACCAGCATGGCCAACATGATGAAAGCTCACCTCTAGTAAAAATACAAAAATTAGCCAGGCATGGTAGTGGGAGCCTGTAATCCCAGCTACTGGGGAGGCTGAGGCACGAGAATTGTTCGATCCTGGTAGGCGGAGGTTGCAGTTAGCCAAGATTGCACCACTGCACTCCAGCCTGGGCGATAGAGTGAGACTCAGCCTAAAAAATAAATAAATAAAAATGAAAAAAAAAAATAAACAGACAAAGTACAAAAAAAAAAAACTTTGAAGGTGTTAGAGAACTGCTAAGATAACTAAGACATGACACAAAAACAAGAAATTGTATAGCGTTTAACTGACATTCTTAAAAGCAGGCTTTTTCCTTGGGGTATATGCATATAAACCGAAATTCAAGCCATCTATGTTCTTTTCCACCACTTTCCACTGCTTTGTCAAAACTTTATATGGACACAAATAATGGTCACCAGGTCCCAGAATGGGTTGTGTGAGCCCTTGAGGCCTTCATCCAGCGTTGTTTCTGGGAAATCTCTATTTCAATCTATTCCCATACATTAGTTATTGAAAAATAATAGACAATCGCAAAAACAAGTTGACCTTTTTGTGTTCCTAGAGCCCGGTCATTTTATGGCCCTCGAGACTGGAAGTCATGCCAAACAACTCATTACCAAAAGAGCTAAGGTCCCAGCCTGCGCCGAAGATTTATGAGACCTCTCCTCATCTGTGAACGGACCAGTGGCCGACTCTGGTGCCCAGGCTGTTGCTTCCCAGCCTGGTGGTGAATCCTCCATAGTCTGGTGAGTGTAAATATATATATCTCTTTTCCCTTCTCCCCTTCAAATTGCAATTTGCTTATTATATCATTTGCTTATTATATCAATTTGCTTATTACATTAATCTGCTTATTATATCAATCTGCTTATTGTATCATTTGCTTATTATATCTGCGCTGCCATTTACATGGGATAAAGCTTGTTTACCCTTAATGGTGTTGTGTGTGTGTCTTTTATTTTCCCCTCACGCATTTCCCGTACAGAACAGAGACCAGCTGGGCCAACATGGCGAAATCCCATCTCTACTGAAAATACAAAAAAATTAGCCAGGCATGGTGGCGCACACCTGTAGTCTCAGCTACTCAGGAGGTTGAGGCAGAAGAATTGCTTGAACCCAGGAGGCAGAGGTTGCAGTGAGCGGAGATCGCACCACTGCACTCCATCCTGGGTGACAGAGTGAGACTCTGTCTCTAAATAAATAAATAAATAAGACAATTAGGGAAAAAGTTAAGATGGTAGGTATAATCCCAAATATATCACGAATTATTATTGTGGGTTGACATGTGCCCCCTGAAAGATAAGTTTAAGTCTTAAATCCCAGTACCTGTAATGGTAATGTTATTTGGAAGTAGTGTCATTACTGATGTACGCAAGATCAAGTCATAATGAATTAGCGTGGGACCTAATTCAGTGAATGATGTCTTTAGAATAAAAGAGAAATGTAGACATAGACACATAGAGAGAACATGTGAAGAGAGAGGCAGAGACCAGAGTGATATGTCTACAAGCCAAGAAACACCAAGGATTACAGGCAACCACCAGGAGCTAGGGGAGACATCAGCAGATATTTTCTCATACTGCCACAAGGAACCAACTCTGCTGACATTTGTATTTCAGACCTCTAGCCAACAGACTATGAGAGAATAAATTCTGTGTTTTTAGTCACATAGTTGGTGGTACTTTGTTATGGCAACTTTCAGAAACCAACACAATTACATTAAATGATAACTGATTATATATTTGAATTAAAAAAAAGACTGTCATGCTGCATAAGAAGGTTAAAATAAAAAAATTAATGCTTACAAGCGACACATCTTAAATACTAAAATGCAAAAGATAAAAAATGAAAGGGTAAAGAAAATGCACCAAGCTGACACTAAAAGTAAATAAATAAATAAATAAATAAATAAATAAATAAAGTAGATGCAGCTATAACAATATTAGATAAGCTACCCTTTAAAGTGAGAAGCATTACTAAAAACAAAAAATATATATATTTATAAGATTAAAAAACTCAACCCACTGGGAAGACACAGCAATTGTAAATTTGCATGCAACTACTTAGCTTTACAATATATAAAGCAAAAATTATCAGAACTAAAATTAAACTGAGAAAACAGTTATAATTATAGTTGAAGATTTCAGCACAACGAACACTAAAGAACAAACATTTTAAAAGTCAGTACATTTCTAGATGATATGAATAACGCAATTAACAAACTTGACTTGGTAACAAACAGCATTGTACTCAAAACTCACATTATTTTCATGTGATCATAGAACATTGGTTTATTGCTGGATAATAACATTTCATGCTGGGCCATAAAGCAAGTCATACAAATTTCAAAAAAAAAAAAATGAATCATTCTGTGTTCTCCCAACATGATGGAATTAACAAGAAATCAAAAGCAAAAAGATAATTAGAAAATCTTCATATGTGAAAGTAGCCCACAATAGTCATAAACCATATTGTCAAAGAAAACATCACAGTGGAAATTAGGAAATATTTTGAACTGAAGAATATTAGAATTTATGTGATGCACGTAAGGCTGTAGCTAGAGAGAAAAGGTATAGCCTCTAATGCCTACATTGTGAAAAGAAGAACGGATCAATATCAACTTTCTAAATATTAATAAGTTAGTAAAGGACAGAACATTAAAAGCCATTAAACTAGATGAAGTAGAATTGCAGAAATAAAATAGAAGCATAAAGAATAAAAAAAATCAGTGCTGGCAAAAATTGAATCTGTGGGAAGAATAATACTATATTAGATGACTTCTATAAAGATTGATGAGAAATAAGTACAAATTGCCAATATAAGGAATGAAAAAACCAATATTATTACATATCCTGAAGATAGAAGTACATCATAAATAATGCCAATTAATTTTAAAATTTATGAGAAATAAGCAAATTCCTTGAAAACACAGCTTACTAAAAATGATACCAAAAAAGGAAAATATGAACTGTACTAAATATATTAAGTAATAAACTTACAACTAAAAATCTTTCCAGAAATCTAAAATAATCTATTGACAAACTGTGAGAATTAATAACTAAATTAGCAAGAAAGATGGGTATAAAGTCACTATAAAAATTTGCTTTTTATATGCTAGATATAGAATTTTTTAAAAAAATATAATTCACAGTAATACCAAAAACATCAGATAACTAGGAATATAGCTAACAAAATATATGCAGTACTTGTATGCTGAAAGTTATAAAATGCTATTGAGGAAAAAAATAGGAAAAACCTAAATAAATGGAAGGACACATAGTTTTATGTAAACATTTCTTGCTATTCTTTTAATTTTTATCCAAAAATTACGGCAATCATATTTCACTTTCAGTAGCCAAATATAATTTTGCTGACACATCTAAGGAAAATACTAGAATCCCCCACTTTAATTCCATACATATTTTGGAAAACTCATTATTATAAAGATGCTAATTCTCCTCAATTTTAATTTTATTTATAGATTTAGCATAATCCCCGTTAAAATTGTGATAATTGTTCTTCTGTGGAAACTAGAAAGGTAATTTTAAAAAATTACATGGAAACGGAAAGGTCAAAAACAGCTATGGGAATCTTTAAAACATAGCACAGGTTTGAACAACTTACACCGCATATATCAAAAGCTACCATAAAGCTAAAATAGTTAAAACAGAGCAACATTGATGCACACACTGACAAAAAAGCCAACAGAAGAGACGGAGTCCAGAACAGACCCACACACATATGGTCGCCTCAAATACAAGGTGAGACTGCCACGCAGTGGGAAAAGAATGGCCATTTTAGTAAATGGTGCCAAAATGGAAACAACCCAGTCCATTAACAATAAAATGAATTTAAAAATTGTGGTACACTTATACAATGGATTACTATTCAGCAATAAGGAAGAATAAACTATACCTACACACAGGAATAAATTTTACAAAATAATTTGATTGAAAAAGAAACAGACACAAAAGATCACATACTACATGAATTCATTTATTTAAAGTTAAAAATCAGCCAGAACTAACTTCCAATGCTTTAAGTCAAAATAGTGGTGAGGGGCTGGGCATGTTGGCTCACACCTGTAATCCTAGCACTTTGGGAGGCCAAGGTGGGTGGATCACTTGGACCCAGATGTTTGAGACCAGCCTGGGTAACATGGTGAAACCCCGTCTCTACAAAAAATACAAAAAATTAGCCAGGTGTGGTGGCACACACCTGTCATGGCAGCTATTTGGGAGGCTAAGGTGGGAGGATAACTTGAGCCTGGGAGATCGAGTCTGCAGTGAACCAAGATCACACCACTGCACTCTAGACTCTGTGTCAGCAAGACCCCATCTCAAAATAATAATAATAATAATAATAATAATAATAATAATAATAATAATAATAATAGGAAAGTATCTGAGGTGTTGATAATGTTGTAGGTATTAATCTAGGCACAGGCACTCTAGAAAAATATAAGGTTATGTGAGGCACTCATGAATAAGACTAATAATTCTCTCTCCAGCTTTATGAATAATATGCTAGAATAAGCATATTGCCTATTTCTTCATTTCCCCAGACAGAATAAACAAGTTTTTGAAGCTTACGGCCATTTTAGCAACATAAAAAAGTACACACTTTGTAACTCATTCTATAGCTTTTTTTTCATTGTGACATTAAAAACATGTATTTAATTTAAAAACTGAGTTGCATCCTGTTTGTTCTCCTGCATGTTTGGGAGTAACTCCTTTTTTTTTTTTTGCTGGTACAGAATACTCTGTTATTATCTTCTTGCTATGCTTTGAATCACCCAAGCCAAGACTTATTTTTAGCATTAAGCTGCTAACCCAGAAGCAAAGAAAACCAGTCACAAGGGATTATCTCTTTCAGGACTGTACTCGAATTATTATACATGTGAATTATTTAAGAATCAGATAATTTTATGTGGCAAAAGGAAGAAGAAAGCTATGAATAGAAGAAAGTACAAGTTGTCACTAATTATTAACTAGTCAATATGAAAATAAACCCTTCCATAAATAGATTTTTATATTTTTTTCCTTACACTAAATTTTCTTCCACTTCTGTTTCTTCCATCCTGTCCACATTGGTGGATTATTTATTGCTATTTCAGTTATACATTTCAAGAGAATGAGGTGACTGATTATATTTTTGCATAGTTTCTTGGTTTAAAATACTGTGAAAGGAATTTATTTTTAAATGTGGAACCTGTTACTATGACATCAAAAATGACAACAGAAATGGATAGCAAAGAAATACTCTTAACACCTTTAATTCTAGTGACTATAATCATTTAAAATCTCTTGCTCTTGATATAAGCAACTACCACCTTTAAATGAAAGTAGGTATTTCTAAGACATTCCAAAAGTCCCTACCTAAGCTGTATTGCTTGTATTGATCCGTATTCTCTTTAGAAATGCCTTCCTATCTCACAGGTTATTACATGATGGGAGATCACTTTATAATCTTAGCTGCTAGCCTTGAAATATTTCCTCTCTATATATTTCTTCTTAATCTCAATCTTCTTGGCTACCTATTTTATTACCAATTCCTCCATTCCATTTCTAGCATTATCTCACCCTTCAGGCTTTATGCGAGGCACTGTCTTCCTTCCCCAAAACTATGACTCAGTAAACCATCCTTTGGCAACCCTTAGTAAATATGCTATTTCATCCTGGTGAGGCAGCAAATTGGCCCAGCAAGCCAGACTTTACCACAAGGAATTGCCCCCAGGCCGCCAAAGCATTTCTGGGAGTTCTGTGTATCCAATTCCACAAATATTTCCTGAGTGCCTACTACGTGCCCAGCACTCTGCCAGGTGCTGGAAAGAAAATGATGAGTAAAACAGGCTCCTGGCCCTTCAAGAGCTTACAATTTAATGGAAAAGACAGAGCTTAAATGAGTAACTGCACAGATACATGATTACAAGCTGTGATGAGTGCTGGGAAGAGAAAGTACTCGGTATTCTGAGAGCATAAGATGCTTGGCCTGATTCAGTGTATGGAGTCAGGAAAGATCTCTAAGGAAGTGACATCAGCCAAGATCTAAAAAGTGATCATCAGGCAGGGGTCATGCTAGGCAGGAATTTGCATAGCAGGATAAAGATCTGTGTACTTAAAAGAGGAGGTCCTTTCTATTGGAAAATTATTAAATCATCAATCAAAAGGAAGGAGGGGGAGAACTCTGAAATGTACACAGCAGGAATAAACTTAAAATGTATTCCTGTGCAAGAATTATTTCACTCCAAAGAAGAAAAATAAGCATCCTTATCTTGAACTTTGCTAGGAGTCTCTCTTATATATTTAAAAAAGAAACTGAAAAGTACCCAGAGCTATAATCAGGGCATTATGTGGAATAAAATTCTAAAAGGAAAAATACAGATGACGCAGAAGTTGCAAGGTGAGATAACAATTTATATGGAGAAGAAGAAAAGGGCAAAATGCCATAAGCCAGTAGCAGTACAGATATAGGGAAGGCAGGTTTAAGATGAGGATCAAAAGAGGACCACCAGGTAGTTGCAAATTCTCAAATACACGTGCAGATTATGTGGAAGTGCTACATACATTTAAATATAAGTAAAATGTCAAAGAATAATGCCTTAGTGTGTTTGGTCTGCTATAATGAAATATCATAGGCTTGGTAATTTATGAACAATGGGGATTTATTGCTCATAGTTCTTAAGGCTGGGAGAGCCCAAGATCAAGGTTAATATCTGGTGATGGCCCATTCCTCATAGACACCTTCTATGTGTCTTCATACGGCGGAAAGGTAGGGCAGCTCTTTGGGGTTTCTTTTATAAGGGCACTAATCACTAGCATTAACCATCACAGACTACACACAATTGTTCCAAATCAGCATGGACGTTCAATAAATATCCATTATTGTGGAGGTAGAAAGGTAAAATGGAGAAGGCCCAGGACTTGTGTCCTGACTGCAATGCACTGAAGATCTGAATCACTGACCTGTGAGTTTCTAATGTTAGAATGCATTTGAAGCACCTGGGGAGCTTAGTAAACCATAGACTGATTGGTCCCAGCAACCCCCAGAGTTTGTAATTTAATAAGCCTTTGTTGGGGCCTAAGAACTGCATTTCTAACTAGTTCTAGGTGATGATGATGTTGCTGATTGAGAACCTTTGTTCCAAGGGAACTTTCCTCATCTGCAAAGTGAGACATTACTGTCTCCAAGGCCCAACCTCACAAATTTGTTGAATAAAATCAGTATACACTTTGAACATATAGGCTGTTCCATATTTGTCTTGTATTTCACTGCCAAGGATGGTATTTTTGAGTGACTGAACGCCTTGCCTATATTTTCTGAATAAAAAGACACTGTGTGAGTGTAAGCCTGTAATGATCAAATATCTAAGAATTCTGCATAAGTGGCATTCACTGAAGTGGCATGAATAAACAGAAATTTGAATACTGAAAAAGAGAGAGAATAACTGAGAAGTTATGTAGGCAATACTGTAAACATGGCCTTACCAGATGTTAAAATACTGAAATACTTCCATGCCAGATGGCATATAGCTATGTCCAAGACACACCCTGAGTACTGCACACCCACAAAGGCAACTAAAAGGAACCACCACCACCCTGCTTGAGCTCCTGTACCAGTGTGTATTCTGATTGTTGTGTGTCTTGCCTCACTGGTAATTAAATGTTTTATTACCCTTAGAAAGGAAAGAGAGGATGGAATTGTTGCTAGCTCCTCACAAACATCTACCCAAATCTTTCCAATACAAATCCTGGACTTAGCAGTCATGTTTGTTCTTCCTCTGTATCTTTATTTAGTCCGTGTAAATGAATATAAGATGTTCCAAGAGAAATAGGGGAAAACGGAGAAAGGAGAAATACCAAAGAGGAAAAAGGATTTAGGATTATATGTCATTACAGAATAACTCCACTTGAGCACTGTTAAAACCTGCTCTGAAAAATCAGTTCAGAAAGGCCTATCTAGACGGCTAAAGGAGAGAAGACACAGTAGTCCCAGTATGACTGGTCTATATGTGTCTCTCTGTTCAGCATTTTCCAAAGCTGCGTAAACTTTCCTTCTGCAGATGCTAAAAGTATTCCAAGTTGCCAAGTGGCATGACATAGTTCCGTTGCCAGCAACTCTGCCACCTTGGGCTGCTTAGGTCTACAGCCTTGATGATCTAAGTGGCCTTTGATGTTGCCAGGCATTGGATAGAAACAAGGACTTTATACTTTGGAGCTGGGTCAGTGTTGTCTCTATTTGTGCTCAGAAAAAGGGCATTTTCTCCACTATCTGAGCTAAAATTTCTTAGCTCCAAAACTGGGATTCACTAACCAAGAACTAAAAACTGGAAAATCAGGGAATAACAGAGTGTGAGCACTCTGGATTTCTTCACATGCTTTTCCCTGAATACTACAAACTGAGCTCATTCTTTCTGCATACTCGGAGTAATGATTAGTTAAAGAAAGCATGCTTAGAATTATAAAAATCCTTCCAGGAAATGTTTTTGGCAAAAAATACTCTTCCTTAGATAAAATTGAAATGCATAATGTATGAACAATCCCATCTCAATTTATAAAATTTCAACCACGTGAAAAGACATGTTTCTTGCTAAAATTCCTTCATCAGTTTCCATTAATAAATAAATGGTGGTGCTCCTTGCATCTACCTTAACTGCAACTATAAAACACTAAGCCTATGAATGAAGCATTTAGGAAACCATAATCCACTTTAAATTGGATATTATCAATTCAGCACAAAGAGTCAAAATGGTTACTTTCTTCCTTGTATTCATTAGAAAATACGGTAGAATGGAGAATTTGTGGGTTCTGTTTGAGGTTCAATTACACCTAAACATTGACCAATTAGTTTATAACAGAAACTATTTATATCAATGACTATTTTCATAGTTATCATATTATTGTTATGATTGTTATTAGCAGAAACTTCCGTTTCTGAGTACAGCCACATGAAACCATCTTAGATAGGCCGTTAGTAGTAAACTTGAGCTTCCATGCAAGAGGTAGCTTTCATTACATGCTGATAGAATATAAGTGCTTCCTTTCACATCACTGTATATGATGTTTCCAAATCACCATCAACATGACTTGAATTTTTTTTTTTTGCAGTCACAGAAGTTATAATGATTATCACTATTCCCATTATCTTATCTTTCTATTGCTACAGAACAAATCACAAAGTTAGGAGCTTAAAACAACACTCATTTGCTAATTTACAGTCTTGTAGGCCAGAAGATGGTCAGGCCTCAATTGTTGTTTTTAATTCAGGCTCTCACAAAGCTGAAATCAAGACGTCAGCCATGCTGAGAGGGGTTTTCTCCTAAACTTTTTCTCTTTCAGATTCTCGAGTTGTTAAAATTCATCTCCTTGTGGCTGTATGACAGGTCGCAGTTCTCTTGCCAGATGTCAGACAAGAATCACTCAGCTGCTAGAGACTTTCCTCAGTTCCTTACCATGAGGTCCTGAACAGTTCCCAACATGGCTGCTTACTCTCTTCTAGGCCAGTTAGAGCATGTCTGTCTACCACTTCACTGTCTTTTAGTTAAGTCCTCTAACTAGGTAAAGCACACCCATGATAATCTCCTTTTTGATATCCCAGCATATTCACAGGCTCTGCCCACACTCAGGGGGAGGGGCTATTCAGGGCGTGTACACCTAGGGATGGAGATCTTGTGAATGGAATTCTGCTTATCACAGCAACTGTCATGAAAATTTTGCTCAACAGAACTCCAGTGATTGGGTTAACCTCTTCCCCCGAGGCCACAGGGGCAAGGCAAAGCAAGTGGTTGAGACACATCTCTTCTTGCATCTACTTCACGCGCTGGACTTCCAAGCAGAGAATTTTCCTTTTAACAAATAATTATGTAGTAAATAAACAGTTTGAAAAAAAAAAAAAAAACCCATTTTGGACTAGATAAATCAATTAGAGACCATCCAGTCACCAAAATCTCTTCTGGCACTAACAGTCCATGATTTCAAAAGAAATAAGTTCAAGTCAATCATAGAGCTATAGTTGACAATTTATGATAGAGTGAAAAGAACATTTAATTTTTAATCATAAATATTGGATTCAAGTTTTGCATATTCCAATTATTTATTCTGTAATTCTGGGACATCTGTAGTATCACTATGCCCTTTAGTTTTCTGGCAAATCTGTAGTATCATACACTTCAGTCTCCATGCTTAGAAATGATGATAATCATTACAGTAATAATAAAAACATATGTCTTACAGGATTACTGTAAGGACCAAATGAAGTAGTGCATATAACACAAAATAGTATATAAATGTAATTCTGATTTATATTATTACTACTATGAAGACTTCCCTACCCCAATCAAGTTGTTTAATAGATAACCATTGTGTTTACCAGCTCAATACCTCTTGCTCTAGTGAATGTCTCTTCTCATTCATCATATACATTCTGTATCATTTAGGGTTCACATAAGCAACATACCTTGTTGCTATGGAACAGCAATAATTTGTGAGGACAGCAAATGCTTCCGGGGTCTACATGTCTCAAAGGGTATTATGTAATTCTAATGTGAATGCATTTTACTGTAGGACCAATGGGACACGCAAACACATAGTATGAATATTTGTAATATTCTTGAGAATATATTTAAGTGGATATCCTAAGAAGCTGTCAGAATCCCCAGACTCCCAAATTAATTTCCTGGCTGTGGTACAAGAGCTATTATGAGAGCAAAGACCAAGTAGAAGCCACTGAAGTAAATTTTTAAAGACATCTCTATCACTATTGAGCCATGCACAGAAAGTTTAAACCCAAAGACCTAAAAGGATTCAAGGGTGATGATTCCTGTCACTTCTCCATTTAACACTCCACTTTGGGCTAGTGCAGAAGATCGATGTATTTTAAAGAATAAGAATGATTTTTTATAAAATTAATAAGGCAGTAATGATTATTATGGCTGCAGTTTCAGATACTGTTTGCTCACTGGATCAAACAAGCATAGCCTATTTCATCTAACATGCAGGTTTCATTTGATAAAGGTACTTTTCCCTCTATTCTGGTAAGACAAGAACACCACTAGTAAACAATTTTTACCTGACAGGGCCAGCAGCATAGCTTTGACATTCTGTCTTAAGGAAATATCGAATTTCTCACACAATCTCACAATTCACTACTCTAGTCTACAATATTAAATACATATTGTTGACAGGTTCTAGAGGGCAGAAAGTGGCAGTCATCTCAGAGATTTATATAAAAAAATGTGTAGCAGAGATTGAGAAACAAATTCCATAGAAATACATCATCTTGACATCTTAGTAAAGTGCTTAAGGATCCACTGGTTCAGAGCATATCAAGATTTTTTTCCATACCGAAAAATAAGTTGCTATATATTGTATACCCAACCACTAAAAAGGAGTAGGAACATCTAATTAACTAATACGACTTTGGAGGTGACATTTATCACTGACTCATTCATATGATTTTAAAAAGCTCCCAGTTTTAATAGAAGTCCAGGTCAAAGCAAACAAACAAAAAAGTTCTTCAGGTTTCCCAAGATACAGTGCAAATTGTTCTATTTTTAGTATTTGTGACAAGATAATCCCATGGTGTGTAAAGTGGCTGTGTAGACTGGGGTGTTATATGGAGATTGTGACAAATTCTAATAAAAAATCACAGCAAAACCTATGTGCATTTAATAGTATAGTAAAAAGGGCAAGTACTTATAAACAAATAACCTTTTTTTATTTTTTAAGATAGTAGCTCCCAGCTTCCCACTGGTCTCTGGTAGAACTGAATGCCTAATCAATGAATGCCAGATAGCCATGCAACTTGATATTCCATTCTTACATCGAGTGCTATTGGATTAATTTTGCAATTATGTCAGGCAAATCCAGCGGCAGTCCACCTCCATTATTCAATGAAAATAATCTACATGGATCAGGTCTCGGAGGCACAAATTGTATAATCATTTTGTTTACAGGACCCAGCATGTATGCCTGCTCCTAACGTATTTCAACTTCTCTCTCAACTGACACCTAATGTGATCCTGGGAGTTCCTTTTCACTAAATAACTGCAGATGAAGATTCTATAGCCTGTCTTGCAGATGCATCTATAAGATATACAGGAACCACCCAGAACTGGACTGCAAAAGTGTTATAGCCCCATTCAAGAATGGAGTTATAAAACAATGAAGACTAGTCCAGAAGGTGGCTGCATTTAAGCACTATATACCATTTTGCAGGAGTACAGCCCAAGGCTAGGATCTACACACCACTTTCTGAGTTGTCTGGTGAAGTAATTACAATAATATAAGAAATAAATTGAAATATTGATAACCAGGAAGTTTGAAAGAAAAGTTGGGATAGATCTTTGGGAATGGGATCAGGATCTGAGGATATATGTATACCATAGGAATGCTCACCAGAAGATTCCCTGCAGAAGAGGTTCTCAATTACACGGACAGAATAACTCCTTCTGCACATGTCAGTACAGCGAAGTGCTATGGTGGCAGTAATTGAGGCTGTGCATGAAATCAACAACAGAAACTTAAGCTCTACAAGGCTATCTGAATATCAGTTCTGATGATTTCTTAACTTGTCACGTAAGGACCCATCCCTGCTATGAAGCCTTGAAGGAAGACAGCTTCCTAATATATTTTATATTATGGCACACATAGTTAATGATAAAATCAAGATGTTGAATATTTTAAAATTATATCTAATGACTACATAGTAGTCATGGATATAATTATGTCATATAATTATATCTAATGACTACATAGTAGTCATGGATATAATTATGTCATATAATTATATCTAATGACTACATAGTAGCTCCTCCCATAACTCTATGATATTGAGTTCTGCTGGTTTGGATGCTGGAAACCATGCAGAGAAAAGGGTGGGAATGTAAATTTGGTCAACCCCCATGGAAGACAGTATAGAGATTTCTCAAAGAATTAAAAATAAAATTACCATTTGACCCAGCAATCTCGCTACTGGGTATCTACCCAAAGGAAAAGAAACAGTTTTATCAAGAAGATACCTAAACCTGTACGTTTACTGCAGCACTATTCACAATAGCAAAGTCATGGACTCAAACTAGGTGTCTATCAGTGAACTGGATAAACAAAATGTGGTATATATACACCATGGCATACTATGCAGCCATAAAAATAATGAAATCATGTCCTTCATAGCAACATGGATGTAGCTGGAGGCTGTTATCCTAAGTAAAACAACTCAGAAACAGAAAATCAAATACCACCTGTTCTCACTTATACATGGGAGCTAATCAATGGGTATACATGAATCTGGAAACAATAGACTCTGGAAACTACAAAAGTGGGGAGGGTAGGAGGAAAGCAAGGGTTGCAAAACTACCGGTTAGGTACCATGTTCACTATTGGAGTGATGAGTTCACTGGAAACCCAAACCCCAGCATTATGCACTATACCCATGTAACAAACCTGCATATGCACCCCCTGAATTTATAATAAATAAGCACATAAATAAAAAATTTAAAAAGAATATCCTGTGAATAGAAAGATTCTCCTGTTTCAAGAAGGAATGCTTTTTTTTTTTTCTTAGTATTTTTATTTACTGCTGGTGACATCTTCCACATTCCAAAATAAATGACAGCAGTTCACTTCTGGGATGGTTAAGTACTTCCTCTCCAACCAATCCTCTTGTAGATAACTATAAACACTAAATAAAATAGAAAAAAAAGCAGCTTTCTGAAGTCATTGGAGAATGAACAAATGCAGGGAGAAGCTAGAGAGGAGCTGTCACTTGGAAGAATGAAACGACACATGGGTGAGTTTTCTGATTGTATGGCTTTTCTTTCTGAGGTTAAGTCTATATGAGTGGCTGAAATATGAATGAGAACCAGGATTTTACTGGCATAAAGAACCAAAGTACTGAGTTTGGGCATCACATACTTGGAAGTTTGGGGTTGGGTAAGTGCAGTGGTCCTGGAAAACAGAAAGTCATAGAAGGTGACTTCCATATTCTGCAAATGCACTTTCCAACAACCTCTGGCTGACCCCTGAACTATATGTGTTCGAGGCGGACTCTAAGCAGCCCAGCTAAGGCTAAAAGGAATGCAGAGGGGTTACAGTTTACAATCTGATACCAGCCACAGTGTCGGTCTAAAACAAACAAGTAAAACAAAACAAAAAGCACACTATCTAGAGGACTACCACATAATGCAACATCTCTACAATGTATCATTCAAAATGTTTAAGAAACAATTCAAAATTAGATACATAAAGAAACTTTTTAAATGTGATCCAGAATCAAGAGAAAAGAGAATTAACTGAGAGTGAATCTGAGATGAATCAGATGTTAGAATTAGGATGCAAAATTATAAATTCTTCAATGATATAAAGAAAAATATACTTATAACGAATGAGCAAGTAGAAAAGCTCAACAGACAATTAAAAATAACTAAAAAATACAATACTGAATACTAATAATACAATAAATATATATATATTTTAAAAATCAAGTGGACAAGTTTAACATCAATTGAAAGTGACACATAAGGGTCAGTGAACTGGGAAATCAATAAACAGAAAATATCCAAAAAGAAGAAAGAGAAAACAGTTTGAAAATTATAAACAGAGTTTCAGTTATCTGTGTAGCAATACCCAAAGGTATGACATACATATAACTGGAATCTGAGAGTATAGAACAAGAAAGAATTAAGAGAAAAATTATTTGAAATGATTATGGCCATTTTCAAAATCTGCTAGAAGACATATATTTACAAATTCAAAAAGTTCAGTGAATTTCAAACAGGACAAAAAGAAATAAAACCACACATGGGCAGTTTTTAGTCACATTGTTAAAACCACAGATAACAGAAGATCTTGAAAGGAGTTAGAGAAAAATAGCATACTATTTATGGGAGAATAATGTTACGAGTTATCCTTGACTTCTCATCAAAAACAATGAAGGCCAGAAGACAGTAGAAAAATGTCACCAAAGTGCTAAAAGAAACCAAAACTTTAAAAACTACCAAATTTGAATTCAAAATCTATTGAAAATTACTTTCAAAAAGGTAGATCACATAAAAACATTTTCAGATAAATAAAAATTATGATGTAAAGCAGAACTACACCACAAAAATTCCTACAGAAAGTTATTTGGGCTGAAGGAAAATGATACCAGATAAAATCAGATGTCCAGGAAACAATATTGAACATCAAAAAGACCAATATGTGGGTAAATATAAAATATTATTTTCTATTCAATTTCTTTAAAATATTTACGTTTAAAGCAAAAAATATATGGTGGGATTTATAACATATGTACAGATAACACCTGTTATAACTATAGCATAAAGAAAACTGGGGCCGGGTGTGGTGGCTCACGCCTGTAATCCCAGCACTTTGGGAGGCCAAGGCGGGCGGATCACAAGGTCAGGAGATCGAGACCATCCTGGCTAACACCCTGAAACCCCGTCTCTACTAAAAATATATTTTAAAAAAAGAAAATTAGCCGGGATTGGTGGCGGGCACCTGTAGTCCCAGCTACTTCTACAGGCTGAGGCAGGAGAATGGCGTGAACCTGGGAGGTGGAGCTTGCAGTGAGCCGAGATCCTGCCACTGCACTCCAGCCTGGGTGACAGAGTAAGACTCTGTCTCAAAAAAAAAAAGAAAAGAAAAGGGGGTCAGTCAATGAACCTATGTGATTACAAAGTTTTCACATTTTACATGAATTGGTACAATATTAACTCTAAGGACACCTGAAAATTCAAGGATATTTATTATAGTACCTCAGTGGCCATTAAAAAAATAAATTATTAGAGCTAAAAAGCTGGTAGAGAAGCTAAGATGGAATTACATAAAATATTCAATTAATTCAAAAGGAGGTAATAAATAAGGTACACAGGTACGAAGAGCAGGTAGGACAAACAGACAGTAAACTGTGAAACATTAGACCTACCTCCAACCATATCAATAATTACATTAAGTGAAATGCTCCCTCCAAAAGGCAGAGATTATAAGAATGAATAATAATAATAAAAAAGCTAGCTAGGCCAAACTATATGCTACAATACAGATAGGTTGAAAGTAAATATGTGGAAAAAGAGATAGCATGTATTAAGCAAGCATAAGATAGCTGAGTGACTGTATTACTATCAGACAAAGTAGGCCTCAAGGAAAAGTTTCACTTTGGAATTTCCTAATTAGTTAAAAACATTAATTGAGTACTATACTCACTACCTGGGTGATGGGTTCCATTCTACCCTAAACCTCAGCATCATGCAATATACCCATGTAACAAACCTGCACATGTACCACCTGAATCTAAAATAAAAGTTGGGGAAAAAATTAATTATAAAATAAATAATTTGGGTATTCCAAATTTATTAGGAAGGCATAAAAATCAATGATTTTTTTTTCCTTTTAATTACACTCAAACTTCATTGAGCTAAGTGATTTCCATGTATTTTTTTTAGGCGTGTTAAGAAATCTATAACCTAAAGTTAGAGAAGATAACATTTCTGATTTCCAGCCATCATCTATATGGGTATATACTTGCTATGGAGTTATATCAGAAAGCCAATAAGTTTTCATACTGAATTTCCTTGAAAAGCTTCCATACTCAGGAGATCTCACTCTTGGTAAACTCTTCAAAATGTCTCGGTACCAACTGAATCATTTCCTAAAATCAGTAACCAAAATTTTCTTTCACTTTTTTCTTTCCTGTTTTTCTCTTTCCATCCAAATTTATGTTTGTATGTATGTGTATGGATGCACATATTCACGACATGTGTTTATATATATACACTCTTATTTTTAAAAGCACATTTCATCCATCTGTGTCACTCTAGCAATACTGAAGTTAAATTGCCTAGCCAAAAATATTGGCAAACAACATTTTGCAAAAACACATTAAGCAACACAAAGCAAGGAATCTGTGTTCCTTCTCTCTCTTTTTTTTAAAGTAACTATACCATCAGTGCAATAAGGGAGAATCACATCTAAATCATATCTAATTTTTTTCCAAATCTGTTTTTGAATTTTACATTAAATTTAAGGGATGGGGGAAGAGAGAGAGAGAGAGACTGAACAACACTGATGAGTCTCAGGGAAAGCAACCAGACAAACACACAGAGCACCATTGCATTTTCATGAGCTAGACATAAACTAAATAGTAGATAACTTTTCCAACACTCTACATCTATTGAGTGTAAAGCTAGGATTTAAATCTAGGTGGTCCTACTCAAGGGCCTGCTCTTTAAGCCCACTGAACTATTCCATCAAAGATAATCAAGGCTTTAACACACTGTGATGTTTTTAAGGGTTCATAAGAAAGTAGATTCTCACCATGGTAAACTAGCATTTTTTTAAGCAATCTTACTCACTGACCTTCCTATTTTAAAAATAAGGTAACATAAAAACAGAATAATTGAAACATTAGAGTTAATTTACATAAATAAATGCTCTTTTCAATAGCTAAGACTATCCAAAATCTCAAAAACCTATTCTTCATCTGTTGGCTGTTAAAGGAGTTTTAGAAAAAGAAAGCTAACAAATTTCTCAAGGTGAGTAGACATTATCAAAGCAAATCACTGATTAGAATTTGTTTTTTACATTCTGACTCTACTCCCTTTAGAGAACTAAATCTGTTAGCTGATGTAATTAGATAGCTAAAATTCATGCTTTTTTGTATGAACATTTCACTTATTCTTCATAACAATTAAGAGAAGCAGGTATACCCTGTTATCAGTCACATTTTACAAATCATGAAACAGATGTCCACAGAGATTTGGTCTCTCTCCAAAGCCATATGACCCATAACTGTCAGAATACAGATGTTCTTAAGCTTGTGATCTAAACCCCATACTCAATCAACTATGCTAGCTGTCTCTTACCTTTATCTTAAATAATCACAAAAATTCTTAAATGGTAAATACCTTTCACAGATAATGATATGCCAAACCAGGTACTATTCAACTGCCAGTTCTTGTGTTGAATTTCCTAATTAAAAGGAGTCAAGCTACCTAGCAACTGACACCTTTGGGGAAGGGAGTCAGCTTGGAGGTGCATATTGGGGCTATCCTGAGTGAGCCTTATCTCACTCTAGATATGGGGCACAAGGCTAATTAGCAAATAGAGGCATCTAAAGTTTTGGGGTGAACTTCCTATATTGAATACAGTACTATCAAAATTTTCTCTTCAAAATTGACTTGAATGAGGTGCCTAAGGCAACATAAGTGGTGCTGGTCAAAAGATAAAGGGATCCATCTCTTCCTAGTTGATTAAAATGCTCAGACTCAAAGAATGCTATTTATTGTTGTTCCCCCAGTATGTAATTAACAAAAGACAAAAAAAAAACTTTCTGCAAGTTCCTAAAGAGTGCTATTTAGCAACATTAGACACTAGAGAAGTAGTTTTCTAAGATCAAAGTATAAGAGCATAAATCCAGGTAATTACCAAGTAATTACTAGCAGCCAATATCTGTCTTATTTGTCAGTGAGATGGTAAGAATGACTGAAAACCAGACTACTTTGTAAAGAGGAGAATATTAAAAACTCTTCCATTAGCATAAGGTAAAAATAGGGATTCTTCTCAACCATAAATGCTGATGTGACAAATCCTGTTGCTGTCATGCCATGTGACAGACACAACCGCAAGGCTTGGACCCCAGCCCACTGATTATGCCAGGCAAAAGGCTGGTGCTCCCAAACCTCAGGTCCTCATCTGGCAGCATGGGTCTGGGGCCAGTATTATACCAGGTCATACCACTATTGTGTTTTGGTCTATGATAGGCCAGGAGAGGAACTGGTACTTCACTAATCATGCAGTTTAAAAGTACCACTGCCTGTATATTGAGGCCCCTCTTCCAAAGTCTGTCATCAAGACCTACTAGAATTATGTGTGCTTCCCTACAATGCAATGTGCCAACAAAGGGGCCACGTCACTACCCCTGGTGCTGCTTTCTCAATGCATTTTCTCCAGTGTGCCCCAGTAGCTTGTGCATGTGCTGCTTAGCCATTACCCTTGTGAGACTTATCTTACAGTTTCAATTTCTGGACTATGAACATTAGAAAAAATAAATAAATGTCTTTTCTGTTCAAGTCATAGCGTTTGGGGGAGCTCTTTGCTGTAGCAGTTTAACCTCATTCCAATCAATCCACAGGCTATATTCTGTCAGCATTCTCCAAGACCACCCATAGATTTGATGACTCCTTAGGAGGATTCACAGGACTCAGCATATAGTCCTGTTCATGGTTAGGATTCATTACAGTGAAAGCATACAAAGAAAAACCTGCAAAGGGAAAAGTCACACAGGGTGAAGTTCAGAGGAAGGCCAGCACAAGCTTCCAAGAGTTCTCTCCCAGTGGTGTCACACAGAACACACCTAATTCCTCTAGCAATGAGTTGGATAAAACATGTGAAATGTTGTCTACTAGGAAATCTCATTAAAGACTCAGTGCCTGAGATTTTGTTGGGGGCTGGTCACGTAGCCATCCTCGGCCTAGCACAAACCAAAATTCCAGATTCCCAGAAAAAATTAGGTGTTCAGTATCACCCACACTGTTTGTACAGTTTTGGCACAGCAAGCCACCCTTATCAGTTCTGGGAATGCGAACCCTTCTAAATTCCAGTTTTTAATATGCCAGCCAATGACCAACCTTGCAAGGAGGCCTTTCCGAGGATAACAGCCTCAGGACTGTTATGTTAATTCTTTACCGCACAGGTATCCTAACTAATATTTTATATAAATCCAGCAAAAATAAAAAAGAAAATTCAGAAGAATAATCTGTTTCAAAATTTGTGAATGACCACCCCTCAGGAATGACAGAGAGGAAATAAATTAGTGGTGGGGCTTTAGCCATATCTGTAACATTTGAAACATTTAAAACAAACATGGAAAAATATTGATAGCTGTTTAATTGTATGATATACACATGTCTATAATTTTATTTTTGTTCATCTGTATAACTTTGAAATGTTTCATTTAAATTAAAAGATGAAAAAAACAAAAAAAAAAAATCATACAAACAAGAAACTATCCCTCATGAAAGTATATCATTAATAACATTTAGAAAGGACTATGCAGTGGAGAAACAGCTGCGAAGCAACTCAAATGTGCCAACGTTAAGAGAAAATTTTGTAAGGTCCACCAGCGTATGTCACAAATTAAGTGACTTTTAAAAAAATCTCCTGAAAAATATTTTGGAACTATAAAGATAATGGGTACCATAACAGAGGAAATCTGGGTTTATACCAATATTTAATAGCCATCAACCAGTCAATCAATCAATCACAAATGCTCCACACACACCACTCTAACAATAAATGAAATTACATAGAACTCCAATTTACAATAGTTGTTTAGCTTACAATTCACTTATATTTTTCTAATGATAAGGAGAGAGAGAAGGAAAAGAAGAGATGAATGTGTATACACACATATAGGCCTGCAAGAATGAGAGACAGAAACGAGTGGAGAAGAGGGCAGGAAAAGGAGAGGGGAAGCGGAACTGGGAAGAAATACCATGAATACAAATGAGAGAAAATCTATTTCTAGTTTCCAGCACTAATTCAGGTATTTTCAAATCTCAAGTGTACTAGAGGGGCAAATGTCTTTAAACTACATTTAAATAAGTAGGAAGCACTAGAAGAGTTACAGAATAATCAGAACCCTATAGTACTAATTTGAGAAGGATGGCATAAGAATCACATTACAAAAGATTAACCATATTAACTAACTTTAAAAAAGTCTCTGGGATTCTTCATGACTACTTTTAGTTAAAATAATAATAAGTACATTTATTTGTGATGACGGCACCAATGATGCTATTCTAAATACTTTATCTTATTAATTCTCAAAAGAACCCAGTGAGGAAGACACTTGTCTTTCCCCATTTTACATGTGTGAAAACTGAGGCACAGAAAGTTAAAATAAATTGTCTTAGATGGAGCCTGAATTCACTCAGGCAGACTACATCCAAAGCTTTTATTTTTAACTTTACTCATTTTGACACTTCATTTCCTATTATCTCATACTTTATGAAAACATAATATTCAACTAAAAATAACTACATTTCCTATACTGATTACTCATGACTTTGGCAAAGCAAATGTTATTATACAGGAAGGAGCAAAAGGGTATGTTTCTCCTGTGAATTAAGAGAAGGCTTCAGTAGCATTTCTCCCATACCAGTATTCCAAAGCATAGCAAAAACACCTGTCTGGGAAAGCGCTTTATTTCCTAAGCTGTTCTATAAATACCTGAAAGCTATTTTAAAAACAAAAATAAAACATAAACCGTTCCTGAAAACTTCCATGCCTTTCTAACTTCCCAATGGTGACTCCTTTTTCCTAGGTTCCTAGAAAAAATTAAAAAAAAAAAAAAAACTGGCTAAACTTTTTTTTTAAAGCTTCTTTTATATTCTGGGAAATGAAAAATGATTATGAGCTTACTATGAGCTAACAACCCTAGATAATTGTACTGATGGATTTATAAGACCCCAAACAAGGAAAATGATCTTCCCACTGCAGTTTGCACATTGGTCCACATCTGTGACACTATGTTTAGTTACGGGTAACATCACTGAAATGGGGCATTTGGAATAAAGGACCAGGTTAGAGGGAAGAAAGGGTAGTTAGAGGGAAGAAAGAATAAAGGGTAGTTAGAGGGAAGAAAATCCATCTTTTTGTGTAATTTGTGTATATTGTATATTACGTGTATATTTTCACTTCTAAAATACTAAACATATTTACTTTGTGTATATTGTCTCTCTCCCATTGCTCAAATTGGTATTAGCCAACCCAAGCTACAGAGTTGAGAGATGGAGAAGAACAGGAGGAAAAGGAGAGTGTTTTTGGCAAAAGAAATGGCATTCCCAAAGGCCCACACTGAAGATAAAGCTTAGCAGTCCAGGCACTGAAATTTCAGAGCAGCTGGGGTGTAGACAGTGAAAGAAATTGGTAAGTGAAAGCCCTTGTGAGTCAGGACAAGAAGGGCTGGATGGGAGGTCAGGGGAGTCATGAGAGGCCAATGAAACATTTTAAGCAGGGACCAAATCTCTGTGACTACAGTTAGATAATAAACTTTACTTGCGCCATTTGAAATTGTTAATATTCAACTGTTTTAGACCTACAAAAATGGCAACTACGCATCATTTAACTCCATTAAAACCTTCCTGAAAGGAAGCAGGACTAGAAAACCAGGGAAGTGTTCAATAGTGAAGGTTAAAAAAAAACAAAACCCACAATATGGTTTCAGTGAAAATATTGAAAATATTGTTATTGGAGCAGAGTAACATGATGACAACCTGTCAAGGCTATTACAGATGCGATACTTCTGCAGGAAAAAAAAATTAAGAAGATAACCTACAATCTGATTTTAAGATCCTGAAAACGCGTAGAAAACACAATAACAAATTCTAACCACCCCACGCTATTTTTACAATTTAAAAAATGCTGTACTTTTACTCTTTCTCTTAAAAAATATGTATGTTCCAGGTGCGTGGCCCTATGCTGAGCACATGAGTATAAAGATGTTTCGAGGATCTTAAAACCTAACATTTCCATCTGGATAGTGGCTGCAAGTGCAACAGAGAAGTGACCCCTTAGACCTCACTGCTAATGGCAGAATGAGGACCAGAACTCATATTCCCTGACTCCTGGAGACCAGGGCCCCTCCCACTGTACCATCCTGCTGATATTTCATAGGCTTCACCTGAGATAGGCAGCTGTGTCTCTTAGTCTACACATTCCATCTCGAAACAAGAGGAAGGGCAAGCATACATAATTAATGATGGCACTGTAACTTTCCACAGCCTTTATATTTCTATATCTATTTTCTCCATGTATAGCCTTGTCCATCACCACCCTATCCCATCACAAACTTCCTACATATTTAAAAAAAATCCACCCCCTTAATCCAAAGTAGTGGGAATATTATATGCATACATCATAGCAGTATTTTGCACTTGAAATTCATTGCTTCAAAGCATCTTGATAATTTTTCTTGTCTCTACCTGACCCTAAATTGCACTGGGGTAAGATGCTAGCTAGGTTTAAGGCACACACTAGTTTTCTTCAAGAACAGTTCTTTTTAAAAGAGGAAAAGAATAGAAGAGAAGCCAAGGGGATAGAGGAATATAAATTTTTTCACTGACTTCTTTGCCTAAAGAGGAAAAGAATAGAAGAGAAGCCAAGGGGATAGGGGAATATAAATTTTTTCACTGACTTCTTTGCCTAAAACAAATTTTTTTCACTTTATTTTTACTCTAAGTTAATTCAAAGATAATTGGAAATAGCTGACTTTTAGTTTTAGGAGGAACTAGAAAAGAAATTTTGATGTACTCTTTGTCTTCAAAAGAGTATGAGTAAAAAAAATTCTTCTACCCATCGGATTTTTTTTTTTTTTCTTTTTTTTTTTCTGAGATGGAGTCTCACCCTGTCGCCCAGGCTGGAGTGCAATGGCGCAATCTCAGCTCACTACAACCTCTGCCTCCCAGGTTCAAATGATTCTCCTGCCTCAGCCTCCCGAGTAGCTGGGATTACAGGCACCTGCCACCACACCCAGCTAAGTTTTGTATTTTTAGTAGAGGTGGGGTTTCACCATGTTGGTCAGGCTGGTCTCGAACTCCTGACCTCGTGATCCACCCACCTCGGCCGCCCAAAGTGCTGGGATTACAGGCGTGAGCCACCGCGCCTGGCCTCCATCAGATATTTTGCAACAGAAATATTAGTTTCCATCTCCTTCCTTCATATAATCTCGATATGTTAGATTAGGATTGGAGTCTGCTGTGGGATATTATATAGACTTGGAACCAGAATAGATAAGATAACTTGGACTAAAATGCCCACTACTTCTCTCAGACTAACACATTTCCTCTTTGTTGTTTTAAATTTTTTCCAAATATGTAAGTAATAAATGAATACATAATTGAATTTTAAAATTCATGCAATAAAAGATGAGCAAAAGTCTTCCCTTAGCATCCCACCTCCCAATTACTATCCCATTCGCAAAGGAAGTCAGTATCTGTGCTATCACTGTCACCAATTTTGTCATTAAAAATCAAGAGCTAAATCTTGTTACCTTCAAACGTAATATTTTGACATATGATGATAACATATATAATCCTTTCCATATACAGAATATTTAAGTAAAGTCACAACCAGGAAAATAAAAAAGATGTAGAGATCACTTATATCATTTTATTAATAAGATAGTATATACTTACTTTTAAATACATGTAATGTCTGCTGGATTAATGAACTGATGATCCAGGCTAGGAAAGAAGGTTAAGAACAACAGCTCTTCAGCATCTATAACTAGATTAAATTATCAGCACAAACCATGTATTGAATTTCTGGAATTTGTTTTATTAAGAAACTAAATTTGAAAACAAGCTGTACTCATGCAAAGGACAGTAGAAGATTAAAAGTAAACTGTCTAAACAGTCTATATCTGGATGTAAATACCAGCTCACTCTTTTCTTTTTCCACACTGATTTTCCCACAGGAAGGAACAGATTAAAGAGTGGATTACTTCAAGCACTATAAAGGTCTCTAGACTGACCCCACTCTTAGAGGGAGCTCTTTCAGAGGAATAATGCTATAAAGAACAGTGAAAGCCCCAAAAAACCCACAGCTGAGCCCTTCAGAGGGCCCCATTCACAGTCACCATTGACTGCCCTGGCCTCTCTGAGGGGATTCAATATAATTCACTGCCCACCAGAATACTGAATTCACAACAGAGAGGAAAAAAAAAACTGATGGTGCTGCTTTGCATCTGTTTAAATTTTTACAGAAATGTTAAGGGAGTTAATCTTCTACAAGTCCAGTCATGTGCTTTCACAAAGGGCCAAGAAAGGAGTCCCAAAGCTCGCCATGACTCAACAGGAAGCTCTTTGTGTCTTCCTTTCTACACCATGTCTGACAAAGAAGCTGTCTTAAGTTCATGGGCCTCTGTCTCTTGCGTGAATTCTGAAGTCAGTGAAGCAACAATGATGTCATTGCTTCTGAAGACCACTGTTGGCTGAGATAATGAAGATCTCTTCACCCAAAACATTGCCATTTCTGCAGCATACATTTCCTACCCTTTCAAATACAAAAGTATTCTACCGATTGAGGGGGGTGATGTATGTTTATTTTTTGCATTATTCAAAAGAAGTCATACTGAAGCATGTTTCCCTCTCACCAAAACATCTTCTAAAACTGAACTAGTAAATACCACTACACTAAAATAGTTGATTCATACACTTGAAAGGAAACCAAAAGTTATGCTTTTGAAATTAGATATATTATTCAATTAATATTCTGATACTAAATGTCCAGTAGTTTCATAGGCAACATATGGTATGACGTGAATAAAATCCATTTCTCACCCTTTTAGTCTCCAACATATACGCACATTTGGCTTTTTTTTTTTTTGGAGATGGAGTTTCACTCTTGTTGCCCAGGCTGAGTGCAGTGGCACGATCTCGACTCACTGCAACCTCCGCCTCCTGGGTGCAAGCTATTCTCCTGCCTCAGCCTCTGGAGTAGCTAGGATTACAGGCATGTGCCACTACACCTGGCTAATTTTTGTATTTTTAGTAGAGATGGGGTTTCACCATGTCGATCAGGCTGGTCTCAAACTCCTGACCTCAGGTGATCCACCTGCCTCGGCCTCCCAAAGTGCTGAGATTACAGGTGGGAGCCCAGCTGCACATATGGCAAAAGCAAATTAGATTATCTAAAGAATATCAAATAGTTTAAAGGCAGTTATTTCCACAAATTTTAAAAATGATAGACTCCTTTGAAAACAACTCAAATATGGACATATTCAACTCATATATCCATATATGCAGTCTAGCATGTATAAGGACAAAAAAAGGCAAGGTTAAAAAAATAAGTGTTTAGGCAATTGGAAGTTCAGCAGAACCAAAATAATGAGTGTATACTGGGGAGTGGCGTCCCTTATGAATAATGAGATAAAATAGATAAACTATGGAAGTACCAGGCAATGGAGGACAAATATAAAAAATTTATATTTTATCCAATAGGGAGTTGGGAGCCACTAAACATTTTTAGATTAATAAATGACAAAGTATTTCAGTTTACAACAATGACTACATCTTCAATCAAAAGCAGCAATCTCCAAAGCAGAGATTGCAAACACATACAACAACATTTACTGGAGTATGGGGAAAAAGAATCTCTATAGTTCTCTTTATTACAGTCTTGAAAATTTATAGCTCCATGAAAGTTCTACAATACATAGGATGCATGTTCCATAATGTATAAATGATAGTAGTATATTTGTGTGTGTGTGTGTGTGTGCATATACACACGCATGTGCTGTGGATACATGGTCCACAACATTTGGTAACCTTCTATCTCAAAATGGAATAGAGGGAGATAGGTTTAGAAGCAGGAAAACAGTTTAGGATACTGCTGCAGTATTTGAAACAAAAAGTATTAGGCTCTGAACGAAAGTGGAAACAACAGACCCTGGGCCATTTTCTTGAGAGCTATCTGGATGTAAAATTTGTGGGTACTGCTTACCAACTGGATAAGGGTTGTGAAAATCAGGAAGTTAACTGGGTGGATGTTGGTTTCATTTACTAAAACTGGAATATAAGAGGAAAGGATAAAGAAGGAGTAGTCCAGAAACTGGTGGAGGGTTAGAAACAAACTCAATGTTAGCCAGTCTGAGTCACAGGTATCTGTGGAGGACCTTAAAGAGAGGTAAGGTAAGGAAAAAGCAAATGTAACAGCACAGTTTTCTCATCAAAGATTTTATTTATTTTGCAAGTAAATCAGATAGGAGAAGCTAAAAAACAGATTTCAATGAATTAAGAATTAAAAACATGAAGTAACATAATAACATGGTATATGACAAAGTATGAAAATCAACATAACTTGATATTTTATAAGAACTATAAAATATCAGGAAAAAAACTTTCAGAGAAAAAAAAGAAATGATGACACCCACACTGGATAATGAACACTAAGTGGAGGTGACAAGAAGACACTGCAGATGCAGAAGGGAATATGACTATATTTACAGAAAGAACAAGCAGGGGAGACGATGAGGAAGCCTAGCTAACTGCATCCCACACTACATCAGAGCAGGCATCATATGCTCTCTTTTCCTTCCATAAAGATGGACACATGACATTACTTTTAAAGCACATTATGTTGGGGTATTTATAACTATGATGTAATGACTTAAATTTTAAATATTCTGCTTTCTGGATTTACAAAAGTACTAAGTAATATATATAAAACAAAGAACCCTTATTTTTGCTCCATTTCTGAATCTTATACTCAGAGATTAGGTAGGAGTCAGGGGATAGCCTACGGAATGCTGTTGCGCTTTTATTTTAAAATTTCTAAAATTAAAAGTGAAATGGTCATAATGATCATGAACAACCTCAAGTTAAAGCAGCCCCCATAAAAATGTCTGCCCTGATTCTTAAAATGGGCTCAGCCAAATCCACTCCTTTTTCACATTGGAGTTGACACATTTCATGCCCTCATCACCTCTCACCTGGATTAGTACTCCAGGGAAAAACACTCCAAGCTCTTTTCCCTGCCTCTACTCTCTCACTCCTCTCTATACTCCAAGAGTGTATTCTGCATTCCACATGAATGGAAGACAGATTTTCTAAAATACATATTATAGTACATAACTTCTGTGAGTATATTTTTTTAAACTTGTAAAATAGGGTTCTTCATAATCTGGCATTAACCGTTCTTACCCGAGACAAATATAAGAAAAGTATATCAGCCGGGCGCAGTGGCTCACACCGTAATCCTAGCACTTTGGGAGGCCGAGGTGGGTGGATCATGTAAGGTCATGAGTTCGAGACCAGCCTGGCCAACATGGTGAAACCTGTCTCTACCAAAAGTACAATAAATTAGCCAGGTGCCGTGGCGGGTGCTTGTAATCCCAGCTACTCAGGAACCTAAGGCAGGAGAATTGCTTGAACCAGGGAGGTGGAGGCTGCAGTGAGCTGAGATTGCGCAACTGCATTCCAGCCTGGGCGACAGGGTGAGACTCTATTACACACACACACACACACACACACACACAAAGAAAGAAAAGTATATCAACTATAGTTTTGGCTGTCGTAAGACAGGAAAAGGGGAGAGGAAAACAGGAGAGAAACTGTGAGCTGACTGCCCATCTTGTGTAGGGCACCATATCATTAGCAGCATCTTGAGACACACAGAAGTTTAGTTTTATAGATGAGGCAGTGATATCTAAAGAGGCTTCCTAAAGTTCTGCAAGTGACAGAGCTGATAATTGCAGAGCTGTGATTTGAACACATGTCTTTCTGATCACAAAACCTATACTAGAGAAGACCATGGATATTCAGTGAACATACCTGAAGCTACAAAAAGAGCATCCCTTGTAAACTATGTAGGATACAATTTAATGTAAAAAAAAAATCACTACTGCATTGTAGAAGAAGGAGACCCAAAACAACTGATCAAAGATAGTAAGGGATAAGGAGCCTACACTGAGGTTATCAGGAGACAAAAGAAAATTTAAAGAAACAATCTGCTATGAAGTGTCATCATGAAGAGGACCAGGAAAATAAGTCCTGAGAACAACAATCTGTTGAAATTTTTAGGTCTCTGCGGAAAACTATTTATATAAATTGCTGAGGATGAGAGCCATGTTGAGGGGGAGCTCTATAACAGATAAAGGGTGCAAAACAAAAAATGTTCTTTAGAGAAATGTGGTAACAATGTTGATAAAATAAAAGTATCTGCCAGGCGTGGTGGCTCACTTCTGTAATCCCAGCACTTTGGGAGGCCAAGGCAGGTGGATCACCTGAGGTCAGGAGGTCAAGACCAGCCTGGCCAACATGGAGAAACCCCGTCTCTACTAAAAATACAAAAAATAAATAAATAAATAAAAATAGGTGGGCATAGTAACGCACAACTGTAATACCAGCTACTTGGGAGGCTGAGACAGGAGAATTGCTTGAACCTGGGAAGCGGAGGTTGCAGTGAGCTGAGATCGTGCCACTGCACTCCAGCCTGGGTGACAGAGTGAGACTCCATCTAAAATAAATAAATAAATACATACATACATAAATAAAAGTATCTACAAAGGATGAAAGGACCCAAATTCAACCAGATATTTATGAAGACAAAGGACACTTTTATCATCTTGAAGACTCATGCACATCTTTATGAAAGTTCATAAGATGAAAACAAAAGAGAAAGAAACGTGTGACACCAGTGACTAAGTAAGCAAGTTCTACATCCTAAATCTGGAGGACCCCACAAACTACCTCTTCTGTGCTATGCATCCCACTCCTGAGTCCCATTCAACCCCTACCCTCCAACAGTGAAAAGAATACAGCCCGGAGACTTCATTACACAGTCTGGGTTTGATAACCAGACATCTAAGGTGATAAGTGCAATTTCAGATTACCTTTCTTGTAATTTTCATCTACAAATTGCAGAGAATCTTTGACAGTACAGGCCTTCTTCTATGTCACACTAGTTGTTCTACTTCATTTTTCACCTTCCCTAAAAATTTTAGTTGAGAGCTTTTTTGTTCAGTTTTAAAAGTACTTGCAAAGCTTTCACTTTATTATCTAATTAAAAATGTGGAGAAAATGTTTAAGTTATTTTTCTGGCCATGCGTGAGCCATCAGAATCTGAGCACTTTGTGAGGCTTTGGTGGGAGGATTGCTTGAGACCGGGAGTTTGAGACCAGCCTGGGCAACATAGTGAGACCTCATCTCTACAAAAAAAGTAAAAGAAATTAGCTGAGTGTGGTGGTGCACACCTGTAGTCCCAGTTACTGGGGAGGCTAAGGTAAGAGGATTGCTTAAATCCAGGAGTTTGAGGTTGCAGTGAGCTATGATTATGCCACCGCACTCCAGCCTGGGCAATAGAACAACACTCTTCTCTGAAAAAGAAAAAATTATTTTTCTCAGCAAGGTTCTTAACATTTCTGAGTATCAGAGTCACTCATCATTCATTTGTTCAATCAATATTTATTGAAGACCTACCCTGGGCTAGGTACTGTGCTAGACCCTTGAGTAAGCAATGTTGAACAAAAAGGAAAAATTGGGGTAATTCCACCTATTTTATATAATTCTTGGGAGACTCAAATGAAATAAGTTTTCAGGAGGAACTTAGAAAACTGTCAAGAAGTTATATATATGTGTATATATACACACACGGTGTGTACGCATATGTGTGTATATACACACACGGTGTGTACGCATATGTGTGTATATATATACACACACGGTGTGTACGCATATGTGTGTATATATATACACACACGGTGTGTATATACGTGTGTATATATATACACACACGGTGTGTATATACGTGTGTATATATACACACACGGTGTGTATATACGTGTGTATATATGCACACACGGTGTGTATATACGTGTGTATATATGCACACACGGTGTGTATATACGTGTGTATATATGCACACACGGTGTGTATATACGTGTGTATATATGCACACACGGTGTGTATATACGTGTGTATATATGCACACACGGTGTGTATATACGTGTGTATATATGCACACATGGTGTGTATATACGTGTGTATATATGCACACATGGTGTGTATATACGTGTGTATATATGCACACATGGTGTGTATATATATGTGTGTATATATGCACACATGGTATGTATATGTGTGTATATATGCACACATGGTGTGTATGTATATGTGTGTATATATGCACACATGGTGTGTATATACGTGTGTATATATGCACACATGGTGTGTGTGTATATACGTGTGTATATATGCACACATGGTGTGTGTATATATACACACGGTGTGTATATATACGTGTGCATAGATATGCACACGGTGTGTATATATACGTGTGCATAGATATGCACACGGTGTGTATATATACGTGTGCATAGATATGCACACGGTGTGTATATATACGTGTGCATAGATATGCACACGGTGTGTATATATACGTGTGCATAGATATGCACACGGTGTGTATATATACGTGTGCATAGATATGCACACGGTGTGTATATATACGTGTGCATAGATATGCACACGGTGTGTATATATACGTGTGCATAGATATGCACACGGTGTGTATATATACGTGTGCATAGATATGCACACGGTGTGTATATATACGTGTGCATAGATATGCACACGGTGTGTATATATACGTGTGCATAGATATGCACACGGTGTGTATATATACGTGTGCATAGATATGCACACGGTGTGTATATATACGTGTGCATAGATATACACATGGTGGGTATATGTATGTGTGTATAGATATACACATGGTGTGTATATATATGTGTATATATCTGTGTATTGGACATATGTATGTATATATTGGATATATATATTGGACATACATATATTGGACATATATATATATACACATATATATATGTATTGGACAGTGTGGGTCTAGGTGTACACACACTATGGTGCAAATCCTAGACCCACACTGTCCAATACAGGGGCCATTAGTCGTATGCAACTATATAAATTTGAATGAATTAAAATTCAATAAAAATAAAAGTTCAGTTCATCAGTTACACTAGTCACATCTCAATAGCTACATATGACCAGTGGCTACCATACCGGACAGCACTAATTTAGAACACTTCCATCATCACGTAAAATCCTATTGGACAGCAGTTTCCTAAAAGCTGGGAGTAGAAACATGAAACAGAACATCTGAATGATGCCAGGGTTGAGCAGTAAATGATACTATGTGAAAATATGCTATGGGCTGGGCACGGTGGCTCACACCTGTAATCCCAGCACTTTGGGAGGCTGAGGTGGGTGGATCACCTGAGGTCTGGAGTTCAAGACCAGCCTGGCCAACACAGTGAAACCCCGTCTCTACTAAAAATACAAAAATTAGCTGGGCATGGTGGCAGGCTCCTGTAATCCCAGCTACTTGGTAGGCTGAGGTAGGAGAATCACTTGAACTGGGGGGGTGGAGGTTGCAGTGGGCTGAGATCGCGCCACTGCACTCCAGCCTGGGCGACAGAGAGATACTCTGTCTCAAAAAAAAAAAAAAAAAAAAAAGAAAAGAAAAAAAAAGAGTGAAAGAAAGGAAGAAAGAAAGAAAATATGCTACAAATCACATGCTCAAAGAAAGATGGCTGATAATTCTTTATAAGATTATAAAACCATCACAAAGGAAAGATGTAGTTGTGATTTAAGAAAAAAAGTCAGAGATAACTTATTGACAGCTTACTAAGAAACTAAAGCTAATTGCTTTAAGTCAATATTAGATTTAATCCAAAGAACAATGCTTGAAGTAAGCATTATTATTTTCTCTGCCTTGTAGATGAGGAATCGTAAGCACTGATAGGTTAAGTAACTTGACCAAGGTTACAAAACTATTTAATGGTAAGCCTTTGAAATAAACTCTACTAAAAGAAAAGAAATATTTACGTAACAATAATATCTAAGACACTGAATCGATCTCATTGAATTAGTTATTATGAAAACAGCATCAAGGTAATATATCACTATGTGCTTTTTTACTTTCAGTGATTAAGAGTTATTGATAATAATATTTTCACCATACTATCACCATTAGTTAGTTCTCTAAACTTTGTCTTCTTTCCTTGTCTTCTTTCCTCAGGAATGGCCTCCTTTCTCCCAGTCATTGTATCTTGAATCAAAACCCAAGCATCTTTGAATATTCACATGAAGTCCCTAAAACACTTGAGCCTTCACTGTTATCTCTAAAGTCACACAACATATATTTTCTAGATCATTCACTATAATGCGAATTGCACAATGATTTGGTTTTAATGCCAATCTTTACTGAAGTATGCTATACTATTTGATGAAAGAGCATATACTGAGCATCTGATAAATAAATGATAACAATAACATACCTTGCATCAAGAATACCATAGGTGTTCATCTAAAATTTATCATTTGTAATTTAATATTGTCTTCACAGTTTTTGAAGGCATAAAATATAAACACTCAGTTTATCTCTAATAAGTGCTTTAGTTTTCTCATGAATTAGCTGAAACATGTTAGCTCTTTTTTCCTTTCTGTAATATAGGAAATAATAAAGATTATTAAAGAGATATATGTTAGATAGTCTTGTATCAAAAAAGTCCATGCTTAGATTCATTATTTCTTTAGTATTATAAAGACCCAGAATGAAGGTCTAATCTCAAAACTAGCTGAAGAGATCAGATTCAAATGTCGGAATCTGTTTTTACAGAATATCCTTGGCAAAGTTTACTCTAAGAAATGTAACACAGTTGGACTGTCTTCCTTTGGCTATAAAACATCTTTCATAGGAATGTCCATTAAGGTCTGGGAGGTGGTGTGGGGGGAGTGTCTCAATGCAAAGTGTTCTTACGTTAATCAAAATATATTTACGGAAATAGTTGCTTATACCTAGGTCTTATATTTTAGTCCCTATACCTGGAAATACCAGGGGGTATTCCCAAAGGACTGAACACTGAGCACTTATGGTTTCTCATCCTCATTTGTTTATTAGTTTCTCTGCTGTATAACACAGTCAAAGTGTTCTTTAAGCTTTAGTCACTGGAACTGGGTACCTAAAGTAAGAAACTGCCATCATGTTTGGTCTTAATTTTTCCTTTGTTTTTGCCAAGAATTGAAGAAGACTAAAACAGATGATCTCTCTATTTGTACTGAGTGAGGCCTGGACATGGTACTTCTGTCACTTTTCTATCTCTGGATAAAAAGTTAGAAAAATCTGCAAAAGTAAGTATATGGCTTCATGGTGACCACATTAATACTATCTACTCTCTGATGTGCATAGATAACCCTAAGCAGTTTTAACAGTATCAAAAATAAAATATAATGTTTCTATATTCATGAAGAAAATTTGATTCCTTTTTACTCACACATAAAATTCTGTGGAATTTGGGATAAAACTCAATATCTGCAGATATTAGATGGAAAAAAAATAAGAGTCAAGTAGTATTAAGATCCCAAATTTGGATATACAGACAATCAGAAAACTGAAAATTCCAAGGTTCTCCTAGTTACTTATGATGTCAAAGCTATATTTGTGATGTTATAAGTGAAAAATCATGTGGTAAGGTGTGCTTGAGTTATGCAGAAAAATTTATTTTTTCTAACATTAATTTTATTCTTAACACTATTTTTTGCTATTTTGCATTTGACATTTTATCATTCCTCATCCCAACTTAGAGATAAAAAAATTTTTTAAAATAAAAAGCTCCTAACAAGAGTCCTTTCAGCAACCCTTGAACACATAGGGTTTCTGCAACTGTAACAATTTGAAACTACAACAACGTCAACCACATAAATATTAGAACTTGCACAATGGGAATAATTTTGGAAAATATTTCTCCCTGACTTTGTGTGTAGATAACCTACTTAATAATCAGCCCTCAGAAATGGCTGGGAGGCTTTGAGTCAATGGAGAGAAAAGGGAAGGGATGGAGAATATTACATACTAGAATTCTTGCATGAAGAATAAAAAAGAAACAAATAAATAGAAAGACATCCCATGTCCATGCGTTGGAAAAGTTATTGTTAAAACGTCCATACTGCTTAAAATACCCAATATGACCTACAGATTCTATGCAATCCCTATTAAGATGCCAGTGGCATTTTTTACGGACATAGAAAAAACAATTACAAAATTCCTGTGAAACCACAGAGGACCCTTGGTAGCCAAAATAATCTTTACAACAAAGAACAAAGCTGGAAGCATCATACTATGGGACTTCAAAATCTATAACCAAGCAACCATGACCAAATCAATATAATATTGGCATAAAAACAGACAGACTAATGGAACAGAACAGACAGCCCAGAAATAAACCCACACATATATGGTCAAATGGTCCTCCACAAAAATACACAATGGGGAAAGGAGAGTCTCCTCAATGAATGGTATTGGGAAAAGTGAATATACACATGCAAAAGAATGTAATTGAACCCTCATCTTACACCATAAACAAAAATCAACCCCAGATGGATTGAAGACTTAAATGTAAGAACTGAAACTATAAAACTCCTAGGAGAAAGCAAAAAAACTTCGTGATATTGATCTTCACAACGATTTGCTAGTTATGACCCCAAAAGCACAGGCAACAAAAGCCAAAATAGACAAATAGGACTACATCAAACTAAAAAGCTTCTACACAGCAAAGGAAAAATTAACAGGGTGAAAAGGAAACCTATAGAATGGGAGAAAATATTTGCAAACCATATATCTGATATGAGAATAATATCCAAAAAATCTAAAGAACTCCTTCAACTCAGTAGCAAAACAAACAAGCAAACAAAACACACACACACACACACACACACACACACACACAAAACACACAAAATAACTCGATTAAAGAATGGGTGAAGGACTTGAATAGACAATTCTTCTGTGTAAAACAGACCAACAGACATATGAAAAGATACTCAGCATCACTAATCAGGGAAATAACAATCAAAACAGAAGTGAGATATTACATAACACCTGTTAGAATGCCTGTGGTAAGAAAAATAAGTATTGAGGAGATGTAGAGAAAAGGGAACACTTGCACTGTTGGTGTGAATGTAAATAGTGCAGTTCCTAGAGAAAATAAACTATGTTGAGGCTCCTGAGAATATTAAAAAATAGAACTACCATATGATCCAGATATCTCACTTCAGGGCATATATCCAAAAGAACTGAAATCAGGACCTTGAAGAAATATTTGCAACCTGGTGTTCACTTCAGCATTATTCACAATATCGAAGATGTGGAAACAACCTAAATGTTCACTGATAGATGAATAGATAAAGAAAATGTGGTATATATATACATGGAATATTATCCTTTTAACAAAGGATAGATCTCATGTTAAGCATTCTTAACACAATATAAAAAAATATAAAGAGACTCAATATTCAGCTCCTGGATTCAAGTAATATTTAAAAAAAACAGATTTGTAAGCTAGGTTGTGTTAAGAGAGAAAGAATTTTCTTAATACTTAGTTCTCACACAGTACATTAATGGTAGGCCTGGAGACTATATCACAAACTTTTTAAATTTGTTTTGGTTTTGTTTTCCTGTTGGGTAGAGAAAGTCCTGTTTATCATAAGTCTTAGTCATTAGTCTGGATTAGTGAAGAAAAAGCATATAATTAGAAGAAGGAAAATACAAGCCTAGCCCTTTTGGTCTTAGGATGCCTCTGGATGAGGGAAATAAACAGAACTGGGAAGACAATGGTTGTAATTTCTTCCCAGTTCCCTTCAAGGCCAAGTCTCAGATGGGGAGAGATAGGATTAAGCATACAGGATTAAAATACAGGATTTTTACATACAGATTCAAGGGTCAGGCAGAGGTTCTTTAATTTGGATTAAAGAGGCTAAAATATGCAAATCATCAAGGAACTGTAAGAGCCAAAGCCTTTTCTCCTACTCTGTTTTGGAGATTCTGGAAGAACACTTTATGGGCGGCTAGGACATCACTCTGTTCACAATCTAAGAAGCTGTGACTCCCCACAATTCTTGTGCAACAAGAACAGCAATGTCTGAGTCTCCTGGGGAGCCTGTGAGAGAGGGCTGCTGAATCAGTGTCAATGTGGGTCCCATACCAGAAGCTGTGAGTGAGTGGATCATATAGGCTGGACAAATAGCAGTCCCAGCCATAACTCAGGGTGGTTTGCTGTACTAATGACAGCAGACTATATAGTCAAGCTGGCAGTAAATACCAACAGGGCTAGCAGATACCATGCAAAAAAGATAGCCAGCCCAGCAATGCCTACTTGGCCAGCCACAGGAACCCATACTATGGTTAATATAGGATAATTTCATATAGAAATTTTAATAGACATAAGATGCATTCAACATTGTAAGATAACGGAACTACTTTTTCCTGTTTTTTTCTTTGTTTTATCCTTGAACATTTGTAAAGAATTAATATGTACCACAATGAAATCCTTTTATTAATAAAATGACTGTTCATTTTGTAGTCTCTACTACTTATAGTAAATTCTTCGCTTCCCATTTACTTAATTCCTATTTGAAATATAAAACTTGAAGTTAATTCAAACTATCTGAGTTAGTTGCTTTAGTGTAGTTGTCATTAGGTAGTGAAAGGAAGAAATGGGAACGAATGATGCTTTTATGTACACTGCAAGTGGGCTGAGCAAATATTCAGGTCCTGAGTCTCAATATAATGGGGGCCACAATCAGGAAATATGACAAATCCAAATAAAGTAGGGTTTTTATTCCACAATAAGAATCCAGGTGATTGTTATAATAATTTTGTCCAATTTATGTGTTTCAAACTGCAAATCTATAAAAATAGTCCCAATATGTTTCAGAGATGCCCATTAATAATATGTGTAAGTCTGAGCTGGCAGCATTTTAGAACACTGCTTCCACATATTTAAGAGGAAGGGTGCTGGTGAGTGACAAAATGATACCCTGCAGAGAACTTAGATGATAGCAACCTAAGGTGAACCACACAAACGCTTCTACTGATTTTTCAAATGTTGGGTCACCAAAGAGAAAGGGATATTAAAGGAGACAAAAACAACATATCCCAGCCTGATTAACTTAATACCTTCTTTAAACATAATTAGAAAGATCCATTTACTGTACATAGTAGTGATGTCCACAAGGGCTTCCCATGAGACCTAGAAGCCAAGGCCAGGCATACTAAATGAGGAAAGACAATGTATATCTTCATATATTCCCATACTGGCTTTCCCTATATGTTATCCAAAAGTTAGGTATGATGAAATTAAAAAAAATGGTTCTAATACCCCAATTTCCATTAGTAGAAGACTCTTTAGGGACACTGTATTAATACAAGTATCATAGAACAGGACATAAAGAAAATCTGCTTTTATTATTTGTTTCACCTTTTGGTGAGACAAGAACCTCTGGGCTTAGACATGGCTTTTATCCCTGTAGCACATGGAATAAAACCTGACGAAACTTGAAAACATAAAAACAAAACCTGCCAAAGTGCTGATAAAGAGGACTGAACTTAGGGAGCAAAATATTTTAGTATCCCTGAGACTTGACAATAAAAGAATACATAGCAATTTGTAAAGCACACTAGAGAGAACCAAGGCCTTCCACAGGAAATGGGTGATAAATGCTTAGAACTAAAGACAGTCCTGTGAGAAAGAATGGCCACAAAGACTTAAGATGTTTGATATTATCAGAGCTCTCAAATAAAAAATATCTCAGGTCAAAAGCACTGAACAAGTTAGAGTGGGGGCATGTAAGTGGTTACAGTAGTTCTGAAAGATGAAAAAACTTCTTTTCATTCAGACTTGTAAAACATTTTTTTCATATACTTAGTAAGGTGCTGAAAGTACAGGAATATGCTGTATATAGTTGGTTGTTTATGACAATCTCAATACAATCTTATTGAGGGAAATAGCTCCAATCATTCCTGAAACAAATGCTTCCAGTATATAGTCCCAAATTCAAGAAATTCCACTGAGAAGTTTTAAATTTAGATATTTAGACCAGACAGGTTACAGTTGAAAATTAGAGTAAAATTTCTAGTATCTAGAAAGAACAAAAGCAAGTATTCAGCTCCTGTTACAAAATTATGCATTAAAGGAGCATTTGTTTTAGCCTATGTGTAGTTCTCACATTTAAATTGACAGTAAACTCATGTAAACTCAAACAATTTTCAAATAAAAATATTATTTCAGAGCCACATTTATTTTTCCCACATTTTCTTTTTCTTTAACAGACACCATCAACCTTTACCCCATATATCAGGAAGATGCCCGGTAGAAGACTCATATGAAAAAGATCCTCTGAAGACAGAGGGTAGTGAGAATAACCTAACTGAATCCTCCACAGAGACATAGGAGGTGCACACACACACATACACACACTCATGCACACACACAGACACACAATTTGCAAAATCCTAAATGAACATGTTCAAGAGTGGATAGTATTGATTCTCATAAATAAATATTATGTTTAAAGTTAATGCTTGATGATCCAGCAAGGAAAATAAAACAATGACAGGAAAATAAATGACATCTAATTTATAGAAAATTATCTTTTAAAAATATATTCAGCACCTGAGTTATAAATAAAAATGATGAAACAAAAGATTATTAAACCTCCAGAAACGTCTGGATTCCTAACACAAATGCTTCCCACTTACTAACATGAAAGTTTATAAATCATTGTACCTGGAAAAAAAAAAAAAGAAGTACAGGCTTTAAAATGTGGTTAACGTGGAATACTATGCAGCCATAAAAAAGGATGAGTTCATGTCCTTTGCAGGGATATGGATGAAGCTGGAAACCATCATTCTCAGCAAACTATCACAAGACCATAAAACCAAACACCATGAACAATAACAACACATGGACACAGGGAGGAGAACATCACACACCAGGGCCGGTCGGGGGGTGGGGGCCTAGGGGAGGGATAACATTGGGAGAAATACCTAATGTAGGTGATGGGTTGAGGGGTGCAACAAACTACCAGGTCACGTGTATACCTATGTAACAAAACTGCAGGTTCTGCACATGTAACCCAGAACTTAAAGTATAATAAAAAATAAAATAAAATAAAAATAAAATAAAATGTGGTTAAGGAGGCACGCTTGGCATGAGCAGAGTCAAAATGTACTCAAAATTTTTCTTAAAAAAGGGTCTATCCCTCCTAAGCAAAAGCAGTTGACATGCGAGAAAGCAAACACTACATTTTGATAATAGAGTGTGTTTTATATTGAAAAGGAGCAATTACATTTTAAATACTAGCAAAGCTTTTTCCTGGTATGAACTGCTTCCTCATGAATCAGTAATTGATACAGCTTTTTTCTGAGTAGGCAATTACTTAATTTAAGAATCAAGATCTGGCCCAAATTATCTGAATTGGCTTTCTACCCTGATGTATGTTTACTGCCTTCAATTTCACTTCAGTCAGTCAAACATATTTAAAACCTCCCAGTTCTCTTTCTCCATTAATGCAAGATCAAGAACTAAATAGTAATCCTGAGCTCTGAAGTCTCAACACATTTTGCGTCTTTTCATCTTCAATTCTTTATTGGAAAAAAAAATATAGAGTTACATTTGTAACACTTTAATCCTGGTCTATCTATCTCCTAAATAAGCTCTTTTCATTGAACCTATTCATACAGAGACAGAAGAAACTCAGTAAGGCAATTTAATGAAAAAAATAAAGTATTATCCTTTATGTTTCACATATGAAAGCTCTTTAACCTTCACTCTGATTCCTATTTTATGTAATAAGTCAATCTTCATATTGCCTTCATTTTGTCAATAATTGTTATAAATACCCCAACTGTGAAACATACAAAACTAACCAGACAACAGATTCCATAAATATGATTAGTATTTCCACATGAATTCAATAGTAATAGCCTTGACAAATGATTGGCTGCTAAATAAGATGATGCAGGTGTAAAAATTTTGTAATTTAACACTTACCCAAAATAATGATTGCTACTTGATCTTAGTAATTTAGTAATATTATGTTCCATACTTCATTTACTAAAAAATGTCTGCTGAAATTAATTTCTATTGTTCAATATTTGTGTGGGTTACAAAGCCCACCAATGATTCTCTTTGATTAGGGCATAGGTCATGAGAACTTCCAAATACAGCAGGTTAGAGTATATACTGACATGTCTACAGATTCAAGGAAGGGCTCTGGGCCTAGGAAGTCCCTAGGAGCAATAAAATAAGAAATAATCTTCTCGTTTTTCTAGTTCTTGTTTCATAGTTTCATTCCCTGGCAACCAGCAGCAACTCCCAAATCATTTCTGACTTCTACATGTTTCCCACCTGGGACAAAAACACGCCTTCACAGCACCATGACAACCACACCAGCAACACAAGCACTCGGGTTCATGCAGGAAAATGAAAATCCTGAAAGGAAGCTAGGAGATAAAGGCTCACTATTCCTTGTTTCCCACTGGTAGGATGTAATTACAAAAATTACTTTAACACAAAGCTTCTGGTGAATGAATAGTGGGTAATTTGAGGGGAGAAGCCTAGGGCCTAGGGATTAAATTAAAAATGTAAAATGCTGAATGATGTCATACAAGTTCAGCCACCTTCCCCCAAAAAAGTAGACTGCCTAAAGCAAACTCCTTAATGATGACAGAGTAAACATTCTTATGAGATAGGCAGGGGTATATTTTTTTACATGAGTTTAGACAAATGATTGATTTAATAGTAGAGGTGAAATTTATGACCCTTTAATTTTTATTAAGTATATTGTTACCAATTAGAGTTTCAAATATAATTTTGTCCAAATTAAAGAGTTTCAAAATGTCATTTCCATGCCCCTAAATCTGAAAAAGAAGCAAATTAAACATGCCTACCATGATGAAGTAGACAAATTTCTTTGTCATAAGCATGCCAAGTTTATGTTTTTTGTGTAATGAAAAGGATGCTATTCGTTTGCTAGAAACTGGCAGTGCTATGTGTTATGAATACTTGCCACTTCTGCACTAGAAGACACCATTATTTATATTGCCAAATGTAAAACTGCTTTAGATCTTATTCTTTAAAGAGTAATTCTAAAGCAGAGCACTGCATTTTTGACTTAAAAAAACATATTTTTAAACAACTCTTCATATGTTTCACATTGTGAAAACAATACAACTTTTCTATTAAGAGTCAAGGAAGAAGAATCCGCTATATATGGGATTGATTGATTGTTTTTGTGTTGTTGAATCGTACCATATGACACATTATCTTAACAGTTTCAAAGCTGTGACTTTTGTTGGAAACTCAGCTGAATATTCTTAGGTGACAGGAAATAGAAATAGATATTTTCATTTGGTCAAGCGGAATAGCTTAGGGCTCCAGAGTGTGGGAGAAGCACAATTTTTGTTTTGCTTCTAGTTTTAATCTTGTTTTCTGGAGACATAAAGTCCTCCTTATCTATAGCAAATATCTTTCATAGGCTCCCAATTCTGTGCAGTGTATACCTTCAGATTCTCAGTGATACACCTGAGAATGACAGAGTAGAAGGCAAGAAGGGGCATTCTAACCATCAACGAGCCAATAACTGCTACCTCACTCTCAAGCTAATCTCTACCCATCCCTACCACAAGAAATGTTTAGAAGGCCATTCATACTTTGCCTCTGGGACATGAATATGAAAATACACCATTTTGAAAATTCACTCAGTGTTCTAAAAGATCATCTATCCTAATCTACTCAAATTGGACCAACTTATCATCCTCCTTTATCAAGCCTATTTCTGTTTCTCATTTTATATACCTGAATTCTGGAAAGAGAATTCTCTAGTCTTCTAGATTAGAATTCTGAGTCCTCCTTAAACAATCTCTCTCTCTTTCCCCATGCCCTCCAACATCTATCCCATCACAAAACTCCATCAGTTTTCCTTCAATTTCTACCCACTTGGTTCTATCTCTCCATCATCTAGTTCAGGTCCTAATAGATTTTAATGTATAACACTTGCAACAAACTACAGAACTCAAATGAATGGCAGTTCTGAGGAACTAAACTGCCAAATCAAGAAATGTAGCTAGCCAATTACTGTGACAACTAGCAAAATAGGGCAGAATATTACATGGGCCTTACTGATGAAATCTTGCAGGGTCAGAAATGGCTTGCTTATGATCAAAACTCCTACTGATGACTTGCTGTCAGAGAAATGTATGGAGACCATGGTTCTCAAACACATTTCATTCCATGTAAGGCTTAGCTTATGGATTTTATTCCTCTTCCTAAATAACTCATTAAGAAAGACCTCATATGTTTCCTAAAATAAAATCTTGAATTAATCCAGAAAAGGCACTATTTTATATAGTGCTTTGGTTTTCATTTATAAATCAATATATCTTCCTAAACCTAATTTTTTTCAATTTTAAATTTTAAAATAATGGAATACATTACAAAAATATGTTCTTAATTTACAGTTGGAAGGTATTTGATCTATGAGAAGACTTGGCTCTCCATCTTGCTACCAAGAAGTTAAAGGAAGAATTTGAAAGTTCTGAATCTGAATCACTTGTTCCCCTAGGCAAGAGAGTTGCACTTCTAACATATATGGTTACAATTCAAGATTCTCAAAAGAAGGTAAATTCATATCACCCACAACTTAATTCAATCAGAACTTCATAAATAAGAAGGTGAAGATCATTAAGCTCATATTAACGTTTATCATGGAACATTTTAAGAGAACTGAATGATTCAATTTTGATTCAAGTTTTAAGGTAATTGAGAGGTGACAAAAGAACTCCTTTTGCTCTGACCCATGACCATTGAAACTTGTCTCAAAATATATTACTCTAGTTGGTGGCCTACTTCAACTATAATTGCAATCTTCTATTCATGACTGAAAAACTCAGTCTTCAGTGTCTGCATTATTAAAAAGAAATTTTAAGTAAACTGAGTATGTTGATGCTATTGAAATTGACATTTTAAATAATTTTCTAAAGCAATGTCCCAAATTTCTGTAATTCCATCCAATTCCTTTGTATATACATACGCTGTTAATTTCCCTATTCTATCATCTAAAAATACAATAAGTATTAAACATAATATTTCTTGTAACTTTATTACTTCAAGAAAAAAACTCTTCTTCTTATAAATATCAGACTAATGAAAAGTACTAGGGCTAATATTTATAGAAATAGATACCTTCAGGAATTGAAATGTAGTAATAGGGTACAGCCTGATGAAACTACAGTTATGACAGATGGACCTGATGGGAGGACAGACACAGTAACTGATCTGGCTTCCAGTTCTCCTATACAATTCCATAGCATGTGGCCTATGCGTTCCTAAAAAATATTTAACCATTGCTTTGAAAGAGGTATTAGGTATTAGTAATATGGAACAACCAAGATTTAGATATTAGTAATATGGAACAACCAAGAAAAATCACTCTAACCTACTATCTTTTCCTTAACATAACCAGTCTTCTGATTTAGAATAACATTTTAAGAATATGAAAATTGAGTATTCACATGAAGACAATGACTAATGCTTCAACTTTAACAAAACTCTTAACATGCAAACCTTCTGCAAAGATATTAAATATTAACAGGCAATTAAATAACAGCTAGCATTCATTAAGCACCTATTTTTGTTGAATACTACCTTCAGCAATTTGCATATACATCTAATATTATTACAACTGTGCAATATATATTACTTCTTTTTTCATTAAAAAACTGAGGCTCAGAGAGGTTAAGTACTAATCTAAGGTAACAGAACAACTTGGTGTGCAGAGCTATTATTACTCATACCAAGTCTAACTGCAAAGCCTCTACAGTGACTCTCTAAGCTAGGCATACATTTCATAATACTGTATTTATTAATATAGTCCTGTTGTTTCAAATGAGAAATTTCTTTAAAATTTTCAAGATATGTTAACTTTAAAGTTATCTTAAATTGCACTATTCTGTTCATAAATAATTTTAGGGGAAGTTAGTAGCATCTGAAAATCAAACTAATGACTAGGTAGCAAGTCTCAAAAGGCAATCTAGAAGACAAATTATTTCTAAATTACTTATATTTACTTATATCCATGTCATTTCCCTAAAAGAAAACTCTATTCTTCATTAAGAAAGTTGTCTTGGCAAATGTAAAGACTTCTTGAGATTTGGTTAAAAAAAAAATAGATTCCTAAATTTTTTTTTCTCCCCAAAGGAAATTTTATATCCAATGTATAAGCATATCTCCTTAATAGTAAGTTACTTTCAGGTTTCATTTAAACAAACAAAAATAGAAAACTTTGATGCAACATAATTTACTTGACTTTAGCAGTTCTAGCCTAATTTGAAATAAAATTCCACAGAAGAATTTCATTCATTGTCTCCTCCATCTAGTAAAAGTTTTGCCAAATAGATTTTAAAGACAAGTGGCATATTATTTTCAAATATATCCATCACACTGGTCTTAAAACAAAAAGCAACTGTTTGCCATCCTAGTATACATCCTTTAAAAGGTTTAAAATAACAGTGATAATTCATAATTAAGATACTTCTGTAAAATACAAACCACAAAGATTTTCAAATTTTAACATAAGCTAGAGAACCAATAGTTTTAATATAAAGGTATTAAAAGAAGTCATATCAGGGATATATAACACACTGGAATAAATATCTGTAACATATACTCTATGCATTTTTTAAAAAGCAAGCCACATTTCATGATTTATAAATGTAAACTTCTTTTTCTATCTCCGCGTTATACAAGAGAACATGGCAATCACATTCTCTTACTTGATGGGAGAGTTGTTTTCATCATATCTTAAAATTATATTTCATTATTAAGCTTTGTCAAGACGCCTACCTCTGTAGTGGAAGTCTTTGGACATGTCTATGGGAGCCTGTTCTACAGCTGATCTCTTGTAGACAACATGAATCCTTCCTTTTTCTTCCTCCATCTGTTTACCTCTTTCCAAGGGTTCAATGAAATACTCTTCATTATCACTTTTTATCATTCCAGCCTAGAGAAAGCACAAAATGTGTTAATTTAAAAAAGAAATATCTATCATCTTCAGCTCACAAGCACATCTTTTTAAATGTCAAGAATATGACTTGTGAAAACTAACGCTTTTTCTTTCCACATTTGGCCATAACTTAAAATAGTTTTATTAACTATCAATAATTAATTCATATAAGGTAGAAATTCACATATGACAGAAATGAAAAATTCATATTAAGGTATTACGGAATACAAAATTTACATAGGATAAGAATAGGGAAATCATACAATGTATATATTTTATCAAACTGCAAAATAAGTGCATTTATATATTCTACTTGGTATTTTATATCTAGTAAGAATCATATGGGACACATAAATTCAAAAAATCTCTAATTTCCCAAAATAACCCATTGTGGAGCAGTGGTCCAAACGTTACATACATTTTTACTTATTTACATCTTCCCACCAAACAAAGTGGCATGAGAGAAATGAGTTCCATGCTACCTTCAGTATGTAAAGTTATTTCTTTAAAATAGTCTCATTAAGCTTCTGTGGAAATCCCCATTTCTAAAGTTTATTCATTTGAAGAACTAACTCATATTTGTCCTAGCTTAATCTAACTTTATGATTTAAATTATAACTTTAATATTATATATATATATCCCCCTCAAACTGCATCCTTTCACACTGAAAAGCCTACTCTTGCTTTCAATTCCTTCCATCTCTCTATTTATTGTTTTCTGATTCTGTTTCATCTTTTAATTATTCAGAAAACACCAGGGCTATAGCCAGTACTATAGCTGAAGAAAAATGATGTTTTTTTCTAAAATGCGATATTTCTTAAACATCAAGTCCACATTACAGTCAAGTAGTTGTGGCTCGTGTTTCTACTTTAAACATCATACAATAATACGAAATATTAATTTAAATATAAGCACATTTATTTGAAAACAAAATTCAAACAAATAATGTCTTAGTGTGGAAACTGTACTTATTTTGGAAATATATATCAGATTTAGAGATGCCATATTTTTTCTCAAACCTTTAACTTATTCTGTATTTTCACACAAGAGGTCACTGGCTCTCATGTAACACAGACAAGGGAGGAGTTTCTTACTCCTTCGAACTATGTTGATGTCTTTGCCATTATGCTATCAAGCAACATAGAAATAAAAGGGAGGTGTCCTTTACCAAAGAGCATATGTTTTCAGCAAATATAAATATAAATATATATATTCATATATGTATATAAATAAATAAATATATATATATTTAGCAAATATGCCTATGACTATAGCTTTTCTGTCACACTCAAATCTGTCCTTTTCCTTTCTGTTCTGACTTCTACACCTGGGTATAGTATTTCCCTTCTTTCCCTTTGTAAGCCTCACAGGGAATTCTTAAAAGCTATGCCATCTCCATATGCCACTTCTACGCTTGCCTTTATGATGTGCACATACAAACAGCCCTGGAACCTATGCGACCGTGTCTCACAAGAAAACATTACTACAACTCTTCTACTATTCTTGGCCCATACCCTCTGGAACAAACCTCTAGCTTTCACTTAAAAGAGCATTGAGCTAGTGGGTACTTAGTAGTAATGCTGATCTTCCAGATACTCCAATAATTGGAGTTTCTTTCCTTATCTGACTAATTACTTTATACTTAGTCATGTACTATGAAATGCACATATTTTTCAAAAGTTATATAATTATTCCCTATTCAGAGTTGTTCCTATTGGTTAATGGATTCACCTCTTCTACAAATATAATTTCCAACATCTTCCTCATGCTTTCAAATTTTAATTTTAATCTATTCTATATTATGGTCATATTATTTTATCTCCTATTACCAGTACTTTCAACACTCACTGCTATTGGCCTTCTCAGGCATTAATTAATTAATGTCCATAAAATACATCCAAACTAAGCACAAACACAGTAAATGTATAAAAAGTTAATAAAATGTATAAGGATAAAATGTTATCTCATCCCTAACACCATCTGCTGGTAGCAAAAAGCGTGAACCGGCTTTATCCCAGAAAGATAGGTCTGTTTAAATATATGGAAGTTTATAAGGTGAAGTGCATCAGCATGGGAGTTTCAGTATTCATCTTTATTACAGTCTTTTCTTTGCCCCAAATCCGCTGTCACTGCATTCTGTAACATCTACATTATTCGCCCATCCTCCTAAGTCCACTAACATTTCCTTAGTTATAAACATCATCATTGTTTATTCGGATTACAGAAACTCCCTATCTTAAGATTTTCCAAAGATCATAATGATTCTCCCAGATGAGTGCCTGACTCAGGGAAGAAACAGTGCCACTGAAGCGGTCAGCGACTCTGAGCAATGCGCAATGGCTATTGCAGTCACTTGAAAGTGATAGGGAGGGCAGTGAGGATTAGCCCATGGGTCTTTTGAAAACACTTCTCCATACCTGCTATGGCAAACATTCAAATTTCAGGCCACATGATGTTATTTTACCCCACTAAGCCACAGGTAAAACAAAATTCAACACAATTAAACATCTCACTTAGAAAGCAAAGAAAATTTAAGTCAAACTGAGTCAGTATTAGTGACAAGGCAAGAGTTGGATCAAGTGACATCCATTAACTCCATGGACCCAAAATCTGAAAGTCGGCCCTTTTATTTATTAATTTAAGTAAAGTTTAATGAAAGAAAGTACTTATATAGGCTGGGCGCAGTGGCTCACACCTGTAATCCCAGCATTTTGGGACGCCGAGATGGGCGGATCATGAAGTCAGGAGATCAAGACCATCCTGGCTAACACGGTGAAACCCTGTCTCTACTAAAAATACAAAAAAAAATTTGCCAGGCGTGGTGGCAGGCGCCTGTAGTCCCAGCTACTCGGGAGGCTGAGGCAGGAGAATGGCGTGAACCCGGGAGGCGGAGCTTGCAGTGAGCCGAGATCGCACCACTGCACTCCAGACTGGGCGACAGAGGGAGACTCCATCTCAAAAAAAAAAAAGTAAGTACTTTATATAAAGCACTGTACTAAATATACTAATAAATGAGAAATCCTGCAAGACAGTTCATTTGTCCTCATTTGATTAAATCCAGTTGAATAAATAAAATACATGCCTACTGAAATTCAATGAGTATGCTATGGAAAGTGCAGAAAAGTAATTGACAGGGCAGTTGATAGTAAAATCAAGTAAAATTTTTTTCCTCCATAATCTCACCAGACACAGAAAACTGTTAGTAGGAACAGTTGATTTTTCACTCGAAATTATCTAGTATCTATTTCAACTGAAATGTTCCTAGTCCACATCACAATAAACCTTCGCTTTGGCCACTGTTACTGTCCACATGATCTACATATTCACATAGTGTGGCAGCCAAAATTGCCCTTTAAAATTATCATATTAAATTTGGACAAATCTGAATTTGGTAGCAAGTGGAGCAAGCATGTAAGGGCTCAAAACATCAGGTGCTTCTTTCTCACTCACATAAAGCTCAGGATGGTTTTGGATTGGCCAGGAAAGGTTTCTACTCCACACAATCATCCAGGAGTCCAGGTTGACAGTGGCTCTATCATCTTAATATAAGCTTCCAGTATTCCTAGTCAAAACAGGAAGCAGTATGAGGGAGCCCACATGGGAAATTTTTATGAGCTAGCCCTACTCATGGTATTCACCATTTCCACTTACTGCCACAGATAGGATACAGTTGCATGGCTCACAGCCAGCTGCAAAGAGGGCCAGGAAATGTAATCTGGCTGTAAGCCCAGGCAGAAGAGACAAATGGATTTTGATGAACAGATGGAAGTCTCAACCTCCAAAAAGATCATGCCACTCCTTTGCTTAAAACACTTTAATTGCTTCCCATTGCACTTAAAACTGCACTCATTACTTTGGCCTTTAAGGCCCACGTCATCTGCGCTGCCCACCATCCTCAAGTTTGCCATTCTCAGTGTCCTCACGAGGCCCCAACCTCAGGGGATTTTGTTCAATTTTCTTTTTCTTTTTCTATTTCCAAGGTCCTTATAACATCAGGTCTTTGCAATGCCATTCATTCTGCTTAAAGAGCCACACCACACTTCCCTAAGCTGGCTGGTTTTTATTCTCCAGGCTTCAACTTAAATGTTATCTCCTTAAAATGATTTTCTTACTCCCTCACCTCACAAAAATGAGGTGCCCCCGTCTAAATTAGATCCTCTCTTAGCCAATTATTCTAACTGAAAATAATGTGTTCTTTTCTCTCCTGGTCCTTAACACAAATTTCAAGGGTGTATTCAGCTGAATGTGAAATTTATGGTTCTCTGTCTCCCCTGTGGAACTGTTAGCTACTAAGGCACATATATCTAGCTTAGCTCACCTTTGAGCCTTAAGCTCCATCAAAATTGCTCGCACAAAATATGTATTCAATAAAGTTCTGATGAAAAATTACATGAATGAGTGAATGATACAAATGAGGGAATGAAGAGCTTTTAGACTTTTGGTGATTTTCCAAATATGGGAGTATTGCTATAGTGGGGATAGAATAGAAGGAATTAGAGGTGAGGCCGTTCAGGGTGGAGCAAAGGTTCTAAAGCAAGCTTGTCCAACCTGTGTCCTGTGGGCCACAGGCAGCCCAGGACAGCTTTGAATGCAGCCCAACACAAATTCGTAAACTTTCTTAAAACGTTATGAGATTTTTTGTGATTATTTTTAAGCTCATCAGCTGTCGTTAGTATGAGTGTATTTTATGTGTGGCCCCAGACAATTCTTCTTCCAATGTGGCCCACGAAAGCTAAAATACTGGACACCCCTGTAAGTACAAAAACTCCTGGCACACATGTGGACAGCAAGCAAGCTATTCATTCAGGGAAGAGTTCATGCAGGGGGGCTCCAAAACAATGCCACGGAGGACTATTAGTACTATCTTGGGTCAGAATTTTAACATGTAGAAACAGAGACCCAAAAAATAAATAAATAAAAAAGAATGTTGATCGGATGGACTAGAACAAAATACTATTTTCATATTTCTCTGATGATTAAGTGCCAGATGGAAGCAAGCAAGAAGCTAAAATAACAGTCCAGATAGCAAAAGTGGCAATGGGAAGAGAAAAGGGCAGGGGAGTGGGGAAAGAATTAATTTAAAAGTGATTTCAGGAAAAAAAAAGTGGTACCTTTTAAAATGTAAGCTCCTCTATTCAAAACTTTCGAAGGTCTCCCCTTCTCACCTAGATTAATAACCAAAGTTCCTACCGAGTCCACCTAGGCCCTCCCTCATCTCAGCATCACTGCCTTCAAGACTCCATCACCGCCTTCAAGACTCCACCACCTCTCCGGCCTCATCTGCTCACTCTCTTCCTTGCTGGCTTCACTCCAGCCATGATGGGCTCCTTGCTGATTCTTGAATACTTAAGGGGTGTTTCCCCTTTAAGACCTTTGCACTGGCTCTTTCCTCTACTTGGAATCCTCTTCCCCTAGGACTATGCATGGCTAACATTTTCACCTCCTTTAAGTCCTTGCTTAGGTGTTGCTTCTCAAAGAGCATACACGGACTACCCATCTGCTTCTCAACCCAGCACCCCAAGCCTCTTTCTCTACACTGTTGTTTCCACTGCACTTACTGTCCTCCGACACACTCGATCACTTAACTGCCTATCATGTTCATTGTTTATTGTTAGTAACCCACCACTGCCCTTCTGGTCAGGAATTACTTCTTGGTCTGCTTTGTTCAGCTTGTTCAACTATTTATCTCAAGTGCTTAAAGCAATACCTGGCATAAACTAGACACTCAATAAATACCTGATAAATGAAAAAACAACAAAGAAGGAAGGCATAATCTAACCTTAGTTTTGAAGTTGGATGACTATGAAATTAATGTTTTCATTCACAGAAACAGAAAAGCCAAAATGGCAAGCTGACTGGAAGGCAGGAGAAAAAGTTAATGCGTTTTGTTTTAACCATTTTCTTGAAATAGTGATGGAAATTCCCAGCATTCAGTGGAGAAATACAGAATTGTAATTAAGAAAAAAAAAAGTCATAACCGCAATGGATTTGGGATACATCTTCTCAGGGGCAATAGCTAAAGCTGTTAACAGAAATGAAGAAGAAAAGTTCATAAAGAGATTTGAGGGAAGGTCAATAGAGAATCCTAGGAAATGTCCATATAACGTTAGGAAACTGTCATATAGGAAATTCCTAAAATCTAAACTCTAGACCATGGCCTATAAGGCCCTCCATGTCCTAGCCTTGTCTATTTTTCTGGCTTCTAACACTTTATGCCTTGCTCTTTCTGCTCTAGCCACATGGTCCTAGTCCCACTGGTACTACCCCACTTATATCAATTAGCATCGCTTTCACTCTCTATCCTAACTTTTTCCCTTCCAGCATGGCTAGGTGATTGCCTGGCCCAATTCAGTATATAAGCTTCACATGGGCATGGGCTTTGCCATATTCACTGCTATGTCATATCCCAGGGTCTAGCACAGTGCCTGGCTCAAAGTAGGTGCATAACACTTGAGGGAGCATGGGAGAAGAAATCAATGTAAGTTATGGACAGGTGAAAATAAAACACCTTAGATTTAGAAGGAAGCTGAAAAGGAATGATGAGAGACATGAGGAAACCCAAGAAGAGTGTCATGGGCACCTAAGTAGGAGAGAGTTTTGTCAAAGAAAAAGTAACTGCAGTGAAGAAGACGCAGAGAATGAAGTCTGTGAGAAGGAAACTAGACATGTAAAAACATTTAATTAGAGTAGTGGGGGCTGAAGAGATATTACAAGGAGTTACAGAAAGACTTAAGTGTCAAAACCACATGTTTTTCAGATCCCAGAATATTCACAGCCATTAGAGGTAGATTCTTCTGCACCTCTTCCCGTCACACTATATTAATATTTCTCTGAGTAGCTATCAAAATTGGAGTGACTATTTTTAAAGTACCTGAGATTTTAGACAGGACTGTCCTATACATACTTAAGAAAGGAAAAAAATCACCAGTACTAATAACTAAATAGTGAAAGTTCTTTTATCCACTAGAATGCCCATTTAGGTAGTCATGCATTCAACAGATGTTTTGAGAAACTCAAAGACCATGCACTGTCATACATAACCTCAATAAAAAATTCACATTCCTGCTCTCAGGTCTGCAACATTTTATTTCACAGGATACATTTAGTACATATGACAATGAAATGACTTACAGGAATAAGTGTGCATAAAATTCTAAGTACTACTATTATTTATAATGACACCAGAAATTTATGACTTAGAAATTTTTAGAAGTGTCATGCCTACAATTATATATTCTCCTGAGGGATTATGTTTAAAAAGATGCAACCATTTTTAATTTTCATCCTTAATCTCAATTAATTGGCATACAATATCAAGATAATGTTTTATAAATTTCCCTATATAACATAAAGTCCTTCACATAAAGTCCTGCATTGATATATGCAGAGATTCTAATCTCTGCAATGATACATGAAATATTTAGTTTCCCAAACTATTTTCCAAAATTTAACACTAATTTTTTTTAAATATTTATTTTTAGTATAGCATTAAGCACATTATGTTAAACATATTTTATTTTGCTTTAATTCTTCATATAGGCCCTCTGACAGCATTTCGGAGGGGATATTTATAAAACAATGATGTATGCTAAAAAGCCAGCTGCAAAATTCCCCTCATTTGGTCAACTCTTCCAGCTACATCACTCAACTCAAACACTGCCAAGAGTTCAGAATTAAGTCAGATAGCCTCAGATGATGAAAACAGCGATCACAAAGGCCACACTCCTTACTCACTAGGAGGGGTCCTCACAGCCATATTTGAAGCCCAATTATAATAAACTAGGTTAGATGGTTTTCTAATTCTCATCAGAGCATAAATGGCAAATGGGAACAAGGGGTGTGGGATATAGAGAGTTTCAGATGAGATAATGTCTATGAATGCCCTTTATAAACTACAAAGTCCTACAAGAAATGTAAAACACTAGTTTTTATATGTCTATAATAATAAAAATCAGTCATCAAGAGAAGACTAAATTGTGTTTAAGACAAAAATTAGTCTAAGTGACATTTTTAAAAAAGTTCCATCAAAAATTACAATGTTTTCTTAAAATTCTGTGCCAAATATTCTAAAAAACTTATGCCATGGACACCTTCCATTTCTAACTGTGACAACTAAACGTGGTTTTATTGCAGTTCTTCTCAGATCCGCTAAGGAAAGAGAATAGAGATGGGTAGCTTTTTTTGGTGCCTCATGAAATAGGTACCAATCATTTAATATAGAATTGCAGCTGAAACTAAATATTTATCATTTTGTGCTAAATCTGTTACAACCTTATACTAGTTCATAGCACAGAAATGCATAGTAAGTTTTAAATGTCTGGAAAAGATGCTGAAAAAATATATATCAATATTGTGTGTGTAAGACGGAGAATACATGTAAATATAATAGTCTAGTAAGACTATCATTATACCTTAGTGGTACAACAACATTATTTTAGTTCGCTAAGGTTCTCTAAAAACACATTCTGTGAATCACCGTTTCACTGTTATTTCCTCAAACATCTGTTCTATCAATGTTCCAAGCAAACACATTGTCTAATTCCATTTACAATGAGAATGGACAGATTTTTTTTTCTTTTTTTTCTTTTATTATTATTATACTTTAAGTTTTAGGGTACATGTGCACAACGTGCAAGTTTGTTACATATGTATACATGTGCCATGTTGGTTTTACTATATGCAGATGATTTCTAAATATTTCCTGAATTTCAGGCAACATTTCAATGGCCTCTCCAGAATTTCTGCAAAGGAAGGATTGAGGAAGGTAAAGTGGTTGAGAAGGGCTGGAAAGTAGAATGACTAGTATTGATCTGAAGCTGTATTCGCAAACCAAAAGTACTATCTCTCTACTTAAATAAAAGAAACTCAACTATTGAGATGCATTTAGACAGAGTATATAAAGAATAACAGTAGCTGGAATAGCCCCCAAGCCATGCCTTCAATTTCTATAAAGCTTCCCCTTATTTTAAAGCCAGAGGGAATTTTTATCTCTTTTGAACTCCCAGAATTTTATCTATATTTCTATGGCATTTATCACTGTCAACTTTGTATTACAATTATTTATGTTAACTGTGCTGATGCCTGGAAATTAAGAGATGTTAAATAAGATGTTAACTGTACCCAAATATAAACCTGATTAAATGCCAAATTTACATTTGAGTTTAGCTGGCATTTCATTCAATAATAACCCTTCCAGATGCTTTCTGTTATCTCGAAAGCATCTCCTGCAAATGGCTAGAGTCCTACGTTAAAGAAAAAAATAAACGATAATGCCATCTGAACCCACAATTCAATTAATTGCTAAAGCAAATGAATCTAACCTTAACCAGGAACATTAGACATTACCATTTCAGTTCCCTAATGAGAGGGCATAACCTCCAACCCTCTGCTGCCTGGTTCTTATCAAAATACAGGCGGCAAAAAATAAAATTTGAGAAATATTTCCTGAAGGCTAAAGGATTTTCTATACATCCATTCTAATTCCTCTAATTTTCCCTAATCTCCATTACCAAATCCTGCTTCCATTAAGCCAGGCCACAGTTATTTGGGCTCCTAATAGAATTGATTTTATTCAACTATACTAAAATGCTAAAACGCCTGCCTAGAATGAACATGATTACACAAAAAGAGCCCTAGGAAGCTCATTATTGTAATAACAGTGCATTTGTCATTGAGGACCTTTCTCAATATCATACCCTGTTTGTTACATGAGAGTCTTGGGGGAAAAAAAATCACAGACTTCAGTAACAGGAACAGTTTTTCTTCTCCCAAGAAACTAGTTCATTTTTATTACAAACACTGAATACTACATAACTAATCAGTATCTGAAAGAAAACTCAGAGTCAAATCTGTATCCTACTTGTAGGACAGTCTTGTGCCATAAATCCTTGGATACTAACTTTTTATTGGAGGTTATTTTTTCTTCTTTTATTTTCTCTTCTTGCTGACTTATTATATTGTCAATATTTTATTGTATGAATGTATAGGTTGCTACATATTCTTTGTCATATTGAAGAGGGTAGGTACTTGTTGAATGACATATAAGTCCTATATTTCAAGCTAAAGCTACAACAGCATTATAGTTTAACTGATGTGAAACAAGAAAGCATATTCTTCCAGAAATTTGTGAATTATGGGATTAAATGTATTAGCAATGCTTGGCATTATCCAATATTTCACAAATATATGAGTATTCTCAGAAAAAGTTGAGGAAGCATAAATTATTATTTGTATTATTCTTAGGAAAATGACAATTCATAAGCCTAAATCTTGCTTTTCTTTAATTTCTTAATGATTCACACTGTCCAATGGTCACAAAAATATAAAATATATAAAACATTTATTTTTAATTTGGGCATTTGATTCTTTTTTTTTATACTTTACATTTTAGGGTACATGTGCACAATGTGCAGGTTAGTTACACATGGATACATGTGCCATGTTGGTGTGCTGCACCCATTAACTCGTCATTTAACATTAGGTATATCTCCTAATGCTATCCCTCCCCCTTCCCCTTACCCCACAACAGGTCCCGGTGTGTGATGTTCCCCTTCCTGTGTCCATGTGTTCTCATTGTTCAATTCCCATCTATGAGTGAGAACATGCAGTGTTTGGTTTTTTGTCTTTGCAATAGTTTGCTGAGAATGATGATTTCCAGCTTCATCCACGTCCCTAAAACGACATGAACTCATCCTTTTTTATGGCTGCATAGTATTCTATGGTGTATATGTGCCACATTTTCTTAATCCAGTCTATCATTGTTGGACATTTGGGTTGGTTCCAAGTCTTTGCTATTGTGAATAGTGCCACAATAAACATACGTGTGCATGTGTCTTTATAGCAGCATGATTTATAGTCCTTTGGGTATATACCCAGTAATGGGATGGCTGGGTCAAATGGTATTTCTAGTTCTAGATCCCTGAGGAATCACCACACTGACTTCCACAATGGTTGAACTAGTTTACAGTCCCATCAACAGTGTAAAAGTGTTCCTATTTCTCCACATCCTCTCTAGCACCTGTTGCTTCCTGACTTTTTAATGATTGCCATTCTAACCAGTGTGAGATGGTATCTCACTGTGGTTTTGATTTGCATTTCTCTGATGGCCAGTGATGATGAGCATTTATTCATGTCTCTGTTGGCTGCATAAATGTCTTCTTTTGAGAAGTGTCTGTTCATATCCTTCACCCACTTGTTGATGGTGTTGTTTGTTTTTTTCTTATAAATTTGTTTGAGTTCATTGTAGATTCTGGATATTAGCCCTTTGTCAGATGAGTAGATTGCAAAAATTTTCTCCTATGCTGTAAGTTGCCTGTTCACTCTGATGGTAGTTTCTTTTGCTGTGCAGAAGCTCTTTAGTTTAATTAGATCCCATTTGTCAATTTTGGCTTTTGTTGCCATTGTTTTTGGTGTTTCAGACATGAAGTCCTTGAATCTGGGCATTTGATTCTATGTTGCTGTGGATTCTGTTTATATTAATAAATGCACATACCCAAACTATAATCTCACTCATCTTGGCAGAAGACATATCTGAACCAAAACAGCATGCTTTCTGTTATTTATTTCCTTTCATTGATTTGTAAAATATAAAAGCAAATCAAACAACAATATAACAATAAAAAACTAAATTAGCTTGGCGAAGTGCTTCATGCCTATAATCCCAACACAGTGAGAGACCAAGGATGGTGGATCACTTAAGCCAGGAGTTTGAGACCAGCCTAGGCAATATAGTGAGGCCCTGTCTCTACAAAAATAAACAAATAAATTATCCAGGCATATAGGCATGTACCTGTGGTCCCAGCTACTGTGTTGAGAGGCTGAGATGAGAGGACTTGCTTGAACCCTGGAGGTCAAGACTGCAGTGAGCCATGATTGCACCACTGCACACCAGTCTGGGCAACAGGGCAAGACCCCATCTCAAAAGAAAAGAAAAAATAAAAAACTGAATCAAAGCAGTCATCCACTCTACTTCTTTCTAGGGTGATTTTTCCTAAAAATTAAATTAGGTGGGTGGAAAAAAGGATCAGCCCTATATTGTTTTTCTATTGCTGCCATAACAAATTGCCACAAATTTAATGGCTTAAAACAACACAAACTTATCTTTCAGTTCTGTAGATCAGAAGGCTGACTGGTGTCAAGGTGTTAGCAGGGACAATTTCCAAAAGCTCTGAATGCACTGGTACTATTCTCTTTCAACCTAACTTCTCACACATGCCAGTTCCACTCTTTCTCAACACCCCTTAGATCCCATTGAATTCATTAATCATTCCCAGGCTACACTCCTCCCAATTCTAATGTAACTGCAGAGAGCCTAAGCTGAAAGTTTCAAGAACTTCCTACTTGAGGTGGGAGAGTGGGGTCCAAGAAATTCCATTACATTCCCCTTTTGAGTGTCAAACACTTCTTTCCAAGTCTCTGCTGGTATCAACCACAGCCAGTTATGTCAATGACCTTTTTATTCAGCTGATTATGTTGGAGGTTCTCAGGTAAGCTCTCTGTTCCATGCAAAATGACATCATGAGGAATAGAGGTAAGGCACAAGAATGCATTTATCAGGGCTCTCTGCTGTAACACCTTGGCCAAGAGGAATAGAGAAAGAGATGAGTAAAGAAAACCAATCTGCAACTCAGAGCTGGAAAACAGCAGAAGGAAAAAAACAGAGACAAAAAAAGAAGAAAAAAAGAAGAGAAGAAAGGTTAGTTCAATCAATCTCTATGTTCCAAATTCAGAGGGTTGGCAAAATGGAAGAGAGAAAGAGCACAAGTGAGAGGCAAAGAGACAGGACATGAACTTCTGAGGAGTTCTTCTGCCTTTTACCGCACAGTAAATATCCACTCTAACCCTTCTCCTCTCCTAGTATGTTACATGCCTATTGTAGATGTGCTGCAACACACACAATATATCTGTTGCTAAAATTCCATAAAGAAAGGTAAAATATTGAAAAATGTTAACGTACAGAAAAGAGTGGATTTTTTCTTTTGTGAAAGAAAATGAAGTTTAAAAAAATGAAATTAAGCAACAGTTTAAGGACCTTTGTCATTTAAGAGTCAGTTTATTAACTGAACACCTAAAAAAACATTATGGGTACTGTGGCTTACCCATCGCTATTGTACTTGTGCAATTACAGGGGGAAAGGATGGGGACACAAGAAGTGAGGAAGAGGAAGAATGTTATGAAGGAAATTGAGTTTGAAGATGAGTTGAAGTAGAGGTTCCACCTACCCCAATTTTCTGAAAGTCTTAATAATCTCTAGTAAAATGCTTTTCGTAAGTGTTTGACATTTATGAAATCCATGGCATATAAAATTTTATTCATTAAAAAAACTCTTAGCTACTTTTCATAAAGAGTATAAATTGTTGCTTACTGTATCTGTTTTAGTTTTTCATGTTGGGCTTTTCATGTTAAGATATTTTACCTAGCAATTTTCCTTAGTCATGATGAGGTTTATTAGGATGTGCAAGAAAACCTCTATGAAAAGACTTATATTGGATGGCTAAAGCCATAGTAGGATCAAAGACTGTAAACAATTTTATTAACCTAGTCAATTCAGCAAACCAAGAACTGCTGATTAAATGCTCATTTTTTTATGCTTTCCATATTAACATACCTAATTTCCAGGCTAAAAGATAAGATTAATCCTCCTTGTTTTTGGCATAAAGGAGAAACCCTAGCTTGGTTGATACAGGATTTGGGTTCTGGTCACAGCTTTGCTATTAACTAGCATTACTTGTGAAAAGTCATTTAAACTCTCTGGAGCTCAGTTTCATAATCTAAAAACTTAAAAGAGTTTTACTAGATAATCTCTAAGATGTCTCCCAATTCAATTACTCTATTATTTAAATTATATTCTAATATTAGAGCTCCCAAGACATGAATTTGAAAAGCTGCTCCCTGCCAATATCCCGAAACCCACTTATTCCCATAATAAATAATTTAAAAGATGATTGTAAGACTCATATACTTAACTCCTTAAGAAAGTAGGTCGCAAACTTTAGTGTGCCAAAGAATTTAGGTCCCAACCTCAGAGACTTTTCCATGTTCCAACTCCAGAGAGTCTGATTCAAAAGGACTGGGATGGTGATCAGAAATCTGCAGTTTTAACAAGTACTTCAGATGCTACAAATAGTAGTTGCCTGGAAATCATAGTTTGAGAAAAACTGCCTTAAAATTAATGTGCCAATCAAAATGAACTTTTGGATGTTTATTCTTTTGCTCCAAAATGAATTTTAAGATGACTATTTAAAGAAAACATGAATAAATGGAACCTATGAATTCAACTATATGTAATAATCGAAATACATAATAGTCATCTGCTAAAGATATAGTAAGTCCTATATACATTTCACAGATTTTTACAATTTTATAGAATAACTCAAGGTGTCTTAACAGATATTTTATAAAAAACGTATTCTTTCATTCAGTAGAAAAGCGATATCTACCAACAGTCAGTTGTTATAGGAGGGAAAAAGCTTTAAAAGATCCAACAATTAAAAAATAGTTTAAAGGAAACGTAAAATCCAAAATAACCTAACTTTTTGATCTTAGACATTATTCAAAAAAGCATTATTAAACATACCAAAGTGCATGATCATCCTGAACCTTCCTGAGTTAAGGAGATTAGTGACTGATAACTATTAAAGCTAGGATTATGCATTATATTACATTTTGAGGATATGTATTAAAGATATAGTCATTGCTCCTAAAAAGATAAGCTAGATTCTAATCAACATTAATAGGCTTAAAATTAGTAGTGACAGGTATAATTTAAAGCATAGGAATTCTGTGTGGGTAAACAGGAATTCAAACCAGATCAGTTCAACTATTCCTTCGGCGCTTGCTATTTTCCTTCTGCAGTTGGGTGAATATAGAAAAGACCATATCATGGTCAACATCTCCTGGACAGTGTTTTTCAAACTTTAAAGTGTAAATAAATCACCTGGAGACCTTGTCAGAACACAGATTCTGATTCAGCAGGCTAAGATTCAGTATTCCTAATAAATGCCCAGGTAACACTGATGCTTCTGCTCCCTGAACAACGGTTTAAGTAGCAAGGCCTCAGGGCATTTGAACCCTATTGTGTTGAAAAAAGAAAATCCCATGAATCAAATTAGGTCACTGTGGCAAATTGTATTTTCCAAAGATGGCCATATTACAATTGTTCTTATCCCACATGATTTTCCAAGTGTGACCTTGGCACTCCCTCATCAAGAGATAGAGTTTAATTTCCTTGCCCTTGAATCTAGGCCAGCTTTCATGACTCACTTGCAACTGAAAGAATGTGGTAGAAGTGTCACTGCAGGACTTCTGAGCCCAGATGACAAGACTTGCAGCTTCTGCTGTGGTCTCATGGAATACTCTCCTCAGATGCTTCCTCTCAGAGCCCAGCAGCCACACTGGGAGAAACCCAAACCATATGGAGAGGCTGTGTAGGTGCTCTCATGACAGTCCAAGCCTTAGAATCAACTCAGCCCAGGCACCAGACATGTGAATGAAGAAGCCTCCAGAGAGCCCCCACACTCAGCCATTCAATTCACTCCCAGTCAGTTGAGCATTCCCAGGCGAGGAACCCAGACTTTCTGAAGCAAAGATAAATCATCCACACTTGCCCTCTTGGAATGCCTAACATACAAAATCCATGAACATAGTAAATTAACTGTTGTTTTATGCTCTAAGTTTGAGGTGATCTGTTCTACAACGATGGAAAACTGCAAGAATGGAATTAGAGTTAATGTAGAGAAAGGATATCTACTAAATAAAGGAAAAAAACCATACGTTATTTTTAATAGTTTAAACAAAGCTGTGTGGTTAAGAAAGGGAAAGTCTGGTGATAGAGACAAAGTATCCAAAATCATTAAAAAAAAAAAAACTCAAGGAAAAAGTCTGGCTGGAATAGAAGATGAGTTCTAAGATGAGGCAAGAGATTATAATATAAATTAAATGGGGAGGATTATAAAGAAACTTTAAAGGAATCAGTAACAGATAGTAACCAAGTAGATGAAAATTTGAGAATGGAACATGAACTATTAAGATTTTAAGATTTTTTTTGTTCCATCAATGATACTTTTTTTGTTAGACTTATTAGAACAACCATGGAGCAAAACAGAAATCAAACAACGGAAAGCAAAGAAAAAGTTCTAAGGAAAGAAGCAGAAGCAATGCAAAAAGACACCCACAGAGCATAAACAGAAGCGGAAAGAAAGAAAAGAATTATGGCACAATGGCGAAAATGGCTCATAAAACCTGTTGATACTTCTGCTGAACAAATATTTTTGAAACCCTGCTATGGGGTCATTCAGTGTTCCAGGAACTGCGGATAATACGTGAGGAGCATGACAGAGTCACTGCCCCATTAAAGCTAAAATACTAGTGAGGACAATAAACCAGTAAACAGGTAAATAAAAGGACAGGCTAAGCATTCTTAATCTTAAAATCCAAAATTTGAACTGCTCTAAAATCAAAACTTTTTGAGCACTGACATGATGCCACAAGTAAAAAGTTCTACACCTGCCCTCATGTGACAGGGTGCAGTCAGAATGCACTGAAAACTTTGTTTCATGCACAAAATTATTTTATAATATTGTACAAAATTACCTTCAGGCTATGTGTATAAGGTGTATATGAAACATAAGTAAACTTTGTGTTTAGTCTTGGGTCTCACCCCCAAGGTACTCATTGTGCACATGCAAATATTCCAAAATTCAAAGCACTTCTGTTCCGAAGTGTTTCAGGTAAGGAATACTCAACCTGTACTTTTACATAGTGATAAGTATCATGAAGAAAATAAAGCAGAGTGAAGGGATATAACTATTTGGTAAAGGGGAAATGGGAAGAGGCGATACATAAGATTTATATATACTTAAAATAACCAAGAAAGAGCCCACGAAAAAATAGTAATAGTAGCAGTAGTGAAATAGCAGTAGTTGTAGCGTAGTAATTTTAGTAGTAGTTATAGTACTAAAAGCTTAAGAAAAGGTAGTAATGAGAGAAAAAGCTAAGAGTTATTAGGGATAAAAAAAGGTTACCAGCAAATGAAGAGAAAGCCCAAGACAGCTTCCTAACTATAATCCACCAGATGTTCCAGTCAGAAAGCTTGGAGTCATTCTTGATCCTCTGTAGCAGAGGCTGCTGGCACTCACCAATGCCTGCGTGTTCTTCTCTTCCTAGGTACATAGGAGAACTGTAATTCCAGTTTCCTCCACAATTAGGTGTGTCCAGATTCCAGCCAAGGTGTGTGGCTGGAAGTGATAAATGCTACTTCTCAGCTTGGCCCATAAATTCCTCCAACAGCATCCTCCATGCCACATAATGGGAGAAGAGAGAAGGCAGGTGTTTGATTCTACTTTCCCTCCCGACCACACTATGGTGTTCACAGTACCGGTATCTGCTCCCCTCCGACTGCTCTTCCACATACCTAGCTCTAATACCATTTCCCTGTTTTGCCCCTTGAGGTCTAGGGACAATAACAGCACCCAGCTTTTCATGAGTTCTGGGTGACTCGCCATTCCATGTTAGTTCCTTATCACCGCCCACACTTCTGTAAACGGTCCCTTCATGAAACTCCTCTCAGTTAAACATTTTAAAGAATGTCACTGCTCCCTGTCAGAACCTTGACAGCTATGTCTGGCTTTCTCATTAAAATTTAAATAAAGATTATGATACTTAAGTATTAAAGAGAACTAATGAAAATGACAGAACTTTGGAACCGAAAATGATCTTGGGAATCACCTTGAGACTGTCCTCTTCATTGTATGCTGATGGTATCAAGGACCAATAATAAAACAGATGAGTAAGTTTTTTCCTTTTTACATTTTTTTACATAATCAGTACATATACATCACAGCAAAAGAAAATGTGTATTACATGCCAAGCTTTTAACATTATTCAGAATACTTATTTATGATATTTATATTTTCAAGAAAAAAAGTAATGAGATCCAATTCTTAAAATTAACACTCAGAAACTAGTTCTACATTGGAACAGCATCCACCTAAGCTGGAAGGCAGAGAGCATATATTTCTCAGTTCTCATTCTTTCAATGAAATCCTACTCTGTTTATAGGGCTGCCAAATGGCTGAACCAGCCCAAAACAGTTTACAGTATTGAAATATGCTGACTTTTTTTCCCGATAATCTTCTTATGATGGAAAAAACAAGCTTCAACCAAAACTAACCCTGATCATGAATGTCAGCTCCTGATCAAGAGCCACACCCTGCCTGCAAGTAACATTAAGATGCTAAATAAAGCATCTCTCCAGCTAGAAGCTCAGTAGTCATGGCAAATGTCCATTATCAAGAGCCAAGGATAAAGACTGTCTAGTTTCCTTTGTTTTCATTTAAATTTGCTCTATAGCACTCATCTCGTATCTTGAGCTTCTTCTCATATTCTTGTTCTGAGATGCATTATCAAATATGTAACATTCTAAAGAAAGGAGAAGGCATATCTATCAAAAGAAGCTATACCTTGCTTCAAACTAAGACTCGACCCTGGTATATTAAATATGACATTAAAGCGTTCGTTACTTTAAATAGCTACATTTGTTGATCTAATGTGTGTCAGGCAGAATCCAATGTGTTTCACAGATTTTCTTTAATTCTCCTAAATTTTTTCCCCACACCTTTGCTGTATGAACATGAAATTTCGCACAAACATGGTACTGTTCTATAAGAAATGGTATGGTTCTATAACAAATACATTAAAATTATGTGCTACTACCAAAATATGTCTCTTAATGTCATAATCTTGGTAATAGTAAGCTTACATATAAGTGATTTTCCAAGCACTTATATTTGTTATTTCTAACAAAATTATCAAAAGAAGAGCAGAGTGTGCTTTCTGTTACATATGCTAGCTGATCAATGATTTTGTTATTTTTAAACTGTGGATGTTTATCACAGGGATGTGAGTTGGAATTAGAAAAAAAAACTTTCAACAACAAAGTATATATTTTATAGAATAGCTGCCCTCTCTTACAATCAAGTACATCAATGAACTAGACTACCGAGGTTGGTGAAATCTCATTACAACAGTAGCTGACCAATAGCTGGTCAGATATACTAACAATCAAATATAAATGGCAAGTCCCAGCCTTCAAGCTTGAGTACATTCTGTTCTTTAGATGGCCACATGAGAACAGAGTAAACAGATCAGTGCTGATCTGCACCCTGAGATTCACAGGCTGCAAACAAAATGGAGCTCCCCCCCACCAAGAGAATTTAGGCACCTAAGTTTTTTAGGTCCAAATATATGGTACCATAACTGCAATAGCAATGCCAATTTACAAATACGTAGCCCATTTAAAATTCATTTGCTCATTCAGTCATTAAAACTAAATTGCATTATTTAAAAACTAGACTCAAGAAATTAAAATGGCATGCCCAAGGTCACATTGTGAGTGGCACAACTAAGACATGAACTCGTGTCTTTTAACTCTTAACTGATGTTCTTTTTACTCTTATAGAGTAGAATAAGGTCCCGGACCTTTAAGAAACACCAATTCTGGAGCTCCACTGTAGACTTACTAAATCTAAACCTCTGAGGTTGGGTCTTGTAGTAGGCAGAATTCTAAGGTGGCCCCCCCAAATTCCTATACCCCAGCCAACAGTGTGCACATCCTGCATAATCCCTCCCTTTGAGTGTGGGCAGGACCTGTGAATATGATGAAATGTCATGCCCATGATTAGGTTACATATGTGGCAAAGGAAGGGGGTTTTGCAGATGCAATTAAGGTCTTAATTTAGTTGAGTTGAGTTGATTACTTGAAAGGGAGAGTATCCTGTGTGGGACTGACTTCAGCAGGTGAGAGCTCTTCAAATTAGGGTTGGGTTTCTTCTGAAGCTAGAGAATCTTCCGCTGGCCTTGAAGAAGCAAATGGCCAGGCAGTGAGCCGTCTATGCAGATGATTACATGTTAAAGATCTGAGTGTGGCCTCTAGGAGAAAAGATTGGTTTCTAGCTGACATCTAACAAGAAAATGTGGATCTCAATTAGCCACAAGGAAATTCAATTTTGCCACCAACCTGAACGAACTTGAAAGTGATTCTTCCCAAATTAAGCCTCTAAACAGCATAAACTTTGACCTCATGGCCAATAGCACTGTAATTCATGCTTGAGCAAAGACATAGTTTCTAACCATTTTAACCGGTCAGATCACCAACAAAAAGCACAAAACTGTGAAATGTGTGGCACTAAACAGACCTCAAAAAAGACATTTGATTGCAGTATGAAAGCTGATATAAAAAGGCAGATCACTGCCTTGTTTGATTTTAGCTGGGAATATGTGCCTTTTTAGGCAACTCAAATTTTTTGCTGCTCTGTTTGACCACAAAAGCTCCCAAAATATTGATTTTTAGGGCTACAAATAAATCTTAGCAAGTAAGCAAATGTGAAAAAAAAATCCATGAATAATGAAGGACCAACTGTATATTGAAATGTTAACCGATGTTGCATTTATTTACTATATTTCCTGAATTTTTACACTGAACATGTATTTTTTTAAAAAACCCTGCATTTTGAAAAAATAATAAATTTCTCAATTCAACCACAGCAAATTCTGCACCTTCTGCCTACCTTATGAATAGTTTTATTAGCTCTGTATTAAAACTGTATGCTTACTTCTGAATCCTTTAATTGACTGTCGACTGATGTAAGACAGTACATGGCACATAAGCAGTGGTAAAACAGAGATATAGACAAATGGAACAGAACAGAGCCCTCAAAATTAATACCACACATCTACAACCATCTGATCTTTGACAAACCTGATAAAAATAGGAAATGGGGAAAGGATTTCCTATTTAATAAATGGTGCTGAGAAAACTGGCTAGCCATATGTAGAAAGCTGAAACTGGATCCTTTCCTTACACCTATACAAAAATTAATTCGAAATAGATTAGAGACTTAAATGTTAGACCTAAAACCATAAAAACCCTTGAAGAAAACCTAGGCAATACCATTCAGGACATAGGCATGGGCAAGGAATTCATGACTAAAACACCAAAAGCAATGGCAACAAAAGACAAAATTGACAAATGGGATCTAATTAAACTAAAGAGCTTCTGCGCAACAAAAGAAACTACCATCAGAGTGAACAGGCAACCTACAGAATGGGAGAAAATTTTTGCAATCTACCCATCTGACAAAGGGCTAATACCAAGAATCTACAAAGAACTTAAACAAATTTACAAGAAAAAAATCAAACAACCGCATCAAAAAGTGGGCAAAGGATATGAACAGACACTTCTCAAAAGAAGATATTTATGCAGCCAAAAGACACATGAAAAAAATGTTCATCATCACTGGCCATCAGAGAAATGCAAATCAAAACCATAATGAGATACCATCTCACGCCAGTTAGAATGGCAATCATCAAAAAGTCAGGAAACAACAGGTGCTGGAGAGGATGTGGAGAAATAGGAACACTTTTACACTGTTGGTGGGACTGTAAACTTGTTCAATCATTGTGGAAGACAGTGTGGCGATTCCTCAAGGATCTAGAACTAGAAATACCATTTGACCCAGCCATCCCATTACTGGGTATATACCCAAAGGAATATAAATCATGCTGCTATAAAGACACATGCACACGTATGTTTATTGCGGCACTATTCACAATAGCAAAGACTTGGAACCAACCCAAATGTCCATCAATGATAGACTGGATTAAGAAAATGTGGCACACATACACTATGGAATACTATGCAGCCATAAAAAAGGATGAGTTCATGTCCTTTATAGGGACATGGATAAAGCTAGGAACCATCATTCTCAGCAAACTATCGCAAGGACAGAAAACCAAACACCGCATGTTCTCACTCATAGGTGGGAATTGAACAATGAGAACACTTGGACACAGGGTGGGGAACATCACACACCGAGGACTGTTGTGGGGTGGGGGGAGTGGGGAGGGATAACATTAGGAAAAATATCTAACATAAATGACGAGTTAATGGGTGCAGCACACCAACATGGCACTTGTATACATATGTAACAAACCTGCACGTTGTGCACATGTACCCTAGAACTTAAAATATAATAATAATAATAAAAAGAGGTGGTAGAGAAATGTTGAATGAATGGGTGAACTTTATCAAATGTTGAGTTTGCTCAAACTATTCACTCCACAGGACATTCTTCAACATGACAATAGTTAAAAGTAGAACTACAAATTGTGATGTGAGTATTCTGTAAAACTTCACACAAAAAATTACCAGTTATCACCAAATCTTCTCAGGGAAGGCAGGTCTCTTGCAACGGAAATGAACATTTTTAAAAAATACATATTTAGGAAGTACAAATGCAGTGTTGTTCCACAGACATAAAATAAATCTTTTCAATAGGGATCAGCATGAAAAGCATCTGCACTGCTAGAACCACGTACATCGAAAATTTATCAACCAACATCCTAAAATATTTTCAAAGTAACTGAATGCCTATAAAAGAAGGCTCTGTACCAATTTATTGCAACACAAAGATTATCAGATAGCTAGTATTTTGCCCATGGATCTGTATCCTCCTTAGTTGATACTAGGAATTGTATAGCATGATCATAGTCCTATTTCTATCACAGTTCATCACTCTCAAGTAAGTGTTTACTGAAAAACCGATGCAGAAGATGCTTTGCGAGGGTTGTGTTGTCAACAATTTTCCCCAGTTCCAAAGCTTTCAGCCAAGCCTCTGTGTTGGTGCACTATGAACCAATCTTCTAGAGGGTGATGATAACAGAAACAATAATAGAATGGGCTCAGCTCTTCAAAGCCATGTGGCTTTGATTATTTTCACTACCAACAATTCAGACCCATAAAGTAAACAAGAATTCTTTCTGATCTCAAAACTGCTAGGTGAAGTCATGTAGTGTGTCTATTTTCATTAATATTAACAATAGGTAATATGCTAATAATAGTAATGGAAAAAATACACGCAGTTTTGGGAAAACAAAAACACCCTCGATAAGATTTTTTTCCCATTAAATGGGAAAGATGAGTTTAGCTTGATGAAACTGTTTCTGTCGTTTTGAGTTCCCATAAATGTTTTTTGTTGTTGTTTCTTTTGTGTTCTCATGGTTTTAGCTATTGTGATTTAAAGTGATTTTAAGCCAGAGTAAACTGACTTAACCCATCTTTACTCTGTGTGTGCAGAAATTAGGGCACAGGGAAAGCAACCCGACTATATCCAGAGGTAATAGTAGGAAGATAAGGAAGGATTTCTGGTCACATAAACAAAGTCTGCTGAAAGATCCATTGAGTTATATTGTTTATAAATGTCTTTCCTGCTTTCAGGTAGAAACATTCTAAAGCAGGGTTTCTCAACCTTTTTGGTCCTATTTGAGATAATTAAGGGCCCTAAAGAGCTTTTGTTCATGTAGGCTACATTTCCAGTTACGTTATGTTAGAAATTAAAACAAAATTTTATGAAATATTTAATTCCTTTTAAAACAAAAATAATTAGTCCATTACATGGTAAAATAACTGAATGTGTTTATGTAAAATAACTATGTTTTTCTAAACCAAAAAAATTAGTGATAAGAATGTCATTGTTTTACATTTTTATAAATCTCTTTCTGTCTGACTTAATAGAAGACAGTTGGGTTCTCCTAGCTGCTTTTGAATTCAATCTGTTGTGTATATTATCATACCTCTCATAGCCTCTGGAAAACTCCTCTGTGCACTTGAGTGAGTATGAGAGTGAAACAAACACAAGTAGTATTATTATGAAAATAGTTTTGATTTTACAGACCTCTTGAAAGAGTATTGAGGACACAGGATGAACAACCTTCTGGTTTGCCTAGGACTACTCTAGTTTTAGTCTCAAGTTCTAGGAAACCCTGAGTTTCAGGGCAAACCAGGACAACTGGTCGCCCTCTCTGCACTACATTTTGAGAACGGCAGTGCTAAGACATCAAAAAAGATCAACTTGCTTAAGACCATAACATCCACTAACTATTACTGTGCCTTCACAATCACAAGGTGACCTAACTCACATATATCCACTATTACTGGCTACATAGGTATCTATTTTACTTTTTACAGTGTTTAATAGTAACGTAATAATTTGAAATCAACGAAATCTTCTCAGTAGCATATACCCAAGCATACTCAAAGTAGAGGTTTGATGTTATTTTAGGTAAAGTCAAAATTAAGTTATATTTAATTTTTGGTAGTTTGGGAACTGAGGATTGAACTAATGTAACTTAATAAGTGGCCATTAAAATACATTTATTTTTTATTTTTAAAAACAGTACATGCCATTTCATTAAGTTTTTAGTCACAAAATACAGTTTGAAATCTTACTTTTACAGTAATTACCTTGAGCAACAACAAAAAAGTATTTAGCTTCCTGAGAATTAGCTTATTTTCTCAAAAAGCTTTACAGAATAAAGTTTATTAATTCTGTTTTATGACATTCAAGTGCCAAGCCACATGTTTTCCCTCCAACACCTTTATTTCCTTTTAAATAAAATTGCATGAGTAAGGCCTTAGTCAAATAATAGTCATCAGTTTCCTTATTTTTTTCCTTTTTTTAAGATGAAGCATTTCTTAAATGTAACATATAGAACAACTAACAGTGACTGGTATAATGTTTTAATAATTCCTAAGTTTCATTTTTGTTAAAACATGAATGAAAAAAATCATATTATTTAGATTAAAATGTTATTTAAAAAAATCACCACCCTAACCAGTGGTTTTCCCTCATGTGAGATATTTAACATTATTGAATTGGCAACAGACATTCATTTCAAGCTCAAGACATTTTTCTTGCCATCTTTCTCACAAAATGAAATGTGTACCTACAGTTGCTATGGTACTGGTATAAGCCTTACCGTGGCATAGTAATATTGTTTAAATAAATCATTTTATTAAAAAGTGTTTGCTGAAACTTTAAAATATATTTCCAAAGGCAATAATTTTCTAAAAAAAAGTTGCTTCCTTCTCCAATTATTTTTGTATTTTTTTCACTCAATTGTTTACAAATTCACTGAGATGGTTACTTATGACTTTTTAAAGAACTATATCTAATAATGCCAATGCAAAATTTCAAAATATATGCAGAAAATCAGTTAAGAGCTTTTCTACTTCAAATAGGAATAAACCAAAATACTTTAAAATACCACTAATATTTGAAACTTCACAATTTTGATAAAGGTTACTTGTTACTGCCTAAAAAAATGGTGACAATTATATAATACTAATTACACAAAAAAGTGTCAAAGTGGACAAATGAAAGATGAGTTTCATAGTATTTTTCAAACAAAATTCAGTAGACATGAAGGTCTAAATTCCATTTTATATCCACACATCAAAGTATACTAAGATATTAGTATCTAAAAGATATGTTTATTGTGGATAAATTGCTCAATAGCAAAAACATCACATCCACACATGAATATCCCTGCCACTAGTTTCTCTAAATTTTGGCTTACTGTCCACAAAGCCAGTAAAGTTGTTGCATAGGGGAAAAAAATCATTTCCTTGTTTAAAAACTTCCATGAATATGTTTTTCCTTAAAAAAATGCAGTCTGAACTTTTTAGCAATGCATATGATGTTCACTCAGCCCAAAACCACTTCATCTCTTGCCAGTTCATTCTTCAACAAGTAGGCCTAGAGTGGCTTCAGCACCTGGCCCAAAGCAGATATGCAATCACACTTTTCGTAACAGGCACAGCAACCTCCTTGAGAGCTTATATTCTCACATGACTTTGAACACACTTTTCCTTCTTCCAGTGAAGATACAGCACAGTGCAGCTGAGAACTTTATACAAAAAGAACAATTCAAGAAAACTGAAATTTCTCCCTGCATGAATTTTGTCCATCCATAATCAAAATAATTTCAATAAGTCCCGTGGGAGTGAAATACACCTATTCAATTTGGATTTTCACTTTTTTTATTACAAGAATTATAATGAGAAAAATTACTATTACTTTTGTGTATGTCATTTTTTATCTAATTAAAATTAACATAAGATACAATGATGCACAGATCTTAGTTACTCAATACAATGAGTATTCACAATTGCAAATACCTGTGTAGCCAGCAGTGAGATCAAAATATAGGACATATCTGTGAGTCTCAAAAAGTTTTCATGCCTTTCTCCAGTCAGTTTCTTTCTCCCTTCCCCAGGCAACCACTTCCTGATTTCTAACATCATAGATTGTTTTTTCTGTTCTTGGACTGCATATCAATCAAATCATCATATATGCAGACTTTTTAAATCTGGCTTTTTTATTCAGCATAATGCTTTTGAGATTCACCCATATTGTTGCATGAATCAGTAGTTTCTTCTTTTTATTGCTGAGTAATATTTCATTATATGAACACACTATATATTTTATGTATTTTTCAACATTTGTACATCTTCTTTTGTGAGATGTCAGTTCAATTCTTGTGCACATTTTAAAAAATTGGATTGTCTTTTCACTGATGATTTATAGGCTTTCTTTACATATCTGGGATACAAGTTGTTTGTCATGTATGTGTTGTGAATATTTTTTATAATATTTCAATTTGTTATTTGTTATTTGTCTGTTCATTATTGCAATGCTGTCTTGAGATGAGCAGTTTTAATTTTGAAGTCTAGTTTATCTATGGTTTTCATGGTTACTGCTCTTTGTGTCCTACTGAAGAAATCTTGGTCTACTCCAAAGACTCATTCCATGTGCCAACATTCCCCTGCAGATTAGGAGTGCCCTGTTCCTGTTCTCATGGCTTTCTCTTCCAAGGCTGCACATTTGTCATGGGGAAAAGGCTAAACAGAGCTGGTGTTGGTTTATTCATCAGTCACATCAATGTTGTTGCTACCAGCTTAAATATTCACAGCCTTTCCCCACACAGAACCATCTGCTGGTGCTCTCCAACAATATTAACATTAAAAGGGAAGCCTTGACAAGAAGTCCAGTAAGTGGCTACTGATATCGGTTCCACAACTTAATGACGTTGAGGCTGGCACGAGGGCAATTCTCAAGGCCTTTCCTTCATGATCACTAGATGACTGCTGCAACTCCAGCCATCATGTTTTCTCTGGGTTCTATGGGTCAGGATTTCAGAGAGGCACAATGCAGATGGCTTCTCTTTGCTCCACAATGTCTGAAGACTAGCTGGACAGATCTAAAGAGCTGGAAGTGACTTGAATGGCTGAGGTCTAGGAACATTTAGTGGATTCTCATGCACATGTTTGGCACCTGGGCTAGGATATCTCAAGGACTTGCTTCTCCATGTGGCTAGAGTGTCTCACAGGTGTGATGACAGAGTTCTGAAAGACAGCACAGAAAAGGAGCACACAAGAGAGATGCCTTAGTCCATTTTGTATTGCAATAAAGGAATACCTGGGACTAAATAATTTATAAAGAAAAGAGGTTTATTTGTCCTGCAGTTCTGCAGGCCATACAAGAAGCACAGCTTTGTCATCTGCTTCTGGCAATAACCTCAGGAAACTTTTAATCATGATGGAAGATAAAGTGGATGAGGCATCACATGGCAAGACGGAGGAAGCAAGAGAGGAAAAAAGCAAGAAAAAGCAAGGCAGGAGGAAGGTGCCAGGCTCTTTTAAACGACCAGATCTCACTCATTACTGCTACAATGGCACCAAGCCATTCAAGAAGGGTCCACCTCCATGGCCCAAACACCTTCCACCAGACCGCAACTCCATCACTGGCAATCACATTTCAACATGAGATGTGAAGGGGACAAATATCCAAACTATATCAAGAGATTATCCAGATAAGGAACACCTGAGAGAGATTGCCCAGAGGGATTGCTCCGAATGGGAGCACCCAGAGTGCCAAAGGGCGCATTACATGAAAAAGCTTACCAATGCATTTTAATTAGCAGCAAGACAGAGGCAGCTTTCTGTTTTTCCATCCTGAAATTAATCTCTGGGAAGTTACTTGTCTTTCATGTAGAAAGGGGTGACAGATATCCTTGAGTTCAAAACTTTGACTCACCCCCGAAAATTCTTTAACCTTGGATTAGTCACTCAATGACTCCAAACCTCAGCTTTCCCTTTTGTATAATAATAGTAATACTACAACGATAAAAGGTTTATAATATATTCTATTATTACACTACAACAATGATGCAATGGAGTAATGATACTACCTTGCTCAGTTAATGTGTCAAATAACTTATCCTTCTTGGCGACTGAAACATGGGAAGTAATTTTCATAATTTAGTTCCCTGCCCATATCTGCCCAGTGAAATCCTACTCAGTCACCACAATCTCATCAAAAGACATGTATATGTAAAACTACCCCATCACCAGGACAAAGTCAGTTTCATCTGTGTCCCTCAAACTTCCATTACATGGTACAACATGTAATAATTATATCATGTTATAATTATGCGTTCATTCATTTAAAAAATACATATTGAGAGCCTACCACCTGTTAAGCACTGTGCTAGGAGTTGTATATACTGTTTAGTAAAAACAGTTTGAATCCCTACCACCATAAAGCTTACCCTCTAGTGTTAAAAATGTCTTTATCTGCACCTAGACAATTACCTGATTGAGAGTCACCTCTGTATCTTATTCAGCACATTCCCTAACAATGGCTAGATTCTCAAAAATGTTTGACAAATTAATTTCCTACAAAAGATAAAGTAGTTTAATACTTGTTCACAGTTAGTTCATCTAGGTAATCCAGCACAATCTGTATTAAAATAAATTAATGTAATTTTAAAAGGTAATATTTCCTTTAGGGAAATCTGAAATCCCAAAAACGTTCGAATGGAAAAAAAAAAAATGGTACAAGAAACCTCATTTGCATTCCCATTTGAACCACTCCTTTTTCATGTTTTTACTATTATTAGGTTAATTATTCCTCAAAATCCTGGCAGTAGAAAAGAGTAATACTGGTCATTTTGGTGATCATCTGTGGTCATTGAAGTGTGTTCTATGGGTCACTAGTTCCAACCCATTCAAGACTAATGGGTTGGGTTGCAGAATGGTTATCCAAGGTCCTCACAGTCTTTCTCCCTGCAGACAAAGTCATATATTTATGGGGCCAAAATAAACAGACAAGTAATCACCATAGTGAATAGCCATTGTTTTTATCATCATATGCTGCAGGGAACTTAAAAATCAGCTCAAATATGGACTATAATGGCACCAGGAAAGAGGCAGCAGGCTGCACAGCTATTATGTGTGTGTCTGTGCACAAATGCAGCCAGTGCTTCTAAGCACTTCCCTTCTGAGGAACAAAATACAAACATAAAAATGCACAGACAGTTCCTTCTCCTATTCCTAGAAAAACAAATCATAAAAGAATTCACTGCTACCCTCACCAAAATCTAAATGGGGAGGTAAAAGAGTCACAAAAATCCCAGCAAATGACGCATGATAAAAATTTATTCCTCTCATGTCTTTCCAAGATCATAAAAAACAGGTTGGTAGCTGTCATCATGGTCTTATCCTGGACATTTAAGGATAAACATTAAACACCTCAGGATACTCTTTTCCAATTTAAGTCTAAACCCAGGTTTACAATTACTGCCTGTGTTAAAAATAATGTATTCACATGTGAATTTCTCTAACTTTTTAAATCCAGGGATTTATGTGTATGTACATTTTTGTTTGAATGTGTGCTGAGTTTTCTTTCTCTCTTTCATTCCTTTTCTGTGTGAAGCTATAAACACATTTTAGGCAATTAAGTGGTCAGTAAACAAAGTCTTACACATAGAAATGTCATACTTAAATGCTAGATAAAATCAGAGGAAAATAGCATAGGCTACGTATTTGACATTGCAAGTTATAAGGAAAACTGAAAGATGACAAGAGATGAATTCAGATTACAATATGAGATAATTCATAATTGCCAGAAAGTGGAAACAAGCCATTGTCTGTCAACTGAAGAATGGGTAAATAAAATATGGTATAGCCATACAATGGCACACAATTCTGCAATGAAAGGAAACGAAGAACTGATGCATGCTACGACATGGATGAACCTTGAAAACATGCTAAATGGAAGAAACCAGTAGCAAAACCCACATATTGTACGCATCTATTTATACAAATTGTCTAGTGTAGGCAAATCCACAGAGACAGAAAATAGATCAGTGGTTTCTGAAAGGAGAGGGAAAGAAATGAGAGGAAATGGAGACTGACTGCTAATGGGCACGTGGTTTATTTTTGAGATAATGAAAATGCTTTAAAATTGATTTTGTTGACAACTGCACACCCCAAATGCACTAGAAACCACTGCATTTTAAATAGGTGAATTGTATGGTATGTGAATCACAACTCAATAAAGCTATTAAAATATTTTGTAGCTGAAATGACACAGGGATCTACTTTGTATATAAAAAGAACACATGAAATAAATACTTGCTCATGTTTATAAGCATAAATCTGAGAGGATACAGAGAAAGGCAAAACTGGGAGAGAAAACTCTTCTCCTGAGTCTAAAGCCAGGAACTGAACATACTTTACCTCAGCCACCAATATGTTCAAATAATCTATGGCAAAGTTTCTCCACATGCTTCAAAACATCACTTAAGTACACTGTCCTTAATAATGAGTACTATAGGAAAAACAGTTCTGTAAGAGTAAAATAGAAGGAACTTTTAATGCCCTTATTTTGAAAGTTTGAAAGGGGAAACATAGTGAACAAAAACAAAATGATAAAATCTTACTTTTATTAGCAACATGAAGCTGTAGCAAAGTATTAGCTAAACAAATGTATATGTACATAGGGTGGAGGAGCTTCACTTAAAGAATCATAGGCCCAAATCAGCCCAATTCAGTGTTAAACCCACCACAGAAAAACACCAAGTGCTGTCACCTTAATTCCAGCATAAAATTTTAGAAGACAATTTGATTTTCATGTCAATCATGGCAAATGCTTTTGCTTGTGTTTATGAATCATTAAAGAATGATATCAGTTAAATATAATAATTCGAAGAGAAGATTCTAAAAACAATACTAAAGGCATCATTGATTAACAGAAGTCACAGGTGAACTGAAATAAACTACAAGGGATTGAGTACATAGTAGCCAGGATGCTTTGAGCTGCAAGTAACAGAAGAGCAAACTAAAAGAAATGGAAACTGGAAAGGATTAATCATCTCCCATACAAGAAGATATGTGAAAGGAGGGCTCCCTCATTGACTCAGTTGCTCAACTTGACCTCAAGGGCCCCAGGACTTTCAATTGTCCTACCTTGCATCCCTGTACTCCAGCAATCTCTCCCCTAATGTTTTCAAGCTAACTGTAGCAGTTCTATAGGTGTCAACTTCTGACAGTTCCACATCCCCAAAAATGGAAAAAGGCATTTCCTCAATGTATCTTTTTATTTGGGAAAAAGTCTTGCAAACATCTTCTGGTCAAGTTCCCCTCAGATCTCACTGCCAGGATTGGGTCACATAATCATGCTTAAACCAATCCTTAACAAGGAGAATGAGACCTCAATAGGACTGGATCATTCTAATCATGATTTGCCCCTGAACTCGGCAGGAGAGATCATTTCCTCAAATCAGAACAATGAGGTGAGAACAATGAACAAATTCAGGCTTCTTCCAGGAAGGAAGGTGAGCAACTCTCACCAAGAAAACAGCGATCACACTGGTGTATGATCCAGACACTATTTCACATGGAAAACCAATAAAAAACGGAGGATGTTTAACCTACACAGGGGAAGGCTATGATGAAGTCTTCAAATATGTGAAAGTCTTCAAATACCATGTGAAAGAGAAGATCCCTGATTAATTTAATATGAGGCCTTACAAACTATAGCTCTCTAACAATATGCTCAGTGCAAACTCATGAGAGAGCAGTCATTAGACAATTCACATACAAGCAGAATCATCATTTCCAGAGAATATACTCTTTGGATAGAAGGTTGAACTAGTGAATCTAAGATTTTTTTCTATCCCTTCTCTAGTTTGGCTGAATCATGCATGTAGGAAACTTGCCCATAACCTCCTCCCTCATCCTCCTTAACAAGTCTGCCAACTCAAATTTAAAACCTAAAATTGATATTTTTACATGGAAAGAAAAGAAACAACAAAATGATCTTAATAGGTTAAACAGTCTTTTCTTGAATCAGACAATACAGTAAATACAATAAAGATAATTCAGAGCTATCTAAAGCAATTATAAACATTAGTGTCATTTTCCTCATATTCAATCCCAGTTCCACTCCTATCAATAGGCAACTGTTCTTACGGTTGCTCTAAGTAGAAGAACAGATTGCAGATTATACAAGGGCTCTAGCCTCAGCCAGCATTTACTAAATAAATACCAATATCTGAAAATCCCTTATGTCTTTCTTTGCTGTTATTCTAACTGCCAGCATGAACAAGCAAAAGGAGCAATTAAAGAAGCTGCCATCAATATCATGGGAGGAACCCATTATTTCCAATCCTTACCTCCTCTCTTCCAAATCTTACCTTCTAATTTCCATTCTGACCTCTTTTCATGCAGCTAATATTGATAATTATTTAAACAAATACTATGATCTCAGCCTGAATTTATTTCACTCTCTGAACAGAATGTCAGTAAACTGCAAGTAAAGTTATTAATTTTATGTTCAATTACAACAAAATTTGAGTCAGGATTTTCTCCATAATGCCACATTGGAAAATACATTTAACAAAATGTAGATGTAAAAATTACTTAAGATTTTCTTGTATTCAAAAACAAGTGAGGCTTTGAGATGTGAGAAAATGACCTAAGATTAATAGAGAAGATCTTTCATTGCCCCACACTCCATCTTCAACATCTGCATCTTCTTCATCTACACATTTTGCAGTAGATTACTAAACATAAAGAAGCACAGTTGGCTCTAAAAGGCAAAACCGGTGACCCAAATGCAGAAACCATCAGATAAAATTCATATTTTTCCTTTGTTTCTGAGGGGAAAATAGAAAGCCACCCCATGTGGCTCATATCTAAAAATGTAACCACTTATTTTTGCTAACCTGGAGACTGCACCAACATTCTCCCTGCCAGGCACATCATAATGCTACTTACACAAAACTTTTCACTAATGACTTCAGACACTTTTTTTATACTGAGTAGATATTTTTAAAGTATAAACCCAAAGGGGACCTCTCTGTTTTTATCTCACTTGATCACTCACCTGTCCTGTATGCACTTTATTACTCTCTCCTTCCAAACGAAGCTAACTCAGTTTAAGGTTCAGGGCCCCTTATTTACAAAGGCCAAACTAAGGCTCAGAGAGGGGCCCCAACAATGTTTCCATAAGACATTTTATTTTTAAGTTTGCCAAAATCACGTATATTTTCATCAATTGGTGGATACTGCTCGACCTCCCCTCTATCACATTTGCCTTTATGCTGGGAAGCGAGCAAGCATCTTTAAGATCTATATAAGTAGGCAGTGAGTTTGGAATTATATTCACTTCGGATTCAGTACGATGTAATTTCTGTGATTCAGAGTAATTTTCTTACATAATTCAGTTATTGCTAATTATTTCCAGTGTAGAAATGCCTTCCAGGCTCTTAACACCAAAGCATCGGTAACAAACTGGTTTATAAGTTATTCTTTAAGATTACTTAAGATTAGTCACTCTGCATGAAAACTTGGCATGTCCTGAAATCACAAAGCTCATATATGAGAGAAACTTGATGTAAGTTTCCACATTTTGGCAACAATCCTAAAAATTTATATGGCATTATCAATAATAGGCTGTAATACCAAAAGAAACTGTTCTAAACTTTTCAATAATAAAAATATAATTTCAACCAGCTATGCTAAATACTGAATTATTTTTCTGATATCCCTGCAGAAGATGACATTATAAAATTCTTGTAATATGAAGAAGCAATCCAAAAGTAAGCCTCCTCCCCTTTTCTACTCCCTAAAAAAGAAAAAAAAGTATTATAGAAGTGCATTGGTGTTTAATTAATAAGATTTTTCTGAATTTTGTTCATTTATGGCATTTTAACTCTTTAAAATTTTATAATTTTTACCATTATTTTCTCATTCCAGTCAAATTAGTACCTAAGTTTGTATTAATAATCCTGTATTATTTTTCTTTAAAAGGACCTCCACATTGACTAAGCTTCCAACCCCACAATATCTACCTTTGTCTCACTCTTGAAATGCTATTTTCCACTGGCTTCTAGAAAATCATACTCTCCTTATTTTCCCCCAGCTTACTGACTCTTTCTCTGCACTTGTCATAAAAGCAGGAGTGTGTGAAGACTGTGCTCTGGGCCTCCTTCACTTTTCAGACAATTTACTTTACTTAAGTGTTCCCACCGAGTCCCATGGTTGTAAAGAGCATCTTCTGACTGTTTTTAACACCTAAATCTGTACCTCCAGCCCTAACCCCATCTTCCCACTTGACATCTCCCTGGGACATCTAACAGACATCTCAAACTCTCCACGGCCAAAACTCTTGAGTTTGCTATGGATGCCCACTGCTCCCCTAGTGGTCCCCATCTCAGGAAATGACCCATCAGTACTATTCCTCACATCTCAAATCCAGGCATTATCATTGTCTTCTCTCTTCCTTTCACCATACATATGGCATTCCCCAACCAGTCCTGTCAATCTACCTCCACAACATCCATTACCTCCTTCCAGCTTTCTTATTACTATTGTAGTCCAAGCCACCATCACACCTCACCTGAACAACAGTAAGAGCCTCCTAGACAGACTCCTGCCCATCCTCTATTCCATTCTTTACACAGCAAGATGAACATTTTCAAAAAGGCAAATCATACCATATTATCCTTCTGCTTAAAATCCTTCCTGGCCCCTATTATACCTGCAGTTAAATGTTTTACTCTGGCTTACACAGCCATACAAGACTGGCTTCTTCCCATCTGTTTTGTCTTTTAATGCCCACTCCATTGCTCACTCACTTTCTTACTCGTCCTCTCTGCCAGAAATGTTTTGCCCCTTAGTTTCTCCACATCTGGCACTTTCTTTTTTTTCAGTTTCAATCTAAATAGCATGTCTTCCTCACCACCCATTCTAAGAATGCCTTAGTCACTTCTTGTCATGTAACACTAAACTTATTTATCTGCATAACATTAAGACTTCTCCTAATCCCACAGTTTTCCTGTGTGTATATTGGTTTTCCACCTATCTCTCCCTGGAAGCCTCATCTAACATCTTTGCCATGCTGTCCTACCACCTAGAACAGTGCCAAACATAACTTCTTAGGCCCTCAGTACATTCTTTGAAATATGACACTAATAATCTTGGTGCCCATAATTCCCTCCAGGCCTGTCTCAAAGGTTATGGTACACTGTTTAGTTTGAAAAAGAGGTGGACAAAACTGATAGAACACCTTTCCTCATACAACCCCTGCTTGAAACCACATTTTTTTTCATTTCACAGATGCACTGAACGGTACAATTGCCTTCGTGGTCATAAGTATGCTCCAGGAGCCACATGGCCAGGCTCTGGCACCATGGAAGAGCATGCAAGGCACCCCTCTGCTAGAAAACAGACATTCCAGTGTTTCTCAGGTAAGACTTGCTTATTGTGGCTGTGTAAGAGGCATCCAAGTGACAAAAACCTATGTTTAATCCATTATATGACCATTCCCAAATTATCATTCTTTGCTCTTTCACAATCTGGTATTTTACCATGCCTGTGTAGAGGTAGTTTTTACTTTGTCTTACAGAATCTTTTCTGAGGCTTTCACTGATGCCAACACCACTAATAAACATAAGAATTGTCATGATTACACCATCTAAGAAACTCCATGGCAAACTAAAATCTGTGGCAAATGTCCTACTACTGCAAAAGTGTAGACTCCATGAAGCTTCTCTCAATCAAAATTGCAAGTCCATTTCCAGCCGGGTGCCTTGTGCCACCCCGAGCATCTCTCACACCTGTCTTGCTAGAAAGGCCTTCAAGAGAGTACCAAGAGGAGAAACCAAATATACAAAAACAGCATACCAATGATTCCACACATCACTACCCCCAAAACAGGAATAAATGGGAGCAATAGAAAGAGGAGGAGGAGGAGGAGAGCAGGGAAGGAAGGAAGGAAGGAAGGAAGGCAGGCAGGCAGGCAGGCAAAAAGAAGAGAAGAGAAGAGAAGAGAAGAGAAGAGAAGAGAAGAGAAGAGAAATTTGCAACAGATAAGAATATCCTTAACACTAACCTACAGTTTCTATTATTTTCACTGTTGAAACAGACTGCAGACAAGTAAAAGGATAGCATACCCTTTCATGAAATCATCTACAGGCCTTTGGGAATGTCAAAGCCTAATGCTGGCCAGAGAAGTTGGCCAGGTATCTAAAACAGGAGAAGATCAAGTCTGGCCCAATCCTGGCTGAATCTTAGATTCCTGAAGGTCAAATAACATTCAGCACAAACTGACTGCCTGGATAAAGTGCACCTGAGCTACTCAGAACAAATGTCAGGGGAAAAAAAGTTGATAATGAGAAAAGAATGACACAAATTTCTCAATAATGTCTGAGGTCATTTCTTACTAGAAGATTCCAAAATGGAAGCAAACCATGAGTATAATAGACTGATCACCAATCAAAAGAAAATACATAAAATCTACATTTTAAAAGATAGGCATGGAAGCACTAGTGGAAAAGCTAGCCCTGGCCCAGCGCCAACATATTTAGAAAGAAGGCCAGCTCCATTTCATGACGTAAATTGAACATTTTTCAGATCCAAAATTTGTAACTACAGACACAGAAATAGACTGACACTAAGGGGAAAAAAGTTTGTTACACTTACTGATTCCAAACTTTCAAAGTAATGAAACCAAAACCAAAACCCAATATATCTCTGACAAGATTTTTCATAAATTATATACGTTAAAGGAAATATGATTGACCCATTATATTCATATATAAATGAAGCATTATTGGAGATTTTAAATTGTTAAACAATAGCTTTAAAGTTTGGAGGCCAGGCACAGTGGCTCACGCCTGTAATTCCAACACTTTGAAAGGCCAAAATTTGAGGATTGCTTGAGCCCACGAGTTTAAGAGCAACCAAAGCAACATAATGAGACCCCCTTCTCTATAAAAAATTAGCCAAACATGGTGGTGGACACCTGTAATCCAAGCTACTCAGGAGACTTAGGTGGGAGGATGCTTGAGCACAGGAGGTCAAGGCTACAATGAGCTGTGATCCTGCCACTGCACTCCATGCACTCCAGCCTGAGTGAGACCCAGTTTCAAACAATAACAACAACAACAACAATAATAAAAGTTTGCATGTTCCTTTCCCTTTACAGGAAGTCACATTTATAAAAACAGAATCTGAATACAAAAATAAAAGCTTATGCTTTACTAGAAAGTATTGACCAGCTCTACACTTCACAAAATGTGTTATCTATAGCAATAGACATGTTATAATACGTATAAGTTTATAATTTATTTTTATTATTAACATAATATAATATAAAATATAATAAGTATAGTTGGGATATGTATACTAGTCAAAGAACATATTTAGGGTATTGCTTTCATAAAACAGATCTTTTTCTTTCTTATAAACAAAACTGGCCCAATTACCTCAAAAAAGTACAAGCCAGAACTCAGGTGACTTATGTTTCAAATTGCTTCTAGATATAATTGTATGCTTGAAATGCCATTGTCTGGTTGGGAGCAGTTGAGTTAGAACATGAATCTATCAGCAAGGTCGACCCTTCTTTTGAAACTGCTTCAACAACCAGTCTCCATCTTTCAACTTAAGTTTCTTAGTAAATCAAATTCAGTACTGGACTGGGTCACTACAGCTCTCATAATACACAGGCAGTCTTGAGCTGATTTCGTGCATCAGGGATTCTGCAGTATGGCTGGTCTGAACCACACAGTCCTACAAATTGGGCAGGTTCCCTGGGCTTTGGTACCTGCCCACCACTTCCTTCAAAGCATCTCTCCTACAACCTAAAACCACTATCTTGGTTCTAACTATTTACTTGTGTCAAATAGCCAAATACCATTCTACTAGGTTTTTAGTTGATGATCTCTGAAGGGATGTATCGGAGTCTATCTCAAAGAACACTAAACAAGAAGAATGTTTTCTAAAAAATGCAGCAGTAGGGGTAGGGGTATGAAAACTGCCCCTGGATCCACGCTACATACTTCATCTCTGCTCAGAGATTTGCTATTACATTTGCATCTCAAAAGAGCTGGAGAATCCTACTATACTAGAAACCTGATTGCTTAAACAAATGTACTCCCAAACATATGTGGCCACAGGCCATTGCTTTATTATATTATATATTTTTTCCATTTATTAACATTCTAAAAAACATAGAGAAATTCTGATTTATCAGTCCTCTGAGTAGCATCTGCATTTCTTAGAGGTTCCTGACTAATCTTTGATAATATTTCAGACACTATGGCTGGTAGTAGTAGAAACAGCTGTAGTCAGAGAACCAATCCTGAGGCATCTCAAATCATTCATTCCCAACAGTGACATAGTCGGCTTGCTGTTAAAAATAACAGCTAATATTTATTAAGAGTTTACTGTGTAACATTCATTATTCCAAGTATTTTACATATATTAAGACATGCAAACTACCCAACAATCCAGCAAGTCAGTACTATGTGTTATCCCTGTTAGACAGATGAGGAAACTGAGCACAAAAAGGTTACATCACTTGCCATAGGTAACATGGTTAGTATGTGGTGGAACAGGGATTCAAGTCCAAGCAATCACATCTAGTAAAGATTTAAAATTAGATAAATTTATTTGATTAGATAATAATCCTTTGGAGAACAAGCAAGTAACACAAATACAAAGTGCTATGGTCCCAGTATATAGAGGCCATCCTCAGGATGGGTACTTGTTAATTTTTTTCTGTATTTGTGATAAAAGTAGCTTATAACAAGGATAAAAAAGTAGGCCTAAACAGAGACAACTCATGGAAATTAAGTCATAATAAGTTTAAGTAAGGTGCCAACTGAACATCAGGAGTTAAAAGCAGGAGAGGCTCCCCTCTGCAACATATTTATATTATACTATATTATATTATATGTAAAATATATATATATATATGTATACATAGGGAGAAAGTGCATATGCACAAACTTTTTATCCAACAGTGAAGAAAGGAAGTAACTGGATAGATTTTGACTGTAGATTTGCTTGAAAGCAAATTCACACACTTCTGAACCTGTATAATAAAGATGAGTAAAAATAATATTTTATGCTCATTCACAAAGATTAGAAAGCAACTTCAATAAAAATACTGATGAAATAAGTTAAATTCTATATTTCAAACTCAAAAGGACTGTTCATTTTATTTTTTATTGTTTTGATTTTTTATTATAATACATTATTGCATACAGTTACTGAAATATTAAGCTTTATTCTAATAATGACCTTTGACTTAAGTATTTTTGGTTTTACAGATAAGTTAGTTGTAAAATAATCTCCTGTTGAAAGGACTAGAATAAATTAATAAAATCCAAAGATATAAAAAGTTATAATTAGAAAATATAATAATTTGTGTAAGTAAAATAGAAGGGCATGTTTGGGTTTGAACCACCCCACACCAAGTGTAAACTGCTGAAAAGTGGTTTGTAGTAGTTTGGCTTTGAGTCTGAATAGAAAGCCCGACAAGTTCAGTTTTCTCATTTACAAAATTAGAATTGGTTCATGGCAATAATTAGATGGTACATGCTTGGCACATGCTTGAAATGTAGCACTTGACACTAGCTAATATTATTATTGTTGTTCTTGCCCATTATTAGGCCTTCTCCTTGGCAATATCTCATCTTAATTCAAAAATTACCTTTGTAAAATACAATAGGTTGAAGAAGACCAGGAGAAGGATATTAACAACACTAGGAGGATCAAAGAGAGAAACAGTACACAGTGCCCAGCCTGGAAGTGTATGAGCAGTGGAGGAGAAACAGGGTTTGAAGCCTATGAAGCCAGAATCTGGGCTGTGGACAAGTCTTCCAATCCTTACTTTAAAACTGTAGGTGAGGGAACTGGTTCTCATCAATACTTAGTCAAAATGGAAATTTACCCTTGTCAGAAATATATTTGATAATTCAACATCATAATGAACAAATAACAAAATTTAAACACACTGTATTGATTTTTATGAGAAATGTATGAGACTGAATTCATCAGAATTCCTGTTTGTAAGGAACAAACCAACAGCAGCACTACAAACAAATGATGATGACTATATGCACATGTTTTATGCATCTCAATTATCAATAATAAAAATCAAAATCTGAACAATGATAGAAGAAAAACTGAGTTAACTTTTTATTCTCTCTACAAAAATGATATTTCAAAATCATTGATAAGCAAAGAAGCGATTAAAGTATAAGAGCCAACAAATATAGAAAAAACTTAGAAATATGTTGGATAAAGAAAATGTGGCACATATAACACCATGAAATACAATGCAGCCATAAAAAAGATAGGTTCATGTCCTTTGCAGGGACATGGATGAAGCTGGAAACCATCATTCTCAGCAAACTAACACAGGAACAGAAAACCAAACACCACATGTTCTCACTGGTATGTGGGAGTTGAACAATGAGAACATATGGACACAGGGAGGGGAACATCACGCACCAGGGCCTATTGGGGGTGGGGAACTATGGGAGCGATAGCATTAGGAGAAATACCTAATGTAGATGATGGGTTGATGGGTGCAGCAAACCATCATGGTACGTGTATAGCTATGCAACAAACCTGCACATTCTGCACATGTATCCCAGAACTTAAAGTATTAAAAAAAAAAAAAAAGAAAGAAAGAAATATGTTGGACAGTTTCTTTAAAAAGATTACCTTTCTTCCGGATTTTTTGATGTTAGTGATATCTGTCGGCTTTATCAAATTTGTAATTTTTACAATTTTTTTCTCAGACTAAAGAAATATTCACCATTGTAACTACTTATATATATATATATTTTGTGTCTATATATTTTACATATAGTATATACAGTGTATATACTATATATTTTATATATAGTATATACACTGTATATACTATATATATTTTATATATAGTATATACACTGTATATATACTATATATATTTTATATATAGTATATATACAGTATATATACTATATATATTTTACATATAGTATATATACTATATATATTTTACATATAGTATATATACTATATATATATTTTACATATAGTATATATACTATATATATATTTTACATATAGTATATATACTATATATATTTTATATATATAGTATATATACTATATATATTTTATATATAGTATATATACTATATATATTTTATATATATTTTATATATAGTATATACTATATATATTTTATATATAGTATGTACTATATATATTTTATATATAGTATGTACTATATATATTTTATATATAGTATATATACTGTATATACTATATATATTTTATATATAGTATATATACTGTATATACTATATATATTTTATATATAGTATATATACTGTATATACTATATATAGTATATAGTATACAATATATAGTATATATAGTATATATATTATAGATTTTATATATAGTATATATATAACATATATATAGTTCTATTCACTTCTCTAAAATGTAATCTGCAAAATTATACAAGTTTCTGGCTCCACAAAACCTAAATCCACCCATGATGATAGTATAACCTTCACCAGCAGCATCTGTGAATGAGCTGTTTAAATATCTGCTATATCATACAAAGGATAAATATATTTTAAATTATTTCTAAAAGTACTTACATCTGCCAAAAATGCCGCATAACTCACATAGGCACCCACTAATTCCTACCAGAGTTCATTTCCGCATGATCCCTACCTTTCCCCTAAGCTAACATTTGGGGAGAAACTGGGAAGCAAGCTTGCATACTATGCTGCACAGAATGGTAGGCTCCTCTTTAATTGGGGGTGCATTCTTTACATTTGTGTGTTTGCATCTTCATTTGTTCTGCTTTTAAACAGAGCACTCCCTATATAGTGCCCCAAGCCAACACAGGGAGGGACTACAAAGGATTAAAAGACAAAAGAAAGTCTTTGAGAAACTTGTTAAAGTGAACATATTCAAAGTGGCATTTATTGGAAGATCGTAGTCTTAAGTTTGTAGAAATCATCATGGAAGGAAGTCACCCAAAATATAAGTAGAGATCTTTGAGGTGTAGGGATGTGAGCATTTTTTTCTTCTTCTATGATTAAAATATCTTTTAGTATTTCTAAATACCACATGAAATAAAGATGTGCTACATTTATAATAGAAATTAAAATTAGTAAACAAAGTGAGCTTTGTTTGGTAACCTGAAATGTTCTACATTATAAGCAAATTTTATCAGGTTCCGTTTGCTTATTGCCCATAGGCATAACCTACAAGAAACTGGCAGGACATAACAAAAATTAAAGATAAACCATTTTACATTTATGGGTTGAAAACCATTAAACACATAAATGACAGTAATAGCACTTTAATTGACTTGTAGTATAAGGGAATAAAATCTTAAGAGGTTTGGAATATTCAGTGGTCTAGTATTAGTCAGGCAGAAAGGAATGAGAACTACCTCAAATTAGATATTACATGATTCTTTGAACTAGTTACATTTTTAGATGTTTTACTGTAAATAGAAGTGGTCGTTTTACTTTAAATAAAATGCGGTTGTTCCTAGATATGTCATTAAAACTGGGAGACAACAAAAGATGGTTCTGTTACCAATAAACAAACATTTATTGAGGACTTGCAGTTTGTTAAAAACTTTGCCTGCTCTAACCCTAGCCTGTAGGTCCACGATTATTCCATTTTATCCTGAATTGTAAAAATGAAACAGCTAACCAGTGGCAGGTCTAAGGTAGAAAGATTCCACAGCATGGGTTGTTTACTACATGATACTGTCTTCTTAGAATTATGAAAGACTGATTCAAAACAAACTACTAAGTTTTATCCTTAAAATGTATAGAATATTTTATACCCTTCTTTCATACTCTCTTGTTTTGTTGTTGTTGTTGTTGTTTATGAAGTAAACTCATTATCTCTGTTAGACAATTATAAGAAAGGCAGGTTGCTGTGACTCATCTTTGGAGGGGATGAGGCAAAGTGAAAACAGTTTGGGAGATTAAAGGACAGACAGCCCCTGGCACTGATTTTCTGCTTCCGTTTCTTCAGCAGTAACTAGTCTATTCCAGAGTGACATGGTAGCAGGGTTTTAACTGAGCGCATCTAGAGCTGGTAATATTTGGAGATGGAGGTGATGGCCCAGGTGATAATGAAGAGAAATAAAACTTAGGAATTCCTGTTTTACTGTTAGGAAGGAAGACAGAACTCTAGGACCATATTTTAGATTATTACAGTATAGTACATGCATCACTGAACTAACAGGTTTCAAATAGTAAGTTCATAGCAGCCAATCATCCCAGAGCCTTAAAGTCTCCAAATTTTAGTCTCTCTCTGTCTTTAAAATATGGCCATTTATGCAACTAAAGAATAAGCAATCACGATGTTAATTAAAAAAAAAGTCCATGTCATCATTGCTTAAAAATAGCAAGCAAAAAAATGCTTAGAGTTAGACATAGGAAATTGACAGAAGAATAGGAACAGAAATTATGGTAAAAATAGGCATCTAAGAGGTCTGGTATTTAAGTTAAGTGGTTAAATAAATGCAGATGACAAGGTTTTAAGAATAGGGATGTTTTAAAACTTTCTTAGGGTCCAGTTTTCTTTTTAGATACTTGAATGAATGGTGAAATGGATAATTCAATGAATAACTGAATGAATGATGAAAATGATGAATTCAAAAAAAAACACAGTGACATAATTTTTCACACACCACTCCCAACCTATGATTCCCTGAAGCCCTCTCCATGGTCCTCAGGCTAAAAACTTCTAAGGTAAATAATAATCATGATTATAAATAGGCATTTGTTGAATATCTCCACATATCAGAAAGAGTTTCTACTCGTAAGTGCCACACCATTTTCAGTAAGAACAAGGCTGAATGTAACCAGGACCTAGAAAGAACACTTAAATATTCTTCACTGGTGACCACAAAAATGACCCGATTTTATCAAGCTCAGTTTAAACAACATTCCCCATAGCACAGCAATTGACAAAAACTGGCAAAGCACAGGAAATATTAATGAAAATGCTAACAAAAAAACAATTTTGTATACAAAAAGTTCTTTTTACTTCTGAAAAACATTTTACATACTGTAAACCATTAATTATACACAACAAATATTAGATAAAGATATCAGAAATGTTTGGGGCCATAATCAAGTTTATTTTGATTAAGTTCTGTGTTAAGTGAAAGATGAGGACTCTGTTTACAAAAGAAGCCCAAAGTTAGGGAACAGACAAATCAGGGAGTGAAGCTTAGAGCAAATCAGTTAACTGCTTGCTCTGTGTAGAGATATTGGAAGATGGCTTTCCCAGCATAGATCAATACCTGGTTATCAAGAACACTTTGGATAAGAATTTAAAATTTATTTGCTAAATATTTCAATTCCGAGATGGCCATACAAATACACAATTAGAAAGAGAGAGTCTTCTAAAAAGAAATCCTTAGCAATAAACGCAAATTATCAAAACCAATGTACTTAGCATAGAATCATGATTAAGAGCGTGAGGTTTAGACAGACTCAAGTCTGAACAGTTTTTCTACCTCTGGGCTAGTTTTATTTAATTTCCCAAAGCTTCAGTTCCACCATCTATGAAAAAGGAATAATAACAAGATTGAGAAAATGTACAGGAAATCCAGTACTTTGTACATATAAAAATCTCAAAATGTAGCTATTATTACCAATAGTTAGCATTCTAATATCAACAAAAAGACTATTATCTAAGGGTTACATAACCAGGGAAAGGTTTGAGTAAAGGTCAAGTATCCCTTATCTGAAATGCTTGGAACCAGAAGTTTCCCAGATTTTGGATTTTTTCGGATTTTGGAATACTTGCATATATGTAATGAGATATCTTGGGAATGGGACCCAAATCTGAACATAGAATTCATTTACATTTCATATATATCTTATACACATAGCCTGAAAGTAACCTTATACAATTTTTAAATAATTTTGTACATGAAACAAAGTTTTGACTGTGACTCATCACATAAGTTCAGGTGCGAAATTTTCCACCCATACTGTCATATCAGAGATCAAAATGTTTCAGATTTTGGAACATATCAGATTTTGGATTTTTAAATTAGGAATTCCCAACCTGCACTACATATTTAGAAAGAGAACCAGGAAACGAAAAGTTAAATATTAAGAGTATCTCCTCCCCGCCCCCACTTTTTTTACCGGTCATTAGCTGGTTTTCAACCAAAGATTTGTTCATTCTAAATAAGCACAAAATTATTGTTCTGTTCATTGAAGCTGCTTAAGGTAGATTTTCTAGTTTCTCTTACTTTTTTGGAGAGTAATGAAGCTAAGAAAGAAACAATAATTATGTACCACATAGTATATGAACGTGTGTGTATTTTAACCATTTGAAAGCAACTTCAAAAGCCACTAGCATTTCAAAAATTGAAATAGGGAGGGAAGAATAAAAATAAAAGGGCTTCGGGAATGTGAAAGTTGTAGACACCCCACCTGAAATATGCACATTTAAAAAACTAGCTTGTAACAATAATTAAGCAGTATCCAAGTACAAAGGCCTTTTAAAAATTCCTTGAAAAAATTAATAAAATGCATAATTTATTTTTAAAAATATATTAATAAAAGTCATAAATATGCTAACAATTACTATCAAAAAAACCATGCCTAAAATTAAAAGAAAAACTAAAATAGGTGTCACTTAGATCCAAATTTGGGAATACTTGTAGCTACAATGTGTCAGAAAGAAGAAATGGCCACAAGAAATGCTAGATAAGACCAAAAATATCCTTACTTATTTTGTAAGAGCAAAGGAATATTCAAAAACTGAAGATACCACTATAAAATTGTGTCACCCATTTTCAAATTAAAAGATATACAAAAATGTTCACAACATTTGACTAATAAATTTCTTTTTGGGAATTCATCATAAGACTGAATCAAAAGAATCATGAAGCCACAGGCATTCCTATAGATGGTTACCTCATTACTTATAATATCAATAAACCAGAAAGAAGCTAAATGTCCAATAATAAAGTAAAGGTTAAATACATTTGGGATAGTCAATTAAGTTTAACAAACATAAACTGAGTATGTTCTACATGCCAGGCATATAGCTAGCTATAGGCATACAAAAACTACTAACATAACAGCTTTGCTCCCAATACGGGAGTCTCATTCTACCATATCAACTCGATGAACTATGAAAAACCCATTAAGAAGAATGTAAAACAAAATAGATACATCTTTAGGGTAAATACTAGTATATAAAAATATGAAATAAAAAATATGAAATATTATGATCTGAGTTATATAAAAAGTCAACATAGAGTAGAAAGAAATAGAGTGGAATCATGAGAAGAATATTTGGTAGTTAATTACAGGGTGTTCACTAATCCATTATTACTGATCTTAATTTGACAGGCTATTTCTCATGCCATCTGTAATGTGTCAAACACCCTCCTTAAACATTTTTTTCTTTAGTGGACTGTAGATATTCTCTTTAGTCAATTCCATCTGTTAGTGGCAGCATATGCTATATAGCTCCAGAAATGCTAATATACTCAGGCAATGGATATAAGCAACTAATAGAGATTTTGAAATTGACAAACCTAACCTTTCTAAAGCAGAGGGCATGGCAGTAAACAGAGTTTTAAATGTATTCTTGTGGACCGATGGTAAAATTTCTGAACTGATACTCTTAACACCTTTATTAAAACAAATCTAATCTCTCTGCTCACTCCTTCCATTCAACAATACAATGAAATGTTTTCATATTCTCTGATCTTTGGCTAACTTAATTATTTCATTTACTTGGTATAAGTGATGTTTGCTACATGCAATTCAGTTTTCACTCACAGTTTTACTAGTAGTACTAATACACATTTAACAAAATTGATGGACTTTCCTGTGGTGCTTTAACTAGCAGCATATTGAATGATATTATCTGAGAAACAATCATTTCCTTTCTCTACTTCATCCTTTATCGCTCCTTTCATTACTAGTTCAGTCATTCAACATAAATTTATCAAGCATTTACTATAACCTGGTTACTCTTCTGAGCACTATGGATTAAGCAGTGAATAAGAAAACATCCCTGGCCTCACATAACTCACACACATTGCAGTTGAAGAGTTATGACTTTAAAAACAGAAATATAGTTCAGGTCATAATAATTGCTATAAAAAATAAAGCAAGTGCACACTTAAAGAGTGACTGGGTGAGGGCTTGGTGTATTGCCTCTTTTGAGGAGGTGACATTTGAGCAGAAGCCTCAATAGAGTAAAGGATTAATAAAGCCAGCAACCTCACGAGATTATCAACATCTATAACAACATAAGGAATATTATAAATCTCTTGGAAAATGTAAACCAGAAAGATGATTTATACTTGCTTCGTTTTTGTGCTGTTAGTTCTAAAAAGTCTCATCATAGCCCTTGGCTGTTGAAACAATGCGCAGTCATGAAGACTCACAGACTAAAAGTAGTTCAATCCCAAGCACATCAAAGAAACATGAGTGCATTTTACACAAGTGTACGGTCACACACCACAAAATGACATTTCAGTCAACAATGGACTGCATATATGATGATGGTCCCGTAGGATTCCAATGGAGCTGAAAATTTCCTATCACCCTGTGACGTCTTAATGATCCTGATCCCATGTAGGCCGAGGCTAGTGACGTCTTAATGATCCTGATCCCATGTAGTCTGAGTCTAATGTGTATGTTCGTGTTTTAGTTTTTAATGAAATAGTTTAAACATGTTTTAAATTTAAAAAATAGAAAATATAGAATAGAATATAAAAAGAAAATATTTTTGTAGAGTTATACAATGCGTTTGGGTTATTATAAGAGTTTAAAAGTAAAAAAAAAATCGTAAACATTTATAAAGTAAAAAAGTGACAGTAAGCTCAAGTTATTATTGAAGAAAGAAAATTTTTAAAATAAATTTAGTGTAGCCTAAGTGTACGGTGTTTATGAAGTCTAGAGGAGTGTACAGTAATGTTTTAGGCCTTCACAGTAACACATCGCTCACTCACTCAGAGTCATACAGAGCAACTTCCAGTCCTGAAAGCTCCATTCATGACAGGTGATCTATATAGGTGTACCATTTTTATCTTTGATACAGTATTTTTATGCTATCTTTTCTATGTTTAGATACACAAAAACTTACCACTGTGTTATAACTGCCTACAGTATGCAGTACAGTAACATACTGTACAGGTTTGTAGCCTAGGATCAATAGACTATAAGGCATAGCCTAGGTGTGTATTAGGCTATGCCATCTGGGTTTGTGTAAGTACACTGCATGATGTTCACACAATGTGAAATCACCTAACAACACATTTCTCAGAATATATCCTCCACATTAAGCAAGGCATGACTGTAATGGGTACGTAGCTCAGAAATGACCAACCTCTCAAAAAGCCAAACCACTTCATATTTTTGTCAGGTTATTTATGCCTTGGCATTTGTGCAAAGCAGAAGCATACATTGTAATCACTTGAAAGAAAAGATTATATCTAGACCAAAGAAAGTAAGACAAAAGCCACAATGAACAGCAAGGTTAATTATTCTAATGAAGCATCTTTCCACAGCTCCTCCAATTTCTAACCATATTATAAGAATACTCATTCTCCATCCCTCTCCCAAACCACTGCCACTGCCCAAAAATAATGGTGGGATTTAGTTGACATTTTTTTACTATTTTTCAGTGTTTTGAAATCTTTTTTGGATACTAAAACAGGCAAAAAAAAAAAAAAAAAAGCATTTGGTAACATACTTTCAAATAAAGATTTCCTCTTCCACAACTTCACATCTACTTCTTTCTTTATTTTTTAACTTGTCCAGTTACAGGTGGCTAGCAGCAAAGAGTTCCACCCTGCCATTAACCAAAGAGAAGCCTCACTGAAAAGGATCAAGAGCTCTGTGTTTCATCAATTTAACATCCTAGCATTAGCACCAGCCAAGCAGACACAGCCAGCCTGCCAAGACAAACAAATGGGTCTTGGCTAAAGGGGCGCCCATCTCTGGAGACAGCCCTCCAGTCTAAACTTCTTAAGGAGTCCATATAAACGTGCTTTTATTGAAAGGTGCTACTCCATCTAAAAAGCACAGATTCAGTTCAAACACTACCACCTTTCACGGTTATGTTGGCTTAAGGTGTGTGCAGCTCAATGACCGTGCAAAACCTGCGTCACAGCTACCTGCTGCTCACTTTTTAAATCCCCAAACCAAAACTTCTGGAGCCACATTGAACACTGGCTGTTTTATCAGAAAGAAAATAAGAGTGAAGAAGGATGCTGGGCCACAGAATCTTTTCCTGCCTCCACCCCAACCCCATCCAAATAGAGAGCTGCACTAGGTGAATAAATGGTTATAGGTCTCCTCTGTTTCTCTAGCCTAGTGGATAGAATTTAAACTTAGTGTGGGAATGTCACTCCTTCATTCCTTTTCTGGAGTTTGTCAGTAAGCGAACATTGCTTAAAGGTTGAGCTTCTTGGAGATGTGGGGTGGGCAGGGCTAAATTGTGAAATCTATTAAAAACTGAAAAGATTTTACAGAAAACTATAAATTTTTAACTAAATTTAAAAGAAAATCCACTAGCAAACATTTATTGAACATTTACTCTGTGTTGAATTCTGGGAAAAGTGTGGGGCTATGAAAGAGAACATGGCACTTACCATCCTAGAGAAACTATAAATCTAATTCAGTCAAATACTAATGGCAACAACTAAGAATAAAAACTACATCCTGAAAGTTTGCAAGATTTGGATTCCTAAGAATGTGCAAGAAGTGTCTCTACAAAGTAATGGACCAAAATTCTATGAGATAGTTTGGAAAAGTAGTCTCACAACTTAGTGTTCAAACTGCATAACCTTCATCTTAGAAGTTTCAGGCGTTTGTGTGTCACCAAATGAGTATTCAAGCATTCACAATCACAAGGAGCCACCCTCACAGGAGCGGCAGTAGTCTTGTATTCATTCATCCTCTGAGCATTGGGCTTCTAAAATGTGCCAAGCACTCCATCCAGGTGTTGGAAATGTAATGGTAACAAGACAGAAATCTAAGCCCTTGCCCTCATGAAGTTGATAATCCAGTTCAGGAGAGAGAATATTAATAAGTAAATAAATAAACACCATTGCTTAGTTAGTGACAACTATGATGCTAAAAATTAGCCTGGGTCCTGGGAAGATCTGAGATGGAGGGGCAGGTATCAGAGGAACCATTTTAAGAAAGGGTAGTCCAGATTGGCTCAAGAAGGAATACTTGAGCAAAAATCTGAAGGATCAAAAGGAGCCAACTATGTAGGAGGAGTGACTGGCAAAGGAAGTAGCAAGAGGAAGAAATGAGCTTAGCAAGTTCCAAGAACAAAAACGCCAATGTGGCTTGAACATAGTCAACCAGGGTGGAATAGTAAGGCTAGAGGCCAGTCTTTACCAAGGCTTGGATCATGTAAGGCCTTGCAGATGATGGTACAAAGTTTGGCTTTTATTCTGACAGTGATAGGAGGCAGCTAGGGTGGGAGGGTTAAAAGTGGGGGCGATATGATCTGATTTACTTGTTTTAATGTCCACTCTGACTGTACTCATTCATTCAAACATTTGTTCAGCATTAACTATGTCCTACACACTGGGGATCCAGGATTGAACTAAAAAGGGCAAAATCTCTACCTTCATGAAGTTTGGGTGCAGGACAGGGGTTTTAGGGGCAATAAATACAAAGCACACACTTAAGCTTAATGTTTCAAGTTGATATGGTTTCCCTGTGTCCCCACCCAAATCTCACCTTGAATTGCAATAATCCCCATGTGTCAAGGGTGGGGCCATGTGGAGATAACTGAATTATGGGGGCAGGTTTCCCCCATACTGTTCTCATGGTAGTGAATAAGTCTCATGAGATCTAATGGTTTTATAAATGGGAGTTTTTCTGCACAAGTTCTCTTGTCTGCCACCATGTAAGATGTGACTTTGCTCCTCATTCAGCTTCTGCCATGATTGTAAGGCCTGCCCAGACATGTGAAACTGTGAGTCAATTAAACTTCTTTCCTTTATAAATTACCCAGTCTTGGGCATATCTTTATTAGCAGCATGAGAACTGACTAATACACAAGTGATAATGTCCTATCAATAAAAAGAGAATAAAAAGGTAGAATGTGATAATGCAAGATGCCATTTCAGAAAGGTTGGTTGGGTCCTTCTGACACTGTGATGAACATCTGGGGAGAAAGCATCTCAGGAAGGTGAGCAGTCAGTGCAAATTCCATAGAGAAAGCACTGTTCAGCTCGTGGCTGGCACTATGGTTCACAGGAGGATGTAGAAGAAGAGGCTAGAGGGATAGCCTGTGTGAGAGCCATGTGCATCCTTGTAGTCCATGGTAATGAGTTTGGATTGTATTCTTGAATGGCAAGAAAGACCACTGGATAGTTCTGAGCAGAAAATGACAATCTAACTGCTGTTTGGAGAAAAGACACTACGGCAACAAGACTAGATGTGAAAAACACCGTTACAGCACAAGAGATGTGAGTAGCTTGGACCAGAGTGAATGGTCAGAATCTATACATATTCTGAAGGCGGAGCAAACAGAATTTGCTAATCGACAGAATGTGGGGGTGGGAAAGAATGAGAGCCTTCAAGCTTGATTCTAATGGTTTTGTCTTGGATGTAATGCTATTTCTAATTTCCCTGCCTCCCTGTGGCTGCATCTTCTCTATATCCCTGGTAGGCTCCATGTAATCTAATGTTATTTGCCCAAGTTCTACCCTTGACCATCTTCTCTTCTCTTGTTCTCTTCTCTTTTTATCATTTCCATTTATACTCATCGCTTCAACTGTACTATATATGAGATGATACCCAGAGTAATAGAATGGAAAAGGCTGTAATTTAGGGTCAGATAGAATTAAGCTCAATTCCAAGTTCTATCAGTTCCAGCTATGCGGTCTTAGTTAAGATAATGACCTCTCTAAATCTGCCTCCTCAATGGTCCATTAGAGATGATAATACCTCAAGGGGATACTGAGATAATTAAATATGTCACATTTAAAACCTCACTATATCTCTGGCACATTGGAAGTAATCAAACATTATTTCAAAGTTGTATTTTATTTTGTTTTAATCTCCATCTCTAGCTAAAAATCACTGCAAAAAAGCTTTCCCCTCTCCTCCATTTTCCATAGTCAGCCAAACCTGAAGCCCAAAAGTCACCTTTGAGTCACCTTTGTCTCCTCTAGCTTTTTCTGGCTTTATTTCTAACTGCCAAGTCTGCAGATTCAAAATTATACCTATTGATTTCATTCCTTCTGTTAATCCTATACTTAGGTAGCCCCAAAATCTGCTGATCACTGTCTCGAGGCTTACTCTACAGCCTTGTCTCAGCTACACCTCTTCCCACAGTATCTATTGCAGTATCTTCCAACTTCTCTAAGTCTTATTTCAGTGATCCTCCTAAAATGCAAGAGCACTCCTAAGTGAAAACCTGCAAATGGCTCCTTATAATCTAAATAAGATTCCAGCTTGTTAATATACATTCAAGAGACATGATTTTGATCCCATCTTGTATCTCCAACTTCTCCTACATTATTTCGTCTTTATTCCATACTCTTACAATTTAAAAGTCTACTGTCCTATTCCACCCTGATTTGTCCCATGTTATTTCTTCTGCCTAAAATATGCTCCTTCCTCCCAGCACCCCAAACTCTCTACTGTTTATTCTTTAAGTCCAAGTCTTACCTCCTCTGAAGGATCTTCCCTGAATACATCACAGACTAAGTTACCACCCTTTTAAGTGAGGACAGAGTAGCAAGTTTGCATCACTTTACTAGGCCCTCATCATACCACACTGTAATCTTTTGCTAACTTGTATAGCACTCCCCATAGATGGCCATCCTTGAAGACAGAACTACTCATGACTCATCTTTGTATCCTTAGTGCCTACCATCCTACAGCAATGCTGTAATCCAATTATATAGAGCAGTCAACTAATGTTCAAAGAGGTTAAGCTATATTATATCATATATGCCTGTATGTATCAGAGCAAAGAAGGTTATAAACTCTGGACCATTTTGTTCCAGCAGCCACACTTTCTCAAAATTAGAATCATATAAAAATGTATTATTTCACTAATCCTTCAGAGGTTTTCAGTCTGAAAAAAAAATTTCTTTAAGTAGAGCTCAAGAACATTCTTCATTGTATATCTAAAAATAGTGAAATGAAAAACTATTTTAGATTCCTTCATTTACAAACTCTAACTTAACAAAAACAAAAAGCATTACATGTAATATATAGTGTAAGAATCTAATTGGCAAAACTTCACAATTGCCATGGATATGATGCCAATGGAATTTCAAACTTCTTCACAGTCATCATGATCCAAAGTTTACAGGAGTCTTAAGAAAAATAAATCAGGACAATATCCCAAATTTCTTTTCAAATACAAATACTCTAATGGCAAATATCATGCAAACATTATGCAATTATTTCACAGTTCACAGTTTTGTTCTTCTTAAAAAATGTATTTCACAATTTTACTAAAAATTACCCACATGGTAATTACATAAATAAGGAACTTGATGTATCAGTTATATTAAAAGACTCCCCATACCTAGTCATATTTAAATGACAAGTCTGGAATAATAAATAATGATTAACACAAGCATTAACCAAATACAAAAAGCTATCTTAACATTTTCCTTTAAAACTTAAGTAATGTCTTAGGTAAATCCATCCGTTATTTCGAACAACATTGCATCAAACACATCACAACAAAGTTAAATTAATAATGTCAAAACTGGCATGTATTATGAAAAAAAAAACGAGAAGAAAACTTAGAATAGAATGTAAGTTTTGACTTGGTTCACAGCTTATCTTGCCAGTGCATATCACATGGTCCCTCTCTTCAACCACCAGTCACACATCTAAGTTTAACTAAATGTTATTTATTTTTCATATTTTGTGGAAAAAGCAGTCTCTGGTTTCCAATAAAAAGATGGCACAGCATCTTTCTTACCAAGAATAATTACTAGATGGTTGTTCATAACTTTTCATATGCAAGTTCCTATAGTACATACATATGATTATAAATCATACTACAATCATATTAATTTAAACTCTACTCATCAATCATTATCAACTTAACAAATTAGCACTCTTGTGCCCTCTAGTGGATGAATGAATACAAAATTCTGTTTATTTTCCTCAGAAAGGTAAAAACTGAACCTGACTATACACGTGTATATTCAGAAATATGTTTAGAAGACAGATATAGTAACAGTTAACCAGTTAACAATGTAGCCCAAGAGGCTGGTGAATACAGATATGAAGACACTATATTACAATAAAATGGTAGTATTCCATGGGTTGGAGTTCTACCTATAGAATTCAAATGGTTTGAATTCATACTCCAACCCATAGAAGTGATGTTGTTTCAGGCTCATTGTTTAATATCAGAGGCTCCATTTCTTCCTCTCTAAAATGAGGTGGATAATAGTGACTTCATAAGTTGTTGTGAGAATTAAAGGGGTTAACATGTGAGTACAATGAACAGTACCTGGCATTCATTAGACGACTAATAAAATCAGTGTCCTTTCCCCTTATTGCTATCTAATCCCTCACCTCTCCGTGATCAGCATGCACAGGTCTTTCAGGCCTGCTCCTTCCAAGCACAGGTGACTCTTGAACAACACAGATGTGAACTGTGTGCATCCATTTATACATGGATCTTCTGCCTTTGCCAACCCTGTGACAGCAAGACCAACCCCTCCTCCTCCGCCTCCTCTCCCTTAGCCTATTCACTGTGAGGACAACAGGGAATGAAAAGCTTGATGATGATCCACTCCCACTTAATGAATAATAAATACATTTTCCCTTCCTTATGACTTTCTTAATAACACTTTTTTTCTCTGGCTTACGTTATTGTAAGAATACAGTATATAATATATACAACATACGAAATAAGTGTTAATTGACTGTTTATGTTATCAGTGAGGCTTCCAGGCAACAGTAAGCTATTAGTGGTTAAGCTTTAAGGGAGTCAAAAGTTACATACAGACATTTCACTGCATGGGGGTTGGTTGCCCAACCTCCGCATTGATCAAGGATCAATTGTATTGTCCCAGTGTGCCATATTTTTTTAAATACAAGACTTCAGAGAAGACTTCAAGTTTGTATACAAGATGAGAAAAACTAGAATGCTCAATACTGTTTTAGTCTAGGTTGATACTGGCTGTCCTGTGGGTTTCATTCTGAATCGGGATTCTAGCCCTTTCAGCAACTCCTCTTACTTGGTCATGGGCAAAATGGCATAGCTACACTGACATGATTCCTCTATATCTCAGGCAGATATTCTAATCACCACCTACCTCTCTGGAATACCATGAGGATTACTCAAGTCATTTTCTGAAATTATTTTAAGTTTATATATATATATATACACACACACACACACACACACACACACACATTTCATATACATAATATATACATCTCATGTATAATATATATACACTCATAATATATACATATTATGAGTATGTATATACACACATATAATACACACACATTCTTAAAATTATATCCATCTTCCTGTATATGCATGACTTATAGTAATAGTTCTCGAAATTTAACCTGTGAATCCCTGAAGACACCTAAGACCCATTCTCTTAAAGGGGCTCTGCAAGGTCAAAACTATTCTCACCCTAATATGAAGATGTTTTCACCTTTTTCACTGTGTTGATATTCGCACTGGTGGCAAAAAGGCAATGGTGAGTTAAACTGCTGGGCTTCCACATGAATCAAGGCAGTGGCACTCAACTGTACTAGGAGTCATCATATTCTTCACTGTCCTACACACTTATGGTAATGACAATAATTTTTAAAAGCCAGTTGCAATAAAAAAGTCCTGTTAAAGCGTAACAATTATTAATTTTATTAAGTCTTAAGGCTTAAGTACAAAATTTTTAATATCCTATGTGATATAAATAGGAAGTGCACAACCATATACCACTTCTATCGCATACCAAACTACAAAGGATATCTCAAGAAAGATCACTTGCACAAATGTTTGAGGTGTGAGTCGAATGAGCCGTTTTTTCATGGAACACCATTTTTACTTAAAATAATGACTAAGAGATAAAGCACAGTTATTCAAACTTGGATATTTGGCAAACATCTTCTTGAAAAATAACGTGAGCCTGCCTTTTCAAGGAAAACAACTAACAGGATATGTTGCTAATGATAAAATTCAAGATTTCAAGCAAAAATTAGAAACTTGGAGTACTTGTTATCTGCCACTGTTAGCTTAACAGACTCTCAACATTTAAAGACTTTTTCTGATTTAATCTGTAGTTATAGTAACAAATGTCAATAATGCAATAACTTCTAACTCCATGACACAATATTTTCCAAATGACCAATGCATAAAATTACAAAAAGTGCAACATAGATTTTAATATAACAGAGTACAAAAATACTTGATATGCTTTTGGATTCCACATTGCATCTAGTATTTAGAGTGCTAGTATTTGTTGAGTTCTAGTATAGAATCAAAGAATGTTCTCATTATATAAAAAGCATTTTAAAATATTTGTTTCATTTCCAACTGCATATGTTTATAAGACCAGATTTTCTTCATATACTTCAACCAAAACAACATTAAAAATGCAAAAGCAGATATGAAAACGTAACCATCTTCTATCAAGCCAGGCAAGAAAAAGGTTGGTGAAAATTAAAAACAATGCCATCTTCCTCTTGAATTTTTTTGTTTTTGAAAATATAGCTACTTTTAGACAAACTTGTTTATGTTAATATATGCCAAGTTTATTATAACTACTGTAAAAATTAATAAATCAATATTTAATTTTGTTCATCTCTGATTTTCATTATGGTAAATGTAGATAGATATAATCTATATAAACAAAATCTCTTTGAGGTCTTAAATAATTTTTAAGACTATAAGGGCCCTAAAGTCAAAAATTGTCAGAACTACTACCTGAAAGAAACCAAGATCCTCCACTGAAGAAAGCTATCAGTAGAGATCACTTCTCCCTCAGTTGGAAGCAGGAATGTCAGGAACTATGGGACATAAAGCAGATACTTAGAATTCCTGAGATAAATACAAGGAAGATCTAGAAATAAGAACTGAGTTTAACATCTGGAAATCCTGGTCCAGGAAAAATGAGACAGGGCTTGACAATATAAATGACAAATAGGAGAAATAACGTTTTTATAAATATTCTGAAATTCATACATTCTCAATTCCACTACATCGCTTATATTTGCTAAGGCCAAAATTCCATGCCCCTTAGAAGAAAAGAAACTTATAAAAACCAAACTACATACTGATCATTTTTCTTCTGAAAATAAGATATTAACCTCTGTTACTACAGAGTATACGCCAAATACAGAAATATCCCTGGTAAAATATCTTTTAACAACATGCAAAGCAATTCACTGTAGGTTTATACAGTATATTAAAGACACATAAACAGTGCTTCTGAACATAAAAATAACTCAACATTCTCAAGCTTCCATGAAAATCAGTTTGTTTTCTTACTTTTTTTTAGCAAAATGGGCTAATTAACCTACTAGTCCATGTTATGAATTGCTTTTAAGAACCTGACAATGTCATCTTGTCCGTTCCCCAATATATATTTAATAAGGAGACATTAAAATTAGATTCTGTTCAAGAGAAATATTCCTTCTTTCACCTTGCAGTTCTGAAGAACCCCCAATATATAACAGAAAAATCAGAGTTGTGCTAATAAGTACTCTTAGGGGAATAATTACTGAAAATGCCACATATAAGATAGTCAAAATGAAGGGTAAAATAAATTCTTTATTCATGGATAGCTTATGTTGACAATTGTAGAATGGCTTAAGCACTGCACGAACTTTGGCTAGCATTTGTTTCATGTTAAGACACAAGTCAATCTGAGGTGCCTCAAACGTAACTGTAATATTTGATGACCATGAGTATGAGTGAAAGAGAAATTCATCTAAAAGTTGGCATAAAATACAGCAAAACAAAATCTTTAGTTTTGCAACCAAAGTAACTTGGAACCCCATTACAAAATTTCTAAAAAGAATTAAAAATAAAAAATTAATATTAACAAAACAAACGATAATTTAATAATGTATAGCTTTGCTATTCAACATGTGTACCTGAAGTAGCAGATCCCACAGATCTTGTTAAAAATATTGATTATCATAATCAGTATATCAGAAGTCGACATACTTCTACTACACCTAGGGACTCTACTCACTAAGTACAACTGTCTACTCTGGACCTTATATATATAACAAACATAAGACGACTCTAAAGGTGGAGAGAAGAAGGCAGACTAGCTAAAGACCTCAAGATCCATGATGACATGCTGGGTTTTCTTTTTGCTTCTTTTATCCCAGATTTGCAGTGGAAAAAAAAGTTAGCAACTCAGAAATGTAGACAAAAACAGGCAAGGAAACAAAAACAAACAAAATAACAACAGCAACAATAACAAAGCCCTAAAAAAAACATGCTCTCTCTAGCCAATGGTCTAGGAAATGGCCAGCCTATGAGAATAAAAACATTTAGACACTAACAGTTTTACACAAGCCAAACACCACAGAAAAAAAAAAAAAAAACACGGTCCTACTACATTCACACCAGCACAGGCCAAGTGGGGAGCTTAGGCCTCCATCTTGTCAAGATTGTGATGAGTCATCCCAACACCCTAGGTGGTGTGAGAGAAAGCCAAGTGGGGAGCTGGGACTTTCATTCCCACCAGTTGGTAACCAGCACTTCCCTAGTACACTGTGTACTATCAGTGGGACCATATGAAAAACCAAGACTCCCAACTCCTACCCATCAGTAATGAGTCACTCTTTCCCCTCCCCACTGGGGTGGTTTCAAAGGAGGCAGAGTGGAGAGTTAGAACTTTCACCATTGCCTGGTAATAAGGTTATCTTTTATTGGAGGCCATCCTCAACATGATGTCAGTGAAGACCATGTGGAGAGCCAAAATTCCCACTCCCACCCAGCAGTAATGAGACACTCCTGTCTTCAGGAGTAAATAGAAGCCAAATGAGGAACACAAACTTTTATCTACACCTGGCAGTAACAAGGGAGCTCCTTCCCCACATATCTGCTAAAATGGTGTCAGAAAAGGCCAGTTAAAACAGAAGGTTTAAATAAAATCCAGAGTCTCAGAACATATGAAAAAGTCCAGATATAAGTCAAAAATCACTCGTCATATCAAGAACCTGGAAGATCTCAAACTAAATGAAAAAAGACAATTAATAGATGCCAACACTAAGATGACAGATGTTAAAATCATCTGCACAGATTTTAAAGCAACAATGATAAACAATGTTTCAATCATCAATTACAAACATACTTGAAATAAATGAAAACGGAGAAAAAACAAAGAAATAGAAAATATAAGGAAAATTCAAATAAAGTATTACAACAGAAAAATATGGTAACCCAGACACAAAGCTCATTTGGAAAGGCTCAACAGCAGAATAAATGGACAGAGAAAAGAATCAGTAAACTGGAAAGCAGAATAGATGTTATCTAATCTGAACAAAAGAAAGAAAATAGACTACATAAAATAAACAGAGCCTCAGAAACCTGGAAACAATATACTTAAAAAAAAAATCTGACACTAATATTCAGGTAAAGTTTCCATACTTCATTCAAACTGGTAAAATGACAACATCAGTAGTTATGTACATATAATACAATATGTAGAGTAACCACCAGAAACTACACAAGGATATACCTCACAAACGCTATTAATAAATCAAAATAGAATTCTAGGCCGGGCGCTGTGGCTCACGCCTGTAATCCCAGCACTTTGGGAGGCCGAGGCGGGTGGATCACGAGGTCAGGAGATCGAGACCATCCCGGCTAAAACGGTGAAACCCCGTCTCTACTAAAAATACAAAAAAATTAGCCGGGCGTAGTGGCGGGTGCCTGTAGTCCCAGCTACTTGGGAGGCTGAGGCAGGAGAATGGCGTGAACCCGGGAGGCGGAGCTTGCAGTGAGCCGAGATCCCGCCACTGCACTCCAGCCTGGGCGACAGAGCGAGACTCCGTCTAAAAAAAAAAAAGAAAAAAGAATTCTAAAAATGTTTGCATAATCTTTAAAGGCAGGAAAAATAAAACAAAGAATTAAAAAATAGAGGAGGAGAAAAAAACAGAAAACAAAAATAAAGTACCAAACTTAAGCCCTAACATATTAATAATTACATTAAATATAAATAATGTAAATATAACATTAAAAGACAGAGATTGACAGATGAAATTTAAAAGCATAACAAAATTACATGCTGTCTACAAGAAACTCTCTTCAACGAAATAGGGAAGTTGAAAGTAAAAGAATGCAATATATACATAATGCACATATCATTCAAAGAAAATCATAAGTGGCTATACTAATGTTAGATAATGTAGACTTCAGAGCAAAAACATATATATATTAACAGAAAGAGATATTATATAATTATAAAATAGTCAATACAGGAAGAAGACACAGCAATCTTAAATACATATGCACCAGACAACAGAGACGCAAAACATATGATACAAAAACTGATAAAATTGAAAGAAGAAACAAACAAATCCACAATTACAGTTGGAGTCTTTAACATGACCTTTGGAAGAACTAAACAGCTAGACAAAAAATTAGCAAGAATATAGACGAACTCAACACCATCAATCTACAAGATCCAGTCAATATTTATAAAATATTCTACTGAAGAATAGGAAACTATATACAGTTTCAAGAGCCCACAGAACATATACCAAGAGAGAATATATCCTCATCTATGAAAAAAAAACAAAATTAAAATAACTGAAATCAGACTAAGTATGTTCTCTGACTATAACAGAATCAATCTAAAAATAACAGGAATGTCCCCACTTAGAAAGTAAACAATACATTTTAAATAATCCATGAGTCAAAGAGGAAGTCTCATAGGAAGTCAAAATACATTCAAATGAATAAAAATACAACATATCAAAATTTGTGGGACACAGTTAAAGCAGTACAAAAAGAGTAATTTACAGCATGCAATACATACATTAGAAAAAAGAAAAATCTCGAATCAATAAGCTAAGCCCCTACCTGAAGAAACTATGAAAACTAGAGCAAAGTAAACCCAAACTAAGTAGAAAGAAGTAAATAAGTAAATAATAAAGAGCTAAAATCAATAAATCAAAAAAGAAAAAATCAATAGAGAAAACCAATAAAACAAAGAGCTAGGTCTTTGAAAAGATCAATAAAACTGAAAAAATATCTAGCAAGACTGACAAAGAAGAAAGGAGGCATGAGTTGTCAATATCAGAAATGAAATAGATTCATTCAAGATCCTAAAGATAACAAAAGAATAATGATAGAATGCAATGAAAAATTCCATCAATATAAATTTAACAACTTAGACAAAATAAACTACTTCCCCAAAAAACATAAACTACCACAACTCATCTAACATGAAATAGATAATTTAAACATCCTTGTAACCAATAAGGTAATTAAATGTACAACTTAAAAAATCCCAAAAAAGGAATGTCCAGGCCCAGATGGGTTCAATGGAGAATTCTACCAAATGGTTGAAGAAGAATTAACATCAACTCTATACAATTTCTTCCAGAAAACAGAAGAAGAAAAACTTACCAATTAATTTACGAAGCTAAAATTACACTAATCCCCAAACTAGACAAAGACAAAGGGAGGGAAGGAAGAAGGGAGGGTGATGAAAGAAAGAGAAGGAAAATTACACATCAACATTCCTCATAAATATTCATGCAAAAAATCATTAACAAAATATTGCAAACAAAATTCAAAAACATAGCAATAATATAATGATATAAAAAGAATCATACAACATGGCCTAATGGGGTTTATTTCAGGGAAGCAAGGCTAGTTCAACTTTCAAGAATCAATCAATGTAAGCTAAAACATTAACAGGATTTATTTAAAATCACATATCAAATGATGCAGAAAATACGTATCAAATGATGCAGAAAAAATCATTTGACAGAATTCAATATTCATTTGTAATAAAAAATGCTCAGAAAAATAGGAGTAGAAGGGAACTTCCTCAACTTGACAAAAAGCATCTTCAAAAAACCTATAGATAACATTATATTTAAGTGGTAAAAGACTCAAGACTTTCACCCTGAAATTGGGAGCAAAGCAGAGATGTCTACTCTCAGCACTTTTACTCAATATAGATTGAACTCAGCTCTGTACCAAGCGGACCTAATAGACATTTACAGAACACTCCACCCCAAATCAACAGAATATGCATTCTTCTCAGCACCACACCACACCTACTCCAAAACTGACCACACAGTTGGAAGTAAAGCTCTCATCAGCAAATGTAAAAGAACAGAAATTATAACAAACTGTCTCTCAGACCACAGTGCAATCAAACTAGAACTCAGGATTAAGAAACTCACTCAAAAGCGCTCAACTACATGGAAACTGAACAACCTGCTCCTGAATGACTACTGGGTACGTAACGAAATGAAGGCAGAAATAAAGATGTTCTTTGAAACCAACGAGAAAAAAGACACAACATACCAGAATCTCTGGGACACACTCAAAGCAGTGTGTAGAGGGAAATTTATAGCACTAAATGCCCACAAGAGAAAGCAGGAAAGATCCAAAATTGACACCCTAACATCACAATTAAAAGATCTAGAAAAGCAAGAGCAAACACATTCAAAATCTAGCAGAAGGCAAGAAATAACTAAAATCAGAGCAGAACTGAAGGAAATAGAGACACAAAAAACCCTTCAAAAAATCAATGAATCCAGGAGCTGGTTTTTTGAAAGGATCAACAAAATTGATAGACCACTAGCAAGACTAATAAAGAAAAAAAGTGAGAAGAATCAAATAGACGCAATAAAAAATGATAAAGGGGATATCACCACCGATCCCACCGAAATACAAACTACCATCAGAGAATACTACAAACACCTCTATGCAAATAAACTAGAAAACCTAGAAGAAATGGATAAATTCTTCGACACATACACCCTCCCAAGACTAAACCAGGAAGAAGTTGAATCTCTGAATAGACAAATAACAAGATCTGAAATTGTGGCAATAATCAATAGCTTACCAACCAAAAAGAGTCCAGGACCAGATGGTTTCACAGCCAAATTCTACCAGAGGTACAAGGAGGAACTGGTACCATTCTTTCTGAAACTATTCCAATCAACAGAAAAAGAGGGAATCTTCTCTAACTCATTTTATGAGGCCAGCTTCATTCTGATACCAAAGCTGGGCAGAGACACAACTAAAAAAGAGAATTTTAGACCAATATCCTTGATGAACATTGATGCAAAAATCCTCAATAAAATACTGGCAAAACGAATCCAGCAGCACATCAAAAAGCTTATCCACCATGATCAAGTGGGCTTCATCCCTGGGATGCAAGGCTGGTTCAATATATGCAAATCAATAAATGTAATCCAGCATATAAACAGAACCAAAGACAAAAACCACATGATTATCTCAATAGATGCAGAAAAGGCCTTTGACAAAATTCAACAACCCTTCATGCTAAAAACTCTCAATAAATTAGGTATTGATGGGACATATCTCAAAATAATAAGAGCTATCTATGACAAACCCACAGCCAATATCATACTGAATGGGCAAAAACTGGAAGCATTCCCTTTGAAAACTGGCACAAGACAGGGATGCCCTCTCTCACCACTCCTATTCAACAGAGTGTTGGAAGTTCTGGCCAGGGCAATTAGGCAGGAGAAGGAAATAAAGGGTATTCAATTAGGAAAAGAGGAAGTCAAATTGTCCCTGTTTGCAGTTGACATGATTCTATATCTAGAAAACCCCATTGTCTCAGCCCAAAATCTCCTTAAGCTGATAAGCAACTTCAGCAAAGTCTCAGGATACAAAATCAATGTACAAAAATCACAAGCATTCTTATACACCAATAACAGACAAACAGAGAGCCAAATCATGAGTGAACTCCCATTCACAATTGCTTCAAAGAGAATAAAATACTTAGGAATCCTACTTACAAGGGACGTGAAGGACCTCCTCAAGGAGAACTACAAACCACTGCTCAACGAAATAAAAGAGGATACAAACAAATGGAAGAACATTCCATGCTCATGGCTAGGAAGAATCAATATCCTGAGAATGGCCATACTGCCCAGGGTAATTTATAGATTCAATGCCATACCCATCAAGCTACCAATGACTTTCTTCACAGAATTGGAAAAAACTACTTTAAAGTTCATAGGGAACCAAAAAAGAGCCCGCATTGCCAAGTCAATCCTAAGCCAAAAGAACAAAGCTGGAGGCATCACACTACCTGACTTCAAACTATACTACAAGGCTACAGTCACCAAAACAGCATGGTACTGGTACCAAAACAGAGATATAGAACAATGGAACAGAAAAGAGCCCTCAGAAATAATGCCACATATCTACAACTATCTGATCTTTGACAAACCTGACAAAAACAAGCAATGGGGAAAGGATTCCCTATTTAATAAATGGTGCTGGGAAAACTGGCTAGCCATATGTAGAAAGCTGAAACTGGATCCTTTCCTTACACCTTATATAAAAGTTAACTCAAGATGGATTAAAGACTTAAACGTTAGACCTAAAACCATAAAAACCCTAGAAGAAAACCTAGGCATTACCATTCAGGACATAGGCATGGGCAAGGACTTCATGTCTAAAACACCAAAAGCAATGGCAACAAAAGACAAAATTAACAAATGGGATCTCATTAAACTAAAGAGCTTCTGCACAGCAAAAGAAACTACCATCAGAGTGAACAGGCAGCCTGCAAAATGGGAGAAAATTTTCGCAACCTACTCATCTGACAAAGGGCTAATATCCAGAATCTACAATGAACTCAAACAAATTTACAAGAAACAAACAAACAACCCCATCAAAGAGTGGGCAAAGGATATGAACAGACACTTCTCAAAAGAAGACATTTATGCAGCCAAAAGACACATGAAAAAATGCTCATCATCACTGGCCATCAGAGAAATGCAAATCAAAACCACAATGAGATACCATCTCACACCAGTTAGAATGGCAATCATTAAAAAGTCAGGAAACAACAGGTGCTAGAGAGGATGTGGAGAAATAGGAACACTTTTACACTGTTGGTGGGACTGTAAACGAGTTCAACCATTGTGGAAGTCAGTGTGGCGATTCCTCAGGGATCTAGAACTAGAAATATCATTTGACCCAGCCATCCCATTACTGGGTATATACCCAAAGGACTATAAATCATGCTGCTATAAAGACACATGCACACGTATGTTTATTGTGGCACTATTCACAATAGCAAAGACTTGGAACCAACCCAAACGTCCAACAATGATAGACTAGATTAAGAAAACGTGGCACATATACACCATGGAATACTATGCAGCCATAAAAAAGGATGAGTTCATGTCCTTTGTAGGGACATGGATGAAATTGGAAATCATCCTTCTCAGTAAACTATCGCAAGGACAAAAAACCAAACACCACATGTTCTCAATCATAGATGGGAATTGAACAATGAGAACACATGGACACAGGAAGGGGAACATAACACTCTGGGGACTGTTGTGGGGTCGGGGGACGGGGGAGGGATAGCATTAGGAGATATACCTAATGCTAAATGACGAGTTAATGGGTGCAGCACACCAGCATGGCACATGTATACATATGTAACTAACCTGCACATTGTGCACATGTACCCTAAAACTTAAAGTATAATAATAATAAAAAAATAAAAAATAAAAAAAGAGAAACAAGAGGAAATAAAAGGCATGTATACTGGAAAAAAAAAAAACTACCCCTATTTCCAGATGATATGATAGTCTACATAGAAAATCTCAAGGAACTCATTAAAAAGCTCATAGAAACAATAAGTGAATTTAGCAAGGTAGCATGGTACAAAATAAACCTGCAAAAATAAATTGTATTTTAATATCAATAATGAATATATGGGAAGAATTTAAAATGCAGTACTATTTACAACCATGAAAACATACTTAAATATAGGTGAAACTCTAACAAAAACATGTATAAAACCTGTATGCTGAAACTTACACAATATTGGTGAAAGAAATCAAAGACCTAAATAAAGGGAAAGACATACTGTCATGATAAATTGAAACACTCAAGATAGTAAAGATTTCAGTTTTTCCCAAACTTGTGAACAAGCTTGATGAAATTCCTATCAAAACTCAAGCAATATTTTTCATAGATATAGACAAGATTATTTTCAAATTGATACAGAAAGGTGGAAGAACTAGAAGAGTTAAGACAATTTTGAAAAATAATAAAGCAGGAATAATCAGTATACCTAATTTCAAGACTTTTACAGCTACAGGAATCCAGATTGTGTCATATTGGTGAAGGGATAAATACATAGCCCAATGGAACAAAGTAAAGAATCCAGAAACATATCCACACCAATATGCCCAACTTACTTCTGACAAAGTTGCAAAGGCAATTCAATAAAAGAAAGAGAGCTTTTCAGCAAATGGTGCTAGAGCAATTGACTCTCCATAGACAAAAGAATAGCCTTGGACCTAAATTTTATATCTGAAGCAAAAATCAAATCAAAATTGACCACAGATTTAAATGTAAGTCATAAAATCATAAGACTTTTAGAAAAAAACATAGGAGAAAAATCTTCAGGATCTAGAGCTAGGCAAAGAGTTCTTATGACATGAACCATAAAAACTGATTAATTGGACTCCATCAAAATTAAAAATTTTCTCTGCAAAAGGCCACATTAAGAAGATGAAAAGACAAGTCAAAAAGTGGTAGAAAATATTTGCAAATGACATATCTGACAAAGGAAAATTTTCTAGAATAGATTAGCTCAAAATGTAAATTTAAAAAATTCAATTAGAAAATGAAAAAGCCATGAACAGACATTTCACATATTTAGAGAATACATAAATGGAAAATAAGCACATGAAAAGATAATTAACCATTATGAAAATCCAAATTAAAAGAACAGTGAGCTATGACTACACACTATCATAAAGGCAAAAACATAGTGACATCACCAAATGCTGGTAAGAATGTGAAGAAACTGGAACATTCATACGTTGCTGGTGGGAATGTAAAATGTTACAACCACTCTGCATTAACAGTTCGTCAACTTTTTAAAAAACTAATCACTCAATTATCATACAATCCAGAAATTTCACTCTAGGGCATTTTTACCAGAAAAACTAAGGGTTATGTTCATTTAAAAAAAAACCTGTACACAAAGTTTATAGCACCTTTGGTCACAACAGCCAAAAATTGGAAACAACCTGATGTCTTTCAATGGACGAATTATTAAATAAAGTATGATACATCCATTCCTTGGAATAGTACACATCAATAAAAAAAATGAACAAACTATTGATGCATACAACAACCTGAGTGAATCTCCAGAAAATTATGCAGAGCAAAAAAAAAAGTCAAGTCCTAAAAGGTTACATACTATATAGTACCATTTACATACTGTTCTGGAAATGACAAAAATGGAAATGAAGAACAGATTCACAGTTTTCAGAGCTTAAGGAAGAAGTGGGGTGGGAGAAAAGTGGTCATGGCTATAAAAGGGCAATATGAGAAAGCCTTTTAGTCATGTAACACATCTGTATATTAACTGTATCAATGTCAATATTCTATTGGTAATATCATACTGTAGTTGAGGATGTTATTGAGGGAAACAGAAAAGAGTACACTGAATCTATCATTTCTTATAACTGCAACAGAATCTATAACTATCTCAAAAAGGTTTAATTTAAAAAAAATGTAGATCATGATTTAGTAAGTAAAGCCTGAGATTCTGTATTTCTAACAAGTCTTCAGATAATACAGATTCCACTGCTGTGGGGACCACAATGTAAGTAATAAGTCATTGGAAAATTGGTCACTGTAACTCATCATACTAACAGGCTAAAAATAAAAAAACCCATGACCATCTCAATAGATGCTAGAAAGGCATTTAACAAGATTTAACATCTATAAAAGAGAATAACTATCAGCAAACTAAAATTAGAAGGCCAGTTCCCCAACCTGAAAGTGTGCTAATGAAAAACTTACAGCTAACGTCCTATCAACCATTATTGACTGAATGCAATTTTCCTAAGATTAGGATTAAGACAGAGATTTCTACTCTCATCTTTTTTTTCAACATTTCATTTCTAGAGATCCTAACCAATGTAATGAGGCAAGAAAAAAAAGGCGTACATATTGGAAGGGAAGAAATAAAACTCTCTTTCCCAGAAAATATGACAGTTTATGTAGAAAATTATGAGAGCTACCAAAAACCTACTAAAACTACAAAGCCACAGGATGCAAGGGAATATACAAATTGTACTTCCAAAATTGGTGAATTTCATTTTGTCTAAGTTATACCCCAATAAATCTGATTTTAAAAGCTCTATAGCTAAACTAAATAGTCTAGCCTTGGTTAAAGCAGTATCAATAATCAGTCTTATAATAAATGTCTTAGCTAATGGCAAGTATCCCTCACTCCTTTTATTTCTCTTTTTCCAAAAGAGTGACACCCCATCAACAATGAGTTTCAGGAAGTTCATTCTTCATTTGTCCCCAAGATAACCAGACAATACATTTGGTTTGCCCCAGTCTCAAGTGTAGGACAAATCTTCTGTTAACAGTGGCTCTCAGAGAGGTTTTCACTACTCCTAGTATCCAACCTAGCTGCAAAACAATATAATTGTTTGGATAAAAGTAAAGAAGTAAAATCCAAAGAATACCCAAACCTTCATTAAGATAGCATTTGTGCCAGGCACGGTGGCTCACGCCTGTAATCCCAGCACTTTGGGAGGCTGAGGCAGGCGATCATGAGGTCAGGAGATTGAGACCATCCTGACTAACATGGTGAAACCCCGTCTCTACTAAAAATACAAAAAATTAGCCAGGCGTGGTGGCAGGCGCCTGTAGTCCCAGCTACTCAGGAGGCTGAGGCAGGAGAATGGCGTGAACCCAGGAGGCGGAACTTGCGGTGAGCCAAGATGGCACCATTGCACTCCAGCCCGGGTGACAGAGCAGGACTCCGTCTCAAAAAAGAAAGAAAGAAAAAAAAAAGATAGCATTTGTTTGTTCTATTTATTTGCTCCATTTATTCTCAAACAGCCCTGGCTCCCTCCCTCAATCCCATCTAATTTACCCCAATCTTACTGTCCTTCCTTAAATGCAATAGAATCCAGAAATGTGTAAAAAGGAAAAGCAAAAAGATAATAACAAAGTTTAAAACCTAACACTAAATTACAGTGCACAGTACATATTAAGGCACTATTCTAGTTTCTTATGTGTAAAATTCTTCCAGTAATGTCCTGAAAGTTAAATGCCTTCCTTTTTTCTTTTAAAAAACATATTTTTCCATTATCATTTATAAACCAACAACTACATTTACCCTTTCAAAACTTGGGATCCTGACCATCTATGTCTTACTCAAATATTCCCTTAGTACAGCATACTTAAAGCAGGGTAAAAAAAGACCAAAAGGCAGATAAGTGTGTCTGAACCTCATTAAGGCACAAATGGAGTTGTATTTGATTCACTGTACTTGAGCTACATTCCTACACCAGACCAAAGATGAAGCCAGGAAAATTCAGTTCCCTTGATTTATATACTCACCTTAGCAAAAGTGGGAGTGGATCTCACAGGCTACTCACAGCAAATCTGCAGTGCTCTCATTTGTCATATAGGACAAACTAGAAACTCCCATGGATGGTGAGGATAGGCAGCATGGCGGAAGTGTGCAGAGTGGTGGTGAGGGTGGCTGCTATTGCAGCATATAGCCTACCTTAAAGGTAGATACCTGAAAGATACTCAGGTAACAAGGAAAAAGTCCAATTCTGGTTGTAGATCACTCTTGGGAATAGATTTTTTAAAGTATAAGACCCCCAAAATGCCAGAGTATAAACGACCCTCCCTTTCAATCATGTATCCTTGTTTTTCCTATTTCCCACATTATAAATATCAAAGACCTGAGCATTTACATCAGATTGGTGTGCTCAAAACTTCTTGAAAATGGTGTGTAAAATGTCAGTAAGATGAAATGGGTTGTAAAATGTCAGTAAGATGAAATGGGTTAAAAAGAGAAATGCAGCATATTATACTTCTGATTATTTCTGCAGCCACAAGGTTTTCATTAAGCTTCAAGCATGTGGGTTTGTGATTATGTTCATGACAACAAACACTAAAACATGGAACAAGATCCGTAGTTCAAAGAAATGAAATATTCCAGAATTTATCCACATATTCCAATATACTGTTTTTGTGTATTTTGTTTCCAACTCAAGAGGTTTCTTGAAACCTCTACAAAAATGTTAATCTTAGTGATTCATTCACAAAGGGTTTAAGCTAAAATTTTTGTAGTTTAGACTGGAGTTCAATTGTCAAGTAATGATTTTAGAAGTGATATAAATTTTTAAAATTTTGATCAGATCATAGAGAATAGATAAACATGTCTATTCTAATGCAAAATTTTAGCTACGTTTCCTGCATTATCTTCCAGGCTTAATTATGTATGTTCTGGTTTAACAGGTTATTTTTTTTTTAAAGATCATTGGAAAAATATGTTCACAATAAAATCATTCAAGAAATATATTTCTACCAGTACTCTTGTTTCCTAACTTCCTATTTTTTAAGTTCCCTTAATTTTCAAAACACAAACTTTTCTTTTCTCTCCTGAGTTATATTTGCTGCTCCTAACCATACTTACATTGTTCAATGCCTTCTAAATATAACAACTGCTATGGTCTGAATGTTAGCATCCCCCTCAAAATTCATACGTTGAAACCTAACCCTTACGGTAATGAAATTAAGAGGGGGGGCCTTTGGGAGGTAATAAGGTCATGAGGGCTTTGCCCTCATAAATGAGATTAGTGCCCTTATAAAAGAGGCTTGACAGAGCCTGTTTGCCCCTTCCACCATGTGAGGATGTAGCAAACAAGTGCTATCTTTGAAGCAGAGACTGGGCCCTCACTGGACACTGAAACTGCTGGTACCTTGATCTTGGATTTCCTAGCATCCAGAATTGTGAGCAATAAATTTCTGTTGTTTAGAAATTACCCATTCTTACATGTTTCCATATAGCAGCCCAAATAGACTAAGATGATACCTAGTACGTGCCTTCATGCAAGAACTGTATATAGTAGTAGACTTACATGTTATCTTAGTTAAACCAGACTGAAAAACTTCTGTAGTAAATATCATTTCTGTTTTATAAATGAGGAAACTAAGATCTACATAAATCAATTAAACTTGCCCAACTTAACAAAGTTTCTAGATGGCACAGCCAAGCTTTATCCAGTTCTAATGTACTCCAACACCCAAAATGTATTTTCATCATTGTAGTAAGTACTGAGGCCACCTTGGTTGAACAACCACATTTGGATATTCATATACTTTACTCATATTTCTGCTCAGTCTTGTACAGAGAGGCCTATCTGGCTCCTACTTAAAAAATAAAATTATTTGAATCATAGGTTCTATGTCTATTTCACAAAGAAAACTGAGAACCTAGCCCTCCATCAGGCCTCTGAAGCAAGAGCCCTCCGTCATTAATAAATCCAGGGCTTTGGATGGATTCTATTTTTAGAGTGCTTGAAAAGATCCAAATGCTAGAAAAATCAAATTTTCAAATAGGCAGGTTTCTGATAATAAAAGATTGAATCAAATATGAAAGAAAAAAATAATTCTTTCCCAAAACAGACTGCATGACCAGATGGAAGAAAGAGTTTAAGAACAAAAAGTGCCAAGTACTTAATTCAAGTGAAGAATACAGGCATTCGAGGGTCAATGCACTACTTAGAACAGCCAGAGTGCCAGCATGGACAGAATACTGCACCTTCATTCTCTGATGCTTTTCACTCATCTGCTCTATCACTTCCTTATTCCCCCTCTAATGTCATTAGTTTAAAAAGGTAGAAGGGCAAAATATAGCAAATAATAAATGCTCAGTTAACTGTAGATTGTTCATTGGATTTCATGAAAACTATGCACATCCTTATCTGAATTTAATAACTTATTTTAAGGATGATCACCTCTCCAGTCATCACTTTTACTTTACAGAAGAGAAGAAAAAATATTCTGAGAGGTTAAAATATTCCCAAAGTCACAAGAAGTGAGGCATAGTGACCACTGTATGCCAAAGGTTGTTGTAGAAGATTTACATTCTCTATAAAAGGTATGTCAACTCTTAGATCATTAAATCTTTTTCACAGAAAACATGACTCATTGTGATTATTCACATTAATAAAATTATATTGGCTCAATGTTCAGGAAAACAAATAAGTAGAAGACAAAGGTAGGAGAAAAAGCTAACATGGATATTAAGAAGGAAAAAAGGATGCATGTGCTAAAATAGGTCTTCAAAAAATTTGCAGCAAGTATTCTGACTCCATCACAAGAATCTATGATCTTCTTAAGAGGTGGCTTGGAGCCAAGAAAAATTCACTAGATGAGAGTGAAGGAGTCAAAGAACCAATCAGCAAAACAAAATTTCAATAGCTAATGCTAAGTAAAACAGATGCCCATCTCTGTCTGCCCTGTCCCTCACCATACATGGGCAATCAGTTATACCACTCTGTAACCATTACCTTTGGTTCCAGATTTACCATGAGCATGCAGTCTTATATCGGTTAGTGACAAAAACGCTTTCCATCTCTTATTAACAATACTTTCTGCTACATATTCAGTCTTGTATTCATTCCCTTTACATATATGTAAAAATTAGCATGTGAGTAAAAATCAGGTTCTATATGCTGACAAGCACAATACTGAATGAACCTGGTATATACAATTAATAAAGAGATGGCAACAAAAAGGGAGTAGCTATGATCAAATACAATCATTCTCTCTACACTGCTAGAAGAGTTTAATAATCCATATAAACATTATAATCAAAAAGAATTCTGATGCATTTATAAGGCTTGACTTAAGAGAAAAAATAGCTCTTCCTAAGAGAAAAAATAGCCCTTTTCTTATTCATTTTCTTGGCCATGTTTGAAATGGAGAAAGAAAAAAATAAATAAATGCCCAAATATTGTGCACTTTGGTTATGAGTCCATAAATTTCTATGCATATTATTCAAGCCAGAAAAGTTACACAATCAAGTCTTTTTTTATTTTTAACTTAGTGATTAGGAGTGATTAACCATGATCCTGTTGAGTTGCAAACGTGGCAATGTAAAGGCCTTTATCCCCTATGCTTTGTGGTCTTGATTTAATAGTGTTGTGTATTCAATATATTTAATATACAGGAGCTGCCTTTTCCTGGTTGGTAATTAATGTCCCTTGGACCCTGAAATTGCTCAGAACAGGGACTTCTCTGTGGAGACTATATTCCAGATTACACTGCTATTTTTACTTTATAGGTTCTTGAATTTTAAGGATTTATTTCTAGATTGTACAGGTTCACATTTTGCATCAAGGTTACTAGTCAGATAGCTTACTCTTCTGATAACAAATTCCATCTCTGTGAAATACTGGCATTTGTCATGCTATCAGTTTTTGAAATGTTTTGGTAGTGCCTGAGATGATCCATTGCTCATCACTTCCACCACTTCTAACCTAATCCAACCTACAGCCATATCTCAAATGTGATCATCTCCTGCTCTCTAGTTGATTCACATTTTAGGCAGGGTAATCTTTTTCAAGATAGATTACTTTATTCAAGATTTACTATTTATAATTGACAAATATTACATATATATTTAAGGCATAAAATTTAATGATTTGATAGACATATATATTTATGAAATAATCACCACAAATTAATTAACCTATCACCTCATGTAGTCATCAATATTTTTTCTTTATTTTCGTGGTGAGAACACCTAGGATCTACCCTCTTAGCAAATTTCAAGCATATAATAAAATACAACAACTATAGTCACCAGAACTTAGATCTCCAGAATGTACTCATCTAATAACTATAAAGTTTGTATGCTTTGACCACTATCTCCCCATTTTCTCCTCATCATGACCTCTAGCAATCTTCCTTCTACTCTCCATTTCTATAAGTTGACTTTTTTATATTCCACATATAAGTGAGATCATGCAATATTTGTCTTTCTGTGTCTGGCCTATTTCACTTAGCATAAAGTCCTCCAGATTCATCCATGTTGTCACAAATGGCAGGATTTCCTTCATTTCTAAAGCTGAATAAAGGTTTAGAAAGGTTTCCCTATCCATTCATACATTGACAGACATTTAGGTTGTTTCCCTATCTTGTTGATTGTGAATAATACTGCAATGAATATGAAAGTGCAGACATCTCTCTGAGATAGTGATTTTTCTTGTACAGTAGCCCCCCTTTATCTGCAGTGTTGCTTTCTATGGTTTCGATCACCCATGGTCAATTGCAGTCCAAAAATATTAAATGAAAAATTCCAGAAGTAACAATTCATAAGTTTTAAATTGCTTGTTGTTTTCTGTAGCATGATGAAATCTAATGTCATCTAGCTCTGTCTTGCCCAGGACATGAATCATTCCTTTGTCCAGCAAGTCCTTGCTGTCTATACTACCCACTTGTTAATCATCAACATCGTCTGCTCCTGACAGCCAACCATATCATAGCCCAATAATCCAGGATCACCTGAAGCAGATGTTCTTCCTTCTGAGGTATAGTCAGAAACGGAATAATAACCTAACACTACATCTCAATGGCTACGGCATTCACCTCACTTCATTTCATCACATAGGCATTTTATCATCTCACATCCTCACATGCATATTTTATTATTAGTTATTTGTATTAATTTCTTATTGTGCCTATTTTATAAACTTAATCATAGGCATGTATGTGCAGGAAAAAATATAGTATATATAGGGTTCATTACTTTCTAAGGTTTCAGACATCCACTGAGGGTCTCGGAACATATTTCTCACAGATAAGGAAGTTGCTGTATATATACCCAAAAGTAGATCGCTGGAATATATGTAGTTTTATTTTTAATTTTTTGAGGAGCCTCCATACTGTTTTTCATAAGTGCTGCACCATTTACATTCCCATCAGTAGTGTACAGACATTCCCTTTTCTCCATATCTCACCAACACTTATCTTTCACTTTTCTCCTAGTAGCCATTTCAACAGGTGTGATGCGATATCTCACTGTGAGTTTGATCTGCATTTCCCTGATGATTAGTGATGTGGAGCACTTTTTCATATACCTATTGGCCATTTGTTGTCTTCTATTGAGAAATGTCTATTCGGATCTTTGCCCATTTTTCAAATAGATTGTTTTGATGCTATTGAGTTGTTGAGTTCTTCATGTATTTTGCATGTTAACCCTTTATAGGATATATTGTCTGCAAATATTTTCTCCCATTCTGTTGGTTATCTCTTCACTTTGTCATTTATTTCTATGCAAATGCTTTTCACTTTGATGTAAATTCATTTGTCTATTTTTGCTTTTGTTGCCTGTGCCTTTGTGATCATATCAAAAAAATTATTGCCCAGACTAATGTCATGAAGCTTTTTTCTTTTGTTTTCTTCTACTACTTTGGCAATTTCAGGTCTTAAGAGTTAAGCTTTTAATACATTTGAACGGAATTTTGCATGCATTGTAAGATAAGGATCATATTTCATTATTCTGCATGTGCATATCTGGTTTTTCCAGCACCATTTATTGGACATTGTCTTTTCCACATTATGTATTCTTGGCACATTGTTAAAGACCAGTTGACTGAGTATGCGTGAGTTTATCCTTATGCTCTTTTTTCTGTTCCATTGGTTTTCATGCCAGTACCATACGTTTTAATTAGTGTAGCTTTGTAATAAAATTTTAACTTAAGCAGCCTGATACCTCTAGCTTTATTCTTCCTGCTAAGTTTCTTTGGCTACTCAGGGTCTTTTGTGGTTTCACAGGAATTATAGGATTGTTTTTCTATATCTGTAACTACTTCCATGAAGCTTTTGATAGAAATGCACTGAGTCTGTATATAACTTTGGTTAGTAACATTTTAACAATATTAATTCTTCCAATGAATGAACATGAGATTTTTTCCATTTGTCTTTAATTTCCCTTATCAATGCTTTATAGTTTTTAGTGTACAAGTCTTTCACTTATTTGGTTAAGTTTATTTCTAAGTATTTTATTCTTTTTGTTGACATTACGAATGAGATTGTTTTCTTAATTTTCTTTTTGGACAATTTGTTGTTTGTAAATAGAAGCACAATTGATTTTGTTCTGTTGATTTTTTATTATGCAACCTTACTGAATTCATTTGTTAGTTCTAACAGAATTTTGTTGTTGTTCATTCTTTAGAGTTTCCTGGGTATATGATCATGTTATCTGCAAACAAAGACAATTTTTCTTCTTTTTGTTTTTTTCTTTCCTAAATGCTCTAGCTAAAACTTCTGATACTATGTTGAGAAGTGACCAGAGTAGGCATCTTTGTATTGTTCAGTATCTCAGAAGAAAAGTTTTCAGTTTTTCCTCATTTATTATCATAAGAGGTATGGGTTTTTCATATATAGACTTCACTATGTTGAAGTAAGATCCTTCTATCACTATTTTGTTAAGAGTTTTTATCATGAATGGGTATTGAACTTTGTCAATTGCTTGTCCTGCATCTATGAAAATGATGTTATTTTTGTCTTTCACTCTGTTAATTGTGTATGTAGACCCATCCTTGCATAATAGAAAACTTCCACTTTGTCATGGTGTTGGATCCTTTTATCATGCTGTTGATTAGGGTTACTGGTATTTCCTTGAGGATTTTTGCATCCATGTTCATCAGGGAAATTAGCTTATAGTTTTCTTTTCTTTACTATTTTTGCCTGGTTTTAGTAGCAGGGAGATGCTGGCCTCATAAAATGAGTTGGAAAGTGTTCCCTTTTCTTCGATTTTCTGGAACAGTCTGAGACAGATTCATATTAATTTCTCTTTTAATAAAATTCACCTATGAAGCCATCAGGTTCTGAACTTTTCATTGTTGGCAGATTTTTCATTACTAATTCAATCATCTCTTTATTTGTTATTGTCCTTTTCAGGTTGTTTCTTCCCGACACAATTTTGGTAGTTTGAAAGTTTCTCAAAATTGAAAATTGATCCATTTCTTTTATGTAATCTAGTTTTTCGGGATATAATTGTTTATAATAGTGCCTATGATTTTTATTTCAGAAAAAAATTGTTTTAATGTCTCCTCTTATATTTCTGATATTAAATATTTGAATCTTCTTTCTCTTTTTCTTAGACTAAGGGTTTTTTAAAACTTTTATTTATCTTTCGAAAAACAACTTTCAGCTTTGCTGATTTTTTTCTGTTTTTTTATTCTCTATTTGATTTATTTCTTTTCTAATTTTTATTGTGTCCTTATTTATGCTAACACTAGGCTTAGCTTATTCTTGTTTTTCTAGTTCTTTGAGGTGCAAAGTTTTTTTTTTCAATATAGGCATTTATACCTACAAAGATTCCTCTTATTAAAGCTTTTGCTGAATCCCATGGGCTTTGATATGTTGTTTTAATTTTCCTTTGTTTCGAGATACACTTTACATTCCCTTTTAATTTTCAGTGTAGAGCTTAGTTTCCATATATTTGTGAATTTTTCACTTTCTTGCTGTTACTAATTTCAACTTTTATTGCACTGTGCTCAGAAAAAGTGATTTTTATTTTGGAATGATTTTTATTTTCTTAAATTTGTTGAGATTTGTTTTGTGACCTAATATGTGATCTAACCTAGAGAATGTTCTGTGTGTACTGAAAAGTTCTGTTGCGTGAAAAGTTCTGTATACATCAGATAGGACCCTTTAGCTCTCCAGTGTTGTTTGAGTCATCTGTTTATGGTTGATATTCATATTTGAATGTTCCACCTATTCTTGTAAATATGGTACTAAAGTCCCCAAGTGTTACTGTATTGCTGTCAATTTCTGCCTTCAGATCTATCAATATTTACTTTATTTAGATAAAACATTATCTAAATATTTAGATGCTGTGATATTTGGTGTGTTTATACTTATAACTGTTATAACTTACTGTTGAATTAACTCTTTTATCAATGTATAATGACCTTCTTTTCCTCTAGATAAGGTTTTAGACTTAATGACTATTTTGCCAAATATAAATATAGCCACCAGTTTTCTTTTATTTGCATGAAATATCTTTTTACATCCCTTCACTTTTAGCCTATGTGTCTTTAATTCTAAAGTGAACCTCTTATAGACAACATATCACCAAATTTGTTTTTTGTCCATTCAGCCATTCTATCCTATGACTTTTGTTTGGTGGTGAGTTTAATCCATTTATATTTAAAGAAATTATTTTTAGGTGAGGACATACTGTTACCACTTTGTTAGTTGTTTTCTGTTTATCTTACAGTGGTTTTGTCTGTCTCATCCTCTTTTGTTATCTTCCTTTGTTATTCTATTTTTGTAGTGATTTGCTTTGATTTATTTTCTTTATCTTTTGTGTGCCTATTACACGCTTTTTCTTTGTGGTTAGCTCATGGCTTGCATAAAATATCTGATAGTTTTAACCTTCTATTTTAAGTTGATAACAACTTAACTCTAATCTCATACAAAAACACTATACTTTTACTCCTCATACATACATTTTGTGTTCTTGTAGAAAGAGTGTGCTTCATATCATACTGTGTAACCACTAACACATTTTTATCTATTAATGTATGTGTTAATATTAAAAGTAATTTATGCACCACTTTGATGATGTTACATTAATTTGTACATGTCCATTTGGCTGTATCTGTTATATTTATGCTTTCAAATGCTTTTTGTTGTTGTTTAGCATATTTTCATTTCAATACAAAAAGTCCCTTAAGCATTTCTTGTAAAGTAAGTCTAGTGGTGACAAACTCTCTCAGTTTTTGTTTATCTAGGAAAGTCACTATTTCTCCCTCATTTTTAAAAATAATTTTACAAAGTATAGTATTATTGTGGAGTTTTTTTCTTTCAGAACTTTTAATATATCATACAAATCACTCCTGGACAGCTAAAAAAAAATAAATACACTGTCAGTCTTATAGAGGTCACCTTGTATGTGATGAGTTGCTTTTCTCTTGCTGCTTTCAAAATTCTATCTTTGTCTTTGACATTTGACAATTTGATTACAATGTGCCTCAGTATAGTCTTCTTCGGGTTTATCATGTTTGGAGACTTTACAGCTTTCATGAACTAGAATGTCAATTTCCCGCTCAAGATTTGGGAAGTTTTCAGATATTAATTCTTTAAATAAGCTTTCATCTCCTTTATCTGTCTCTTCTCCTTCTTGAACTCTCAAAATGCATATTTTAGTTTTCTTGATGATGCATCATGAGTCTCATAAGCTTTCTTCATTCCTTTTTATTCTTTGTCCTTCTTTGACTGGGAACCTCCAAACCATGGGTCCTCACATTTTTAGATATTTTTCTGATTGATTGAGTCTGTTGCTGACACTCTCTATTGCTTTCTTCATTCCATTCATTGTATTCTTCAGCTCCAGAATTTCTGTTTGGTTCTATTTTTATGATTTCTATGTCTTTGTTGAACTTCTTGTTTTGTTCTTGTATTGTTTTCTGATTTTGTTAAGTTTTCTATCTGTGTTCTCTTTTAGCTACCTTAATTTCCTTAAAAGAATTATTTTGAACTCTTACCCAGTTCATAGACTTCCATTTCTTTACAGTCAGATACTGGAAAATTATCATGTTGCTTTGGTGATATCATGTTTAGCTGATGTTTTGTGTTTCCTGTAGCCTTGCATTGACATCTGCACATTTGAGGGAGCAGTAGCCTCTTCCAGACTTTATGAACTGGCTTCAGAAAGATATTTACCTAAGGTAGGGTGTGACAGTGCCAACTGGGTAGGGTGTGACAGCTTTGGCTCAGTTTGGGGGTGCTTAGTAGTAATTCTGGCTTCAGGCAGATGCAACAATGAAATCTCCACAGAGTTACATCAGCTAGGTCAGCATCAGCAGAGACTATGAGGATCTTCAGCAGCCAAGGTTACAAATATACCTGGCAGCAAAAAGGACTCTTGGTGTCCTTAATGGAAAAGGTTGCTGGGGTCCTCTAGTTCTCCTTTTCCCTCATGGGGGAAGTCATGACCAAGGGAATCCCTTTTAGCACCAGGTCTGACATGTGGGCGCACACAACCAGTGGCAGCAATGTCCGGGTCTGGGACACAGGTGCCCTTACCATAATGATGGTGTAAGTGTCTAAGGCCTGAGTGTGCTAAGCAGCCGCGAAGACAGGGTCCAAGGCTTTGGGGTGTGTAGAACAACCACAGCACTTGGAACCATGGAATGGGCACACTCACTGCAGTAGTGACACCGTTATCTAAGGTGTGAAAATGTGTGGAATAGTCCCAGGGTCTGTGGGGTCTATAGAGTCATTGTAGGGAACTGGTAGCTCTGGCTGGAAAAGAGAGAAATGGCAGGCACAGCAGCAAATCAGCAGGATGGGGAAGAAGGTGCAGCTGTGGTATCTCTGCTCTCAGATGGGGTGGGGTTCAATCAATTATTTATTACTTAAACTGAAAAGCCAGGTTTACATTATTAATAAGCTTACATTTTATATACTATTAGCTATGTATCTGGAAGGAATGCAGGAGACACTGACTACCTTTTTACAAAGAAAAAAAGAGACATTATTTGTCAAACTCCTTTAAAACATTGTTTTGTAGAAATACACAGGTAAGGCTACAAAGTTTAACTCAATAATAACAGTTGCAAAAAAATACCTAGAAAAATCATCAAATCATGACCTACCTCTTTCAGTTATTTTTTAATAACCTGCAGCAAAAAAAGCAACTTTCTCACAGTAACCTATATATATTAAATGTGCTGCCAACCCAGATCTTTAGAACATTACAAACAATTTTGGAAAAGGACACTTTTTGGAATATATATTTAAGCCTGGTTAAAAGATAGAACCATAATACAAACCTACTATACAGCAAGGACTTTGCACAGAAGCAAATTAACACACTATTTGCTAACTCAATACAGCACTATTTCTGGTCTACATCTTTCCATGTAAGCAATCTTGTCAACTACAAATGTACTATGTACCTACTATGTGCCAGTCACTATAAAGTGTTAGATATCAAAAATGACTATAATGGGAGAGCTTTTTTATTTTTTCCATTTAATCTTTTGAAATGAGTTGTAAATCTGTAAAGAAAATTATTAGACTTTTCTCAGTTGTAGCTCCTGCAAACATGGCATAAGAATGGTGCTTACTTAATCTTACAGAGGAAATCTTCAATCTACAGAGTTGGCAAAATAAGCAGATAAAATCTGGAATGATTAACACGTCATCACAGCAGTAGTTCTTGTGTGGTTTTCTAGTCATACCTTCAAATGTAATAAATTAAGTGTTCCTACTTTGGGCTTTCTCTTGCTGAAAGCAGTATTGTTCACTCAAGTCAAGTGTTCATTTTAGAGATGTTTTACCAGTGTAAAATAACTCCATCTTGTGGATTATCCTGACCATGGCATTCAGATCTCACCTTTCTTCTTTAATTTTTTAAAGGTAAGACTAGCATCAGCCTGATCCTTTCCAACCTCTGTAATCTGTCTTGTTTCCTACTGGATATTAATCTTCACAAGCATCCCGCTATATGGCATAGGTATATAAAAGTGTCTGCCACTCCTAGTATCATCAATCCTATGACCACTATGGAGCTTAGATTTTCCAGCCCACCAGGACCAATACAGCTTAGTGTCAGAAGCCATCGATTATACTGTCCCTATTCATTTTAATTCCATTGAAATATCTAGGAGGGAAGATAGTAAACATAGTAAGGAAGGCTCTTTGAACGGCTGGGATATAAGAGAGTGGTAATCCAATGGCCTCCTCACTTTACATGGACTTTTGTCCTTTTGTACACCTGTCTCCTGTTTGCTTTCTGAAGATGATAATTATAATTCTGTATATTTCAACTCAAATACACTTAAAACTGACTTATAAAAATAAACATTCAGCCGCACATCAAGAAAAATCCTCCATTTTGATACCATATTTTTGAAGTTCAAAATTTAAAGGAACTTCTTCTCTCTCACCCACTTTGCACAATAACAATTCTAACATCCAATATTTCTTCCAGGTGTCATTCCAGGTCCCCCCTTTGGAAGCTGCCAGAGGCTTTAATCTAAAGCACACTCTGCTTGTGTAAAGGGAAGTTATCAGATGTTTAATATATCCACTAATTAATAGAATATTTTTTTCCTATATAATCCACAAATTTATGATGGAAGGAAGGATAAAGCTGTTGGAAGTATTTTATCTTAAGAACAAATGCAAATGTACTTTATTCTATCACTTAAGGTTACAGAAATCTCTATTCTGGAAATGCATATACAGACACTACCACAAAATCCAGAATATATTTTATATCGTGATCAAAAATGCAGGATAAGCAAGGCCTCAGTATGCAGTAGAATTAGCACATTATTTTCTATTTTAATATGTCACTACTTCTGTTCTACAGAATGTAACTATAAACATACTCTTTTGGAGAACTTGTAAAACATTTTCCTATCTATTGCTTACATTTTTATGGAAATGGTATAACTGAAGAGACATCAAGGAGAGTCTTTTAGTACATATTATGTTAAATATTAAAAATATTTTATCAAAACATAGCCCATAAAATTATTAACCCAGAAGAATATCATAAAATATTAGCTCAGTTTTTTAAGGAAAGTATATTTTTATACTCTAAATATATCATAAGATTTACAGATATTCAAAGATCTGAAACTAAAGCCCTAATATTTAAAATATAACAAAGCTGCCTCCAAAAAAATCTCAACTTTTCTTGTTATAGATTAATGATTATCATCAGAAAAAAAGTCTATTTACATTAACATAAAAACTGACCAGCCTAATTTTAACTTCATCCAAAAGTTTGTCTCAATAATTTGAACAAATAAAAAATTAAAAACTTATTTCTGAATTCACATCGCTAAAGATAAGTCAGTTATCTGTGCCTCAAGGACTTTTTCTCAGCTCAGTTAAAAGATAAAAAGATTTGTTTTTCATGCTTGAGGCTTTCAAAGGCTATGGCAATTTGTAAAATGTCAATATCCACTGAAATTTGGCCCTTAGCTCTCTAAATTCTCTCTTTGTACATGCAGATGCTTCTGCAGATAATTGTGACTACTTTCAGGCATAACTAAAAAGACCAGTATATAACTAAGTGTTTTCCGTATAACATATTAAGTAAAATGTGTCCTTTGTCTTAGAGAGCGAACACTATATATTGAGGCTGGCAATATTTATCATTTTGCTCAAAAGTAAGCACTCTACGATTTCTGCACCGCATTCTGGTCTAACAACTCCTTATAACTTTTTAAGCCATCTATAGTGCTTTTAGGAATTGAAATCAGATTTCCCAGCATCCCTGCCATTGTATCAATGACATCACGAGCTCTACTCACAGTAATGTAAAAAAAAAGACATCAGAACTCAAACCATCTTATATTGAGAGTAATAGAAGTCATAAAAAGAGTTTTACTAGAAAAGCCTGTAAAAAAAAGAATTTGTTTTCAGAAGAAAAAGTACATGAATGAGAATACAACTTTCAAGGTAATAAAGAATGAAACTACAGTTTGGGCATACCTACTAAATCACATTCATCAGAGGATATTAATGTATTCCAAACAAAAGCAAGAAAAACAGAACATTCTACCTCACCCTGAAATATTCAATATTCCCTCTCTCTCTCTCACTCTCTCTCTCTTTCTCACACGCACACACACACGCACACACACGTTTATTAATATGTGAGATGTGTGTAGAACTAAAATATTCTTGGAGCATCTAGGATTCACTTCCAAAGTTTCTTTTCTCTTTAACTTCCCCATAAAGCTGTCTCATAGTTTCAGTAATAACAGAATTCTTGGCCACATTGGTAAAAGAGTGGTTCAGAAGTAAATAATCTGAATGTTCATTGTTCCAATACTTCAAGTCCATGCCTTTGAACTGATTACACATAATTCTTCCATCTCTGACACTATTTATAAGCTAATATAAAATCACCTATAACAGGGTTGTCAAGATTATGGTCCACAGACCACTTGCATCATAATCATACGGAATATTTGATAAAACTAGAATCTTCAGCCCCTACAAGACCTACCAAATTCAAATCTCTAAAAGTCAGCCCAGAAATGTGTATTTTAGCAAGCACCCCATGTGAGACTCATACCAAAGGAAGTTTGAGAATCACAGATCTGGAATCTGAAAGGTCTGTAAACAAATTCAGAAGACATCTTCCATTGTTTTGTCTACAGTCTGTGAAATGCAATAAGAAATTTCTTCCCATTATTAAAGTATAATAAGAATCTATGTTTAAAAATCTATTCACAAAAGTAAGCGCAAGCTTTAGATACTTGTTAACAGCACTGTACATGTTTTTAATTATAGTAAATCAAGTCCTGGATCAGAAGCTAAACAGTACATCAGAAGGAAAAGCTTATTTCAGCAGGATAATCTCCTCCTACAGGTGGACAAGATTATTTATACAAGTCAATATAAATTCCACTAAAAAATGATGCGAGAACATACCTCTTAGTCTAAAAAGTGGTAAACTACATTTATTAACAACCAAAAATCAACTTCCTATATTACACCGACCTATGTACTTGCCATATGTTGCACTCTACAACAATGTATCTTCGGGGGCTCAGGCATTTCTTTAAATTTTTCCATTTTTGATAATTTCAACTTTTATTTTAGATTCGGGAGTACATTTGCAGGTTTGTTACTTTGGTATATTGCATGATGCTGAGGTTTGAGGTACAATTGATCCCGTCACCCAGATACTGAGCACAATGCCCAATAGTTTTTCAACTTTTGCCATCCTTCCTAGCTCCCCACTGTAGTGGTCCCTCGGTGTCCATCATTCCCATCTTTATGTCCATGAGTACCTATTGTTGAGGTCACCCTTATAAGTAAGAACATGAGGTATTTCGTTTTCTGTTCCTGTGTTAATTTGTTTAGAACAATGGCCTCCAGCTGCATCTATATTCCTGCAAAGGATATGATTTCATTCCTTTTTATTGCTGCAAAGTATTCAATGGTGTATATGTACCACATTTTCTTTATCCAATCCACGACTGATGAACACTTAGATTGATTCCATGTCTTTGTTATTGTGAACAGTGCTGTAATGAACATACAAGTGCATGTGTCTTCTTGGTAGAATGATTTATTTTCTTTTGGATATATACCCAGTAATGAGACTGCTGGGTTGAATGGTAGTTTAAAGTTCTTTGAGATATTTCCAAACTGATTTCCATAGTGGCTGGACAAATTTGCATTCCCACTAACAGTGTATAAGCATTCCGTTTTCTCTGCAGCCTTGACAGCATCTGTTATTTTTTGACTTTTTAATAATAACCATTCTGACTGGTGTGAGATGGTATTTCCTTGTGGTTTTGATTTGCATCTCTCTGATGATTAGTGATATTGAGCATTTTTTCACGTTTGTTGGCATGTACATCTCTTTTGGAGAAGTGTCTGTTCATGTTCTTTGCCCATTTTTAAGTGGAGTTACTTGCTTTTTGCTTGTTCAGTTAAGTTCCCTATAGATTCTGGATATGAAATCTTTGTCAGATGCATAGTTTGCAAATACTTTTCCCATTCTGTAGGTTGTCTGTTTAATCTGTTGATAGTTTATTTTGCTGTACAGAAAAGCTCTTTAGTTTAATTATGTTCTCCTTGTCAGTTTTTGTTTTTGTTGCAATTGCTTTTGAAGACACAGTCACAAATTATTTTCCAAAGCTGGTATCGATTATGGTATTTCCCAGGTTTTCTTCAAGAATTCTTGTATTTTGAGGTCTTACATTTAAATCTTTAATCCATCTTGAGTTAATTTTTATATAAAGTGAAAGGTAGGAGTAGTTCCGTTCTTCTGCAAATGGCTAGCCAGCTATTCCAGCACCATTTATTAAATAGGGGGTCCTTTCCCTATTGCTTACTTTTGTTAAGTTTTTTAAAGATCAGATGGCTGTAGGCATGTGGCTTTATTTCTGAGTTCTCTATTTTGTTCCATTGGTCTATTTGTCTGTTTTTGTGCATGTACCATGCTGTTTTAGTTACTGTAGCCTTATTGTATAGTTTGAGGTCAGGTAATGTGAGGCCTCTGGCTTTGTTCTTTTTGCTTAGCATTGCTTTGACTATTTGAGCCTTTTTTTGTTTCTATATGAATTTTAAAATAGTTTTTTCAAATTCTGTGAAAAATGACATTGGTAGCTTGAGAGGACTCGCAATGTGTCTGTAAATTGCTTTGGACAGTATGGCCATTTTAACAATATTAATTCTTCCAATCCATGAGCATGAAATTTTTTTCAGTTTATTTGTGTCATCTATAATTTCTTTCAGCAGTATTTGATTGTTGTCCTTGTAGAGCTCTTTCACCTCTTTGGTTACATGTATTCCTAGGTATTTTATGTATATTTATTTAAGCTATTTTAAATGGGATTGTGTTCTTGATTTGGCTCGCAGCTTAAACATTATTGATATATAGAAATGCTACTAATTTTTATACATTGATTTTGTATCCTGAAACTTCATTGAAATCATTTGTCAGTACCAGCAGCTTTTTGACAGAGTCTTTAGGGTTTTTTTAGCTCTAGAATCATATCATGAGCAAAGAGAGATAATTTGACTCCTTCTCCTATTTGGATATCTTATTTCTTTCTCTTGCCTGATTTATCTGATAAGGACTCCCAGTACTATGTTGAATAGGAGTGGTGAGAGTTAGCTTCCTGTTCCTGTTCTCAAGGGGAATGCTTCCAGTTCTTGACTGCTTAGTATCGTTGTCTCCTATGGGTTGGTCATAGACAGTTATTAAAATTTTGAAGTATATTTCTTTAATGCTTAATTTCCTGAGGGTTTTTTTATCATACTGGGATGTTATCAATTTTATCAACAGCTCTTTCCACATCTATTGAGATGATCGTATGATTTTCTTTCTAATTCTGTTTATATGGTGAATCACCTTTTTTGATTTGTGTTTGTTGAACAAACCTCGCATCCCAGCAATGAAGCCTACTTGATCATGGTGCATTCACTTTTTGATGTGCTGCTGGATTTAGTTTGCTAGTATTTCCTTTTCAAGATTTTTGCATCTATGTTTAACAGAGATATTGGCCTATAGTTTTGTTTCTTTGTTATGTCTTTGCCAGGTTTTGGTATCAGGGTAATGCTGGCTTTATAGAATGAGTTAGGGAGGAGTTCCTCCTCCTCAATTTTTTGGAGTAGTTACAGTATGATTAGTGCCAGGTCTTTTTTGTACATCTTGTAGAATTTGGCTGTGAATCCATCTGGTCTGGGGCTTCTTTTTGGTGGTAAGTTTTTTATTGCTGATTGAATATTGGAACTTGATACCATTCTGTTCAAGGTTTCAATTTCTTCCTGATTCAATCTTGGAAGGTTGCGTGTTTCCAGGAATTTATTCATTTCCTCTAGATTTTCTAGTTTGTGTGTACATAGGTGTTCATAATAGTCTCTGAGAATCATTTGTATTCCTGTGGAATCAGTTGTAGTCACCTTTGCCATTTTTTATTGTGCTTATTTGGACTTTCTTGTTTTCACAGTTAATCTAAAGAGCAATCTATCAATCTTGTTTATTCTTTCAAACGCCTACTTCTGGTTGCTTTGATTCTTTGTGTGGATATTTGGGTCTCAATTTCATTCAGTTCTTTTCTGACTTAAGTGATTCCTGCTAGCTTTGGGATTTGTTTGTTCTTATTTTTCTAGTTCCCCTAAGTTCAATGTTAGATCATTAATTTGAGATCTTGCTAACTTCTTTTTATTATTATTACACTCTAAGTTCTGGGGTACATGTGCAGAACATGCAGTTTTGTTACATAGGTATACACTTGCCATTGAGGTTTGCTGCACCCATCAACCCATCACCTACATTAGGTACTCCTCCTAACGTTATCCCTCCCCTAGCCCGCCACCCACTGACAGGCTCTGGTGTGTGATGTTCCCCTCGGTAAGTGTTTGGCACTATAAACTTTCCTCTTAACACTACTTATGCTGTATCCTAGATATTTTTGGTATGTTGTGTCTCTATTTTCATTTATTTGAAAGGTTTTTTTTGTTTCTTTTGTTTTTGTTTTCTTGATGGAGTCTCACTCTGTTGCCCAGGCTAGAGTACAGTGTTGCAATCTCAGCTCACTGCAACCTTTCCCTCCCAGGTTCAAGCGATTCTCTGCCTCAGCCTCCCAAGTAGCTGGGATTACAGGTGCCCACCACCACGCTTGGCTAATTTTTTGTATTTTACTAGAGATGGGGTTTCACCATCTTGGCCAGGCTGGTCTTGAACTCCTGACCTTGTGATCCACCCACCTCAGCCTCCCAAAGTGCTGGGATTATAGCCGTGAGACACCACTCCCAGCCTTGACAGTATTTGTTTATTTCTGCCTTAATTTTATTGTTTACACAAAATTCATTCAAAAGCAAGTTGTTTAATTTCCATGTAACTTTGTGGTTTTGAGAGATTTTCTTGGTAATGATTTCTATTTTTATTCCACTGTGGTCTGAGATTATAGTTGGTATGACTTCAGTGTTTTTATTTTATTGAGACTGCTTTATGGCCAAGCATGTGGTCTATCTTGGAGTATTTTCCATGTGCAATTGAGAATATACATTCTATGGTTGATGGGTAAAGTATTCAGTAGATGTCTATCAGCTCCAATTGGTCAAGTGTTGAATTTAAGTCCAGAATTTCTTTGTTAGCTTTCTGCCTCAATGAGCTTTCTAAGGCTGTCAGTCAGTTGTTGAAATCCCTCAGTATTATTGTGTGACTGTCTACATTTCCTAACAGGTCTAGAAGTACTTTATGAATACAGGTCCTCCAATGTTGGATGTGTATATATTTAAGACTGTTAAGTCTTCTTGTTGAATTTAACCCTTTATCATTATGTAATATCCTTCTTTGTCCTTTTTTACTGTTGTTGGTTTAATGTCTGTTTCATCTAATATAAGAATACTTATCCCTGCTCTTTGTTGTGTTCTTTGTGCATAATAGATTTTTCTCCAACCCTTTATTTTGATATTATGGATGTCATTATGTGTGAGATAGGTCTCTTGAAGACAGCAGATGGATGGGTCTTGCTTTTTTATCCAAGTTGCCACTCTGCCATTTAAGTGGGATGTTTAGAACATTTACATTTTAATATTGATATGTGAGGTTTTGATGCTATCATGAAGTTGTTGACTGGTTGCTTTGTAGTTTCTACTGTTTGGTTGCTTTATTGGGTCTGTGGGCTATGTACATAAGTGTCTTTTTGTGGTAGCAGGTATTGTTTTATCATTTTCAAGATTTATTGTAAAGTTGGTCTAGTGGTAAATTCCCTTGGTACTTGCTTGTCTGAAAAAATATTTTATTTCTCTTTCATTTATAAAGCTTAGTTTGGTGAAATATGAAATTCTTGATTGGACTTCCTTGTCTTTAAGAAGGCCGAAAATAGGCCCTGATCTCTTCTGGCTCGTAAGGTTTCTGCTGAGACCACTGTTAGCCCAATAGAGTTCCTTTTGTACATGATCTGACCTTTTACTCTGGTTACATTTAATTTTTTTTCTTTAGCACTGGATTTGGACAGTCTGGTGACCATATGCCTTAGGGATGTTAGTTTTGTATAGTATTTCATAGGTGTTCTCTGGATTTCTTATACTTGGATATCTACCTCTCTAGGAAGGTTAGAAAAATTTTCTTAAATTTTTCATTCAAATATCTTTTACAGGTTGTTTTCTTTCTCTACCTCCTCTCAGAAACACCAATAATTTGTATGTTTGTATGCTTTACAAGATCCCATATTTCTCAAATGTTTTGTTCATTTATTTTAATTCTTTTTCTTTATTGTTAACTCACTGGATTAGTTCAAAAACCCAGTTTTCAATCTCTGAAAGTCCTTCTTCTTGGTAAAGCTACTTATAAAGTTTTCAATCATATTTTGAAATTTCTTAGGTGAGGTTTTCAATTCCAGAAGCTCTAATTGATTTCTTTTTAAGATGTTTATCTCTCCCTTCATTTCCCATATTGCTTTAGAAGATTTCTTTGTGTTGATTTTCAACCTTGACTTGGATCTTGTTGAGCTTCCTTGCAATCCACGTTTTACATTCTTTATCTGTCATTTGTGAGTTTCCATTTTGATTATGGACCATTGCTGGAGAGTTAGTGAGACCCTTTGGTGGTGTCACTACATTCGGATTTTTCATGGTGTCAGAATTCTTGTGCTAGTTCCTTATCATTTGGAGATGCTGGCAATTCTAATTTTTATAGTTATTTTCATGTGGGTAGGATTTTTTCTTTTTCTCTATAATACTGTTGTTTTGTTTCTTCTTTCCCTGTCTCTTTACCCTCTTCCCTAGAGTGTGTGACTGAAGAAAATGATGGGTAAGGTCTTTTGTCTTTGACCCTATAGCACTATGCACTTCTGTTGGTAGATTTTTTTACTGGGGTATGCAATTTGACCTATAAGTCAGTAGATGGCGCTTATGGGTAAGAGCCGGCTATGGCCAATAAGGCAGGGTATATGCTTGATCCTTGTTTACTGGTAAAAGCTGTCTGTTGCCCCAGGGAATGGGCTGACTCCTGGAAAGCACAGCAGTCCAAGCTCCCTCCTCAGCCCTGGAAGGAGACGGTAGAGGGGAAGGGCAAGATGGACAAATACACCTACAGGTCCCCTGATGGCAGGCACATGCACAAGTGCTAAGAGACAGTCCAGTGGGCAGCCACCAAGTACCCAGAGGTATAGGTAGGCATGAAACTGGGAAACCTCCTTAGCCCTGAGTTCCCTGCCTGGAGATGGCAGGGGGCAGCCTAGACTTCTAATCCTGGAAAGTGGACACTCCAGATGGCTGTAGGTCTGCCTGGGCATGGAGCAGAGAGGACCATCCTGCACCAGGATCTCTCTGCATAGGAAGTGTGAAGCAGCTCAGGCTGCTGTTCCAGGTGAGCAGGTGCTCCAAATGCTTGGAAATCTGCCTGGGTGTGGAGTGGAGATGGTGTCCCTGCACCAACATCTCTGAACAAAAAGAGTGGGGCAATTATGCCTGCAGAACCAGGCAAATGAGGGCTTCCAATGCATGGAGATCTGCCTGAGCATGAGGCAGAGAGGGCACCCCCATACCCAGATCTCTGCACAGAAAGATGCGGTGACTCAGGCTGTTAGTCTATGCTAGCAGTTGCTCCTAATTCTTGGAGATCTGCTTATGTATAGAGCAAAGAGGGCTCCACTGCACTACGATCTATGCACAGGAAAAGTGGGGTGGCTTAGGCTGCTGATCAAGGTGAAGGGATGCTCAAAAAGCCTGGAGATCTGCCTGGCTCTGGAACAGAGAAGACCCTGCTGCACAAAAATCTCAGGGGAACAGGCTGGGGCACCCAGCAATGGCACATGCAGACCAGATCCAGGTTGTCAAGCTGGCCCTGGCTGCAGGTCTCATCATTCAGAAGAACTGTGATTGGGGGAGGGCACAATTCCAGTGCCAACTGTTGAGGCACTTTCCAAAGTTCTGGCTGTGGTGACCCCTACCCTGCTCCAAAGCAAGCAGTTCAATTGCTGGCCCAAGACTAAAATGCCTACATGTCCATCATGCCAGCTCACCACAGAATGGCTGATTTTATATGAACTCAGGTTAAAAATTGTGTGCTGTTCTCAGTCCCACATCTAGGGAAATGCTTGCAGCTCTTTCTGGTATCTTTCCCTCACAGCATCTCTAAGCCTCTCCCTAAGTTACCTCCAGGACCTGGGAGAAACAGAGCGTTCTTCCTTGACCTGGGTTGCTCACATACCCAGTGGAAAAGTGTGTCACAGAGGGAGGTTCTCTGCTTCTCTCACATACTGGGGCTTCACTCACTTTTATCAGCCAGTCTCTGTCATGTGGCTGTTTGCCCACATTTTCCCCCACCAGGATCTGGGATGTCCTTCATGATTCCAGTGGATTCCCATTTTTCTTCCTGAATTAAAGTTCACAGAGTTGGTCTTTATGCACTATCTTGCTATTTCCAAGTGCCTGAAGCACACTAAAAGCCTCTAATCCACCTTCTTCTAAATTTTTTCTTTGAGGGGAGAAAAGAAGACTGTAGTGTACCACTCCATATATCAACAAGAATAGTGAATGAAGGAAAAAGTGGCAGAGATTATCTAAATGCAGTATATAAAATATGTATGTGTGAATGTGTATATCTGCATATATAAGTGTGTATAAATATAGTTTGAGACCACTCAGGCCTATTTTTTATTTTTACTTTTTAAAAAAGAACTACAAAGCACCATCACTGTCTGTGGCAGGTCCATTATATATGCCTGCCCAGCTTCCCTTCCTCTTCTTGTGACAACCACACCTTATGCCTCTTTCGGAGGGCAACCCCTGCTGAGTCTCAGCAGCTCTGATGAGCTGTTAGTTACTGTGCCTTGGTAACTCAATCCAAGATTGTACAATCAGAATCTGACTCCTGAGAATTTAAATCTAGATAAGGGCCATACGAAATAGCTGGAACCTAACCATTCCAATTTCCCAGGAACTATGTTTTGATTGTGAGTCCTCTCACTATCCCAGTTCTTGCTCTTGAAGCTTGGTTGCTTAAGTTTGCCTTCAATTTCTGTTAATTACCTAATATGTTTCTAGTATATTTCATTATTTCATGATGTTATCCAGATAGCATTTCTCTTGCCAGCAACCAAAAAACTCCAACTGATAAGAGAGACACATTTTGAGAACACACCTTGTTTCGGTACACTATTTGTAGGGCACTGTTTCTCAATGAGCATTTAAAGCACTATAAAAATCCCACCACTGCATCCATGAAACCCTTTCAGATTGTCATAAAATCAAGAGCCACTCTTGTGTTTATCCTGTTAGCCTAACAAAACCCTCCACAGGCTATCTGTCTATTTTCTAACTAAAGGTTTGAAATCTCCTGTTATGAATATCCAGTACACAGTCAAATGTCCTTTTTTGACTTGCATATTTAACGCCTTATTGCCTGTTTACTGCTTTACATTTATGCTGATTTATTAAGTCACATATGCCTCTATTAACATCAAGTATGTCATTTTTACCTTAGAATATATGCAAGTAAAATGCATAATAACATGGACTGTGCAAAATTATCATTCACCATAACAATAATATGCATAGTTACATGCACAATTCAAAACCACATCTCTGAAGGGCAATAAACAAACACATGCACATTGTAAAATATTCATAAGTCATTAAAGTAAAACATAGAAGTCCCCCTAAACACACATTTCCACTGACCCTGCAAATCTCCTCTCTATAAATTACAGCTAACAGTTGGGGTGTTACATTTGTCTCAGTACCTCAGCAATGACTCACTCATAGCAATAGTTCTTTAGAGGCCTATAAGCAGACTGAATGGAAGAGTTAAAATGGGTTAGTGGTTAAAATCTCCCACCAATAACCTAAAAAATTGAGAGTTATTTTTATCTTACTTTTCTAAGATATTTTTCAAGGTAATTGGAGAAAACAATGAGTATGGTCATATTTTACATTAGGAAGATGAGTCAAAAAAGGATTTAAATGAGTTTCTGATTTAAATACGTTTCATTTCCTTAATAAGTTTTTCCAAGAAAAAGAAGAGTTAGAGAAAAGAATTTGAATTTTCGAAGGAATGTTTTTACAAATATCATCTGGCTGATTCAATCATAAACAAGAGTAATTTCATAATACCAATATTGAATCAGTCATAGCTATTCATTATTACATTCTATAAGAATTTCTTAGGAGGAATACTATTTTGGCATAATTTGAGTTAACAAAAAATACGTACTGTATAATTTTTTTACCAAGTTAAATATGAGCCAAGACTTGATCTACACTATAGACCAAATGGATCTAATAAATATTTACAGAACATTTCATCCAAGAGCTGTAGAATACACATTCTTTTACTATGCCCATGGATAGACCATATGTTAGGTCAAAAAGCAAGTTTTAAACATTCAAAAAAATTGAAATAATATCAAGCATCTTCTCTAACCACAATGGAATAAAACTAGAAATTAATAACAAGTGGAATTCTAGAAATTATACAAATACATAGAAACTAAACAATATGCTCCTGAATGACCAGTGGGTCAATAAAGAAATTGAGAAGGAAATTGAAAAATTTCTTGAAACAAATGATAATGGAAACATGACGTATTAAAACCTTTGAGATACACAAAAGCAGAACTAAGAGGGAAATTTATAGCTATAAGTGTCTACATCAAAAAAGAGAAAAAATTTTAAATAAACAATCTAATGATGCATCTTAAAGAACTAGAAATGCAAGAGCAAAGCAAACCCAAAATTAGTAGAAGAAAAAAAAAATAAAGGTCGGACCAGAAATAAATGAAATTGAAATTTAAAAGAAAAAATACAAAAGATCAACGAAACAAAAAATTGGGTTTTTGAAAAGTCAAACAAAATGAATGAATCTTTAGCCAAACTAAGAAGAGAGGAGATCCAAATAAATAAAATCAGAAATGAAAAACAGACATTACAACAAATAGTGCAGAAATTCAAAGGATCATTAATGGCTGCCATGAGCAACTATGTGCCAATAAATTGGAAAAACTAGAAAAATGGGCAAATTCCTAGATACATACAACCTACCAAGATTGAACCACGAAGAAATCCAAAATCTGAACAAACCAATAACAAGTAACAAGATTGAAGCCATAATGAAAACTCTCCCAGTAAAGAAAAGCCCAGGACCTGATGGCTTTACTGATGAATTCTACCAACCATTTAAAGAACTAATACCAATCCTTTTCAAACTATTCTGAAAAATGGAGGAGGAGCAAATATTTCCAAACTCATACTACGAGGCTGCTATTAACCTGTTACCAAAACCAGACAAAGACACATTAAAAAAAAAAAACTACAGGTGAGTATGTCTGATGGATACTGACACAAAAATCCTCAAAAAACTACTAGCAAACCAAATTCAACAATACATTAGAAAGGTCATTCATCATGACCAAGTGGGAGTTATCCCTGGGATTCAAGGATGGTTCAACATATGCAAATCAATCAGCGTGATACATCATATCAACAGGATGAAGAATAAAAACCATATGATCATTTCAATTGATGCTGGAAAAGCATTTGATAAAATTCAATGTCCCTTCATGATAAAAAAAAAAAAACTCTCAAAAAGATCAGGTAAAGAAGGAACATGCCTCAACATAATAAAAGCAAAATATGACAGACCCACAGCTAGTATCATATTAAATGAGGAAAAACTGAAACTCTTTCCTCTAAGATCTGGAAAATGAAAAGGCTGCCCACTGTCACCACTGTTACTCAACATAGTACTAAAAGTCCTAGCTTGAGCAATCAGACAAGAGAATGATATAAAGGGCATCCAAATTGGAAAGAAAAAAGTCAAATTACCCTTGTTTGCAGATGATATGATGTTATATTTGGAAAAACCTAAACACTCCACCAAAAAACTATTAGAAATGATAAACAAATTCAGTAAAGTTGCAGGATACAAAAATAACGTATAAAAATTAGTAGCATTTCTATATGCCAACAGTGAACAATCTGAAAAGGAAATAAAAAAGTAATGCCATTTACAATAGCCACACATAAAATTAAATAGGAATTAACCAAAGAAATAAAAGATCTCTATAATGAAAACTATAAAACACTGATGAAATAAATTGAAGAGGACACCAAAACATAAAAAAATGCCATGTTCATGGATTTGAAGAATCAATATTGTTAAAATGTCCATACTACCCAAAGCAATCTATAGGTTCAATGTAACCCCTAGCAAAATACCAATAGATGTTATTCACAGAAATAGAAAAATCAATCCTAAAATTTATGTGGAACCACAAAAGACCTGGAATAGCCAAAGCTATCCTTAAGCCAAAAAAAAAAAAAAAAAAAAAAAAACTGGAGGAATCACATTATCTGACTTCAAATTACACTACAGAGCTGTGATAAACAAAACAGCATGATACTGGTATAAAATCAGATATACAGACCAATGGAACAGAATAGAGAACCCAGAAACAAATCCATACACACACAGTGAACTCATTTTCTACAAAAGTGCCAAGAACATACAATGGGGAAAAGACAGTCTCTTCAATAAATGGTGCTGGGAAAACTGAATATCCATATGCAGAAGAATAAAAGTAGATCCCTATGTCTCTCCATATGCAAAAATCAAATCAAAATAGATTAAAGACTTAAATCTCAGAGCTCAAATTATGAAACTATTACAAGGAAAGATTGGAGAAAATCTCCAGGATATTGATCTGGACAAAAAATTCTTGATCAATATCCCACAAGCACAAGCAACCAAAGCAAAAATGGACAAATGGGATCACATCAACTTAAAAAGCTTCTGCACAGCAAAGTGAAAAGATGACTCACAGAATGGGAGAAAACATCTGCAAACTGCCCATCTGACAAGAGATTAATAACTAGAATATATGAGGAGCTCAAACAACTCTACAGGGGAAAAAAATCTAATAACCTGATCCAAAATTAGGGAAAAGATTTGAATAGACATTTCTCAAAAGAAGACAGACAAATGGCAAACGGACATACGAAAACGTGCTCAACATCACTGATCATCAGAGAAATGCAAATTAAAACTACAATGCGATATTATCTCACCTCAGTTAAAATGACTTATACCCAAATGGCAGTAACAAATGCTAGTGAGGATGTGGAGAAAAGGGTACTGTTGCACACTGTTAATGAGAATGTAAATTAGTATAACCACAATGGAGAACAGTTTGGAGGTTTCTCAAAAAACTAAAAATAGAGCTACCATATGACCCAGCAATCCTACAGCTGGGTATATACCCAAAAGAAAGGCTATCAGTATATCAGAGAGATATCTGCACTATTAGGTTTGCTGCAGTACTGTTTACAATAACTAATATTTAAAAGCAACCTAAGTGCCCATCAACAGATGAATGAATAAAGAAAATGTGGTACATACACACAATGGAGTACTATTCAGTTATAAAAAAGAACGAGAGCTTGTCATTTGCAACAACATGGATGCAACTGGAGATCATTATGTTAAGTGAAATAAGCCAGGAACAGAAAGACAAACATCATATGTTCTCACTTATTTGTAGACTCTAAAAATCAAAACAATTGAACTCATAGATGTAGAGAGTAGAAGGATGGTTACCAGAGGCTGGGAAGGGTAGTGGGAGGGTTGTGGGGAGTTGGATCAGTAAATGGGTATAAAAAATAAGTAGAAAGAATAAATAAGACCTGGTTGGGTGCACTGGCTCACACTTGTAATCCCTGCACTTTGGGAGGCCGCGGTGGACAGATCTTGAGGTGGGTGGATCACTTGAGGTCAGGAGTTCAAGACCAGCCTGGCCAATATGGTGAAACCCTGTCTCTACTAAAAATACAAAAACTAGCCAGGGATGGTGGCATGTGCCTGTAGTCCCAGCTACTCGGGAGGCTGAGGCAGAAGAATCGCTTGAACCCAGGAGGCAGAGGTTGCAGTCAGCCAAGAGGGCACCACTGCACTCCAGCCTGGGCAACAGAGCAAGACTCCGTCTCAAAAATAAATGAATAAATAAATAAATAAGACTTACTATTTGATAGCATAGCACAACAAGGTGACTATAGTCAATAACTAAATTGTATATTTTAACATAACTGAAAGAGTACAACTGGATTATTTGTAACTCAAAGGATAAATGCTTGAAGGGATGGAGAACCCATTTTCTATAATGTGCTTATTTCACCTTGCATGCCTGTATCAAAACATCTCATGCCCCCCGTAAATATATACACCTACTATGTACCCACAAAAATTAAAAGTATAAATAAAAAAATAAGCTTGACCCTAAAATTTACATTCATTTTTTCTAAGAGCATGCTATTCTTGAAGTTTTGTTTCCTTGGCTCAGCCACTTCTTTTTGTCTCTTCTGGCTTCTCCTCCTGCTCTCCAAAAAGTGGGTATTCTTTTCACGTGTGGAGGCAGAGGGTACATAGGAAATTTCTGCATCCCCAATCAGCCTAAAAATGCTCTTAAAAATACATCTTCAAGACATCATACTTCAGCTCTCCTCTCCAAACACTCCTTAATTCTATCTATTGTCTCAGCTTCAGTTACCTCCTTTAAAAGTTCCATGTCTTCCAAATTCCTGTCCCTAGCCATGTACTGTCTCTGGAGAGTACCCACGACTCCCATCTCCTGTCTTCTAAACATCTCTGCCTGCACATCCTGTTGACAGTTCACATGCAATGTGTCTTAGATAAAATTTATGTTTTCTACTTTACCTATTCTATTTCCCATATTTCTTGGTCATGCCAGCTCAAAACTTTCCAACTCATCTTTGATCCCTTACACACACTCCTTTCTTCCCTCTTCATTCACAGCAGTTGGCATATCTTAGGAATTCCACTCAATAATGTTATACCATCTTTCCCTTTTCAATGACCACAGCTACTGTTCTACTTCCTCTTTATACTGTCTATTATCTAGCTATTGCAGTAGCCTCCAAACTACTGCCCACCACTGTCTTTCCACTTCCGTTTCACTCCCCACCATCTAACGGATTAACCTTCTTGAGTAAAATTCTGATCAGAAGACTCTTGTTTATTGACACTCCAAAGCTCTTTTCATGTTCTATGATGAAGCCAAATTAATGTTTGAACTTCCTTCTTTCCCCATACTTGTCACATCCATATGTTTACTTTCAGATTTTCCTTCATTTGGACACTAGCATTCCCTCTTTCCTGTCTCTGTATGCTTAAATCTTAAATATTCTTTTCTTTTTTCCTGCAGTTTTTTTACATAAATATATTGCATAATGGTAAGGTTTGGGCTTCCAGTGTACCCATCACCCACATAGAGAACATTGTACCCAACAGGTAATTTTTAAACCCTCACTCCTCTCCCATCCTTCCTCTTTTTAGAGTCCCCAGTGTCTGTTATTAGGGTAAACATGTGTATCCATTGTTTAGCTCCTATTTATAAGCGAGAATATGCAGTATTTGGTTTTCTATTTCTGAGTTATTTCACTGAGGATAAATATTATTTAAGACCTTCCTCTTAAAAGTCTTCCTTGACTTCTAAGATGAGAGTAATCATTCTATTCTGTCCTCTGAATTTTCATCTCTCTCCTTCTTCCTCACCCCCTCTCCTTCTCTCTCTCTCTCTCAGTAACGCCTCTCAATTTAATTGGTGTAACAGTTATTTCTATAATCACTATGTTGTCACCAGGCCTTACCCATCTATGGGCACTGATGGGTCCCCTTAATAGTAATAAATTCAATGTCACCAACTCTTGAACCTGCTGATACAGGATTACTAGGCCCATACAAGTTACAAGTACTTCTAGGAGGCTTCAAGACATGTTTCCCATGTATTGGTGAATAAGGCTTCTCTCACTACAGTTTTTATTTAGATGCTCACCTTTGTTTGCATGGGGCTCAGACATGAATCTATTGAGGGTGGGAGTATTATAAAACCATGAAAAACAAACATTATCATCAGAATTGCTCTGTCTCAATGTCCAAGACCAAATCAAGCTAAGAATAGCTGGCTCTTCTTTTCTGAGGAAAACTCTCTCGCAGAAGTTTTGTTAGATTTTTATCCAGCTAGGCTTCTCTGAGCTCACTCAGCCCATCTACCAGCTTTGCCACGTACCTGCCTATTCTTCTGCCTAGACTCATCCTGTAGTTAGTATTCACTACCGACTGGATGGTAAACTTTTTGAGAGTAAGCCCCATGTTTAAGTAATATATATCCTCACCAAAACATTTAACATAGCTTCTTACACACAGACAAACCTCAAGGGTAAAACTAAAATAAAATTTAAAAAGTAATCCAAATTAATGATTACTTAACAGCATTTAAAAATTAACTCCAATATTTACAATCTTTTTTCCTTTTTTTTAATTATTATTATACTTTAAGTTTTAGGGTACATGTGCACAATGTGCAGGTTAGTTACATATGTATACATGTGCCATGCTGGTGTGCTGCACCCATTAACTCGTCATGTAGCATTAGGTATATCTCCTAATACTATCCCTCCCCGCTACCCCCACCCCACAACAGTCCCCAGAGTGTAATATTCCCCTTCCTGTGTCCATGTGTTCTCATTGTTCAATGCCCATCTATGAATGAGAACATGCGGTGTTTGGTTTTTTGTCCTTGCGATAGTTTGCTGAGAATGATGATTTCCAATTTCATCCATGTCCCTACAAAGGACATGAACTGATCCTTTTTTATGGCTGCATAGCATTCCATGGTGTATATGTGCCACATTTTCTTAATCCACTCTATCATTGTTGGACATTTGGGTTGGTTCCAAGTCTTTGCTATTGTGAATAGTGCCGCAATAAACATACATGTGCATGTGTCTTTATAGCAGCATGATTTATAGTCCTTTGGGTATATACCCAGTAATGGGATGGCTGGGTCAAATGGTATTTCTAGTTCTAGATCCTTGAGGAATCGCCACACTGACTTCCACAATGGTTGAACTAGTTTACAGTCCTACCAACAGTGTAAAAGTGTTCCTATTTCTCCACATCCTCTCCAGCACCTGTTGTTTCCTGACTTTTTAATGATTGCCATTCTAACTGGTGTGAGATGGTATCTCATTGTGGTTTTGATTTGCATTTCTCTGATGGCCAGTGATGATGAGCATTTTTTCATGTGTCTTTTGGCTGCATAAATGTCTTCTTTTGAGAAGTGTCTGTTCATGTCCTTCGCCCACTTTTTGATGGGGTTGTTTGTTTGTTTCTTGTAAATTTGTTTGAGTTCATTGTAGATTCTGGATATTAGCCCTTTGTCAGATGAGTAGGTTGCGAAAATTTTCTCCCATTTTGTAGGTTGCCTGTTCACTCTGATGGTAGTTTCTTTTGCTGTGCAGAAGCTCTTTAGTTTAGTTAGATCCCATTTGTCAATTTTGGCTTTTGTTGCCATTGCTTTTGGTGTTTTAGACATGAAGTCCTTGTGCATGCCTATGTCCTGAATGGTACTGCCTAGGTTTTCTTCTAGGGTTTTTATGGTTTTAGGTCTAACATGTAAATCTTTAATCCATCTTGAATTAATTTTTGTATAAGGTGTAAGGAAGGGATCCAGTTCCAGCTTTCTACATATGGCTACCCAGTTTTCCCAGCACCATTTATTAAATGGGGAATCCTTTCCCCATTGCTTGTTTTTCTCAGGTTTGTCTAAGATCAGATAGTTGTAGATATGCAGCATTATTTCTGAGGGCTCTGTTCTGTTCCATTGTTCTATATCTCTGTTTTGGTACCAGTACCATGCTGTTTTGGTTACTGTGGCCTTGTAGTATAGTTTCAAGTCAGGTAGCGTGATGCCTCCAGCTTCGTTCTTTTAGCTTAGGATTGACTTGGCAATGCGGGCTCTTTTTTGTTCCATATGAACTTTCAAGTAGTTTTTTCCAATTCTGTGAAGAAAGTCATTGGTAACTTGATGGGGATGGCACCAAATCTATAAATTACCTTGGGCAGTATGGCCATTCTCAGGATATTGATTCTTCCTAACCATGAGCATGGAATGTTCTTCCATTTGTCTGTATCCTTTTTTATTTCATTGAGCAGTGGTTTGTCGTTCTCCTTGAAGAGGTCCTTCATGTCCCTTGTAAGTTGGATTCCTAAGTATTTTATTCTCTTTGAAGGAATTTTGAATGGGAGTTCACTCATGATTTGGCTCTCTGCTAGTCCGTTATTGGTGTATAAGAATGCTTGTGATTTTTGTACATTGATTTTGTATCCTGACACTTTGCTGAAGTTGCTTATCAGCTTAAGGAGATTTTGGGCTGAGACAATGGGGTTTTCTAGATATACAATCATGTCATCTGCAAACAGGGACAATTTGACTTCCTCTTTTCCTAATTGAATACCCTTTATTTCCTTCTCCTGCCTAATTGCCCTGGCCAGAACTTCCAACACTCTGTTGAATAGGAGTGGTGAGAGAGGGCATCCCTGTCTTGTGCCAGTTTTCAAAGGGAATGCTTCCAGTTTTTGCCCATTCAGTATGATATTAGCTGTGAGTTTGCATAGATAGCTCTTAATATTTTGAGATACATCCCATCAATACCTAATTTATTGAGAGTTTTTAGCATGAAGGGCTGTTGAATTTTGTCAAAGGCCTTTTCTGCATCTATTGAGATAATCATGTGGTTTTTGTCTTTGGTTCTGTTTATATGGTGGATTACATTTATTGATTTGCATATATTGAACCAGCCTTGCATCCCAGGGATGAAGCCCACTTGATCATGGTGGATAAGCTTTTTGATGTGCTGCTGGATTCGGTTTGCCAGTATTTTATTGAGGAGATTTGCATCAATGTTCATCAAGGATATTGGTCTAAAATTCTCTTTTTTGGTTGTGTCTCTGCCAGGCTTTGGTATCAGGATGATGCTGGCCTCATAAAATGAGTTAGGGAGGATTCCCTCTTTTTCTATTGATTGGAATAGTTTCAGAAAGAATGGTACCAGTTCCTCCTTGTACCTCTGGTAGAATTCGGCTGTGAATCCATCTGGTCCTGGACTCTTTTTGGTTAGTAAGCTATTGATTATTGCCACAATTTCAGAGCCTGTTATTGGTCTATTCAGAGATTCAACTTCTTCCTGGTTTAGTCTTGGGAGGGTGTATGTGTCAAGGAATTTATCCATTTCTTCTAGATTTTCTACTTTATTTGCATAGAGGTGTTTGTAGTATTCTCTGATGTTAGTTTGTATTTCTGTGGGATCGGTGGTGATATCCCCTTTATCATTTTTTATTGCGTCTATTTGATTCTTCTCTCTTTTTTTCTTTATTAGTCTTGCTAGTGGTCTATCAATTTTGTTGATCCTTTCAAAAAACCAGCTCCTGGATTCATTGATTTTTTGAAGGGTTTTTTGTGTCTCTATTTCCTTCAGTTCTGCTCTGATCTTAGTTATTTCTTGCCTTCTGCTAGCTTTTGAATGTGTTTGCTCTTGCTTTTCTAGTTCTTTTAATTGTGATGTTAGGGTGTCAATTTTGGATCTTTCCTGCTTTCTCTTGTGGGCATTTAGTGCTATAAATTTCCCTCTACACACTGCTTTGAATGTGTCCCAGAGATTCTGGTATGTTGCGTCTTTGTTCTCGTTGGTTTCAAAGAATATCTTTATTTCTGCCTTCATTTCATTATATACCCAGTAGTCATTCAGGAACAGGTTGTTCAGTTTCCATGTAGTTGAGCGGTTTTGAGTGAGTTTCTTAATCCTGAGTTCTAGTTTGATTGCACTGTGGTCTGAGAGACAGTTTGTTATAATTTCTGTTCTTTTACATTTGCTGAGGAGACCTTTACTTCCAAGTATGTGGTCAATTTTGGAATAGGTGTGGTATGGTGCTGAAAAAAATGTATATTCTGTTGATATGGGGTGGAGAGTTCTGTAGATGTCTATTAGGTACACTTGGTGCAGAGCTGAGTTCAATTCCTGGGTATCCTTCTTAACTTTCTGTCTCGTAGATCTGTCTAATGTTGACAGCGGGGTGTTAAAGTCTCCCATTTTTATTGTGTGGGAGTCTAAGTCTCTTTGTAGGTCACTCAGGACTTGCTTTATGAATCTGGGTGCTCCTGTATTGGGTGCATATATATTTAGGATAGTTAGCTCTTCTTGTTGAATTGATCCCTTTACCATTATGTAATAGCCTTCTTTGTCTCTTTTGATCTTTGTTGGTTTAAAGTCTGTTTTATCACGGACTAGGATTGCAACCCCTGCTTTTTTTTGTTTTCCATTTGCTTGGCAGATCTTCCTCTATCCTTTTATTTTGAGCCTATGTGTGTCTCTGCACATGAGATGGGTTTCCTGAATACAGCACACTGATGGGTCTTGACTCTTTATCCAATTTGCCAGTCTGTGTCTTTTAATTGGAGCATTTAGTCCATTTACATTTAAAGTTAATATTGTTATGTGTGAATTTGATCCTGTCATTATGATGTTAGCTGCTTATTTTGCTCATTAGTTGACGCAGTTTCTTCCTAGTCTCAATGGTCTTTACATTTTGGCATGATTTTGCAGCGGCTGGTACCAGTTGTTCCTTTCCATGTTTAGTGCTTCCTTCAGGAGCTCTTTTAGGGCAGGCCTGGTGGTGACAAAATCTCTCAGCATTTGCTTGTCTGTAAAGGATTTTATTTCTCCTTCACTTATGAAGCTTAGTTTGGCTGGATATGAAATTCTGGGTTGCAAATTCTTTTCTTTAAGAATGTTGAATATTGGCCCCCACTCTCTTCTGGCTTGTAGAGTTTCTGCCGAGAGATCCGCTGTTAGTCTGATGGGCTTCCCTTTGTGGGTAACCTGACATTTCTCTCTGCCTGCCCTTAACATTTTTTCCTTCATTTCAACTTTGGTGAATCTGACAATTATGTGTCTTGGAGTTGCTCTTCTCGAGGAGTATCTTTGTGGTGTTCTCTGTATTTCCTGAATCTGAATGTTGGCCTGCCTTGCTGGATTGGGGAAGTTCTCCTGGATAATATCCTGCAGAGTGTTTTCCAACTTGGTTCCATTCTCCCCATCACTTTCAGGTACACAAATCAGACATAGATTTGGTCTTTTCACATAGTCCCATATTTCTTGGAGGCTTTGTTCATTTCTTTTTATTCTTTTTTCTCTAAACTTCCCTTCTCGCTTCATTTGATTCATTTCATCTTCCGTCACTGATACCCTTTCTTCCAGTTGATTGCATCGGCTCCTGAGGCTTCTGCATTCTTCACGTAGTTCTCAAGCCTTGGCTTTCAGCTCCATCAGCTCCTTTAAGCACTTCTCTGTATTGGTTATTCTAGTTATACATTCGTCTAAATTTTTTTCAAAGTTTTCAACTTCTTTGCCTTTGGTTTGAATTTCTTCCTGTAGCTCGGAGTAGTTTGTTCGTCTGAAGCCTTCTTCTCTCAACTCATCAAAGTCATTCTCCATCCAGCTTTGTTCCATTGCTGGTGAAGAACTGCGTTCCTTTGGAGGAGGAGAGGCACTCTGCTTTTTAGAGTTTCCAGTTTTTCTGCTCTGTTTTTTCCCCATCTTTGTGGTTTTATCTACTTTTGGTCTTTGATGATGGTGATGTACAGATGGGTTTTTGGTGTGGATGTCCTTTCTGTTTGTTAGTTTTCCTTCTAACAGACAGGACCCTCAGCTGCAGGTCTGTTGGAGTTTGCTAGAGGTCCACTTCAGACCCTGTTTGCCTGGGTATCAGCAGCGGTGGCTGCAGAACAGCAGATTTTCGTGAACCACAAATGCTGCTGTCTAATCGTTCCTCTGGAAGTTTTGTCTCAGAGGAGTACCCGGCCGTGTGAGGTGTCAGTCTGCCCCTACTGGGGGGTGCCTCCCAGTTAGGCTGCTCGGGGGTCAGGGGTCAGGGACCCACTTGAGGAGGCAGTCTGCTTGTTCTCAGATCTCCAGCTGCATGCTGGGAGAACCACTGCTCTCTTCAAAGCTGTCAGACAGGGACATTTAAGTCTGCAGAGGTTACTGCTGTCTTTTTGTTTGTCTGTGCCCTGCCCCCAGAGGTGGAGCCTACACAGACAGGCAGGCCTCCTTGAGCTGTGGTGGGCTCCACCCAGTTGGAGCTTCCCGGCTGCTTTGTTTACCTAAGCGAGCCTGGGCAATGGCGGGCGCCCCTCCCCCAGCCTCGCTGCCGCCTTGCAGTTTGATCTCAGACTGCCGTGCTAGCAATCAGTGAGACTCCGTGGGCGTAGGACCCTCCAAGCCATGTGCGGGATATAATCTCCTGGTGCGCTGTTTCCTAAGCCTGTCAGAAAAGCACAGTATTCGGGTGGGATTGACCCGATTTTCCAGGTGCTATCTGTCACCCCTTTCCTTGACCAGGAAAGGAAACTCCCTGACCCCTTGTGCTTCCCGAGTGAGGCAATGCCTCCCCTTGCTTCGGCTCGCGCATGATGTGCTGCACCCTCTGTCCTGTGCCCACTGTTTGGCACTGCCTAGTGAGATGAACCTGGTACCTCAGATGGAAATGCAGAAATCACCCGTCTTCTGCATCGCTCACGCTGGGAGCTGTAGACTAGCGCTGTTCCTATTCGGCCATCTGGGCTCCTCCCCACTTTTTTTCTTTTTTTTTTTTGAGACAGAGTCTCGTTCAGTCACCCAGACTGGAGTGTAGTGGCATGATCTTGGCTCACTGCAACCTCCACCTCCCCGGTTCAAGTGATTCTCCTACTTCAGCCTCCAGAATAGCTGATACTACAGGTTCCTGCCACCACCCCCAGCTAATTTTTGTAGTTTTAGTAGAGACAGGGTTTCACCATGTTGGCCAGGCTGGTCTCGAACTCCTGACCTCAAGTGACCCACCTGCCTCAGCTGCCCAAAGTGCTAAGATTACAGGCATGAGCCACCGTGCTAGGTCAATATTTACAATCTTTATGTCAGGTAATCGAGGCCTTAGCATTTTAAGACCAGTTATATGCAGTTAGCTACCTCTTTTCTCTACTTTTCCAATAATCACAATCCCTTAAAAATATTAATATCAGGGATCTTTTGAAATCAGTTTCAAAAGGTATTAAAAGCAGTGAGAATTTTGTTTCAAGCTCACTGAGTTGTTTCTAGGATTAAAAAACATATAAAGTATTTAGCATATTGTGTAGAATGTAATCAGAGCTCAATGCAAGTCAGTTTATATTATTTTCATTGTGAAAGCTAGACTTATTTGAAATGGTTCCAAAAATAAATCCTACAAGAAACATCCTCGAAAGTGACTATTTATTATATTATACATAAAAGTACCCCAAATAGTGTACATTACCTCCAGCTTATGTTAAATTCTGTCTTTGTCAATAATAACCTCTAATTTAATTGAAGTTAATCATATCTCTTAATTAGCTATTCCCATTATTATAATAAAGAGCAGTTACCAGGAAAATCTAGCCATAGTAACCCACATATAAATGAATGCTTTCAGTAAGCAAATAAAATAATTTCAACAAGTTTCCAGGCCATTTAACTAAGTACTGCTCTACTTAGATCACTGGAATAAGATCAGAATATCTAGATTTCTAATTGAGGTGGCTCTAAAACATCCCATTGAAAACAGAGCCGTATATGTCCCTTAACCAAACAAGCAAGGAGAACTCAAGAATTTCAAGTAAAAACATGACAGACTTCTATAGGAATGAACCTTAATTGAGTTGGCAGGTTAAATTGTTGGCACTGATACAGTGAAAGAAGATGAAGCCCAAGGGAGGGACATTTCACAATCAAATCGGAAATGGTACATCCTTCTCCTACACACAAATCCATAATTGAAAAAAAAGACTGAAAACCTTTCCTCCCACCATTGACCTTCTGAGTAGGTGTGGTAGGACAAATTTCATCCTCAATATTCACAACAAGATCTTGATCTTTTTAGCACCTGGTCAAGTTTGCAAAGTCACTAAATAAAACCTAATCCAATTAGTTTCTCCCCAGTCAACTTACTTTTCACTTCCATGAAATGTGCTCTTTCCACACAATAGATGAAATAGCACCCACTACATCATCCTGGTTACAATCCTCATGAGATGACAGATCCTTGCTTGTTGAGGACACATTCACAGAAAGAACAGTTAAGCGAGAGGAAACTCAGAGGCCAGGAATAGAGGTTACCTACAAAGTCTACAAGTCGTATCAACTACTGTGGTGAAAAAAGAGTGAACCTCTGCAATTAGACCATTTTTTATGACTAACTTTAGATTAAACACAGCGTGACTATGCTTACCATCAAGTGGAATATTTCAGTCTCCCACACACAGTTTCTGTTCTATTCAATCACTACACCTTGTATAACAGCTTTATACAGAAATAATCATAACCAACAAAAAAAGAACAATCTTCATTTTTGACAGTGTTAAAAATGCTTAAAACATTTTTCAAAGGTTATAACCTTATAAAAGTTAATGCATTAACTTCAGACAGTGTTTGAAAAAAGGAAAGAAATATCTAAGACTGAGCCAGTACCAAAGTGAGCTAGTTTCTTAACACGAGCAAGTGTTTAACAGTATTGTTTTCAGTCATAAAAACATAAAACATGAATCTTAATCCCACAAGAAAGAAAATAATAGACTTATTTTTAGACTAGTCTCTTCTATCAAAATAAATGGAAGAAATAATGTCTGAAATTAATAACCTAAATTTTAACTTTATAAGAGTCTTAGATATTACCCAATAATTTCTCATATCACCAAGTTAATAAATTACTATTCCAAAGGTAAATATAAAAAAAAGAAAAAGTAAGAAAAGCACAGTGTACAATCTACATTTGACATGTGCATTAAAACAAAAACTTTCAATGTCCAGTAAATTTCGAACCAATAATTTCCTTAAACTTTTACAATTTTTACAATTACATACCCAGAGTAATATCTCTTTGTTTATTTCTGAAAAGCATAATTTCTAAAGTTCCTTCCTGTTAACACAATTAACATCAAAAGAACAAAATCAAAACTCTGAGGATACTGCTATCCTATATATTTGATGGGCATTCTATTTTCCAGTGTTATGAAAACAACTTAAACCAAACAGTATAACTGTATGCAAATGTCACTCAAATTAAAATGAAATATAAAGAAATACACAGAAAACTTATTGTCTGCCCAGCATAACATGTGAAACAATACTATACATTACATTACATTACATTTTAATTAAGATTAAAAACAAAGATCTATATTTAAAACTTTTCCATAGTTTTTTAAATAATTGTATGACTCATCTCTATTGCCTCTGTTAATTCAAAAAATTAGTGAACTTACCAATATGCAACCCACTCAAAATGACTCATTTTGACATTTAATTATTTCCATGCATGAGGTGAACAATATCTTTAACATATGACCTGATTATAATTAGATCATACGAAAAGATGAAAATAACATGAAAATGTGACTTATAAATGCAAGATTATATGTCTATTTATCAAATACAATTTATTGGTCAATGTTCAATGTATGTAAATTGATCTACAATTGTTGTAACTTGAATTTGACCCTATTGGGGAAAAAATAACTAATTTGCCTCTAAAGATCTAATTTTTATTCTTTTCTATTGTTAGGAAACTAAAACTATGTAACCTAATGTATTTCCCTTTTAGGTTTTAACTGCCAAAAACTTTAGAGCAATCCTTATTTCCCAAGTGTTTAATTTTGTTTAGCTCATATACTTGAAAAGATTACTTTTAGCTTCCTTTGTTCTGATCCCTCCTTAAATTACTTAGCTGGCATTGTGCTGACATGTGGTCTCCTGAAGTCCTTTCAGGAATAACTAAAAAGGAGAGCCTTCAACAAAAAGACAAAGAGAAGAATTATGGGAAGGGAGGAAGACAGGTAGGAGAAAGGTAGGAAGGTATGCAAGTACCTGTACACACTTGATACTCGGAATTGTCATACATTGCTGTTTCTTTCTGCAAACAACACTAGATATTTTCTAAATACACACATGTTGGGAATGGTCTATAATTTTCAAAGTTGAGGCAATAACAGTGCTATATAAGTATATATAACAAACTGAGTACAGCTAAAAATAATAATAATATCATTGAATCTTTTTAATGTCCTAGGCACTATACTAAGTGTTTAATCACTTATTGCTCACAGTAACCCATGAATCATGCTTTATTATTATTATTAATTATTATTAAGTTACTATTATTATCACCATTTTACTAATGAGGAAACAGAGACTTAGAATGATTTTATAGCCGGTATGTGGTAAAGCTGAGATTCAGACTAACTCCGGAGTCTGTTCCCTTAACCAGTAGCCTCTCTTCACTGATATTAAATAAAATCTTCATTGTTAGTTTAGTATGTATTTTCTAAAGTATATAACTGGCATACGCTTCATGAGGTATATGGCAGCCAGCTCAAATAAAATACTGAAATGGATAATAATTTTATATTGCCAAACCAAATATTTGAGTCAACTGAAGGGAAGAAGAAATAGAACTGGACAGAATAGGAAGCGTCCCTAAGACCTCTTTGAAGTACTCTGGATTCATAATCAGGTGCTACGTAGGAAAAACACTAGAGACAGCAGTTGTGATACCTGGGATCCAGTTCTTTCTCTACTGCTAATTAGAAATGTGTGACACTGATTCCATGATTCAACTTCTCTGGGAACCAGTTTCTTCATCTATAAAGCTATAAGTATGATTCTATAACAGCCAAGGATGCTGTAGTTCTGCAACTGCAACCCAGATCTCTCCATTCACCTGTTAGGTGCACTCACAGCTCCAGAATGGTCCAAGTATCACACTGGGAAGAGAAACTGCTCCAAATTATTAAGGGTCAAAACAGGTAGAGCCTAAAGACCCCACTTCTATTTAGTCAGGACAGAGAAATCCTTCTTCTATGAGAAAGTGCTCCACCACACTGATATAACTTAGAAAAAATCCTTGTCCTCAGACTTTTCCCTGAAACTCCACCAATTATTAGAGGGACATTTGAAGCTAAAAAATAAGATAAAATAAAATCACCACTGACACAATTAGGACAACTCAGAAAACAAGCTAGTATATAGCATTAGACATGTAAGTCATGCTGTAGCATGGAATAGTTTAATCATATTGATAGAACTGACACTTAAAATAAACTTTTAGGAATACATGTGCTCACCTTCTTTTCGCCTCACCCTCCAAAGAAAAAAAATGAGCAAAGGCAAGATGAAACGTAAGTAAAACTGTAAAGAACACAAAATGTATGGTCTTTGTCTTTTGTTTCTCTCCTCCTAATGATCTGTTTTCCTAGGCTTTGCTCAAAGCCTTTCACACCCTTCCTGAGCTATGCTTCTTGTTCACAGTCTCCCTCACCTGTCCTTTCTCCCATCCACTCAGTAGCCCTCAGAAGCAAGTGTATTGAATTACTTAAGTGATTTGATCTAAGCTAGACTCTTATAACTAAAGAGTGTGATATTTGCATTTTCTAGCAGTGGAAATTCCAGGCAAAAATTACTCTGAACTGGCGGGGGAGAGAGGGTTATGATCCTCTTAAATCATCCCCATGTACCTGTGAATAGCACAAATCAAATTCCCCCTTAAGAAAAACAAGGGGGTAGAGAGGGGCCAATGAGGTATCACAAAAGAATTTAAAAGTCTGGGATTAGCCAGCACTAGCCCTTCAAGGGCTTTACCCAAAGCAGGAAATTGCTGTGCTGCTCCATGGCTTCCCTACACCGGTGCCCAGGCAGCTGGCCAATTCACTAACCCCTTCCCTGGCCTCTTCCCTGGCCTTGCACAGACAGCATAGTCAGTACTACCCTGGCCCCACCGTAACCCTGGCTGGCTTGAGAAAAGTTGGCAGAGAGAGTCCAGGGTTGTGCTATTTAAAGCTATAAGCAGCTACTGTGGATGGAGATGAGCTGCTTTAGCAGCAGAGGATAAGGCCAGCTGTGTAAGATTTTCACTAGCCCTAATGAAATTCACTCACCTGCTAAAGTTAGGGTACCCAAATTTGATAGAAAACAGCTCAGTTCCACTTATTAATTACTAATTATCATCTAGCTATCCCATCTGGCAATTTTTTTCATTGTTAAATTGCCTGATTGCAAATCCTTAAATTTTCCTCAAAATATACTAATAAATATATAGAATATAAATATACATATAAAACAGTCTACTAATTAGTAATTAATAAAATATACTAATGAAATTTATGTGTGTGTGTGTGTGTGTGTGTGTGTGTGTGTGTAGAGTCCATGTAGGTTTTTGCTGTGTACACATCAAAATACCCAGAAGGACTTTTATATAACCATATACACATGCATATCTTTGTATACACTACACACATATATAGAGACAGAAAAAATATATACATACATATATATATATATATATATATATATATATATATATATATATATAGACAGAGAGAGAGAGAGAGAGAGAGGAATCCATACATGTATCTATGTTTCAATCCAAGCTGCCCACACTATCTCAAATATTAGGTGAACAAGGATAAAATAATGGTCAAAAGCACAGGTTGTGAATGCAGGTATCTGTGTCTTCAGTGAAACACAGGATAAGATAATTCTCTGGATTTCTAATCTGTAAGTGGCAATTGTTGACAAGGTTAAGATGATTCCTATAAAGGACAGACCTTTGCTTGGAACACAATAGTTAGTATTCATCAATTTTAACTAGTGTTAGCATTATGATAAAACATCCATGGTAACTCAAAACAACAACTGTAGCAGTATGGTTTTCTTCTAAAAATCAAACATTATCTCAGACAGCCCTGACAATCTGACCCTGTCGTCTCCTTGTGCTCTTACTTCTCAAAATGGGCTTGACAGGTACTTTATCAAGGGAACTCCTCTTCATCCTTAAAAGCTCAGCTCAACTAGCATTTCCTTACAGAAACCTTCCTTGACCCTTAGCCTAGGTCAGATAACACTGTTACTTATTTCAAAAAGCAGCATACCTTTTCTTTATAGCATTTATGCCAGCTTATTATTTACTTAGTTCAGTGACTTTTAAAAAAGTAACACCTGTATTTCCCACTCTAACCTCATGGGGCAAATACTATGCCTGCTTTTGCTCATTGTTGCATCCACAGCAATGAAAGTATCAGGTACACAGTAAGTGATCAAAAATACTTATTGAATGAATCAATGACTCAGCCAAGTTCTATCTAGATGTCCATCTATTTATATACTCCCAAGAAGCAGCGAGAGTAAGAATTTGGTCACAGAAAAATAAAAGAATCCTGGAAGTTTCCCAGAGGAATAAAAGTTAGAAAAAACAATACTTGTCGAAAAGAAGTCCAACAATCCAGAAACCAAAGAGACATGGCTTTCTGTACTTGGCTTGAGAACCCTCCTGACATTCCATTACGAAGAAACTTTAAAAGAAGCACAGGGTTACAAGGCCGAGCTCTGGGTACCAAGAGGAAGGAAGGACAGGGATTCTACCCAGAGGAAGAATTCATCCAACTAAGAATCCTGAAACCTAGAGGGGGATAGGGAGCAGAGTGTAGTGTCATCAAATTTATGTTCTGTGTCTTCATTCAGTCAGTAACTCATCAGAGCACCTACCACATGAGATGTAGTGCCTGGACTTGTGGATACAGAAGTAAGCATGACAGACACAGTCACCACTCTCATGGAATTTCCACTTTATTTCAGAGGAGAAACAGGACATTAAACAAGTAATGTACATGTGGCCAGTGCTCACAGAACTACAAGTTGCTGTAGTAATAACACTGACTGAAAAGTCAGTACATACACATATTTTGTATTTGTCCAAGGAAATAATTCCAAGAATATTTTTATGATCTCTCTTTTTTTAATTCTCTCTTTAAAAAAAAAAAGTTTCCATGCTAATTTGTATTGGTTTCTGTTGCTTAGCAGGAGTAAACTAATTTAAGAGACACACTATATATCTACTATTAGGTTGAACTCAAGTGAGGATTTGGTCAAGATGATTTCAAAGTAGTTAAAAGAGAGTATTTTAAATGTTCTGACCACAAAGGAATGATAAATATTGGAAGCAATCAATATGTTGATTACTCTGATTTTATCATTCTATGGTGTATACACATAAGAAAATATCACTTTTACCCCATAAATATATGCAATTGTTGTTTGTCAATTAAAAGTGAAAACTAAAAAAAAAAAAAAAAAACAGATGCTGCTTCTCCTTCACTAGCTTGTACGTGAAAGTAGATGAGATGGAAAATGAGAGGAAAAAAGAACTTATGCAAACAAAAGCATAAAAACACTACTCAGGAGGATGGAATTTATTTATATAAAATCTTAGGTACCTCAAAAACTTTCAAGTTCGTAACACTCTCTTTATTTTATGAAAGTTACACAAAAGGGAAAACTGAAAACATCAAAGAAAAGCCCTCAATTCACCTCTCAAGAGTGGTATTTAATTCTCCATTCCAAAATCCATACCAATCAGTCTGTCAATATTAATTTGTTGAGTACACACTCTACGCCAAGAATTGTTAAAAACCCAAGGAAAGAGTTCTCCTCAGTAGACCCATGCCCTCCCCAACAATAAATGTACATAAAAAATTTAAGATAAACTTGAGATGCCAATAATGGCTAAAGAGAATATCAAAAGCACCAATATACGGTAGAGTAATCAGGGTTTCTGCTTTAGCTAGAATGGTCAGGAAAATCCTTTCTGAGGAAATATAATTTAAATTAACACTCAAATGATGAATATGAACCCCTATTTATTATAAAAGTCCAGAAAAGAATATTCTTACAGAAGAAAAGCTGATCCAAAAGGCCAGAGGCAGGAAAATTTTAAATTGTTTGAAAGACAAAAAGGCCAGAATGGCCGAATACAGTAAACGAAGTAAGGAGTTGAGGGGAAATGACATCAGGGAAGTATACTGAAACCAGTTCTTGTAGGACAGTGGCTCTCAAAATGTAGCATCATATGGGAACTGTTAGAAATGCAAACTTTCAGGCCCCTCTACAGACTTACTGAGTCAGAAAGTCTGTGGTGGTGCCCAGAAATCTGTTTTAGCAAGGCTTCCAGGGGATTCTGATGCCTACTAAGATCAGTGGCCTCTTGAAGAGAACAGTAATTCTCAACCTAGTTATATATTAGAATCATTTGTAGAGGCATTCAATCTACTTATACTGAGCCTTACCCAAGACCAAATGAATCTCTGTATCTGGAGATGGGATCTCGATATATACACATATATCAAGATGCTGTACAGGTTTGCAGCCTGGCAGCAATAATATATATAATATTATATATAATACATTATAATATATATATAAAATATTAAATATTATTTATATATTAAATAATATATATTAATATTAAATATAATATATATTAATTAATATATATTTATTTAATATATTGTATATAATATTAATATATGTTAATTAATATATGATATAATTTAATATAATATATATTATATATAATAATACATAATATATAACATATAATATATTATATTAATATATAATATATAATATAAATTATATATAATATATTATATATTATATATAAATAATATATATTATAAATATTATATAATATATTATATTTATATATAATATATAATATATTATATTTATATATAAATATAATATATTATATTTATATATAATATATAATATATTATATTTATATATAAATATAATATATTATATTTATATATAATATGTTATATATAACATATTATATTTATATATAATATGTTATATATAACATATTATATATTATGTATTATAATATAATATATATTATATATTAAATTATATTATATATTAAACTAATATATATTTATATTATATATTAAATTAACATATGTTATTTTAATATATATATATTATATATATTAAATATATATAATATATTTATATTATATATAATATATAATATATAATAACATATAATATATAATATAATTATATATTAAATTCATATATGTTAATATAATATATAATATATATTAAATTAATATATAAATATAATATATAATATATATTAAATTAACATATATGAATTTAATATATAATATATATTAAATTAATATATGTTAATTTAATATATATTATATATTAAATATATTAATTTAATATATAAATATATATTTATATACAAATATATATTTATATATAAATATATTAATTTAATATATATTAATTTAAAATATATTGATTTAAATATTAATTTAATATATATTAAATATATATTAATATTAAAATATATATTATATAATATATATTATTATATAATATATTATATATAATATTATATATATTATATAATATATAATATGTATAATATATATTGTATCATATATTATATATTATATATAATATTATACATTATATATTATATATATTATATATTATATATTATATAGATTATATATATTATATTATACATTATATATTATATATATTATATATTATATATTATATAGATTATATATAATATATAATATATAATATTTTATATGATATATATTATATATGCTCTTTAGATATACATATATGCTTTTTAGGTAATTATGATACACAATGTTTATTGCAAACACTGAAATGGAGTCTTAAAAGTCATAGTAAAATGTTTGGAATTTAATGGGAAGCCACTGAAATCTTGTAAACAGAACATTTTATCAAACTTAGAAATGCCAATGCAGCTTCTATGTGAAGAAGGGGGCAATAATTGGCCGAAAACACCAGTCAGGAGGTCATTGTCATATCCAGGGAAAAGATGACAGTGGTTTTGTCCAAAGCTGTAACATTGGAGATATAATAAGTAGATTCAAACATATTTCATAGAAAAACCTAAAAATGTATTATGGATTTGATAGGAGATATTTGAGGGAAAAATAAGAAGAGTCTAGGATAATAAGAATCTAGGTTTTTGGCCTGAGAAATGGTGCCCAACTTTTCTTTTTGGAGGAAAGCATTCAGGTGTGTCTATCAAGGGTTGATCTTTGGCCAGGTTAAATTTAGACAGCCAAGTGGAGATGCTGAATTGGCCGCAGAATATACATATGATTCTGGAGCTCAGAAGAGAAGTCAGAGCCAAACCCAGACACATACAAATCATCACTGGGTATTTGAAGCCACAGAATCAGATGAGGTCTCTAGGTTGAGAGTAGACATGCAGGAGAGGGTTGGGTAAAGCACAGAGCTGGTGTAGGAACAGGGTACGTGGCTGGCTCATGGGAGCCCAAGAAGAGTGATGGTCCTCAGGCTGTTGAAGCGCAGGACAACTGAAGATCTTAGGCTTTCTCTGTTGCCTTGTGGCACAGTTCTACCCAGTTCATGGAGGCAAAATGGCTTTAGAAACTCACAAGCATTTCTTAATGACTACTGGCCACCAAATAACAGCACCAATATCCACTTCAAAGGTCCGCATTATACCAGGCAATCTTTCCCTGAACCAAATGAGGAAACCAAGGATCAGACACATTAGGTGGCTTGTCTAAGTTCACACAGTTTCTGTATGCTGCCAGAACATAGCCTGGGGAGATGGCACTCATGTGTGCCTACAAAGAACACATAGCTTCCAAGAAAGGGGACTAAAAGAGGGAGTTAAAGTTGTGCAAAGTTAATCCAATCTGGGACTGACAGGTACTGAGTCAAACTGGCAGGGATTATGACTGAGCATTGGGAAAGGGCCAGACAGTATTACAGACAAAAAAAAAAAAAAGTTGAAATTTCCTACCAGAAAAAGGAAGTCAGCTAGAAAAAACCAGTATCCAGTACCATTGCACACATACAAGAAACAGACAGTAGAGTTTTAGGGTCTGTCAGTAACTGAGAGCATGACAGAAATGCAAACTTTCAGTCCCATCTGCAGACCTACTAAATCAGAAACTCTGAGGTGGAACCCAGAAGTCTGTTTTAATAAACCCTCCAGGAGATCCTGATGCCCACTAAGGTCAGAAGCCCCTTAGGGAAAACAATGATTTTCAGCCCTATTGCATATTCCTCAAATGCAACACAGGAGGACTTTCCAGGGAAATGGAAATCATCAATAGAGCTGGCACAACACTCCTATCTTGAAGAAACTTGGTGCTTCCCTAACAGTCCATCTAAGGGACAGTTCCTTCTGCTCTTAATAATTTAATATGCACACACACACACACACACACACACACACGTATAACTTTATATATATCTATCTTTACACTAGTTAATTATAATACAGTCATGTGTTGCTTAATGACTAGGATATGTTCTGAGAAATGCATTAGGTGATTTCATCACTACGTGAACATGATATGGTATACTTACACAACCGTACATAGTGTATCCTACTACATACCTACTACATACCTAGGCTGTATGGCACAACATATTGCTCCCAGGCTGCAAACCTACACAGCATGCTACTACACTGAATATTATAGGAAACTGTCATAACATAGGAAGTATTTGTGTATCTAAACATATGTGAACATAGAAAAGAAATGGTAAAAATACGGTATAAAAGATTTAAAATGGTACACATATATAGGGCACTATATGGAGCTTGCAGGACTGGAAGTTGTTCTGGGCAAGTCAGTGAGTGGTAAGTAAAAGTAAAGGTCTAAGACATTATTGTAGGCTCCTGTGTAAGCACCACACTTAGGCTACACTAAATTTATTTTAAAAATATTTTTCTTTCTCCAATAATAAATTAACCTTAGCTGACTGTAACTTGTTACTTTATAAACTTATAATTTTAAAAAATGATTATTTTATAATTATACTTAGCTTAAAACACAAACACATTGTACATCTGTATAAAAATATATTTTCTTTATATACCTATTCTATAAGGCTTGTCTAATTTTAAATTAAAAAAATTGTTTTTGGTTTTTAAACTTTTTTGTTAAAAATGAAGACACGAACATACACATTACCTTAGGCCTACACAGAGTCAGATTCATCAATAAAACTGTCTTCCAATTTCACATCTTATCCCACTGGAAGGTCTTCAGAGGCAATAACATGCACGGAGCTGTCATCTCCTGTTATAACAATGCCTTCTTCTGGAACACCTCCTGAAGGAACTGCCTGAGGCTGTTTTACAGCAGCTTTTTTTTTCTAATAACAGAAGTACACTCTAAAGTAATGATTAAAAAGTGTAGAACAGTAAATAAACTAGTAACAAAGTCATTTATTATCATCAAGTACATAATTGCAGGTGCTATACTTTTGATGTGACTGGCAGCGCAGTACATTTATATGTATACACATATGCACATATGTATATATACATATATATGTATATGCACATATGTATATATACATATATATGTATATGCACATATATGCACACATGTATATATACTTTTTTCTTTACACTGGTTATTTCCACATCTCATTAGGAGACAAGCTGAAACATCTTCCAAAGCTGTAATAGCAGTTAGGTCCTCTGAAGCCTTCAAGTACACAGAGCTTATTCAGAATTAGAGGATTAAAAAATACATTTTAAAAAGTAGAAAAAGTGCTATTATAAAGTAACTATATCTCAGCATTTGAAATAGTAAACATTTATACATGCAATTTCTTTTGCAGGCCATAATTAATGAGTAATAGTTAATTTGGTGCTTTGATCTCTTCCTCGGCCAGAAGGACACTGTCCATAAAAACAAATTAGAAGACAAATTTAGATATTGTCATAGAACATCACAGTCCCCGGCTGGGTGCAGGGGCTCACGCCTGTAATCCCAGCAGTTTGGGAGGCCAAGGTGGGTGGATCGCGAGGTCGAGAGATCGAGACCATCCTGGCTAACACGGTGAAAACCCGTCTCTACTAAAAATACAAAAAATTAGCCGGGCGTGGTGGCGGGTGCCTGCAGTCCAAGCTACTCAGGAGGCTGAGGCAGGAGAATGGCGTGAACCCGGGTGGCGGAGTTTGCAGTGAGCTGAGATTGCGCCACTGCACTCCAGCATGGGCGACAGAGCGAGACTCCGTCTCAAAAAAAAAAAAGAAAAAAGGAACATCACAGTCCCAGAAGGAACCTCAAAAACTTAATAGTTAATGATTTCCTAATTCTAGCTCCCTAGATCTTAAGGGACCAGTGGAAGCAATAATGAAGATCTGAGAATGAATGTCATTGTTTCATAAGACTGGACAAAATGGTACAGGTCTATGAATAAGTTGTTTTATTGGAAAAGGGAATCAACCAGTGTAGAGGAAGAGTAATTTGTACTCATAGTGAACTTTGACCAGAAATTTTGTATGTTTTTATTTTATTAAAAAGTAGAAAAAGTGATCACTATACAGTTTGGTTTACAAACCATTTTAAATAACGTTCCACAAATGGAACAAAAAGAATCACTGACCTAATTCAAACTCCTGGTTTTTAAGTATGGAAAAAAGTAGCAACATAGTGCCATGAATACAGCCCATATTTCAAACATTCTCATAGATGAACATGTTCCTAATTTTTTTTCCAAGCATAACATATAAAAAGAGATCCCTTTCTGAAAATTTTAGATCAATGGTTAGGGTCTAGGACCAAAATGGCTCAAAGAGTCTAGAAAAATATGGCTCACAGTGAACCAATATGGCTCAATATTAGTGTCTAGAACCAATATGCCACAAAGTCTTCTCTCATTTTTATATGCTAAGTCTAGGTGTGACACCACAATTGAAGCCAAGGCTGGAAGTGAGGTGCAGCTGACCAAATAGAGATCTCATGGTGACTTATTTTATCTGGACCCACATCACTATGCTTGGTCTGCTTTCTTGTCCAGGCAGCCAGTTAATACCATTCTCAGAGCCAGGTATGCAAAATAAAGGACTGTAAGAAGCCAGGAAGTAAAGTGTAAAATATTGGTACACCCTAAGCAAAGTCAAATATCCTGCAAGCCCAAAGGAAGTATTACCCCAAGAGTCCAATCACTATGTTAAAGGCATCCTGTTTCACTGATAATGCTAAATGAAATGTTTCCCATTGTGTTTGGGTTGCTAACATTTGTAAATTCTCTCATTAACTACTGTTCTTCATTTTCTCTCAGGCTTCGTACGATCAGCTCAGAAGTTGACTTTAAGACTGGATCCCATTAGGTTAATGAGACACCCCAGCATCTAACAGTACAGTCCTCTCAATCTATAAATATCTTCTACTTTTAGAGACATCACCAGACAGAAGTAGACCTTCCAGAAGTCTCCTACATTTTAAATTGAGGTTGGAAAGTTTTATCAGCTAGTCAGAACCCCAAAGACCTACTTTGATAATGCTATTCAAGTCTAAAAACTACATTTTCTGGTAATTGGAGCTAGACACCCCTATGCCACTTCTTTCTTCATTCCTTTCAATTGCCTCCACAGAGGGGCAGAAAACACCCACTCCTTGCTGGATGCTTGTTTTTATCAAAGACTCTAGACCAGAAACCACAAAAAAAGATATAAGGTAGCATATTAAACACCATCACTTAAAAAAAAAGACAGCAAAAGAATGAGGTTGGGAAGATTCTGAACAACAGTATAAACTATCTGATGCCATAAAACCCTTTACCTTCTATCCCAAATACATCTCATCCTGAGATTCCTAACTTAAAATATTTGACCAAAACAAAAAGCCTGAGACAAATGTTAAAATTGTGACTTACGCCAGGTTAATTCTATTCCAGCTAGGGTTTGAACTACATCACACCACTGAAGGAACTGTTTCCTACAGCAGAGGTCATTTTCTATATGGTTATTTGTGACATAGTGCACTACATGGTGGTCAATTGTGTAAAACCTCATTATCGTAATGACAACAGCAATAAGAAGTCTATCATGGTTATTATATTTTTGTCTCAACTCCGAAGATTCAAATAAGTGGAACAATAACTTTCTATATGGTAGAGTTATATATAAATAAGATGGAAAGTAATGGGTTTTTTATCTTTAGAACTCTTCAGGAGAGCAGAGATTAGAGTAACCCTCAGGGAAGATGATGTTAAAGGAGCCATACATGACGTAGAAAAGGTTATCTTAAAATTACAAGGATTTTCACCAAGGTTCTAATTTTGTGGAAGACTATATTTTCCACAAACTGGCTCACAGGCCGAATTGGGTTACTGCAGCGTATTTTATTTTGCAAACTTAACCATCATTATTATTAATCACAAAATGCTAAAACAAATCATTGTAAATGGAAAAAGAAGAGGATTTCAGTAACATTGATTTCCTAAGGGCCAGGCTGTGTGGAAGATGCATTAATGCTCTTGGTAATGCCCTAATCTGATAAGCATTACTTCCCCATTTTACTGAAGGAAAGAGACCTTAGCAAGGTTAAATAACTTGCTCAAGGTCATGAGGCTGGTAAGTGATAGAACTGGAACTAGAGTCCAAGTTTGTCTAATTCTAAAACAACACTGTGATCAATCCCAACATGAGTCCTTTCCTTTGACCATTTTACAAAAGGCTTGACTTCTGTCATCAACGGTACTTACTTTTTTAAAAAACTGAACTCTCCCAAAGTATCATAACTCAGAATAATTTGGCCACTATTCGTTTTCATTCATGCTTATTGATTATTCCCACTAAAAAAACCCAAATTTAATATATTCCAAACATTTTATAAAATTAAAATGTAACAGGTAATATTGTAAAAAGGTGATAGAATAGGAAGCACCAAGAATTTCCCCACTAAGGCAACAATCATACTGGCAGAATCTGTCTGATGATAGGATTTTGGAACTCTGTAGTCTACTGAAGGCTTACCACTTCCAGGGGAAGACTCAAATAATAAATTACAGTTAATTTTAGTCAACTTCAGCTCTTAGCACAGTAGCAGTTACCAGTACCCCAACCCTCAGCCCTGTGGCAGGCAGCTGTGCACATATTCCTAGAGCAGCTTGCATAAAACCTGCAGGAGCAAATGTGGGCAAAAAGGGCCTTGTTCTCCAAATATCTGGGATCCATGCCCTGATCACTGATGCTTCTGATCATGGAGATTTAGACAAAGAGTGATAGCCTTTTTTGTTACTCCCTCCATTGTTGCAAATCCCTCCTCATCTGACTGAAATGATTTTTAGGGAATTTATAGAGATAGCTTTTTTTTTCATTTTTCTCTTTTTCTCCTTTTGTGAACCAGAGATTGAATACTAGGATAGTCAAAAGCAACTACATATACAAGAAAAATTTGAAAGTCATTGTGCATGCCCAGGGAAAGGCACAGGCTCAGAAAAGACCTGAGAAGACCTTAAGTTTACAGTTCAGCCTAATCTTCAGAAAAGAGGCAGCCTACAACAACTACAAACAAATAAACAACAACAACAACAACAAAGCAAACAGCAAGCACTGAGGAATGGGAGGAAATCTGATTTCCAGAGATACAACACTATTAGGTTCAGAAGCTCAATTTAAAACCAAATATCACAAGGAGCACAAAGGAACAGAAAAGTATGGTCCATTCAAAGGAAAAGAAAAAAACAATAGATACGGTTCCTAAACAAGACCTAGTGGCAGTATTAGCAGATCTACCAGACAAATACTTTAAAACAAGTGTCTTAAAGATGTTTAAAGAATTAAGACACACATGGAGAAAGTCAAGAAAGAGATATAGGTAAAGAAATGAAAATATCAAGAAAGACATAAATTCTAAAAAGAAACCAAAAAGAAAGTCTGGAGTTGAAAAGGAAACTAACTGTACTGGAAAATTCACTAGAGGAATTCAAAGGCAGATTTGAGCAGGCAGAAAAATTAGTAAACTTGAAGGGAGGACCACGGAAATACCAAGTCTGAGAAAGAAAAAAGATTGAAGAAAAGTGAACAGAGGCTAAAGGACCTGTGGAACACCATTAAGCAGACCAACATAGATATTGTGGGAGATCCAGAAACAGCAGAGAAAAAGGAAGAAGCAGAGAAAACATCTAAAGAAATAATAGATGGAAAATTGCCAAATTTGATGAAAGACATAAGTATAAACATCTAAGAAGCTCAATAAACTTCAAGTAGCATGAATTCAAAGAGACTCATACCAAAATACATTGTAATTAAATTGCTGAAAGACAAAGACAAAGAGAATTTTTAAAGAAGGAAGAGAGAAGTGATTCATCACATTACAAGGGATCCTCAAGACAATCAGCAGATTTCTCATCAGAAACTTTTAGATTCCAGAGGCAGTGGACTGATATATTCAGAATAACAAGAGAAAAAAAAAAGGTACACCAAGGTATGGCAAAAAATCCCTTCAAAATTGAGGGAGAAGTTAAGACATTTCTAGATAAATACAGGCTGAAGGAGTTCATTACCACTACACCTTCTGCAATAAATGCCAAAGACTTTTTTTTGGCAGAAGTTGAAAAACCCATCTTAAATTCATATGGTATCTCAAGGGAACCCAAATCACCAAAACAAACCTGAGAAAAAAAGAAGCATAAAGCTGGAGGACTCACACTTCCTGATAACAAAACTTACTACAAAGCTACAGTAATCAAAATAAAGTTATATTAGCCTAAAGATAAACATATGCAGCAGTGGAATAGAATAGAAAGTCCAGAAATAAATTGTTGCATATATGGTCAAATGATTTCAGAAAGGGGTGCCAAGACCATTCAATTGAGAAAAGACAGTCTTTTCAACAAATGGAGCTTGGAAAACTTGATATCCACATGCCCAAAGCATAAAGCTGGATCCTTACCTAACACCATATACAAAAATTAATACAAAATGGATCAAAGACCTAAATATAAGACATAAAACTAAAAACTCTTGTTAAAAAATATATATATAGGGCAAAAGCTTCACAACATTGAATTTTGCAATAGATTTCACATCAAAGGCACAGGAAACAAAAGAAAAAATAAATTGGACTTCATGAAAATAAAAAGATTTTTGTGTATCAAAAGACGCTATTAACAGAGTAAAAAGGCAACACACAGAATGGAAGAGAACACTTGCAAACCATATATCTGATAAGAGATTAATATCCAGAATATATAAACTCCTAAAACTCAACAAAAAACAACCACCAGATTCAAAAATGAGCAAATGACTTCAGTAGACATTTCTCCAAAGAAAATATACAAGTGGCCAACAGGCACACGAAGAGATGTTCAACTTCACTAACCATTAGGGAAATGCATCTCAAAACTATAATAAAACACCACCCACCTCCCAACCTTTAGGATGGCTACTATCAGAAAAAAAAAAAAAAAAAAAAAACAGAAAATAACAAGTGTTCACAAGAATGTGGAAAAAAATCAAACTCTGTGCACTGTTGATGGGAATGTAAAATGGTATAGCTACTTATATGGTCTGGCTGTGTCCCCACCAAAATCTCATCTTGAACTGTAATTCCTACAATTCCCATATGTCATGGGAGGAACCTGGTGGGAGGTGACTGAATTATGGGGGTGGGTCTTTCCTGTGCTGTTCTCCTGATAGTGAATTAGTCTCACAAGATCTGATGGTTTTAAACAATGGGAGTTTGCCTGCATAAGCTCTCTCTTTGCTGCCATCCACTTAAGATGTGACTTGCTCCTCCTTGCCTTCCGCCATGATTGTGAGGCTTCCCCAGCCACATGGAACTGTGAGTCCAATTAAACCTCTTTCTTTTGTAAATTACCCAGTCTCAGATACATCTGTATCAGCAGCGTGAAAATGGACTAACACAGTAAATTGGTACCAGTAGAATGAGGTGCTGCTGAAAAGATACCCAAAAATGTGAAAGCAACTTTGGAACTGGGTAGCAGGCAGAGGGTGGGACAGTTTGAAGGGCTCAGAAGACAACAGGAAAATGTGAGAATGTTTGCAACTTCCTAGAGACTTGTTGAATGGTTTTGACCAAAATGCTGATAATGATATGGACAATGAAATCCAAGCTGAGGTGGTCTCAGATGGAGATGAGGAACTTGTTGGGAACTGGGGCAAAGGTGACTCTTGTTATGTTTCAGCAAAGAGACTGGCAGCATTTTGCCCCTGCCTTAGAGTTTTGTGGAACTTTGAACTTGAGAGAGATGATTTAGGGTATCTGCTAGAAGAAATTTCTAAGCAGCAAAGCATTCAAGAGGCGACTTGGATGTTGTTAATCGCATTCAGTTTTATAAGGTAAGCAGAGCATAGAAGTTTGGAAAATTTGCAGCCTGACAATGCAATAGGAAAGAAAATGTCATTTTCTGAGAAGAAATTCAAGCTCGCTGCAGAAATTTGCATAAATAACAAGGAGCCAAATGTTAATCCCCAAGACTATGGGGAAAATGTCTCCAGGGCATCTCAGAGGTCTTCACAGCAGCCCCTACCATCACACACCCGGAGGTCTAGGAGGAAAACATGATTTCATGGGCCAGGCCCAGCGTTGTCATGCTGTGTGCAGTCTAGAGACTCATGCCCTGCATCCCAGCTGCTCCAGCCATGACTAAAAGGGGCCAAGCATGGCCCATGACTTCAGAGGGTGCAAGTCCCAAGCCTTGGCAGATTCCACTTGGTGTTGAGACTGCAGGTGCACAGAAGTCAAGTACTGACGTTTGAGAACCTCCAAATAGATTTCAGAGGATGTATGGAAATGCCTGGATGTCCAGGCAGAAGTTTGCTGCAGGAGCAGCACTCTCATGGAGAATCTCTGCTAGGGCAGTGCAGAAGGGAAATGTCAGGTGGGAGCCCCCACACAGAGTCCCTACTGGAGTACCACCTAGTGGAGCTGTGAGAAGAGGGCCACCATCCTCCAGACCCCAGAATGATATATCCACCAACAGCTTGCACCACATGCCTGGAAAAGCTGCAGACACTCAACATCAGCCCATGATAGCAGCTAGGAGGAAGGCTGTACCCTGCAGAGCCACAGGGGATGGAGCTGCCCAAGACCATGGGAACCCACCTCTTACATCAGCATGACCCAGATGTGAGACCTGGAGTCAAAGGAGATCATTTTGGAGCTTTAAAATTTGACTGCCCTGCTGGATTTCGAACTTGCATGGGCCCTGTAGCCCCTTTGTTTTGGCCAGTTTCTCCCACTTGGAATGGGTGTATTTACCCAATGCCTGTACCCACATTGTATGTAGGAAGTAACTAACTTGCTTTGATTTTACAGGCTCATAGGTGGAAGGGACTTGCCCTGTCTCAGATGAGACTTTGGACTGCGGACTTTTGAGCCCATGCTGAAATAAGTTAAGACTTTGGGGAACTGTTGGGAAGGCATGATTGGTTTTGAAATGTGAGGACATGAGATTTGGCGGAGGCCAGGGTGGAATGATATGGTTTGGCTGTGTCCCCACCCAAATCTCATTTTGATTTGTAGCTCCCCTAATCCTCACATGTCATGGGAGGTACTCAGTGAGAGGTAATTGAATCATGGGGGTGCGTTTTTCCCATGCTGTTTTTGTGATAGTGAATATGTCTCATGAGATCTGATGGTTTTACAAAGGGCAGTTCCCCTGCACATGCTCTCTTGCCTGCCACTATGTAAGATGTGCCTTTGTTCCTCCTTTGCCTTCCACCACGATTGTGAGGCCTCCCTAGCCATGTGGAACTGTGAGTCCATTAGTTTTCTTTTTCTTTATAAATTAACCCAGTTTTAGTTATTTCTTCATAGCAGCATTAAAATGGACTAATATACACCCTAAATGTTATTTACTCTGTGTATGTATTCATATTTAGAATAATGACTCAAATTTAATCATAGTTAAAATGATTAACTTTTAATTAGAAAGTATTCTAGTAAAATAGGTAAATTTTATGGTTAAACTTTCCTTAAACATGGATAATTATTGCACCTAATTTACTAGGTTGTTGTGGAAATGAACAAACTAATACATGTAAAATACATGTCTCATCCTAAGAAGTACTAAACAAATGTTAACTATTGTTATCATTATTTGTTTTGTTTTCTTTGTTTTGAGACGGAGTCTTGCTCTGTCGCCTAGGCTGGAGAGCAGTGGTGCAATCTCAGCTCACTGCAAGCTCCATCTCCCAGGTTTATGCCATTCTCCTATCTCAGCCTCCCGAGTCGCTGGGACTACAGGCGCCCACCACCACGCCCGGCTAATTTTTTGTATTTATAGTAGAGATAGGGTTTCACCACGTTAGCCAGGATGGTCTCGATCTCCTGACCTTGTGATCCGCCCGCCTCAGCCTCCCAAAGTGCTGGGATTACAGGCATGAGCCACTGCGCCCGGCCCCTGTTATCATTATTTTATTGTTATCGTTGTCAATCCATTATTAACAGAAACCCATAGTTTAACAATAAATTGTGTTCTGTTCTACCTGTATACCATTCTGGACCAGAATTTGAGATATTAGGAACTTCTTTTTATAGTTTTTCTGATTTTCCTAATGACTGTGACTACATGTATAAATAAATGAGGAAAGAGACACTTGGGAGGCAAACTCCAAAGTATGACCCATGACTTCCTTTTCTCATTTCTGTTCTACATAATAAAGTTCTGATTGGGATAGACAAAAAGTGCTTCAGACACTCCAAAATATCAGCTGGAGCTGAAGAGACCAGAATTAGAAACACAACATCCAGTAGAACCAAGGTCTCAACAGCCTTATTTCTAGTTTTTTAATTCACTTAAAAACTTTACTTGTTTGGAAACATACAGATTTTGTTGTTCTTTCTTTTCTTCTTCTGCTGCTGCTGGTAATGATACACACATTTGCTTTTTATGGTGTCTTTTTCTCTCGGAAAGATATATGTGTGAGAAAGCATATCATCATTAAAATACTTTCTCAATTTCAAAATAGGATTTGCAGTATAAATAAGCAAGTATTAAGAGGAAACTTCAAAATGTTCATGGAATATGTGTATTATGAAAAAATATGGATAAATTTCTAAATTATTTTGCATCAAAATAAACTTGTACTAACTTATCACATGTCTGAACAGGTTCTAGTTTAAGGCACTAAGAGGAATAAGACATAAACCTCTCTCTTTTGTACATTACCCAGTCTCAGGTATATCTTTATCAGCAGTGTAAAGATGAACTAATACAGCTACCATGGGGAACAGTATGGCAATTTTTTTCCAAAAATTAAAAATAGAATGACCATATGATCCAGCAGTGTCACTTCAGGGGATAAATTCAAGTGAACTGAACACACAGTCTTGAAAAGATATGTGTACACTCATGTTAATGGCAGCATTATTCACAGTATCTAAAATGTGGAAGCAATCCAAGTGTCTAACAACAGATAAATGAATAAATAAAATGTGACACACACATACAATGGGATATTATACAGCCTTACAAAGTAAGGAAGTTCTGACATATGCTTCAAAATGGATGAAATTTAAGGACGTTATACTAAATGCAATAAACTAGTCCCAAAAATGAAAAATACTATATGATTCCACTTATATGAAGCATTTAGAGAAGTCAAAATTGTAGAGACAGTAGAATTGTGATTGTCAGAGGCTATAGGGCGGTAGAAATGGGAAGTAATTTTTTAATAGGTATAGCATTTCAGTTTTGCAAAATGAAAAGAATTCTGGAGATGGATGGTAGTGATGGTTGCACAACCATATGAATGTACTTAACACCACTGAACTGTATACTTAAAACATGCTTAAGACGGTACATTTTATGTTATGTGTATTTTATCACAAAAAAATATTGGAAGAAAAAGTAGGCTATTACAATCTAGATAGTGCATCTCAAAACTCGTCAGGCTAATATATATATATGTCTTATTTTTCAGTATTACTAAATCTGGAGTTAGATCTCAGTTCAATTATATATTACTGTTTCTTCAATCAATACATGAGAATTTTCAGAAATTATGGAAGATCTGAATCTGTTTACTGACACCTATTTAGGATGACAAAGCACCATAAAACTAATAATAATCTCTTGATACATTTAGTAGTAGTCTAGTATTGCTCAAAAATTAATCAACTGTTTTGAAAACAAAGTGTTTAAAATGTCTTGTTTTAGAGGCAGAGAATTCAGCCTACCTTAATAAAAAGCCAAATTGATTTTTCAACCCCTTTTTTTCTTTGCAATTTTATTGTTATAGAGTGACAACAGTAAAGTCTCCCTTTTAAATTGTATTTATGACCAATCTCTCTATATTTCTAATAGTGTTAAATCATACAACTTAATTTATTTCCAGTACTCTTTGAAGACAAGAGTTACACTTGACCAATCTCAGTACTTACCACAGCAATCAGTGCAACAACTTAATACTAGTGCTTCAAAATGCTTTAACTTGGATCAGGATTCCTAGAATTGAAGATTATTAAGTCAAACCTTGAGGCTGAGTTTAGTTTTCAAGGAGGCTGTGACCTCAGGGCATGATTACTACAAAGGCATCATATCAATTCTGTGCTGTGCTTTTGTTCTTGTTTTAATTATAATTTAACCAGAAGAAAATATTTCAGATGTGCTCAAGCAATATTTTCACAGTTCTTAAAGCATTTCTTTATTATCTTCAAAAACTTACACTAGTTATAATGACATCATGGTTTTCATGGCATTAAAAAGAATAGAAAGCATTACTTTTCAGGCCAACAATAGAAAGAAAAAGTACTTCCCATGCCTCTATTATTTTCTGTTTGTCCAGGTCTATCCAAAAAGAAATGTGCAATTTTCCCTAATTTTTAACCATCTTTAAATTTAATTTTTAAAAATTATTATATCAAAGAAGAGATACTTGGGAAAAACTATAATCAAATTGATGTATATAAAAAGCAAACTGTGACCAGGTGGTACTTATAATAATAAATAAACATGAATGGTTTAATTTAACTACAAATAACTATTATTAAAAATATTATTTAAATTTGAAAACTCTTTTTTTTGTTTGTTTGTTTGTTTTCTACTTTATTCCAAGATCACATCCTTGGATATTCTTTGTATAAAATAATTAGTCACAAAAGAGAAATACAGATTTTTAAAAAATGAAAAAGGCTTGACATATGTATGATTCTAGCCATATGAAAATTAGACATGAGATGTGAAAATGATCAAGGACTATGCCAAATCTTCCCTCTTCATCCTAAATAAGCACAAACTGCCTGCCTATTTGAAGAAGGAGGAAAGGTGGATGATGTATCCAATAGCTCAGACCTGGCATAGGCAAGCATACAACACTAGGTACATTCTGTCAGCTCTCAAGGGGCCACTGCTTGACCAAACCTCAGGAAGGGAGCAATGAAGTCAACAGTAGTTCTTCCAGACTAATTAAACTGGAGGACTCTCATCATTCTTCATTCTGAAAGGGGCCAATGTCTGTTGCTTTGTTCCTACTCCCTGGAAATTAAAGGATATAAGAGTTTTAAGCGTCTTCCAGTCCTGGTGTAGCCTGGTGTAGGTACCTGGAGGTGAAACATTGCTTCGGTCCTTTATTCTTCAGACCTTCTAAAGTCTCAAATCAGCATGTAATCCATGAAGGCACAGATATCTCTTCTGTCTCATCAATAACACACACAACACCTTCTGTGGACATCTTCCACAGGAGGAATAGGTGAAAGGCAACAGGTCTTCAGACATCGAGTTCTCTCATTACAGCAGATATGCAAATGTCAACATGTCGAAATCAGCCCTCAAAAACTTTCTTTTCTAAATCCACTGTTAATAGCTAAAAACTTATGCCTATTTTTAGTATCAAACATTTCATTTACCAGATTAAGCTGTATCACAGCTCACAATCACCAGTCAAATGTTCTCAATCATAGGCATATTGGCTCATATTTTTTAAGTGGACTTTTTAAAAAGTGCCTCTGCAGCTAGACTTACTAAAATAGGCATGGCAAGAATATGTTTTTGAAGGGATCAAATCACAGAGCAAAAGTCTTAAGGCAGGTAACTAGGGCTGTTTTCATTGTAACTTTGCAGCTGCCCACAAAGACTTCATTTAGTCCTGCTCAAAATCTAACAAAGGTAAAATGTCTCTGATATTAACCAGATGTGACTATCAGATATTTTAGAAGAGAGGCTCTCTTTATGGTTCCCAAATTGTTAACCTCAAGCTTCCAAGAACCCCTACCCTACCAGTAAAGATCTCTGTTAGATGCCTCAGGGAGCTCAACAGTGGTATGAACTGAGGACAAGTCAGGAGGGAGAGTGTTTTGACCAGACCTTTCCTGAGTTTATCCAATTTACACTCTATTTTATTAGATAACCTCTAGTGATTTCATCTGAACGAAGAATTACAAATGTTAAAAAAAAAAAAGTTGAAAACCTCTGTCCTAGATAAACCCCCTTGATCTTAAAATCAGCCCACAGGGAAATCACTGAGCTAGGTAACCCAGTAGAGCCATTAGCTAGTCAGTTCTTCCACTCACAACCAGTTCCCTCTGACGACAGTCCAGAGGAATTAGCAAGGAGATGCTGTTCTAGCAAGTTGAAAAAAATCCAATTTCTTTAGATTATGAAACACATCACATAAAGCCTACTAACCAAAAAAACCTTTATTTTGGCAAATTGTAGACCACAAAATATGATTGTGAGCTGCCACTACTCACAGGGGAGATTTTATGGTATTAGAGAGTAAATGCCAGGACTCTGTGGGAGAAATCTATTTCATCTGGGATTCTCATCCAGAAGTGTCTTCCCAAGAAGTGTGTAAAATGCCTGCCATTGTCATGACTCCTGACCACCAGACTTTCATTTCAAAGGTGTAGAAGTAGGGAGGAAAAGCACATCAACACCCCCTTGCCAAAGACCACCAGAAGCACGTCTTTAGTTAACAAGCTGGGTTTGTTACACGTTGCTGAGATGGAGAACGTACAGCAGAGGGAACCATGAGCATCTCAGTAAGAGACTGTTGAAAAGAACCTATTATTAACAGCATTTGGGCTTTGGCTGGGTAATTTTGAGAAAAGTCTAAAGAAGTAGAGCATTTTTCTAGATTGGATGCTATCAGAAAGTGGGGACGATTCTATGATTGAATATCTCAATAATTCTTACCTATAATTAGGGCAGACTAGAGCAAGGATAAAGCTGTAATTGGTAAAGGATTAACAGTCACTCATACATGATAATATTGACTGAGAACAGGAAAGGGTCAATGCTAGACAGAAAAAGACATTGTTCTTGATTGTTCACACTGGGTAGGAATCATTGTCAATTCCTTTGTACAGGAAACCCTGTTGATTTCAGAAACTCACTGAGTAATATCTATGTCTAGATCATATTCCAGGCCATAGCTACATACGTCACTCAAGGCATTCTTCTGTCCTCTTTGATAAAGCCTATGTTAAATTGCCTTTCATGCGATCATCTCATACAGTTACCTGGATAGGTAATATGATGATTTCAGTCACATTTCTGATGTCCAGAATGGGCGAAATCAGCTAAGTGTCACTGCCTGTTTCTCAAACTATCTATGGTGAAGAGACAGTTTTTCTCCCCAGTCAGTACCAGACTAGTATTTTAGTACATATAAAATAAATACAATTTGATAAAATAAAAACTAATTACTAGAATAATAAAATGAAAAAAGACAGAAAACACCAACACATTTTTAAAACTGTTATTATTAGACCCAACAGACACATTAACTGTCAAAATTGCTATAAAAGTTCCTAAACACTTAGCCTGACTATTGGTATTTGTCTTGTCACAAACCTGAGTCTACGTAGCACACTTAACCCTCAACCACAAAACTGAAAAGCAACATATGGGTATTAAATTTGAAAATGAAGAATTGAAGCCACCGCACAGAAAGTACTGCATCTTGCATTCATAAAGTAATGTTATTTGGACAAATTCTGACAGAGAATCTGCTCATTTCCCACATTAGAATTCTGTGAGGAAGCTAAAGAACACTTTCAAAATACTTTCTTTACGAGGATATCCAAAGTTTCCACATAAGGAGTAAAATACGGTCATTTTGAAGGAATCTATGCTTCTTTGGAAAGTTTTCAGAATACTTTGAACAAAATAAGGAAATAAAATCTTCCAATGTAATACAAGGAAAAACATTAACAAAAAAAAATGCTAAAATATTTGACTTTTGTTTCTTGGAATAATGTCGTCTTCGCATTATTCCAAGAAACAAAATTGTCACAAATTAAGCCAAAATGCATATCTTTGACAGCAAAATGCTTTCTAGTGTCTTTTTCTGAACTTAAAATGTAACATAACAATGAAGCCTCCTTTCCACCTCCACCTTCCAAACTATGCAGAAGCCATGGCTGCACTCCCAGCACCTGCAAACATACGCACAAAACAGAAGGAGTCTTACCAGACCATCACAGTTGCTGATGGCAACAGAGGTTCCTGGAATGTCCACGATGTCACCAACATAAGCACAGTTAGTCTGCAAAGGCTCTGTTCTCCGGATTCTATACGTAGCACTTCCTGGTTGATGGTTGTTAATGGGATCGGTTATATTCCCAGGCACCAGAGATGTCTCATGCCACTCCACAACAGCCCCAGGAGCTACTAGTTGAGTGTTGGGCTTTAGTCGCAGATGAAAATCTTTTCCAAATGCCGTGATGTTAAAGAACAACTGCTCAGGGTTGGAAGACACGTCCCTCGCTGACCTCTTTTTGTGACTCGCAGAAAGAGTATGGGAGAGATAGCGTCCTTCTAGATTTGTGCTGACTGGAGTCACCAGCTCATACTCTCTATATCTCTTTATTGGTAAATCTGTGGGGTGAAAAACAGAACTGTCAAACCCTGTACAATAAGAGAACACAGGAGAACATAACACAGACAAAAGCTGCCCACCTCACAAGACCATACTTCAATGTGCATAATATAGACATTCCTGAATCAGCTCATAAATATTAAATTTTGAGAACAAAAATCATTTCTCAAATGCATTTAAGTAACCCTGTGTTCAATGAATCATTTTTTACTTAAAATAGTATTAAAATTACATTGTAAATATTTACATCTCATTAATACATTTGCAAACACGAATATAATGTGTCCATAAACTATAAATGGCTTGCTTAAAATCAAGGCATGCCCTTAATTAATTTATTATTGGCATAACTGACATCTGCTAAAAACTTTTAACAAGGTTATTATGTAGAAAAAAGAATTCTGATTGTTTTCATTTTTTCCCTGTAGAAATCCTGGAATTTAGACTAATTACAATAACTATATTACATGAGTCTGTAATGTATACACTGTAGCTTACAATGCTGTAATTTATACACATTTTTTCCACCATAACAACCCTAACAACCATACTTCACAGGTGAGAAAACTGAGATTCAGGGGTAGGAGGTCCTTTGTCCAAGGTCAAACAACTGCAAAGCCTGAATATAAATCCAAGTTGTACTCCTAAGCCCATACACTCATTCTATCCTACCATGCTTTCCTCCATAAACCTCCATTTTTAGAAAATTAGAAGAATGGGTAAAGAAGACATAATAATCTTTAAATCAAATATGCAGGTACTGGTTAGTCAAGAGGGAACAGCATTCTCATTTTGCACCTTATTCCTTAAGTGGGACAGATATCTATTAGAATATGAAAGAGTATTTGGGACCCACCTTACAATATGGGCAGACACTTACATGTTAAACTGAATTTCACAATTAGCACTTAAACCCCTGGCTTAGCCAAATATAAGTATTTTGTCTATCAAAATGCAAACACCCTTGGGAAATAGAACACTTTAAAGGAACTATTATAAGAATGATTTTAAGACCACAGGACAATGGATACTAGAGAAGGAAACAAGCAGCAGGGCAACAAGGGTAAAAAAAAAAAAAAGAAGAAGAAGAAGAAGAAGAAGAAGAAGAGGAAGAGGAAGAAGAAGAAGAAGAAGAAGAAGAAGAAGAAGAAGAAGAAGAGGAAGAGGAAGAGGAAGAGGAAGAGGAAGAGGAAGAGGAAGAAGAAGAAGAAGAAGAAGAAGAAGAAGAAGAAGGCATAGAAAGGGAAATCTAAAAACATGAACTAAAAAGTTTCCCACTTTCACAATTCTAGCCTTACGCTAATCCTATAGTGTGTTAAAGTGCCCTAAAAAATGGTATGATTCACAAAACTGCTCACCTATGGAGATCACGAGTTTTGTCATCCAATAATGTATTTAGAGCATGAGATCTGTAAATGAACCTACGTCTTATGCTCATAAAGTATCCTTGTAGAATCACTATTTTCATTATTTTCTTGCTTTTTAAAAACCTCAGGCAATAAGTGAAATGCCAGAAGACAAATAAAGGCATTTACTTGTGCAACATTTTAATTCTTTCTGTGCATGTTTGCTGTAATTATGCCTCTTAAAATTACCAATGTATTTAAATGAACTATCCCATTTTACTAAATGAATACAGCAAGCAACACTTGTAAATATTTACTAGGCAAAGAAGCAGTGAGGACTGTAGTATGAGTCAAGTGAAGCCTGATTCCAAAACTGGACAGACAGTGCAGTCCCTGCTGAACTAGACTAGGCACCAGTATAAACACAGACTTGGTCTTCCAAGAAGGTTGTGAGGAAGATTTGGTCTTCCTCCATGGTGAATACTTTTATAAACTCTGGTTTAGAGAGAAAAACAAACTCAAAATATAAGAGAATGAGCACAAGTGTCACGGGTGCAGAGTGACAGAGGGGAAAGTTTCCAAAGTAAGGAGATGAATCAAGCCCTTGTATGTGTACTGACAAAACATAGCCCAAATTAACTACAAAGTCCTTAAAGACAAAGAACTCCCCATTCAACTTGGTACTCCCAATACCATCATACAAGATTTTGTATGTGTCAGGGTGTCTTGCCAGTTGAATTTGTTTGATGCTTATTAAGTTAGTAATACCGGTAACCAGAGAACACTCGCCTTGTCTAAGCTGCTACACACACTGACTTACAAGACACATTACCCAGGCCCATGAGTGTCTGGCTGTCCCAGTAATCTCAGTTATAGCTTTTTCTCTAACCATCGGCTGACCATTTCAAGGGAAAGAGGAAGCAGTGCTTAATTTCAATGTATGGATTTCCCATCTCCACTGAAGGGAATTCACAAAACCAAAGTCTAAATCAGTATATTGTACTGATGCATGGATTAAGTGACTAGAGAACAAGAACATTTAGAAAAACGCAGGGAGCCTTCTCCATACCCAAGAGGATACTCACAGCCTCATACGTACAGTAAGCCATACATCCTAGATGTATGTTCCATTTTTATACTGTCAGGTATTATGTTCTAAATTTTTATTCAAAATATGAATGGTATGTTTCTATAAAGCTTTATTTTCTCTAATGCTAAATAATAAATCATTCCTAAAAAGTATACATAATAAACATTTCTTAAATGTTTGAATGAGTCATTTTTCTGTTGGCAATTAAGGTAATGAGGAAAAAGATACGATTGGCAACCCTTTGGATTACCATCTCCTGGATGGTAGTTAATGGAACTACCCAGTCACCTGCCATTTATTAGCAGAAAAAGCTCCAAGCTCTATGATTTGTGTTTGAGAATATATCATCTCTAATACTCACAACAATCACAGTAGGTAAATCCTATTACCCCTATTCTATAAACGAGAAAGCAGACCTAGAAGACTTGACACATATAAGCAAAGAGCCAAAGGAAAATTCCTGTTCTGATCATTTTGACTCTGAAGACCATGCTCCTATGCTCTCGTTCACTTCTGAATAGATGGAGCATCTTGCTGTCAAAGTCTAATTTAAGATCTGATTTATAAAAGAGAACTACCACAAGAATTACAATGTTCTACCTACCTGCAGCCAGTCAACCAATTTTTCCTCTAGTGTAGCATCAGAAATTTCTGTAAAAGGCTCTTACATTCTAGGTTTTGGAGGAAGAAACTGGAAGGAGGGGCAGAAGCTCAAAGCAATCAAAAGAATTTTAATCTCAGATTACAATCACAGAAGTAAAACCAAATTATATCCAACGTTAATTTACTGCATTCATAATTTTCACATTTTACAGGCCCAACTACTTTCACAAAGCAGGAAAGCCTATGGTTATTGAATGAACTGCAAAGTCAGAAAGCACTAAGTTGAGTCCACTTGTGATCTTCAGCAAGTTCTTTATTTTCTCTTAGGCTCAGTTTCCTCAACTGTTAACTGGAGGTTAGTAATAGTTACAACTTCATAGGTTTGGTGAGAGTTTTACATAAAATCATGTAGAAGATTCAATAAATATCAGCTATTACTAATTTAAGTGTAAGTTAGCCACTCATTAAAATAATGTTGTGGTTCAACTTTAAAGTTAGAAACTATAAAACTGTTAGCTGAGGTGGCTGAGGGGCCACAGTAATAGGTATGTGAAGGCTTTTGTGGGCCGTAAGTTCCACAGGCACAATTTCGAATGTGCTTCTTAACTGTTCTCCTTGCTTCTGCTCTTCCCCTTAATGGATTATCCTCAAAATAGAGCCAGAATAATTAAAGTGTCAAATCTTATCACTCTTCTCCTCAAACCCATCCCACTCAAAGTAAAATGGCTCATAAGGTCCCAGGGCTTGAAGCTGGGGATTCTCACATCTCAAAGATTTTGTACTTGCTGATTCCTCTGCCAAAGGATCTTTCTCTCAGCTGCCTGGCTCACTCTCTCAATTGCTTCAGACTTTTGCTTAAATGTGACCCTCTCAGTGAAGTCTTTCCTGACCACTAGCAACCATTTTACCCTCTGTCCCCCTTCTGTGTCTTACCTTTCGCCATAAATCCTGTCACCATCTGACATCCTATAAATTTTACTTATGTGTTTATTTATATATTCTTATATCTACCAGCATATATACTTCATGAAGGCAGAAGATTTTATCTGTTCTCTTCACCTCATTTCCCCACTGCCTAAAAAAGAACTTGAAGTTACTCAATAAATATCCATGAATGAAGAAATGAAGAAATGCGTGAATGAATGAGAGCAGTTTGAGTCGGAAGGGGTATGTGAAATTAGCATGCATCTTCTTTTGGCTAAATAGTCATTTTATCACCAAGCCATTAATGACGGCAAACTGTACAAGTCATCTACCTCTAAAGCCAGAATTTTGCTTGGAAAGCTTGTGTATATTTCTCACAGTTGCTGCTGCCCTACAAACCAAACATTTCTTAGTATCCAGGTCTTACCTTTTAAGCTACCAAAAACAAGAAATGGATCTAATCATTAAAACAGACCTCCTGTAAGACATACACAGAGCCCTGCATTCTTAAGAGCAGGAAGCAGGAAATTAGCCCCCACTCTGCCATCTCTTTGGATATTCATAGAATTATAACTATACAGGTCAAAAACTAAAAAGACCCAGAAGTTAGGGTCCCTAATCCCTGCTCTTTCTTACAGTTCAGAAATCTCAAGTAGATGGGATTATTTTTTCTCAAGTTAGTGGTAGAGAGCCTTTAACCTGCTCCTGCTCTCTGGAAGGAAAGGTTTTTCTCTGAGCACTCCAGGCTGCTCTCTATCCCTTCACTCACCCTTCCCTGGTGGAGAAGAGTGAATTATGTGGTTGGGAAGTCTGGGAAGCATAAGAAATTTGCAAACCTCAGCACCTCCTCCTCATTCTGCTTCCTGGAAATGAGTCTGATAAGGGGTACATGTTCTCTTCCACTCAGCCAGGGGCAGCGCTGCTCTGGATTGGGGAGGCCTGACAGGCACAGGGTGGAGTATTAGTAGCCAGTGCACTTGCCTGTCAAAGTGGAAGCCTCATTCTCCACTTCAGCCTTTTCTGTAAAAGATATTTTCTTTTTACCTACATCTTTAGTTTTTCTATTTCTCAACTTGTTCAGAAGCTAGGCAGTCAAGAAGGGTATTTTTTATTCAGGATCTCCTCAGTAACTTGAACTACCCCCAAGAAAAACTGTTGTCATATCTCCACTGGCAGCCTAATTATAATGTAAAAAAATTTTCTTGTCAGGGAATTCTCTTTTATCTAAATTCCTCATTCTAGAGTTTAATGTAATTCCTTCTTCCTCCTTGTACTATGTGAAATAACCACATTTTTGTATATATGTGCATGAGTGTATTTGTGATATGCATATAAATTTGTGCAGACATATGCAGTTAATATGCACAACCTACATCAAAAGCTTTGAAGAGGCAATGTTCTTTATTTCAATATACTTAGAAATTTTTTACTTTCTATGTTAATGTCAACCATGTTAGATTTTCCTAGTGGTTTCCAAACTTTAATCATTATGCCTTTACACATATCTGTGTTTTAGCATGATACCCTGCAAATAGTAAACCCTCAATAAATATAGGTTAAAAGAAAATTTCCCTTAAACTATAACCTGAACGGCTCTGTTCTCTATTGAGAATAACTTGTCTTACTCTCTCTTCATCCTTAATATATCTAAACCAAACTGAATGTTCACCTATTTGGCTTGCCCTCCTGACTTCGCTATTTCTGTTCATGATGTGCTGATTCTCCCAAATCAGGCTAGAGAGCTATTTTATACATGTCTTATAACTTTCCCCCATATGACATCATTCAAGTCCTACTGCTGTTTCTTTAGCAATTTCTCTCAAACTAACCCCTTTTCTTCTAATTGCTTTTAAGATCTCATCACCTCACACTGAAAAGCTGCAAGTACCAAGTCCAAATTCCCCACACAGAATTTCTCACTACTAAGTATTATACAAATTATACCAAAATACTGTCTAAATTGCTGTCAGGAAAATTATTTTAAAGGTCCAGATTGAAAATACTTAGGTTCTACCACTTACTACCCTAGTGATTTGGGTCACTACATTAGCTCTTATCTGTAAATTACGGGTAATAGTATTGACTTCATAGGCTTGTTGTAAAATTTAAATGAGCTAATCAATTCACAGTGCTTACAACACTGTCTGGCACATAGTAAATATTCAATAAATGCTGGCAATTAATGTCACTACATTATTCCACCTAACTAGCCTCAGTAGCTCACCATCACTTTAGGATAAAAGATATAGATTCACAAAATCTGTATCTTTTTCACGTCAGACCTAAAATTTGCTTAAAGACCATCTACTAATCAAACCCTCCCACTTCAAAAGTAGAAAACAGAAAATCAGAGATTAAGTAACTTAACCCAAATAAAAACTTAGGTTTGGTATTTAAAGCCCTCTGCACTCTGCCCCTTATTTCTTTTCAATATCATCTCTCATATTAGCCTACTGAAATATTCTGTCTAATGTGCTCACAAGACCTGGCTTAAGCATGCCTACATTCACAGCCCTACACTGCAGCATCACTACAGTAGAGGATCACTGTTTTCTCTCCACCAAGGCAAACTGAATGGGGCCGCCAAGGCCTATCTCAAGCCCCATCTTTTCCAAGAAACCTTCTTGGCAACTTATCCACAGAGTACAGACCTCCTGGCCTGAGCTTCCATAGCACTCCCTGTCAAGGCATTTAACAAAAACTCATGCAATGTCTGTACAAAAGTTTTTTAAAAATCTCTCTGGGAGAAGAGTTATATGCTTATGTTTCATCCTTTCAGAAACTATAAGATCTTTGGGTCAGAAATATAATATCTTAACTATGTTTAAATGGCTTGGTATGTTTGGATCTGTGTCCCCACTGAAATCTCATGTCAAATTGTAATCTCCACGTGTTAGAGGAGGAGCCTGGTGGGGGTGATTGAATCATGGGGGTGGACCTCCCCTTTGGTGTTCTCGTGATAGTGAATGAGTTCTCATGAGATATGGTTGTTTAAAGGTGTGTAGTACTTTCCCCTTAGCTCCCTCTCTCCTGCTGCCACATGAAGATGTGCTTGCTTCCCCTTCACCCTTCCACCATGATTGTACATTTCCTGAGGTCCCCCCTGTCATGCCTCCTGTATAGCCTATGGAACTGTGATTCAATTAAACCTCTTTTCTTCAAAAATTACTCAGTCTCAGGTAATTCTTTACATCAATGGCAAAACCCGCAATTACTTTTGCACCAACCTAAGAGCAGTGTGAGAACAGACTAATACATAGCCTTAGTGTATATTACAGGAAGGAAGGAAGGAAGGAGAGGGAGGGAAGTCTAACCAATGGCTCTGTCTGGAAGTGGAGCTTCTTGGGAGATTGCTCTGTGCTGGGGCTGGTAAGGTGCACTGTATGACATATGACAGACACAGTGGCCCATGCTCTAGGATCATCTTAACTCCTTTACATGTTCAGCCAGATATGCTACAACTTGAAACAGATATCTTGGTTTCCTTCTAAGTATGTAGCAGAATGAGACACAAATATCCCCTAGGGGATACCAGATGTCCCCAATACATTGCAAAGACCACACTATAGAACTGTAAAAGAACAGAAGTCTTCAGTAGTATTGTCAACATTGCAATGACTTTGAGCGACTTCAGTATAAATCTCTTATATGTCACACAAATTTTTAAGGGTCTAATCAATACCAAAGCTACCCCAGGCACATAGAATATTGAAATACTTGTGATTGATGCATATGGCTCCAAGCAAGGAAGAGATTTGGGTATGATGGTTGAGCACTAAAGGTCTGGAGTCAGAAAGCATTGCATTTGAATTCTAGTTCCTGACTGATGCACGCTTTGGCATCTTACAAGCAAATTCTGAAAATTAAGGCTCGCAGAGGTTATCTGTAAAAATAAAAATAATAATGGGGACCAAATGAAGTGAAGTATACAAAGGACTTGGTCCATCTAATAACACTTTAATAAATGAAAAGTGAGCTGTTATCATCACCTCTAACTAGAGCTATAGAAAAAGAAAGCCAGTTTCAGATTTCTTCCAAGTCCCAGCACCCCTTCAGGCCTCTCTCCCCTATAATCCCACCCAGCCTGATGTGATACAGTTAGAAGGACCTTAAATTCCACATCAACAGAGGGCCTAAAATCCAATCTGGCTGTAACAATCCATGCCCCATTACCCAATCTAAAAGACTGGAATTCTCTCCCAAGAATTGGCTGGTTAACTACGATGAAGTGGCAGTTCACACAGGCAATTTCTTTTATCAGGTATAAATTCTCAGTATGCAATAATCTGGCCTCAAGAATGAAATCGAATAAGCATTTTCAAGATCATCTAAAGAAGCAGCTCCAACAACAACATTTCCAAATCCTGAGCCAAGAGTAAGAGAATGACTTTCATCAGAAATGATGGGAGCCAGCTGCTCCAGGAAAGATGCAAGCAGGGCGAAGAATGGACATTAAGGAGGACGCCAAATGCCAAAGGGCTCAGCAAAGCCGTAAACACTTAAGGGGAATGGTACACATCTTCCCTCAAAAGCAATTAAAAATTAATTGTGACACATGCTGAAATTCTGAACACAGTCAAATTCTTTTTTCCTCACTTCAAATCCTCTAGGCTCTTATCACCACAAGTCCGACACCCTCTTTGGTGTGTCTTTTATTTTAATTGCAAATCTATTTTCATAGTATAATATTTTTATGAAACTATTTGAAAAATAAAGGTCATGGCTTTTTTATTCATTATTAAGAAAGAATGAATAGTTGTGTACTTAAATTCTTCTAGTTTTTAAAAATCTGGCTTATTAATAAATATTTGTTGCAATTGCACAATATTTATGTTCAAAAAAGCCATTTAGGAAAGAACAACACATTCTTTACTGTACTAGAACATGAAATCAGGTAAGAGAAGATATTTCAAAAAAAGAAAAAGCATGCTTTGAAGAAAAATATCCAAGCATTTTATTTGCTACATCTTAAAATGACCAAATAATCAATAACAAAATAAGTAAAAAACATTTTGTTTTTAAGTGAAGCCCAAATGCCAAAATTTTAATATTCCAATCTCAGTTTTTAAATAAGTACTTCTGCTTATTTAGCATCATTAAGAATCTTACAGACTCGAGAGCTATGTTAGGCACTCTAAAAATTAATATTTCTCACACCTCTTATAATTTTTGCTAGATAGAACTTTGAAAGATTAATATTGAGTATAGAATTTGAAGCTATAAAAATTAACATTTGTCTCCAAGAGCAAAGCCTGGGGAAAATAAAATAAACAAGAAATGTGGACAGCACTGTTAAAGGTTTTCACTGAAACTTTACTTGCGATAATTACATTTTCCAAATCTAAAATAGCCTGGCTCATACTTTTGTCAAAAAGTAGGAGAAACTGGGACAGTCTACTAGGTCACTGAGCTAAAATCAAGTCATCAGCAGGGCTGCATTCCTTTTGGAAGCTGTAAGAGAGAATCTGTTTCCCTGCTTTTTCCAGCTTTTGGAGGCCACCGACATCGCCTGGCTTATGGTCCCCCTTCCTCCATCCTCAGAACCAGCAACAGGGGACTAAGTCCTCCTGCTACCACCTCTCTGGTTCTCTCTCTTTCACCTCCCTCTTCCATTTATAAAGACTCCTACCCTGATAATCCAGGATAATCTCGCTATTTTAAGGTCATTTGATTGTCAACCTCAATTCCATCTGCAAACTTAATCCCCCTTTGGCATGTAACATAACATACTCGCAGGTTCCAAGGATCCAGGCACAGACATCTTTGGCGTGCCATTATTCTGCCTGCCACAGCCACTATCTCCCACCCAATGTGCTGGAAAGCTATTGCATTTGAGGTATTACTGTATGATGTGTGACTCTTCAGCATGCATCCCTCCTTTTTCTTTAACTGCACACCGATTTCCCTTCAGGTTAACCATGTCATACTCCAGTCACACTCCTTACAAATCAGAGGTAAAATGCCCCAATCCAGGTGAATCAAAGTACTGCATCCCCTGACCACAGTGAATGATTCAAGCTTATGACTAAATCAAGTAGCCAATAAAATCTCTACCAGGAAATGTACTGGAACTGTCAAAAAAGAGGCATCTCTCTTCTGGAGTGAAAGGTAGAATGACAGCCTGGAGATGACAGCAACAGTCTTTGCCACAACTTGTGGGAGGTGTAGGGGGAGGTGAACCAATCCTACTCTGAAAGAGAAATAAAACCAATACAGAGGAAAAATGAGAAAGATACAAGGAAAAAGAGAAAGAGGGAATAAGAGAAAGAGAGAGAGTCCATGAGAGTATCATTTGAACTCTAGATCCAACTATACCTGACTTTGAAACCTCATCAATTTTGTTTTCCTTAACCTGTGTGAACTAGGTTCCTGTCACTAGCATCCAAAGGAGTCATGACTTCTACATGACTTCTGTTAGCAAACTGGAATGAAGGGAATTCCAACAAAATAAGGTGTAAGAAGTAAAAGAGTTGTATCTGGTAAACATAAAATATAGTTGGCATGGAATCCATATGGAATAACTGGTTTTGCACCATTCCTTTCTCAACTCCCTCTCTCTACTGCTATATTACAATTAATTAAACAATACTACACTGAGATACAAACATGAAGATAATACATGAAAACAAAACTCTCAAAGAGCTGTCACATGGTGAGCTGACTGGCTGGACAGTTTACAAGTCCATGGCACAGGAAATTAAAGTTCCTGGAAATTCATGGTGATAGGCAGACCTACCTAAAATGTACGGATTAGAATGAAGTACCTCTCTTTGAGTAAAAGTTTTTTTAAAAAAAGAAAAAGAAACAGCACAAGTCAAAGACACACTAATAACAATAGTTATGATTCTATCTTGTTTACAGCGTAGCAGCATTTTATGAATGCTATGAAGTAAATAGTAGTATTTTCACAAGACTATGGCAAAGTAATTTATGGATTCAATGCTATTCCCATTAAACTACCATTGACATTATTCACAGAATTTTTAAAAAACTATTTTAAAATTCATATGGAACCAAAAAAGAGCTCATATAGCCAAGACAGTCCTAAACAAAAAGAACAAAGCTGGAGGCATCAAACTACCTGACTTCAAACTATACTACAAGGCTACAATAACCCAAACAGCCTGGTACTGACACAAAAACATACACACAGGCCAGTGGAACAGAACAGAGAACTCAGAAATAACACTGCACATCTACAACCTTAAACCTGACAAAAACAAGCAATAGAGGAAGGATTCCCTATTTAATAAGTGGTATTGGGAGAACTGGCTAGTCATATGCAGAAAATTGAAACTGGACCCCTTCCTTACACCTTATTTAAAAATTAACTCAAGATGGATTAAAGACTTAAATGTAAAACCCAAAACTATAAAAAAAAAAAACCTATAAAAACCCTAAAAGAAAAATCTAGGCAATATCATTCAGGACATAGGCACAGACAAAGATTTCATAACAAAATCACTGAAAGCAATTTCAACAAAAGCGAAAATTGACAAATGGGATCTAATTAAACTAAAGAGTTTCTACACAACAAAAATGTTCATTGCAGCACTATTCACAATAGCAAAGACATGGAATCAACCCAAACGCCAATCAATGATAGACTGGATAAAGAAAATGTGATATATATACACCATGGAATACTATGCAGCCACAAAAACGAACAAGATCATGTCCTTTGCAGGAACATGGATGGAGCTGGAAGCCATTATCCTCAGCAAACTAACTCAGGAACAGAAAACCAAGCACCACATGTTCTCACTCATAAGTGGGAGCTGAACAATGAGAACACATGGACACAGGGTGGGGAGCAACACACGCTGGGGCCCATTGAGGGGTGGGGTGGAGGAGAAGAGAGCACTAGGAAAAATAGCTAATACATGCTGAGCTTAATACCTAGGTGATAGGTTGATAGGTGCAGCAAACCACCATGACACACGTTTACCTATGTAACAAACCTGCATGTCCTGCACGTGTACCCTGGAACTTAAAATTAAAATTAAATTTTTTTCTAAAATGTAGTATTATGCATATGTTACACACAAGAAAGTAACACTTTGAGAGGTTAAGGTTACCAGCTAGAAAGCGGTGGAGTTAGGACTTTAAACTACTCAGTCAACAGTGTCTGTGCTCCTGACCACTTGATAGAGGAAATATGAGTATTAACAGGTCCTCTCCTGGATATATAGATTTAGATTTTAGATTAAGAAATGGGGCCAGGGCCAGGCACGGTGGCTAACACTGTAATCCTAGCACTTTGGGAAGCTGAGGCGGGTGGATCACAAGGTCAGGAGTTCAGGACCAGCTGGCCAAGATGGTGAAACTCGTCTCTACCAAAAATACAAAAATTAGCCGGCGTGGTAGTATGCACCTGTAGTCCCAGCTACTCGGGAGGCTGAGGCAGAGAATTGCTTGAACCCAGAAGGCAGAGGTTGCAGGGAGCTGAGATTGTGCCACTGCACTCCAGCCTGAGCAACAGAGTGAGACTCTGTCTCAAAAAGAAAGAAAAGAAAAAGGAAATGGGGCCAGTGTAGTCCCAGCTACTCGGGAGGCTGAGGCAGGAGGATCGCCTGAGCTGGGGAGATCAAGGCTGCAGTGAGCCATGACTGCATCACTGCACTCCAGCTTCTGTTACAGAGCGAGACCCTGTCTCAAAAAAAAAAGAAAGAAAAAAATGAACTTTACATGTAAAAGAGAGAGGTTCTTACACGTAAAGGAAAGAGAACTGGAACTCATGAATAATGCCATCAATCATTCTTTTTGTTTGCATATCTAAATAAAAATATACTTACTAAATATTAAGAAAAATTGTTGGAAATGTGATTTACTATCTAAGACCACAGTACCTGAGGAATCATATATTTAATCCTGTTTTACTTGCTACAAGTTTCCTAATGACTATTTTTGTTTTATCAATCACTTCAAGAGCAAGGTATACCTTTTCATGCTGCTCACAATTTGTTCTAAATTCCATGCAGATTCATCATGCTGAATTTGTGGCAATCATTTTCATAAACAAGAGACTGACATTTTACCACAAAATTTCTCCTAGGGATTTACAGTTAGTCAGCAAAGTCATGTAAACTTCTTTGGAAAATCAGGAGGTATAAATTATATGTGGGAACAGAGGTTGCTATGCTAGGAAACTTCCCGTGCTTCACTGTCCATTTTCAGGAATATACAACTCTCAGATTGCACTGTATGAGGTAGATGAGTCTTCTCGCAGTACTAATAAAATTACAAAAACATTTGTATAATATGATTATTCATATTTATTGGGTACTTGAGAGTTAGAAAAATTACGAATTCGCTGCATCTTTCAGATTGCATAACCAAATATTTAAAAATTATATTCAAATATCAAAAAGAAGAAAGAAATAATTCTAAAGTGAAATTTTAAAAATCAATACTTTCCTAAGTTGCTAGTAGGAGTTCAGATCATACAGACTTGTTCAAAAGCCATTTGTCAAAATGTATCATGTGAATTTGTTTTTACTCAGTAACCAACTTGTGGGGCTCTCTCCTAAAGTAGTCACTTGAAATGCAGGCAACGACATATACATACACAACACTGTGTGGCAACATTCACTATCATGGGAAAATAAATACTGTTAGGAAAATGATTATACAAATTAGAGTTTATTAGTATGATGAGATTAAAATGAAGTTCAGAAGGAGTTTGTAATTATGTTGAAAAATTGTACTAAAACATTAAACAAAACAAAAACAGTTATACAAAAAATACAGTGTGTGTACTGAAAGAAGTTTGAATAAGAACATGCTAAATTATAACAGCAGTTTGGGAACTGGAATGATTTTCAAAAATCTTAAGAATCCAGAAAAATTAAAGAATATAATTACAGTGGGCACTTGTAAGACATCAACAATCTGGGAAAACACTGACTAATTAAAAAGAAAAAATTCAACAACTTATAATAATAGAAGTAGTATAGTTTAGGAATAAAATTTGATCTCTACTACACGAACACTAAAGAGAAGATTCTCAAAATTCTGATAATAGCAATCCTTTTTAAAGAAGCATTAAAGTTCCATTGAAGTCATCATTGTCAATATATCCTTTCCAAGCACAATAACCCAACTCTTCATATCAAAATTACTCATGATTTTGCCAGGCAATTTGGAATGGTTCCTAATGGATTTCCAAGATAATCTGGGTTGGCTACTCAAAGTAAAGAATGTTTTAAGATCATCATTCTGGAAGCAGAGGCGACCTTGAGGGTTTTTTAACATTTCTGAGCAATATTATAATTATTTGGTACAATGACAAGGAAAAGCAGTGAAAGCATGGCTAAACACCAACACTAAGTTGTGATAATGGTGATACATAGCATGCTGCACTTAATAAAATTTTCACCTAAGAATCTTGAAGCAGTTAACATTCACCATAATCATGCTCAATGGAGGGACAAAAGATAAATCAGTAAAGCCAACTCCATTACCTTTAGTTACAAGAAAGAATAATGGCTTGAGTAGCTAAAATTCTAAATTTTACAAAGGATCCCCCTAAACCTCCTTCACCACACTTTCTAGTACTGCTGCTGGCAAATTGGATTGACAGATTTTAATCTTAGCTTAGCTTATCTTTCCTGATGCCAGCAATAGGGCAAATGATCCCAAGTAGGCTGTAGTTAAAAAAACAAAAAATTAGTTGGCATTCCAAAACTGCACATAGAATTCAATTCAATTTACCAAATACTTATTGAGTACAAACAGAAAAGCATACAAAAAATGATAGGCCTAGGTCCCTGTGCTTTGTGGGGTGGAAGAGGAGTCCCAAGAGGCCTTGATAACATTGAATAATTAATTGTATAGCCATTGTCACCATCTTCATTTTCTTAGGGACCAATTCAGCCTGGAGAAAGGCACAAAACAAGAGCATTCAAGGAAATTCAGAACATAGATAAACCTTAATATAATAATATCCTGCTTGCTAGATCTATTCATTGAATAACCAATATTTGAGGACCCACAAGCTACCAAGCACTGTTTTATGTACTAGAGATACAATTGGCATCAAAACAAAGTCTTTGCTCTCATGAGGGTTAATCTAGTGACAATGTTTACTGGTCAATAACTAGGTAAGTGACTCACACTAAACCTTACAAACTGAAACCTGAAAATGGTGAAAAATTATCTCTTAGTAAACTAGATATCTGAGAGAGTAAGATTAGCAACTTTATTTTTTTAAGATTGGGATGTAATGGAATTTGCAACTGAGGAACAGAAATAGGACAGATGCCCCAATTCCAAGAGGAATCAGGAGATGGAAGATATGCCCCAATTCCAAGTGGGGTCGGGAAAGGGAAGACAGCTTAACACTAAAGGATCACAATGCTTTTTCCTCAAATGATACTCAAGCAATCTCAGTGGTGGCTTATGAAACAAAAGGACTCAGAGAATTCTTTTTCAGATTTTCCAGTGTCTACAGAACTATGATTATTTCCTAAGCCACATGTGTCATTGAGCAAGCCTCCTTACCCAATTGGACCAGCCACACCAGTTTCCCACAATTAACTCAGGCATCCTACCAAGGCAATACTCTGAGTCAGAAATGACAGTGCTCCCTGATACGCCCTAGAAGTATGTCAATGATCTCATGAAACATACTTACACATATATACAGAAACATACTCAAACACACAGATATATATGTATGTATGGGTATAGGTAGGTGGTTAGAGAGGCAGTTCCTATCTGGTTGACAAAGAGGCACACAACTAGGTCAGGGTTCAAAACCTATTTACCCATTTTTTCTAGGGTGAATCCTACTTTCCCACATACCAAGAAGGTATTATTCCACTGGCTGAAGAGAGAAGGAAGGAGGCAATATCCTGCATGAGACACTATATTGGTGACATAGCTATACATATTCTAACCTGTCCCCATCACAAACTGCCTTCTCTTTACCTAAATAAAAGCCTTCCTAGTCTAGAGGGTTGAAGCATATAAGATATATTTTTGAAAATTGACCTTCTAAGTTAAATACTAAGAAGTACATATCCTGTGACTCTAGTTACAAAGAGCATGAAAAACTGACACAATCAATTTATCCTGTTAGAAGTCAGGAGAGCAGTCACCTTTCATAACGGGAGAATGCTTGGCAGTTGGCATGAGGGACGTACAGGGATTCCAGTAATGTTCAACTTATTGATCCAGCTGCTGACTGCTGACTGCACAGGAGCATTCACTTTGTGAAAAATCAGCAAAGTACACTTATATGCACCCTCCTACATCTATACTACACTTCAGTAGAAAGTATTTTTAAAATTTAGTTTCTTAACAACTTGTGGTTTATTACTCATTTATATTTAACCCTTCCTGAAACATTAAATTATTTAGAAATTATTCAGGGCCATGAAATTTATTTTCTAGCCAATTTGTTGAAAAATAAATAAATAAAATCTACAAACATTATTTGTCTTTCCTAATGTATTTCTGATCAAATAACACGTCCCCAGGTAGTTATATAAAACTACTTCTAAATCAGTTAATAGAAAAAAAATAAATAACGTGTTCAGGAGTGCATTTCACCAAATCTCCAGGTTAGCAGTGTAGCAGTGCCTTTACACATGGGAACAGGGGAGCAAAACTAATCACTGTACATAAGATTTTCTTACATATGATACATAAACCAAAGTGAAATGATAGTTATACTTTTGCTATCACAAGACCTGTGGGCCAAAATCTATTTTATTCAATCTGTTCTTCTCTTCATTCAACTGGAAAACGATAAATAAGAATGGTAATAATAAAAGAGAGAAATCCCATAAAACAGATGAATATGGGAACAAGTAAATCTTCAGCACTACACCCTAAGAGGGCTCCGCCTCCTCTCTTTCATACTGACTTATCTCTCCTCTGCCAAATTTAAGGACACCTGTACTATTTTCTTCCCTTTAAAAGGGCTACCATAGTAATTTACATTAGCAAAACAACTGAACCAAACTTCGGTTCAATCCAGGGCCTCTTATATGAGAGCATCCTAATTCTATCTTAAAATTCTAATCAAAGCTATATATTTTATGAAATTTTTTGGTGGAATGGGTGATCTTAAGACATCTTTTTAATTTGCATATTGAAAAGTTGGGACGTGTAAGTAATCAAATATTTAAGTAATTAAAAATAAGACAACTTTCTTCTCCCTACTTAAGAGTTGGTTAAAAAAAATTCTTTAAAAAGATAAGGATTGATGGCTGAATGTTATCAACTACGAATGACAAGTATCTGATCATAAACACTGTACTTTTAGGGCAGTTCTCAGTGCCTTTCCTCCCCACTGTTCTCCTCTTGCCGTCGAGGTCTAAGCTTGGGAAATACATCCAACAATGCTAAGCACTGAGTAGGAAGGAGCATTTTGATATATGCTCATATATTACAGGCTACATATACACACCTCTGGGCTTAGCTCTTGGGTTTCTTAGTTAACAAGTGTGAATCTCCACTGTGTACTATAACAGGTAGCTATGCAACCTCTCAAGCTTCATTTTCCTCATCTCTAACATAGGCACAATAGTATCCCCACCTCACAGTGTGGCTGTGGGAATCAGTTGACATAACACATGAAACAATCAACACTGTGCCTGGCATTTAATAAACGGCCAATGACTTGTAACTATGTTTGCAGCAGCAGTTATAAAAACTTTTCTTCTAAAAGACAGCTTTACAATATCACCTGACAAATACAGAATTGACAGAGACTAATACTCTGCCAAAAAGAAAAATTATCTTTTAAAGTAATCCAAGTAAAATGTGTATGAAAAGACTTTGAATGTAGCCTGGCTTCTTGCCAGATGACTTTCAGCCTCCGCATTCACAACAAATACATTATTCTAAACAGCTTCAAGAAAGACCATGGACTTCTGAGTGACCTGTTGCAAGTCACTTACACTCTCTGAATCTCAGTCTCCTCACCCATAAAATGGGAGTAAGAATCTCCACACCATCAGAAGAGTACTGGGATTTTAGATATTAGCAAAAGGCCTAACAGTATCTTTCACATTAGGAGATAATTATTTTAAAGCAGATTGAATAACAGAAGTCATCAGAGGATTTACCCAAAGCAGGAAAGATTGTAAGAGAAAAATTTCCATGCTCTGTACTTCATTGTTCTCTTCTATGTAGCATTCTTGCCTTCTGTTGTACTCAAATGTGCTCCTCCTAAATGCTACAGAAGTTGATGATTTTATTTCATTCATCTCCATATCATCTTACAGCCCCTCCATCATCTTCCAAGTACATATCAGTGGCTTGTACAAAGACAGTAATAAACTGATGCTTGAAATGTCCAACTGCAGGAGAATTTTTACCTCACTATAATTTAGCCCCAGGAAAGTGGGACCTTCCTCCAGAAAGAGGAAGAGAAGAACAGAAATGTTTCCGGACTACAGATTATTTTTTTTAACCACCAGTGGGAAACATTTCAGAAACAATATTTTGCTTAGCTCACTTCATTCCCTTACTTTCAACTTAAGATAAGAGTGACATCTGAGAACAAAGCTTACCTATTTGCACCATTTCTTCATTACCAGCCTGGAAAGGAGGGGGAAAGCAAGAAAAAGAAAGTTACTGGGTTTCATCTTATCACCTTGTGAGTTTTATTTCTACCATTAATGGTTTCCAAGAGCTAACTAATCAGGAGATGCTAGAGACTGGGATTGGTGCCTAAAGCCTGCACCTTGGTTTGTAGAAGGTTCCATGAGCCAATTCCATAACAATTTGGGGAAGGGAGTTGTTTGCCCCTTTTCATTTTAATTTAACACTTATGAAGCCAGCAAAAATACATACAGACTCTCAATGCTCTCTTCTGAAATGTCGTACTGGGTCTGGATTAGAAAAGAAAGTATGAATTTAACAGGCCAAAATACACCTAACAGGGGGCCTGATTAATCAGATTTAAGGTCAGGAATCAACTAGACAATTCTCTACTTTTTACCCTATGGTCGTTCAGACCAGGCCGACCGGAGAAGCTACAAAAACTAACAGAGAAATTCTGTACCCAAAGTCCCATCGGCCCAGTGCTGATATGATTTACTACAAACAGCTCCCCTGGCGGAGCCTTCTCAAGGACTCTTCTGAGAGCATCGGGCTTCACCTTGAGCCTCCAAAGGGTTGGGGGCAGGGCCGAAAAGAAACAGAGCTGCACTCAACTTAGCTTTAAAAAGAGGAGGAGTTGTGCAGAGGGGGAGGGGAGAAGGCGGCCGGCGCCTGCAGCCTCTGCCCAGGAAAACGGAGGGCAGGAAACGTCTCCAGCCCCCCTCCCCAACTGTCAAATCCTAGCCCGGCCGTGGTACTCCCAGGACACGTGTCTACTGGATCTCTCCCTGTCCGGCCCAAGGACTTCCTGAAACCCCCGCCTCCGGCTGCCCGAAAAAACCGTGAGTCAGTTCGGAGGAGAGAAAGCTCCAGGAACCCGACTCTGGCGGCAGCAGCCAGAGCGCTGGGATCCCGGACCCAGCGTCCAGAACTTCATTCAAGCGCCCAGACCGCCCTCCAGAAAGGGGAAGCCCAGATGGCCCGGCGAGGATGGGAACTGGCTGCGGTTTGTCACTAGGAATTGTTACGAATGTCGCAGACTGGTGAAGCCCTAGGTGTGACAAGACTGGGCTCCCGGAGTGGGAGTCGTAACCTCCCGTGCAACTCAACCCTCTACCCCCAAAAGCCCGCACGCTGCGCCCAGCCCTCAAAACACCGTTTCTGAACGCAAAAGATAACAGGGAAGGGTGGGAGGAGAAGGAGGAAAGAGAGGAGGGTAGAGAGGGGAGGAACTTTTCGGGAAAAGGTTGGGTTTGAGTTTTTTTTTATTGTTATTATTTTCCACTTACTTGTCCATCAGCTGAAGTCCTAACCTCTACCAGAGCGGCTGCTATCAACCAAAGTGACAGGAGAACCATCACGAGTCGAGTTCACTTTCCAACTACTGGGCAAAGCAAATGCCCAGAGCAAACCCACCCCCCCCGCCCAAAATAAGTTTCTTTAAGAAAAAAAGGAAAAGGGAAAAAATGCGAAATAGAAAAAAATGATCTTCTGTGCTTTGCTTCAATGAAAATGAAATTTGAGCTCTGAGACTGGCCCCCTCTGCTCTGCAGTTTTTTCCACTTCACCTTCTCACCCCGTCCTCCCAACACAGAGTGTGCAGGAGCGAGAAGGTGCTGTAAGCGGGCACAGGCTAAGCCTGGGAGAGGGGGAAGGGACGAGGGGCTTTCCAACTATCTCTGCCCAAAGCAGCTTTTTCGAGGCTTTTCGAGCACCATTGGTCCCTAAGGTTAGCGCGGAGAATGCTTGGGTTCCCCGGAGCACAGCAGGGGGAAGTATTAGCGAGAGAGACGAGCGAGCGGGAGCGGGAGAAAGAGGCAGGGAGAGGGCGACTCCGCCGCACACGCAGAGGTGGGGGCGGGAGGAGCGAAGGGGAGGAGGAGAAGGCAGGCGGAGGAGGTGGGAGGAGTGGGCCGCTCGCCGGCTCCTGTTGCTCGCAGCGCGGCAGTCTGCTGGCTGCTGGCGACCCGCGGGGCGCTAATAAGGCGTCCGGAGCTCCCCGGACTGCCCCTCCCGCCGTGGCGCCCACGTCATGCGGGGCCCGAACCCGCGCCCCCCGCACCGTGTCAGGATTGGAGACCGCTCGGGGGCTGGTGTGGCCCGGGCTCGACCTCCCACCCTGGAGCCTCTCCTTCTCCGCCTAGGGCGAGAGGAGGGGAGGGTCCAGGGGCGCCACCGGTCCCGACTGGCGGGACGCGCGTTGAGTTAATTATAGGAAGGGGGAGGGTCCGAGGGCTGGTCCTGGGCTGTAGGAAATTCACCTCCTCCAACCTCCACTGTTCTCCCAGCCAGAGAATTCTCCCCGAAGAGAAGCCCTGGAACCTCCAGATCTTAACCACGCGGTGATCTCCCTTCCAGGCACCAGTCACCTCCCACGTTTTGGCAGGGGGTGTCCTTCTTTGTAAGCTCTTGTTTAGGCTTTATTCGTTTATATTAGTTTTAAAAGATACCACGTCCTTTCCTTGACTCACCCGGATGCTTCCGTTTATCACTAGAGTACACAGGCCTCAGCGACTCTTCCTCACACCCAGATTAAGTTATCAAATGATTTCTGCCCGCTGTGGCCTGGCGCTTCCTGAGGGGAAATGACACCAACCTGAGAGTTTGCTGGAATCCTAGCCCAGGCCCACCTCCCAGGCGTAGACACCTGTGGGTGCTTTCCAGAAAGCAGACAGGAGGAAAAGGAAATAGCTCCAACCTCCACTGACCGGTCCACGAGCCAGGAGTGAGTAGACACAAATTTAGATACGAACTTCAAGACTTCAACTGGACAGTCTTGAAGAGGCCTGCCCACAATAAAACGAGCTAGTGTTTATCTTGTTATGAGATGCAAGATAAGTCATAGTTCTTGTTCTTTTTTAAAAGCAATGTGAGTTTGGAGGGTTTCCTATAACTTCGATTCATTGTTTATTCCTGGAGAGGTAACGTGATGGTTGTGCCTTTAACTTAAGCATGGAAAGATTTGGTGTTCACTGATGTTTTATCTGCTAAGTCTTCTCAAAATCATATATCGAGGACATTTACATATACAAATGAGAAACTAGGTAACTAAATGGCCCCACCTAGTAAAACAGGATATTAGGTCAATTAGTTATTAATTGGAATTAGAATTAGACCCCAGCACTGAAGTATCTCTAAATTACTTTTTTCCTTCAATTAAAGCCTGTAGCATTTTTGTAACTTGTCATTAACTAGCTATCCAGGAGTGATTTGCTACATTTTACACCGAGTTTGTCTATTCATTAAAAAGAAGTAACCCTAAGCATTCCATAAATGAAAAATCTGTCAATTTACACTGACAAGTAAAAGAACACTAGAGATACACATTAGGAGATCTAGGTTCTAGACCCAGCTAACAGCTGTCTTACCTTGACAAGTCAGAATAAACCTCTATTTTGGTTTCTCCTCTATGAGATATTTGAGATCTAAAATCATCTGATTTTAGGTAATAACAAATAATGTATTTAACCATGTTATTACAGTAGGCCCTTTTGTGTTAATTTTACAACATTCAGACATTAGTTATCACCTAACTCCCGGCATAGCAAGCAATTCATGTGACTTTCAGGAAAGCAGCGGCTTCAGACATTTTTGGCCATCACCACAGAGAGAAATGCATATTGCATAGCGACCCAGTAAAAATTTCATGATTCAGTACTTACCTGTACTGCATGCAACAACCCTGATATTTTTCTTGCCATTCTTTCCCTGCAACCCCAATTGCAGATGAGCACTCAATTGATTTCACAACCCAGCAAGTCATGACTCTCACTTTGACAAAGATCAGTTTAAGAGCATGCAATAGGGTTTTTTTTTAATTCTAAATGAGTTCTAATTAATAGGGTTCTCCTAATATATTCTAAGGCAGAGTTTCCCAAAGTATTCCCTGGAATATTAAATGTTTTACCAGGAAAAGGAAAATTCTCAGACAGCCAACTGAGCTCATGAAATACTTAGATAAATGAAACAAAATGGCTCTCCTTATTTCAGACTTCAGGGTACCTATTTAAACAAACACATTTGTAGTCCCAGCTACTCCAGAGGCTGAGGCAGAAGAATCGCTTGACCCCAGGAGGCGGAGGTTGCAGTGAGACGAGATTGTGTCACTGTACTCCAGCCTGGGCGATAAAGCGAGACTCCGTCTGAAAAAAAAAAAAAAAAAAAAATTGTGAGTCTTCAAGGGGGAGATGTAGTGCAATTTGGTCTCCTTACTTACATGACCATAGAATCCTTTTTTCTCATGCTTTATCCTCTGTGGAACACACATGGGTAAATGACATTACAAAGCCCAACTATTAAAGCAAAATGAACTTCAAGTTAGATAGGTTGGATTCTCATGAGGATTCAGCTTCAGTTTTCTCAACTCTAATATCGGTTTCATAGTACTACTTTTGCAAACTCTTCATGAAAATTAACATGATCTTACATGTAAACTCTAGCACATTGTCTAGAATATGTAAAGGCTTCAGTGTAATTTTTTGAATAAAACTGATGGCATATGTACAGATGGCTCATTGGTAATAAAATATGGCAAGGTCTAAAGAAAATAGGAAAATGTAAATAGCTAAAACGTGATTGACTTTTAATTTTGCCAGAGAGGATGTTAGGAGTCAGAGACAGAGTCATTTGAGTTCCTTTCAAAAACTGACCCCTACCAGCCTGCCTTATGTCAAATCCCTTCCCTTACTCCATGTTTCTTTGGCTCAGGCTACAGTGTTGTTTTCCACACACCCTCAAGTTCACATTCTTGCTCATAGTGATTTCTCAGTCCATAGCACCCTTCCTCTTCCTGTCCACATGGCAAAGAGCATCATATTACAGGAGGTGCTAATAGGTACTCCACAAAAGTACTTACACTAATGCTTGTAGTATGTTTTCTTTCAAAATATGTTTTAAGCATATAATTTCAAAAGTAGCCATATATATTTAGTCTCCCTAATTGAAAATCATCTCCTTTAAAATAAGTTTCATGAAATTGGTTGACACATCAACATTTTAACCTGTGCATCCTCATATTGGCAGCAATTAAGTAAGTAGAGAGTTGTGGGGGTTTTTCTGTTGGAGGCTGACTGGTCAATGTCATAATTTGACAACATTTTGATACCCAATATTTATTGTGTATTAAGCCAATGAATAAAATTTTTGTCATTTCTTGCAGCAAATAGTTAATTATAAATTCATTTATTAGGTTTATTTTTTTGGGGGGGTTCCTTTTAGTTGTTTACCTTTCCCATACTTTTAATATAACTAACAACCTTCTGTCAATATTTATTAGATACATTACAGTTTTTACATTTACAATTTTTAATTTCTTCCCATGGTCAAATAAATTTGGGAATTCTGCGGTCAACTTTGTTCGAAGTATAAGTATAAAACTTTATTGCATCATAAGTGGCTAGATTTATATCCACCTCCTTCTCTAAATTACAAGTTCCTTAAGGGTCTTGATCTTTGTTTTGTTTACTTTCTACCACCAATATCTCACACAATTTCCATCACACAAAAGTTGCACAGTACTTTAATTACTGCAACTTGAACATCTCCAGGCAAAATTGTATCCTTTTATTCCTGCCTACTGATGAGCTTTATTCCTGGTCTTGGGATTCTTGACACCTAGAACTATCACAGAGGAATATTAGAGTAGGTACATGGGACCTACCACTATAGGACAGTGAAAGCTGGGCCTACTGTCCCTTTTTTCCATTCCCACACCCTATATCCTCATAGAGCACAGCTACAGGACATGCAAAATGAGAAAATAGAGTTGATAGCAGCATGTAGAGAATTATTTTATTGCTCATTGAGAGCAAAAGTCACCCTCAGTCTCACTCTTTCTCTCACACAGCACCCTCCCATTTTATATAATATTGAATTCTTTCATTCACAGGTCAGAGAATCAAGTATGTTGTATATACATTATGCCTACTTTTTTTAACCAAGGCATTAGGTTGGTAAAGAGTCAGGATGTCAAACTTTCATACTCATAGAATACAGCCTGGCACATAATAGGCACTAAAAGAATAATTATTAAATGAATGAAGAAGTGAATATTTACTGTCTCTACTTGAAGTGAATATTTACTTCTACTTATTATTACTTGAGAGAAATGAGTAGGGAGTTGTTGTCATTGTTTCTCTACTGTCAGTGAATAAGCTATTTCCAACTTGGGTCTTTTTCACAGAAATTTTCAGAAGTTCCATAAAAAGATTTTTAAAAATTAAACAACAGGGGCCAGGTGCAGTGGCTCACGCCTATAATCCCAGCACTTTGGAAGGCCGAGGCGGGTGGATCTCTTGAGGCCAGTAGTTAGAGACCAGCCTGGCCAACATGGTGAAACCCCATCTCTACTAAAAATACAAAATAGCCAGGCGTGGTAGTGCACGCCTATAATCTCAGTTACTCGGGAGGCTGAGGCAGGAGAATCGCTTGAACCCAGGAGGCGGCAGTTGCAGCGAGCCGAGATCATGCCACTGCACTCCAGCCTGGGCAACAGAGTGAGAATCTGTCTCCAAAAAAAAAAAAGTTAAACAACAGGAAAATTTCTAAACACAAGTATCAAGAAATCAGAGATGGAAAGGCCTCATTAGGTCATCTAGTTCATGCTTTGGCTACTGGTTGAGGCAGTGTTCTTCCTATAGTCATTTCCTTCAGAGGAAAACCATTATCTTGCAAGAACAAAGTTGGGTGTTCAGGATTTCTTATTTAATCACTTGATTTTAGAAGAATAATTCCACAATGGGACAAAGTCTTGAGGGAAAATCATTCCTCATGTTCCTTGATCTTTCTCCTTTTTCTCCACTTGGGATTATTCATTACACCCTTAACTATCATTAGCACCATAAATAACCTCTTTCTTTCCTTGATAAAGTTTGGTTTCACAATTAAATATTTAGCTGTTCATACGCAACTAACAGAAACAGATATTGCTGTCTACCATCTTTTGTTTTTATAGTCTTTCTCTGTTTCTTCAAGCCTTTAGGATATTTTTGGCTTGGAAACTGAATGGTAATGGAAGATTAGAGTCTTCCTGGGGCCAGGGTTAAAACAGAAACAAGGGAGCAATTAAAATTTGAAATTCTTTCAAATGTTTCTTATAATAGCATAACTTAATAGTTTTAACTATTTTAGTAGCAAAGCATTTAGAATCATTGTCAGGTTACTTTGCATTCATGCAATGATTTTCTCTTGACATCTCAAGGAATTCTAATCTAGTGGAATGCTGGATAAAATGAGTATTTAAGTCCATTAAATTAATCAGTGTATTCCCTTGGAGAGTTGGGGGTTCAAAATGAGAGATGTGGCATAGTACTTTTCACACAGCAGGCCATTCAACAAATATTTGATAAACTTAATTAAATAGCTATCTGACTCATACTAATTATAGCAACACTTGTATTTTAAAGGGCCACCACATTGGTAACTGCAAAATTGTGAGTTGTTTTCTATAGTTGTCAATCCTGCAAAACATTTGTGTGGTACATCACAGTACTCAAGACTGTGAATCAACTACCATTTAAAAAAAAATAAAAGTACGATTCATAATTTCCAACTGGACTCAATAGACTTTATTGAGAGGGAAAAATTTTTAGCAAACTAGCAGTTACAGCTCATAAATAGGATTCTCCTATAGGAAAGTGTAGTTATACAAGTCAGGAAAATAGTCAAGTGTTCTGAATTTACACTGGAGTCAAAACAAGATGAAGTGAGTTTATGTGGGGTAAAAGCTGTACTGAAATTACATTTGAGAGAATCCCTCCACTTATTAATAAGAGTTTTCAACAAAACTAGTTAACAAAGCAAAGTCTGTAATTAAATGTCCTAAATGTCTTTGAGATTAGGATAAAATCTAAATTCTTTCCATGCTGTCTGAAGGGAGAGACAACAGTCACATATCGGCCAGGTGCAGTGGCTCACGCCTGTAATCCCAGCACTTTGGGAGGCCGAGGTGGGTGGATCACTAGGTCAGGAAGTTGAGACCATCCTGGCTAACACAGTGAAACCCCGTCTCTACTAAAAATACAAAAAATTAGTCGGACGTGGTGGCGGGCGCCTGTAGTCCCAGCTACTTGGGAGGCTGAGGCAGGAGAACGGCGTGAACCCGGGAGGCGGAGCTTGCAGTGAGCAGAGATGGCGCCACTGCACTCCAGGCTGGGCGACAGAGCGAGACTCCGTCTCAAAAAAAAAAAAAAAGAGTCAAGATATCTTTTGGGCATTCAAACCAATGATTGTGAAGTAAATCACAGTTCTACTATGTAAGATTTGAGCATCATTGTGGTATATTAAAACTAACAGAAAGACTTTATATTTTATTATTAGTTTCATGAGCCCTCTTTTATTTATCCAATGGCTGGCAAAGTTTTCATAAAATGTTTATAAAAGTTTTTGGTTTGGATTATGTTTTGTTTTAAGGGAAAAACAAATGTTCCCATCCCATTGAGTTACTGAAATTCACCCCCAATTTTATTTCATAAACACAGCTTTTAAATAAGATCAGTTATTTAATTCTCAGAATATTACATGTATTCCTTAAGGTAGCAATTAACTCTTTCCAGACTAAAAACAGCAAAGAGAAAATGGGAAGAAAAAAATAACTCAACAAACAAATGAAAAATTAGTTATGAAACTAACAATCAGTGCTAGACTGTATCTCCCAACACACAATCTTAGAATCTAGCTTGTTAGGAAGAAAAAACAAAACAAAACAAAAAACTGAACTCTGATCTGAAAGTTTTTGAGTTTTTATTTTAATAGATTCTCATCCAGATTATAACAGATGTAATCAAGCTAGAAATTGTTACTACTCTTATTTTGTTGGTATTATTACAAAAGGTTACTTATGTTAAGGAAAAAAGACACTGAGATTTATGTGTAGGGTCTTTATTATGTTATGTCACACTAAAGAAAGCAAGAAAATAGGAGCTACCACTCTTCTGGCAAACTGTAAATGGTAAGTGCTTAGTGCGGACAGTTCAAATGTCAGATTATAAAACTGTTCAGCAGTCCTATGCCATATAGAAGAAACATAAACTTTTCAGATTGAACTTTTGCTATCAACATAATGTAACACAAAAGAAAATAGTCTGGTGACATTTTAATGCTTTTCATGCATTTGAAAAAAACATCATCAATATTCTTTATATTATTGTATAATTAATAACAGAAATTATTAACAGCATCAGGAAGTGATACAAGTCTATAAAGTTGAGTTAATCCTCAAATCTGTTGCCTTGATCACTCAAAAAGAGTTATGGCATTTTAACTAAATGTTAGTTTGTGACAAATCATCCTGAAAATATATGTCACCACTTACTATGTAGTTTTCTTATGTTTTATATGCACATAAGAAGTTGACCCATGGAGGTTTCTTTAAATGCATGTGTTGTACGCAACTCTGAGCTATTCTGATTCAACAGATCCACTGTGAAAATTTGGCATCTATATTTTTCAAAAGCTTCCCAGATAAGTCAGTCTAAACTGTAAACTTACGCAGTGTTACTCAAACTTTTCTACCATTTTTATCCTAATAAATGCAGATTTTGATTCAGCAGGTCTGGGGTGGGGCATTTCTAACAAGTTCTCAGGTGATGCTCATATTGCTGGTCCACAGAAAACACTCTGAATTGCAAGGCCATAGGACATGTTATTCATAGATAATTACAGAAAATAGAAACCACGTGACATTAAAATCAAGCATGAGCTATTTAGAATAACATCTAATTTTGTTCCCTATTCCTTACTAAACATCTATTATACACAGTTAACATATAATTCAGAACTGAGTAGAAATAAGTCCACAAAAGCATCTCTGTGGCATTGATTCGGAAATTAAATGTGTTTTTACTAAAAAGTCATTGAACCATGTGCTTTCTTACATGGTGAGCACATTAGATAAAACCAGTTTAAGAAAAGTCAATTATTAATTTAAAAAAATAGATCACAGTCCCTGATCTACAATTCCTCCAGGAATGTCTGGTGCCCACAGGAACGCATGACAGACATTTCCTTTTGAGGTGCTGCATTTCTGAACTGCTCATGCAATAAGCCTGCACTGAGGATAGAAATTTGTCCACAATTTGCTGTCCGTTAGTAGTTTACCCAAAATAAGTATTAAGATTCAAGGAACCAGGCCGGGCACTGTGGCTCACGCCTGTAATCCCAACACTTTGGGAGACCGAGGTGAGTAGATCACTTGAGGTCAGGAGTTTGAGAGCCTGGTGAACATGGTGAAATCCCATCTCCACTAAAAATACAAAAATTAGCCGGGCGTGGTGGCACATGCCTGTAATCCCAGCTGTTTGGAAGGCTGAGGCAGGGGAATCACTTGAACCCGGGAGGCGGAGGTTGCAGTGAGTGGAAATCGCGCCATTGCACTCCAGCCTCGGCGACAGAGCAAGACTACGTCTCAACAAACAAACAAACAAACAAACAAAACAGATTTAAGGAACTGACTGAGGTTATCCGTTAAAGAAAAGAAGGTTGAAGGACCATTTGGTTGATGCTATTATTGAAGGAATAACCGGCCGCGCGCAGAGGCTCACACCTGTAGTCCCAGCACTTTGAGAGGCCATAGCGGGCAGATGCCTTGAGCCCAGGAATTCCACACCCACCTTGGCAACAAAGTAAGACCTTGTCTCTACACACACCCACACACACACACACACACACACACACACACACACTACAAAAATTAGCCCGACATGGTGGCGTGTGGCTATGGACACCACTGTACTCCAGTCCGGGTGACAGAGCAAGACCCTGTCTCGAAAAAAAGATAAGCATAAGATACTCCTAGGCACTGCAGTTTGTGAGACTTAGATTAATTATAAAAGTATTTGGTTGATATAAGTCAGACTGTCTTAATTAATGCTAATATTATAGCATATGTTTCAAAACTACGTAGAATCTCATATTTCTTGCTTGTTGTTTTCTTACGTTCATTATATAAATCCTGTTTCTAGGTATATAAATGTCCCATTAATCCCTTTGATCACACTAGAAAATGATGTTTTTTCATCTTCCATGAGACTAGATGGTGTTATTATTAATATGCAGATAGAGATAAGTTTTATCAAGAGAGCATTCTATAACAGATGTTGACAACCTATGAAGCAGCAAATATTTATTTTGTGTCTTGTTCTCTCTATATTCTTTTTGTAACTATCCTTCTCCATCCCTCACTTCCCCCACACAAGTTCTGTGTTCTCTTGCTTCAAGGAAATAACAGACAGAAATGCCCCATGTACAGCTTGTCCTGCTTGCTTTTGTTTCCCAGAGGCTTAAGGGTAGAGAAGTAGGTGACTTTGATAGATGAAAGAGACGGAGACAGAGATGTTAACATCTGGGTTCCCCTAAGGCCTGCAAGGCCAAGGGCAATGGAGAGAGCAGGGTCTTGGAGGGCAAAGGCTGCTGCTAGACCTGGGGAAGCTGAAACCCGGGAACTTGTGTTCCCCACCAAGACACAAAGGCTTGGACACAGGGAGTCTCAGGTAAACTGTACTGCTCAAGCCTAGAGAGGTCATTTTCAGTATTTTAATGAGTGTAAGATTCCAGGAAGTGAGACCAAGTAACTGAGGCTGAATGTTCTGCCAGCCCAAAGATCTGGGCATTAAAAATGGTTTAATTTGAGTTAAATAAAAGAAAGAAAAGTAACATTGCTTGAACATCCCAATAATGGTTGCTAAATCATACATACTAAACCTAAATTTGTTCCCTGTAGGCATGAGATTATGATAAGCAAGTAGTGTTCACCCCTATTTGTAGCAATAGCTAGGAGAATTCTCTAAGTTGAGACTTTACAAAATTAAGATACAAAAAATAAGATTTGTTGAGAAAAATTAAGTCCCTAGCATGGATGGAGAGTCCAGATGTATTTTACCACATGTTTAGTGTAAGCACAAACAAATACACAGTATACAGTGGAACTCTAATATAAACTGCCCCTTGCCGTGCACTAAGGAATTGGTATGAATCTGGACTGGCTAAGAGAATGTTGCCTTACTTCTCTTTGGGTCTGGATTTACTTTCTTGCATTATTGTTCAAGCTTGGCTTGAACAATATTTGTGTGAATCGAGCTGGATTTGTTTCATGCTAATTTCAAATAGACCAGTTGCTTTCCCCTAATAAGAGCTTCTTTGCTGGTAGTTCGTGGCTTCCAACTGCAAATGTTCACAGCTTCCTTCAAGAAAATCATTGCCAAATGATTTATTTTAAAGTTCCAGAGGTTTTCTCTTACTTATAGACTTTAGAATTCTCAGTGGTCTACTATATCTATTCGGAGAGAAAAATCTAATTGTGTAGCCCTATAGCATTGTAATCTGGAACTTCTTCATCCCGTTGTGGCAGAAGAGAGGCACTTTAAATTCCAGATGGGGGAGGCATAAATCCAGATCAGAATCCTAGGTGCAAACAACTCTTGTTTGGGAAAAACGGAGCCTCCATAACATGGGCTGTTCATATGTAGTGGTTTTCACCTCAAGTCATTATCGCATGGACTAACAAGATACTCCTTCCTGTCCCACTGTATGTTTTTCTTTTGAATTTGTATTGAAATGTGTGCATGATGCTAAGCATGTACGTAATCCAAACTCCATTCCCCATAAATAAAAACAAGCTGAAAATATCACTGGCAGATAACCACCATATAAACTGAAAAATGCACTTCATTTAAAAAGTGCTGCTCATAAATTATCCCATCCTCCAGGCCTAATTCGGTAACATAAGCTGTATGTCTAAACTCTACTTCTTCAAGTACTACAATTAGTTCTTAAAGAGCATCATACATTTAATTTCTTATATTACATATCGCATCTATTGCATAATATTTTCCCATGATCATCAGTAACTTCAAAACTGAACTCTTATTTTAACCAATCAGAGAAAACTTACTGTTACCAAAAATAAAAAATAAAAAAGCCATACACAAATGATGAGCCATCTTAGGAAGTTTTCTGAAACAATTACTGCATTGACATAAGTAAAACATTTTGCAGTGACATTCTAACAAATTGATAATATAGCTCTTTTAAACTCAGTCAGCCTGGTGAAAACAAAACAAAATAAAACAATTCTTTATAAATCATGCAAAGCAGAGGCTGTTTAACTTGCTAACTTACAGAACTATCGTGATATGCAGCTTCTATTTATCGCGGTTAACAGGGCTTTCAGAAAAATCACGAATGTAAAGATTGTATCTGAGCCAAACTCACTTCTTCCCAGTCTTTTTCAATAGGGTGGTAACACAGTGTTCTTTCAGACATGTAATTGTTTCCTAGTCTAACTTCTACCTCCAGGTATATAAGAACCTGATATTGTCTGTATCATTATTAGTTAATTCCACTTTAAATTAAATTCATTTCCTATTTTATTGTGTGATACTTGTGTTATACTATTACTTTTATATTTACATGTAATATACATATGCACACATATAGACATATATGTAATAACATAGTATCATACAAACATCATTATTTGTGCGTGTGTGTGTGTGTATATATATCCTAAGATATACTAGTGCTACTGTAATTAAAATAAAATGTCTAGATATTTATATTTATATATCGCAGTAATATAGTGACATCACATATATGTATAAAACACAGTAACAGCTTGGCGCGGTGGCTCTCACCTGTAATCCCAGCACTTTAGGAGGCCAAGGCAGGCAGATTGCTTGAGGTCAGGAGTTCAAGACCAGCCTGGCCAACATGGTGAAACCCCATCTCACTAAAAATACAAAAATTAGCTGGGTGTAGTGGTGTGCGCTGGTAATCCCAGCTACTTGGGAGGCTGAGGCACAAGAATCGCTTGAACCCAAGAGGTGGAGGTTGCAGCAAGCCCAGATTCACACTACTATACGCCAGCATGGGCAATAGAGTGAGACTCAGTCTCAAAAAAAAAAAAAAAAGGTAATAGTATATATATAATGTATATGTATATACGTGGAGAGACAAAATCTGGCAACTTTATTTTAATTAATATAACATTAAAATATCTTAGGATGAATTTCATGGTTCATCTCTTTTTTTTTCCTAAAAATGTCTTAGCTATATACACTTCAGAAAATAAGCAAGCAAACAAAAAGAATAAGAGCAAAAGGAAAGACAGGAAAGAAAAAGAAGGGAGGTACAAGGGAAGGGAGAAAAAAAATCACAAATTTTTTTGTCAAATTTTGCTATTAGGTTTATACTAGTTGAGTTTTTCTTCTTTACTTAGGTTCTTTATAGTCATTCTTCCTTGGAAGTAATTTAGAAGAATTCACCTGTAAAACTGTCTGGGCAGGAGCCTTACAAAATAATATCATTTTAAGTACTTCTCTGGTTATCTGGTCTTTCTCATTATTGTACAGTCCATTTTACTAATTTATAGTTTCTATAAAATCGTATATATCACCAAGATTTTACCATTATTAATGTAGACTTATATGTATCTTATTTTTAAATTTTTATAGATGTATCATTTTATTAACGTTTCAATTCATTTTTGTTGTTTAGATTTACCAACATATTATATATTTTTATGTTTTTAAAAGAACCCATTGTTAGCTTTTATGGTTTTCCATAGATTTTTAATTTGTAATTGCTCATTTATATTTTGCATAAATTAGCTTCTTTCTCCTACTTTTCTTAAATTTAACTGCTCATTTTCAAATGTGTTCACATATTTTTAAAATTACATTTATTCATTCATGTTTAATAATATAAATATGTAGTCTCTCACTTTCTAGAATGGCTTCTTTTGGTCATTTACCATAACCTTTGATACACTGAATTTTCATTGTTCTTATTTTTTGTGTAGTTTTTAAACTATCTAGACTATCTGGAAATCATCTCTTTCATTCAAAAATTGCTTAAATGTAATTTATTTTCTTTAAACTAGGGCTACTAATTTCTCTTTTTAAACCTATTTTGCCTTGTTTTTACTGAGCCCATTTTAAATTTCAAACTCAGACTCAGCTAATTCAAATTTCCCTTAATTATCTTTTTACTAGTATTTCTCTTTGGCTCTCTTTCTGTTTCTGAAATCTTTGTCATATGTGTACTAAATTTCTTGCTTCTGTCTACATCCCATCTTTTCTCTCATCATTTTTATCTGTATCTATTTGGGCTCTTGGAGAATTTAGTGAACATTTCAAACTTTTAAAATTCAATTTGCTATATAGACAAACCTTTCTTCACAACCTCTTTTATTGATTTTAATTTGGCAATCATTTTTAAACTTTTCTTTAAATTATAGTTGAATTACTCTTAGGGTTTTTTTCATTACTTATCATGTCGTTTCTTTGAATCTTATTGAGTATACATAAAAGAGATTCAAAATTTACTACCTTTTTTTTTCTAATAGTAAGCTCCAATGTTTCAGAGCTGTCCCCTTCCTTTGAACTAAAATAACTGATGTGTCTGATGACTTTTCTGTCTCTTCGGGCACACCTGAGGCAATGGAAATTAATTTCTTGTTGCCATAATTACAAGCTGATATGGAACTGTCAAAACTATGCAGGTCTCTATTTAAGTCTTTCAAGTATAAAAACAAATAAATATAAAAATTTGAGATTTACTTTAATAATACTTTGCTAGTTCAGAGGTACAGTGGCCTGGAGAGGAATAGGAAGTATCTGAAGCCAAAGACAGCAAGTAATGGCCAGGAATTACTGGCAGAAGGCCACCATTCTTTGCCTGGCACAGTTGCATTTGTTACTAACCAACCAAAGAAGAGCCCCACTCCTTACCTACTGGGCCAAGTAGGCAGGGAATAAATGCCGCTTTGGGCATCTCCACTTGCCATGACCTCCTAGAATCAATTGTGTTTCCCAGAAGCAGTAATAGGATCCGTATTGTCACACTGGCTTTGGACAGGGAAGAAGGGGAAAGGGCTGATAGCCTACTGAGATTTTGCCAGGCCTTTTGTACAAGTTGCCAGTACTTCACCTATAGAGGATCATGTGTCCAATCAACCATTTCTTTATTTCAATCCTGTTCATCCAAGCAAATAAAAATTCCTCAACGAATCTCATGTGAGAAAACCATGGGTTATCAGAATTGATTAAAGTTATGTCTTACTTTTATATTCCACTGGTCATTTCATCAGTAGTCATATGTGCTTCATTAACAATCTGTATTAATGTAGAGGTTTTTTCCTTTTGGGTACTAAAATGCCATCCTAGGATATAATCCTATGCTTTCAATTTTATGTCTACTCTGGCTGTGATGTTTCTGAAAACAGTGCCTAACAACTGGGTCAGTTTGTCCACTGACATCTGGGAAAATGCTAGACTTACTTTGGTCCATGAGTGGAAGAAAAGTCACATAGAAGCATATGGTCTCTTCACATTTTCCCAGCTTCTGGCAACTTCCAAAACAGCTGCAAAGAGTGGTTTGTGCCAGCACTTCAGAGATCGCTTTAGCCTTTTTGTTCAGAGAGGACATATTTCTCTCTGTGGATTAACAATTATACATTCTACCACAATGTGCATAAAATAATAATATTTTAAATCTAAAGAGTAGACTACACTAGAGGTACAGCTTTTATAACAAAGGGAACAATTTCATTTGTATTGAATATCATTGAAACTGTTCAATGATATTACTCTAAGACATATATACTTTCTTGACAGTAAAAAGCAACAAAATATTAAGGAATGAGTTGAATGTTTTCAGATAAAATGTAAGGAAATAGGAAAATATATAAAAATCTCTCTTAAGGTAAATTATCAGAAAGAATTTTTTAGATTCTCTTTTATATTGTCTTCTACTTCCTACCAAAGAAGTTTTTCCCTCCTAAGCTTTTTTTTTCAATCTCTTACAAACATCTCAAGTACTTTTACCTGAACACTTGTTATGCATTTGAAAAAAGGAGGCACTCATGAATGAAACCAACAAGACAAATATTTCTCATTTAACAGGAGATACTGATAATGCGTACCTAGAGATATACTCTCAAAAATTTCATGAACCAACTCACTACACTCCTCTATGACACTTCTGGGGAAGAAACCTTCATCTTTATGCTCATGCACTCCGATTTTGTTTTGCATTGTTTTTATTTATTTGTTTTTCATTACATTAACTGTTTGGCAGAGGAATAGAAGTCATCAGGTATGGGGAATTTCCTTCACTTGTACATTCCAAAATGTATTTTCCTAAATCAATATATAATAGATAATGTTCTAAGAAAATGCATTGGCCATTTGCCATGAATTCTTTTCAAGATTATCTGGGTACAAAGACAGGCCTAATGATAACAAGGAAATGCGGGCAGAGATGACACAATCTACCATCCCCTTGCAGATTGGCTTTTTCTAAGTCAGAAGGGGAAACTGGCTGTATAAAAGCTAGATTACCAGAAATTGGGGATGATATGTCTCTATTGATTGACTGATTATGAGCTAATCTCATTCACTAAATCTATACTGTCTTCATCCTTTACTCTTGATGGGAAGTCTTCCCTGAAGATATACAATCAGTTGAGGACACTCCTTCAGTAAGGAATACCTCTAACTACATGGAATAAAGCTCCGCTAAGAGTGACACTAATTATCTGGAAAACAAGAAGATACTATCCAGGATAGTGCAGCTGCCCAGCTCAAAAATATTACCAAAAACCTGGCTGTCCATCTTTCCATCCTGTTCTCTTTAGCGGTGTTGGACCTCATCCTCAGGATTATAGCCTCGTGATCACAAAGTTATTGCTACACTCTAGGTATAGAACCTATCTTATAGGGAGGAAGGGAAAAAGCAATGAAGAACAGTTGGTCTAAGCAAGAAGACAAAACCTTCCTTAAAGCCAGCAAATTCTCTGTAATCCTTATTAGCCACAGCTGTGTGGTGTGGCCACCACTAGGTTCAGGATGTCTGAGATACTGAATTATTTTAGATGGGTTGGTCGCCTCCCTTAAGGAAATTGGGAAATTTTTAATAAGAGGGACAAAAAATAGATATTAGATAGTCAAGGAACATTTTATGCTGAACAGCCTTCCCTGACAGATGCCTCTTCTTTGGTCTAAGTAGTGATATCTTTAGAGGCACTGGCTCTGTAATATCAGTTGATTCCCATTGATGCAGATGAATTGGACTTATGGATTCTCTCAGTATCTAAGCAATACAAATATTATTTCTACTTTAAATAATCATTTAAATAGATTTTGTTTCACATACATTACATACATTTTGCTTCATTCTTCACATTGATGATTTAAAACACTTTATACAATGTACTTACTCGTGACATTCACTATAAAATATCTGTTGAATTCACTAGTTCAAATATTTTACACCATCTTTAAAGACATAATGCCCTCCATCACTTTAACATATCAGAATATCTCACTTTATATCTACTTTTTTTAGAGAATTAAAACCATCTCTTCCCTTCTAACTGCAACTTTCCTCAAAGCCCTAGTTGACCTTGCTTTTTGTCTGTAGGAAGAGAAAGAAAATGTCTACATTTCAACTTAAAGGCAATTATTGAAATGTAATGTTTCTTGAAAATAAACTTTTTATTTTAGAATAGTTTGTAATTTACAGAAAAAATTGCAAAGATAATAAAGGGCATTTCCATAAGCCCCACACCCAGTTGCCCCTATTATTAACATTTTACATTAGTATGACATATTTGTCACTAGTAATGAGCCAATATCGATACACTATTATTAAAGTCTATATTCAGATTTCCTTTGATTTTTACCTAATGTCCTTTTTCTGTTCCAGGATCCCATCCAAGACACCACATTACATTTAGTTTTCATGTCACTTTTAGTCTTCTCTTGGTTGTGACAGTTTCTCATACTTTCCTTGTTTTTTGCCCTTGTTTTTTGTAACCTTGATGGTTTAGAGGAATACTGGTTATCTTACAGAATGTCCCTCAAGTGGGATTTGTCTGAATGATTAGACAGGTTGGGCACGGTGGCTCACGCCTGTAATTCCAGAACTTTGGGAGGCCGAGGCGGGCAGATCACCTGAGGTCAGGAGTTTGAGACCAGCCTGGCCAACATGGTAAAACCCCGACTCTACTAAAAATACAAAAATTAGCTGGGCGTGGTGGCAGGCACCTGTAATCCCAGCTACTAGGGAGGCTGAGGCAAGACAATCACTTCAACCCAGGAGGCGGAGGTTGCAGTGAGCCAAGATCGCGCCATTGCACTCCAGCCTGGGCAACAAGAGTGAAACTTCATCACACACACACACACACACACACACACACACACACACACACAAAGAAAGGGCTTATACATTTTGAGAATGAAAACTAGAGAGATAGTGTCATTTTCATTGCACCACATCAAGGGTACATACCAGCAATACAACTTTTTGATGTTAACTTTGATCACCTGGATAAGGTAGTGTTTTCGGGATTCTCCCCTGTAAAGTTATTTCTCCTCCCATTTTTTATGTTGCGTTCTTTGACAAAGGTTACTAGACACAGCCCACACTTAAGAAGTGGGGAGTTAGCCTCCTCTTCCTTGAGGAGAGAATATCTACATTAATTATTTGCAATTCTTCTGCATGGGATATTTATTTATTGTCCCTCACTAATTTATATAGTCAATCATTTATTTATATCGGTTTGTACTCATGGGTATTTATTTTAAGCTTTGGATTATAACACAATACTACAATATTTCCTTGCTCAAATTGCTCCAAATGTGGCCATTGGAAACTCTTTCAGTTCTCTGCTGTGTACTTTGACATATTCCCATCGTTAGTGTCTGTATTTTTTTTTTTTACATTTCTTTATCTTTAGGCACTACAAGATGTTTCAGGCTTATCTTGTATATTTCCTGCCCTAGTCCTAGAATCGGCTACTTCTCTATGGAGTTCTGGCTCCTTTTATTAGAGAATGGCATTAGAAACCAAGATCTGGATGCTAGGTGCAAATTTACTTTTAATTGGCAGTTGCACTGTAATGAGAAACACACGGAAATTAGATTCAAACCTGGAATGAGAAAATAGAGGTTCAAAGCCTGACTCCATCATTTTCTAGCTGTGTGTTCTTGGCTATGTTACTTAGCTTCTCTAGCCCTTAGTTTCTAATGTGGTAGCCGTACTAATAGCTAACATGTAGAATGGGGTTTCTCAACCTTGGCACTGTTGACATTTATGCCAGATCACTATTTGTTGTAATAAGCTGTCCTGTGCATTGCAAAATGCTTAGCAGCATCCCTGACCTCTGCCCACTAGTTGCCAGTAGCTTGTGTCAGTCATCAAAATCAAAGATGATTTCAGACATTGCCAAATGTCCCCTGAAGGGCAAAACTGCACCCAGTTGAGAACCACCGCTGTACAATTCCATGAGGTTGATATTATTTTACAGATGAGGAAAGGGTAAAGAAGGAGGTAAGAAATTCACCCAAGGTTTCATAGCTAATTAGATGCAGTACTAGGATTTAAGCCCAGAGAGACTGACTTTTAACCTCATGATCTTAACAATACTACAACTGCCTCTGTAAATGATAGGGGTAATAATTCTGCCCTTTCAGAGTTATAATAATTAAATGAGATATCATCTGTAAGAACATCTTACAAGGTACTTAGTAGAAGAGGGCTTTGATAAATGTCAGTGGAATCTGTAACTGAATCCCCTGCTGCCTCCACAGCAAGCTTGCTCCACCACACACCCTCTAGTATTGTCTTTAGTTCTTCCTTCTACACATTTTTTACCTTCTGCCTACAAATGTGCTCAGATCTTTCCAACCTGAAGAATCTCTCCTTTGATTAGATCCCTCTTTCAAGTTATCAAACTAATATTCTTAACACCACATTCATATTTATTTTTTCTTCTTTATCATTCACTCATCTCATAGTGCTTTAAAATCTTGATTCATTTCTGCCTGTGAGCCCCTATTGACCTAATCCAAAAGGCATGATAGCCCAATAAAGGGGTTCAAGGGATGTATACTTTCACAGTTGCTTTGTGCAGATAAAAAAACTGAAGCAAGAACTATTTCATGAATTGCCAAGGCCACATAACTATTGTGCACATAGTACTTGCTACAAAAGTCGTTTATGCTTTCATTCCTATGGGTCTCTACCTCATATGAAGTTGCTGAACATGCCTCCTCGAAACTGTCTTTTTTGATTTTGGTGACATCTATTTTCTGCTACCTTTCCAATCTCTCTTTTTCCACATTCTTAATGAGTTTCCTTTCTGCTTTTACTCATATATGTATCAGCAAAGTTATTCCCTTAGCCATGCTTAATCTCTTTTCATTAGTTACATACTATCTCTCACAACCTCAATAGTCGTACATATTTCTTTCAGATCTGTACCTCTCACCTACCCCATATTTTGAGTCACTGACCCACAGTTTTAACTGCCTAATTAAATCTGTAGCTTAGATTTCCTACAACTACCCAAAACAGAATTTTCAAAGCGGAAGTCATTTTTACTCCTAAGATATTCTTTTCAGTGTACCTATTTTTCTTAATGGAAACTTAAATCATTGTTATCTCTTCTATTTCTTAACTCTATCACCCTTGTTTTAAATCTTTGTCAAATTCCATAGATTTTCACCCTTGTAAAGTCTTTAATATATATCCATTTAATTACAATTTCTATCACTTTAAGGTTTTTTTTTTTACTATTGCCTGGAACATTTACATAATTCGATGAATGGCCTCTTGCTTCAGGCTTTCCTTCCCTAAATCATCTTGGAAATTACGACAGATTCAGCTTCTTAAAACACAGCCCTCACAATGTGATAGCCCTATTCAAAACTGTCAGTGGCTCTTCATGGTGCTCTTCAATACAGTAGCCACCAACCATTTATGGCTATTGATGCCTTGAAATATGGTTACCAAAACATAACCAGATAAGCCGGAAGTATAAAATACACAGTGGGTTTTGAAGACAGTCCAAAAAAGAAACCCCTTAAAATATCTTTAAAATAATTTTAATAGAGATTACATGTTAAAATGGTGATATTATGAATATATTGGGTTAGATAAAGTGCATTGATAAAATAAATTTTACCTTACAAAGTGATTAATAGAAATTTAAAATTATATATGTACTTCACATTATATTTTTGTTGGATATTGCCAGCCTAGGCAACAAAGAATACATTACTTGATCATATAAATTCTACTATAATTTCCCAACTTTCTTTCCCAACTTTTTCCCTATTATTTCCATATACATACCATGTACTCCATTCAGTTTAGACAATTGCTATTCCTGACCATTCCCCCCCTTTATCATCTTCATGTCTTTTCTCACATTGTTCACTCCTGATAGAGCACCCTATCCCCCATTCCTGCCTATCAGCCCGGACTCTTGTTAGCCAGTGACTACAACCTAATTCAAGAGGGCTTGAACAAAATACCATTTTATTGGCTTGTGTAGCTGAAAATCTAGATGTCAATTTGAGAAACAGTTGGATCTGGGAGGGTTAAATACTGTTATCAAGATATGATAATTCTCATTCTATCACTATCTCTTTCTTTCTATCCCTCCATCCCATCGCTCTTGGTCTTCATCTCTTGCCTCTACTTTCCTTTGCGTTGGCTTCAATTTAATTTCAAGATCTCTCCATGTACTAATCTTATATAGCTCCAACTTTAACAACCCCAAAAGAAAAAAAGTACCTTTTCACTACATTGGGTCATATATCTTCAAGGGAATAATTGTTAGCTGAGTGGCTAGGCTTGGGACACATGCAAATCTTGGAAACAAGAATGGGTCAATTCACCCAACCAGACAGCTTGCAGGTAGGAGAGAAGTTGTCCACAGAAGAAAATCAAGATGCTAATACCAGAAGACAAAGAAATGGCTTCTGAGCAGAACTAACAGATGTAATTACATTATCAAACTTCATCATTTCTATAAATTTTCAATACAAACTGTTTCAATAAAGGAAAATTTACATTTACGTTCCAGAGCTCTATAGACCATTCTAAACAAACAAAATCTCCTGATTTGAGAGAAAGCCTTGTGTTATATTCCAAATACAAATGGTAGACAATAAGAATCACCTGTAGGCATTTTACAAACAGTGCCAACACCTACCCAGGAGCACCACTGGGTCACTTTCAGAGCCCTGACCTCTTAACGATTGTTTGTTTGGAATTTATCTTCCCTAATTCTTATAGTAGGTGCTCACTAAATATTTTCTTAAATTAATGCTAACAGATGCTTTAGTTATCTGATAACTATATATTTCAGAGGATTTTCACGTCAACACCTTTGACCAAATTGCAAATTTATTGACTAATCACAGTTTGGTACTTTTTACAGTGAATGCAGAAACTGTCATAGAATGTCCTCTGACTGAGGAAAGAAAAACAGAGACCTGTGGAAGAATTCATTTCTCATCAACAATGGCTAGAGCATATATTATTTCAGAGAGTTCTCCAGAAAATGCAAAGACGTTCCAAATTCCAGAGAAGACAGAAAGGACCTTTATAAAACCATTTCTTTAAAAAAGAAGCAGAAGACAAAACTGAGTGCCTGAGGGTGAGAATTTCCCCCCATGCACTCTAGCATAGGAGCCCGGAGTCTTTTTGAGAAAAATTTTAGTTTTGGTAGAGATTGTGTGTAACTTTGAATAGTCACTTAATTTCCTTTTCACCATGTGTAAAAGGTAAATAACAACATCTACCCCAATCTATATCACAGGAATTGAACAAGATAAAGTAATATAAAAATAATCTATGTGAAAGATAACATTTTATGAACTGTAAAGTTCCACACTATTATCAGGTTGGAAGAAACTATAAGATCAAAATATTTTCAAAAGAAGGAAACTTCATATATTGTGCACACCTAATTTATACACACTTCAATTAGTTTGGACCATAGCATGACATGACCTACTTTAGTGAAATATATGCAAACATTTTCAGGCCTGATGCCCACTCTAAAATCTAAATACTGGTGAAAAACTGATAATTTTTACCAGTGCACATTCTTTCAAGTAGTGAGTCACATGTCAAGAACAACAGAAATTATTAAAATGTTTACTCTATCATTTACATCTGTTTTGTATTTTATACTGGAAATTAACATTGAAAACTGGAAATCAATACAAAGACTGGATGATTACTGTCTGTACTAGGGGAACCAGTAACTGAGAAACCCCTGAGTTGTAAGCTTTGTGATATTTAAAAAGCCAGAAGAAAAATGATCATTAAAAAAAGAAATCTGAGAGCCAAAATCTGAGATGCTGAAGGCTCCTAGAATTCAGGGACAGATTGCAAGTGCTCTGCGCCCAAACATAGAAGTAAATAAGCTACAAAACCAAACTGTTCCTTTCTTTCTAACAACTGGACATTCTTTTTTCACTGCACCGGAAGGCTGCATCAGAAAAATGCCCCTTAATTAGTTTCATCTGTGTTTATCATGAGTAATATTTTTTAAATAGATCTTCAAGTGACCTTTTCTTTTCCTCACTACCGATTTGACATGGTTTGTTTTTCAATCATCTCTGTGAGCTTGTGCCAGGCAAGGCTATGCCTTCTTGTCTCACAGTCTGGGGTTCAGGTAGTGACACTGTGGAGTTCTAGCTGTGAGGTCTATGGGAGGTACTTTTGTACTAAACAAGTATAGACCCTGGATACTCCAATAAAAGGTCGGCATTGTCACTTCAGAGTTCTCTTTTCTCATGGTAGCCTGGCAACCGAATTGCGTCTCTTTGATGGAGGGCGTTCCTACTAGAAAACAGCTTTATGAAAAGTGTCAGGGTCATCTTTAGAAACCCAAAGAAAACAAAACAAAACCCCCCAAAAAAAGCCTACCACCAAGAAGGCAAAGAAAAAAAAATCTGCACAACTCAATTATTCAGCTGCACACAACTGCGCCTGTCAGGTCTTGGTAAAAACACTCACTTGAATTTAATTAAGTTTGTCCATGTAGCCTGTGAACTGCTCGCCAGACCTGCTGGAAGGGGATGAAAAGCCTGACGGCAGGCCCCGTGAGGCCATTGTTGATAAGGAAGGGCACAACATTCTCAAGTTAGGTAAATTCCCATCCCCTTGCACACAAAATGCACTGGGGTAATATCCTTTTGAAGGGTGTGTCAGAAAGTTGGGTTGCCTGAGAGCCAAGACAGAGGAGAACTTTTCCCACCAATAACATATCCACTTCTTCTGGAGGCAGTGTGCTGAATGGTAAAGTGCCTGGTCTTTGGAAAGCTAATGGCCTTTGGAACTTTGAAGTCAAACAATTAGATTGAAATGCCTGTTCTGCCACTTACTCGTTCTGTTATTCTGGGAAGGTTAAGGAACCTCGCCGAGTCTCAGTTTCCTTATTTGTAAGCTAGAAAGTCAAAACTACCTGAAAGTTTATCAGGATTCAGTGAGGTCCTATTGGTAAAATGAGATACTGTTGGCTCTCAATGACCCTTCTCCTTATTTCTCTACTTAAATCCTCTAATGTGTATTCCCATTTATTATAAAATAATTTCCAAACTTGGAAACATGATAGAGTACTTTCAAAATCAAACCTTGCCAGTACATGCCTGTTGCCTCCAAATGCCTGTCAGAACTATCTGTCTTCTCCCTTGTGCCTTTTTATGCTGCAGTACCTGCCATACACTTTCAATCTCTTGACTAAAATATCTTTTCCAGTCATTCTTCAAGACCCTATTCAAGTATCCCCAAGTCTTGCCTTAGCTCTCCAAGGCAGAATTAACCACTGTGGGCCTTAGGTTCCCAGAGCACTTTGTACTTTTCTCAATTAAAAAATTTTACCTTCTAGATTGACTTGCTTTTAGTTTTTCCTCCAACAAACCATAATCTCCAACAAACCTATAAAGGATTCGTTGGCAACCATTTACTTTTATATTATTCAAATATTTAACAAAGTGTTCAATAAATATTTAACTGATGAATAGGTAATTTCCAGAGCATCTTTAATTAAGCCACTTTAAAATTTACATTTAAAATGTTCTGTAAACAGATGCTTATTGTTTTTTGGCATCACCCTAAATTAGCACAGGATACTCATATAAAAATCCATAAATCTGAAATGTAAAATATGATAAGGAGTATTGAAATAAGAATAAAAGAGTTGGAAAGTAAACAAATACTAATTTGTAATCTATACACAGCTTGGTCAGAGTATGCTGAAAACTCCTTTCTAATAAAATAACAAACCCAGTGCAGATATGGTAATTACTAGAAATTTTACCTATACAAATATTTGCAAGCAGTTTCATAAAAATCAAATTATTATTTTGATTTTAGTTTTATTTTGATTAATTTGAGTAAAATTATTTTGATTTGTTTTAAAAATAATTTTTAATTATTTTGATTAATTTGATTTTAGTTTAGTAAGTTCCTTTCTTTCTGAAAAGTTTATTCTATTGAAAAACGACAGTGAGGGCAGCCAAGATGGCCGAATAGGAACAGCTCCAGTCTACAGCTCCCAGCGTGAGTGACGCAGAAGACGGGTGATTTCTGCATTTCCATCTGAGGTACCGGCTTATTCACACTAGGGAGTGCCAGACAGTGGGCTCAGGACAGTGGGTGCAGCGCACCGTGCACGAGCTGAAGCAGGACAAGGCATTGCCTCACTCGGGAAGCGCAAGGGGTCAGGGAGTTCCCTTTCCTAGTCAAAGAAAGGGGTGACAGACAGCACCTGGAAAATCAGGTCACTCCCACCCGAATACTGCGCTTATCTGATGGGCTTAAAAAACGGCACACCAGGAGATTATATCCCACACATGGCTTGGAGGGTCCTACGCACACGGTGTCTCGCTGATTGCTAGCACAGCAGTCTGAGATCAAACTGCAAGGCGGCAGCGAGGCTGGGGGAGGGGCGCCCGCCATTGCCCAGGCTTGCTTAGGTAAACAAAGCAGCTGGGAAGCTCCAACTGGGTGGAGCCCACCACAGCTCAAGGAGGCCTGCCTGCCTGTGTAGGCTCCACCTCTGGGGGCAGGGCACAGACAAACAAAAAGACAGCAGTAATTTCTGCAGACTTAAATGTCCCTGTCTGACATCTTTGAAGAGAGCAGTGGTTCTCCTAGCACACAGCTGGAGATCTGAGAACGGGCAGACTGCCTCCTCAAGCGGGTCCCTGACCCCTGATCCCTGAGCAGCCTAACTGGGAGGCACCCCCCAGTAGGGGCAGACTGACACCTCACAAGGCCGGGTACTCCTCTGAGACAAAACTTCCAGAGGAACAATCAGACATCAGCATTCGCGGTTCATGAAAATCCGCTGTTCTGCAGCGACCGCTGCTGATACCCAGGCAAACAGGGTCTGAAGTGGACCTCTAGCAAACTCCAACAGACCTGCAGCTGAGGGTCCTGTCTGTTAGAAGGAAAACTAACAAACAGAAAGGACATCCACACCAAAAACCCATCTGTACATCACCATCATCAAAGACCAAAACTAGATAAAACCACAAAAATGGGGAAAAAACAGAGCAGAAAAACTGGAAACTCTAAAAAGCAGAGCGCCTCTCCTCCTCCAAAGGAATGCAGCTCCTCACCAGCAACGGAACAAAGCTGGATGGAGAATGACTTTGACGAGTTGAGAGAAGAAGGCTTCAGATGATCAAACTACTCTGAGCTATAGGAGGAAACTCAAACCAAAGGCAAAGAAGTTGAAAACTTTGAAAAAAGTTTAGACGAATGTATAACTAGAATAACCAATACAGAGAAGTGCTTAAAGGAGCTGATGGAGCTGAAAGCCAAGGCTCGAGATCTATGGGAAGAATGCAGAAGCCTCAGGAGCCGATGTGATCAACTGGAAGAAAGGGTATCAGTGATGGAAGATGGAATGAATGAAATGAAGCGAGAAGGGAAGTTGAGAGAAAAAAAGAATAAAAAGAAACAAACAAAGTCTCCAAGAAATATGGGACTATGTGAAAAGACCAAATCTACGTCTGATTGGTGTATCTGAAAGTGATGGGGAGAATGGAACCAAGTTGGAAAACACTGCAGGATATTATCCAGGAGAACTTCCCCAATCTAGCAAGGCAGGTCAACATTCAGATTCAGGAAATACAGAGAACGCCACAAAGATACTCCTCGAGAAGAGCAACTCCAAGACACATAATTGTCAGATTCACCAAAGTTGAAATGAAGGAAAAAATTTCAAGGGCAGGCAGAGAGAAAGGTCAGGTTACCCACAAAGGGAAGCCCATCAGACTAACAGTGGATCTCTCGGCAGAAACTCTACAAGCCAGAAGAGAGTGGGGGCCAATATTCAACATACTTAAAGAAAGGAATTTTCAACCCAGAATTTCATATCCAGCCAAACTAAGCTTCATAAGTGAAGGAGAAATAAAATACTTTACAGACAAGCAAATGCTGAGAGATTTTGTCACCACCAGGCCTGCCCTAAAAGAGCTCCTGAAGGAAGCACTAAACATGGAAAGGAACAACTGGTACCAGCCGCTGCAAAATCATGCCAAAATGTAACGACTATCGAGACTAGGAAGAAACTGCATCAACTAACGAGCAAAATAACCAGCTAACATCATAATGACAGGATCAAATTCACACATAACAATATTAACTTTAAATGTAAATGGACTAAATGCCCCAATTAAAAGACACAGACTGGCAAATTAGATAAAGAGTCAAGACCCATCAGTGTGCTGTATTCAGGAAACCCATCTCACGTGCAGAGACACACATAGGCTCAAAATAAAAGGATGGAGGAAGATCTACCAAGCAAATGGAAAACAAAAAAAGGAAGGGGTTGCAATCCTAGTCTGTGATAAAACAGGCTTTAAACCAACAAAGATCAAAAGAGACAAAGAAGGCCATTACATAATGGTAAAGGGATCAATTCAACAAGAAGAGCTAACTATCCTAAATATATATGCACCCAATACAGGAGCACCCAGATTCATAAAGCAAGTCCGAGTGACCTACAAAGAGACCTAGGCTCCCACACAATAATAATGGGAGACTTTAACACCCCACTGTCAACATTAGACAGATCAATGAGACAGAAAGTTAACAAGGATACCCAGAAATTGAACTCAGCTCTGCACCAAGTGGACCTAATACACATCTACAGAACTCTCCACCCCAAATCAACAGAATATACATTTTTTTCAGCACCACACCACACCTATTCCAAAATTGACCACATACTTGGAAGTAAAGCTCTCCTCAGCAAATGTAAAAGAACAGAAATTATAACAAGCTGTCTCTCACATCACAGTGCAATCAAACTAGAAGTCAGGATTAAGAAACTCACTCAAAACCGCTCAACTACATGGAAACTGAACAACGTGCTCCTGAATGACTACTGGGTATATAATGAAATGAAGGCAGAAATAAAGATGTTCTTTGAAACCAACGAGAAGACGCAACATACCAGAATCTCTGGGACACATATAAAGCAGTGTGTAGAAGGAAATTTATAGCACTAAATGCCCACAAGAGAAAGCAGGAAAGATCCAAAATTGACACCCTAACATCACAATTAAAAGAACTAGAAAAGTAAGAGCAAACACATTCAAAAGCTAGCAGAAGGCAAGAAATAACTAAAATCAGAGCAGAACTGAAGGAAACAGACACACAAAAAACCCTTCAAAAAATTAATGAATCCAGGAGCTGGTGTTTTGAAAGGATCAACAAAATTGATAGACCGCTAGCAAGACTAATAAAGAAAAAAGAGAGAAGAATCAAATAGATGCAATAAAAAATGATAAAGGGGATATCACCACCGATCCCACAGAAATACAAACTACCATCAGAGAATACTACAAACACCTCTATGCATATAAACTAGAAAACCTAGAAGAAATGGATAAATTCCTTGACACATACACCCTCCCAAGACTAAACCAGGAAGAAGTGGAATCTCTGAATAGACCAATAACAGGCTCTGAAATTGTGGCAATAATCAATAGCTTACCAACCAAAAAGAGTCCAGGACCAGATGGATTCACACCGAATTCTACCAGAGGTACAAGGAGGAGCTGGGACCATTACTTCTGAAACTATTCCAATCAATAGAAAAAGAGGGAATCCTCCCTAACTCATTTTATGAGGCCAGCATCATCCTGATACCAAAGCCAGGCAGAGACACAACCAAAAAAGAGAATTTCAGACCAATATCCTTGATGAACATTGATGCAAAAATCCTCAATAAAATACTGGCAAACTGAATCCAACAGCACATCAAAAAGCTTATCCACCATGATCAAGTGGGCTTCATCCCTGGGATGCAAGGCTGGTTCAGTATATGCAAATCAATAAATGTAATCCAGCATATAAACAGAACCAAAGACAAAAACCACATGATTATCTCAAAAGATGCAGAAAAGGCCTTTGACAAAATTCAACAACGCTTCATGCTAAAAACTCTTAAAAAATTAGCCATTGATGGGACGTATCTCAAAATAATAAGAGCTATCTATGACAAACCCACAGCCAATATCATACTGAATGGGCAAAAACTGGAAGCATTCCCTTTGAAAACTGGCACAAGACAGGGATGCCCTCTCTCACCACTCCTATTCAACAGAGTGTTGGAAGTTCTGGCCAGGGCAATTAGGCAGGAGAAGGAAATAAAGGGTATTGATTCAGGAAAAGAGGAAGTCAAATTGTCCCTGTTTGCAGATGACATGATTGTATATCTAGAAAACCCCATTGTCTCAGCACAAAATCTCCTTAAGCTGATAAGCAACTTCAGCAAAGTCTCAGGATACAAAATCAATGTACAAAAATCACAAGCATTCTTATACACCGATAACAGACAAACAGAGAGCCAAATCATGAGTGAACTCCCATTCACAATTGCTTCAAAGATAATAAAATACTTAGGAATCCAACTTACAATGGATGTGAAGGACCTCTTCAAGGAGAACTACAAACCACTGCTCAATGAAATAAAACAGGATACAAACAAATGGAAGAACATTCCATGCTCATGGGTAGGAAGAATCAATATCCTGAGAATGGCCATACTGCCCAAGGTAATTTATAGATTCAATGCCATCCCCATCAAGCTACCAATGAGTTTCTTCACATAATTGGAAGAAACTACTTTAAAGTTCATATGGAACCAAAAAAGAGCCCGCATTACCAAGGCAATCCTAAGCCAAAAGAACAAAGCTGGAGGCATCACACTACCTGACTTCAAACTATACTACAAGGCTACAGTCACCAAAACAGCATGGTACTGGTACCAAAACAGAGATATAGATCAATGAACAGAACAGAGCCCTCAGAAATAATGCCACATATCTACAACTATCTGATCTTTGACAAACCTGAGAAAAATAAGCAATGGGGAAAGGATTCCCTATTTAATAAATGGTGCTGGGAAAACTGGCTAGCCACATTTAGAAAGCTGAAACTGGATCCCTTCGTTACACCTTATACAAAAGTTAATTCAAGATGGATTCAAGACTTAAACGTTAGACCTAAAACCATAAAAACCCTAGAAGAAAACCTAGGCATTATCATTCAGGACATAGGCATGCACAAGGACTTCATGTCTAAAACACCAAAAGCAATGGCAACAAAAGCCAAAATTGACAAATGGGATCTAATTAAACTAAGGAGCTTCTGCACAGCAAAAGAAACTACCATCAGAGTGAACAGGCAACCTATAAAATGGGAGAAAATTTTCGCAACCTACTCATTTGACAAAGCGCCAATATTCAGAATCTACAAAGAACTCAAACAGATTTACAAGAAAAAAACAAACAACCCCATCAAAAAGTGGGTGAAGGACATGAACAGACACACTTCTCAAAAGAAGACATTTATGCAGCCAAAAAACACATGAAAAAATGCTCACCATCACTGGCCATCAGAGAAATGCAAATCAAAACCACAATGAGATACCCTCTCACACCAGTTAGAATGTCAATCATTAAAAAGTCAGGAAACAACAGGTGCTAGAGAGGATGTGGTGAAATAGGAACACTTCTACACTGTTGGTGGGACTGTAAACTAGTTCAACCATTGTGGAAGTCAGTGTGGTGATTCCTCAGGGATCTAGAACTAGACATACCATTTGACCCAGCCATCCCATTACTGGGTATATACCCAAAGGACTATAAATCAGGCTGCTATAAAGACACATGCACACGTATGTTTATTGCGGCACTATTCACAATAGCAAAGACTTGGAACCAACCCATATGTCCAACAATGATAGAGTGGATTAAGAAAATGTGGCACATATACACCATGGAATACCATGCAGCCATAAAAAGTGATGAGTTCATGTCCTTTGTAGGGACATGGATGAAATTGGAAATCATCACTCTTAGTAAACTATCGCAAGGACAAAAAACCAAACACCGCATGTTCTCACTCATAGATGGGAATTGAACAATGAGAACACATGGACACAGGAAGGGGAACATCACACTCTGAGGACTGTTGTGGGGTGAGGGGAGTGGGGAGGGATAGCATTGGGAGATATATCTAATGCTAAATGACGAGTTAATGGGTGCAGCACACCAGCATGGCACATGTATACATATGTAACTAACCTGCACATTGTGCACATGTACCCTAAAACTTAAAGTATAATAATAATAAAATAAAAAAAAGAAAAAAGACACAATTAGAACCATAGATTTATAACATTTTAGAATTCAAAATACCTCAGATAGTAATGAGTTCTCCACTCTATTTTTTTTTACAAGTAAGAAAACTAGAACTGAGAAATGTTAAGAAACAGGCAAAGTTTTGCTGCTAGTTTGGCTACTATCCAGAGCCAGACTAGACCTGAGTTATCTTGTCTCCCCATTTAAATCTCTTTTCCAGCATGCCACTGAAAGGAAGAACCAGCTGGTGATACAGAAATGGTGGGCATCTTGGGAAAATGTGAACATTTTACCATTATGGACGTCTTCCATAATGAGCTCACCCTGATTAGACCTAAGCTTCTAGGAAGCTTAGAATAAAGAGAATCCTATTTCATTCACAACTGACTTGAAAAACAAATCTCACTATTAATCATCATTCTTCATGTTATTATTGACTTATCTGGCTAGCATTTAGAATTAAATTTTGACTTCTTATCATGGCCGGTGTTACGTCTGCCTTTGTCTTACTCCAGCTATGCAAAGTGTGGCCCATAGACCAATACCCAACTGCGAAGGCGAGAATAAGAAACTTGTACAGCATTTTGACATTGCCACAACAGCCACAGTGTAAGATTGGTGGTCCCATCTTACTGAGCAGGGTGTATTAATCGCCTGTATATATGCTTTCAATGAATGTGTAACAGTTTTTATAATTATTTTTTTCTTATACTGGTACTGATATCAGTACCAGGATTGAAATAAAATTTTATGATGCTGAACCTAATTAAAAGATATGGGCTTGTATTTTGTATGTGGATTTTCTTCATTCTGTCTTATAGTAAATAGTTTTTATTATATTTTAGAAAAAAAGCTGGCCCTCATTCATGCTGTAGTCTCACTGTTTGTTTACTCCAATCTTCCAGCAATCCAAGTTCTCTCTGCCTTTGCACTCATAATCCTTCCTTGAATACCCTGCCCACAGGTCTCCTCAGGGCCAGCTCCTTCTTTCACTCCAAGCTCAGTAGAAATGTTACCACAGCAGGGCAATCCTCCCACCTCTTTCACTCTTGAGTAACATACCGCCTTCTAGTGTGACCCTTCATATTTACAGCATACATTTTTAGGTCACACCATTACTTAAACTTCCCTTGCTTTTTTGTTTCTTTAAGTGCTTATTGTCTGCAGGGAATTTGTCTAGTTCAGTTATGTCCCTGGTTCCTAAACATATTATCAATTCATCAACATATATGGAATGTTGCTAAAGGAAGTCTAGATGTTGTTTCAGGCCCATTACAAAAGCTAAATTGTTCTCATCCTTGCCACAGGCCTATAATGTAGGTATTATTATCTCCATGAATAGTTGAGGAAACACATTCACAGACATAAGACACTTACCTAAGATTACACAGCCCCGTTGGCATTTCTAATTCCTAAACTTCCCACCTGCAGTATGTAAGAAACTCTTTCAAACATTGATATCAGTAGTAAATTAACAAAACAGCCAATAAGAGGTATTTAATTATTTTGGAACATTTTCTATTCATAATTTCCATAACTTCTAACCTTGTGACTAATTTGTTATTAGGCAGACTAATTCTGATATAGGCAGAAGAGAGGTATGTGGCACATTTTAAACTAAAATCAAGAGGATTAATTGTTCCTTTTATAAATGGGTGCTCTTCAAATTATCTCATTAGAGAAGCCAGATTTAGCAAATAAAAATATAGGATCCCCAGTGAAATGTGAATTATGAGTAAATAATAAATAATTTTTTGGTATGTAGGGCATATGCTAAATACTTCTTTAAAAAATCAGTTGTTTACCTGAAAATCAAATTTAACTAGGTATTCCTTATTTTGTCTGGCAATCCTAATTCAGGAGTAAATTCAATAATTGTAGTCACAAATATCAGTGGCCATTCCATGAATGGACTGCAGTTTAAGTGCAGCGAAGGAAGTTGTATCAGAGGTCTCCGGAGAAATTTAACATATATACATATATATTTGTATTTACATACATACAGATATTTTTACATACATACATTATATATATCCCTTTCTGTGCCTTTTTGTTCTATTTGGGCCCTCAATAGATTGGGTGATGCCCATGCACATTGGTGAGAGCATCTTCTTTATTCAGTCTACTTATTCAAATGCTCACCTCTTCCAGAAACACCCTCACAAACAGAGAGAAATAATGTTTTACCAACTATTTGGGCACCCTTTAGCCTAATCAAGTTGACACATAAAATTAACCATTACAGATGTGTTGTAGGAATATGCATATTTCTTACAAAAAAGTGTATAGGGAGTTTCTGAACACATCTCTGAACCATTGCATATCTAGCAGGGCTTATGCCACCCAACAGACATGGGTGGGATTATTTTCTAGAAATAAAACAAGTGTTTGTTTCAGGGTGACAGCTTAAAAAGGAACTAGAACAATTCATCATTTTAAAAAAAAGACAACCAAGGAGTACTTTGCTAACAGCAAATAAATATGTGAAAATGATTATATAATAGTTATCAGCTGCTTTGAATTTCCACTTAGGTCAGAAGAAGAAATAAATGACTGAAGCTAGGGCAAGAGGCATTTAGTTTATTTTGGACATAGCATTTAAGGACTTCCTGAGAGTAAAGTTTCTCAAAGTTTTTGTGTGGCATCCTTTGATTTAAAAAAAAAAAAAAAAAAGCACTATCTGGCTTCAGTCAATTCCTTTGACAAGTCAGGACTGGTTTCAGCTGTAGGCCAAAGGCACTGTGTCAAGGATATGAAATGAGAAAAGAGTGATTTGGATCCCACAGATGTCAAAGGAATAAAAATCTCACCATAATCAAGGTCATGCTGTTACAGTTTGTTGCAGACTTTCCTAAACTGCATATGAATGCTCATGAATCAAGTTGTTACCAGGGCCCATAATTACTTTTGGGAAATGTTGCATATCGTAACTTAGCCTAAGTATCACAATGCACATTAACACATCCCAGAATGTAAAAATTCTAATTGTCTTTATTCAAAGTTTCCTAAATATGCAAAACCAAGGAAATGCCTCACTCTCTTCCTACCCTCTCCCAATTTTTTTTTCAAAAATTCATGGCACATGTATACATATGTAACAAACCTGCACGTTGTGCACATGTACCCTAAAACTTAAAGTATAATATTAATAAAATAAAAAAATTACCTATCAACAAGTTGCAGAAGACTGATATTTTATAGCAGCCCATTTTGTGTTGCTATAAAAGGAATACCTGAAGCTGGGCAATTTATAAAGAAAAGAGGTTGTGCCAGACACATGGCCCAAGCATGTACATCAGGCTGTTTCCACTCATGGCAGTGAAGGGGAACCGGTGTAAGCAGAGATCACATGTTGAGAGGAAGCAAGAGAGAAGAGGGAGGTGTCAGTCTCTTTTTTAACAACCAGCTCTTTCAGGAACTAACAGAGTAAGAACCCACTCACTGCAGGGAAGGGCATTAATCTATTCCTGAGAGATTTGCCCCCCATGACCCAGAAACCTCCCATTAGGCCCCACTAACACACTGGGATCAAATTTCAACATGAGATTTGGGGAGTCAAACACTCAAACCAGAACAACAATGTTTGGAACTTCCATGTAAGTGAATTCTGTAAGAAAGCTTAAATATGGCCCCAGCTTCAACCTCTGAAGAAGCACCAGACAGCAACACCTGCTGAAAGCCAATCCTGCCCAATGCTGTGTCATGAGGGCTGAGATTTGGCGTCTTGACACTGGCCATGCCCGCTGGATGGTGGAAGCTCCAGAACCCTATTAATGTGCAAGTCAGAGGCTATAGCCACCAAGTTCCCTTAACCACTAAAGTCCATATTGCTATCCTCCAGAAGTTTAATGCAGTAGCACAGGAGACCCCCTGTTGAGCATCTAGTAACAACCATCACCTAAGATCATGGAGGAGTCCAGTTTGAATAGACTGTGAATCTGGAATAAAAGGAAATTCTAGTTCACCTCTAACGCCATTCTTAAATGTCTTTATCTGATTTCCCAACAACCCCTTAAGAGCTGTTTGGTTTTCTTGCTATGTTTGCCTCTTCTCAGAATCACTTAGCAGGTAGCAATACACAAATAAACTTCTATAAATAAAGACCTGCCACCCTTCTAAGTACCTCCAACAAGTAAATGAGATGACAACAGGGAGGATGCATGCAATTATTGTATAACTCCATTATGAGAAAGTGTAAGTCTTTCTTCCTCTGTGAATTTTTACTTACTCTATTGACTAGGTTAAAGTACCCTAAGATGTCTTTCTCAAAACTCCTTGCGCTTTTTTTGAAATTAATATTTTCAATTAGGTTATATGCTCTTGAGTGGGCTAAAGTTTTATTTCTTATTCACCACTATCTCAGTACTTAGTGCATTGTGTGATACACAATAAATATGCAATACATATTTTAAATTTAATTCAGTTTCTTCATATTATCTCCAGATTGGTGCCTGATTAAGTGAATGAATTAATATGTTTTACCTTTAATAAAAACAAATAAATGTTAAAAACATTAATAAAGCCTCAGAAAAATACATAAAATAAGTGGGAAAAAATTCACCCATTACTCATACTCACAAATGGGGTATGTATGGCCAACGTCAACATTATTAGCTGAAATCGTTGGGACAATTGGCTGCAAGCCAAGCCAATGATGAAACCTTGCTCTTGTACTTGGATTTCAGGAATGCATAATCCTGCCTCCATAAACCCATCCAATCTTATTTCTCACTGCTGATTAATAAGAACTTTGTGACCAAGACAAGTTCTCATGTATGCATCTCTCTCATATGCCTGCACAAACATATGGAGTTACTCCTATGTTTGTAACTTAATTTAAGAGTTTCTCTAGTCTAAAATTCCCTCCATTTTATTGCCCATATAGATGTGTGTGTATCACCTATCCTTCCAGGGTCTACTCAAGGCTTTTCTTAAAAGCCTCACTCCACAATAATCTTTATTTCTGTAAGTTTCTTTTCTTCTTTCTTTTTTTTTTTTTTAAAGAAACGGGGTCTCACTCTGTTGCCCAGACTAGAGTGCAGTGGCACAGTCACAGCTCATTGTAACCTCGACCTCCTCCTATCTCAGCCTCCCAAGTACATGGGACTACAGGGATGCACCATTACTTGTGGATAATTTATTTTCATTTTTTTAGAAACAGAGTCTTGCCATATCTTCTAGGCTGATCTAAAACTCCTGGCCTCAAGTGATCCTGTGTAGCTGAGAAAACAAATATAAGCTGCAATACCTGGTAGTAAATTTCTTTTTAATCTCTGCAGAGCAGTTAGCACCTTATATACCATCATGCCCTCTTATTGCTCGTGTAATTTAATTCTTTACTCTATCCATATAATTTTATATGTCATCTCACCATCCAGTTGTTTACGTATGAATCAATTGCTTTAGTATATTAAAATAGTAAATCTCTCAAAGTTCTTTTATAACAGCATTTATTATGAAATTGCTTTTGTGCAATGAATGAATTATACAAAAATTAACATCTGAGACCCAACTAATTTTATTAAAGACTAATATCCATACAGCATATATTTCTGAATGCTTTGCCATTAGAAGACAGGATGAGGAAATGGTAAATAATGTGTTATGTAAGAGGCACTCTGGGTAATATTTCACTTGTATTATAAAATTTAATTCCTGAAACTTATTATGAGGTATGTTATCATAGTTCTTTTTATAGATAAGAAAATTGATACTTAGAAATGTATTCGGTGAGAATATCTATCTATCTAATATAAAATCTGTGCCCTAATTTAAGTGTATCTTCTAAATGTACATAAATGCACACCCACACACACACACATACAGAGAGAGAGAGAGAGAGAGAAAGACAGAAAGGCAGAGACACAGAGTCAGAATTTGAACTGCTGCTTTTTTAGCCCCTTTGAAATCTATAAAAAGTATTAACTTATTCACTTTTTCTAAATCTATTGGGATTTACACCTGTTTTACTCATAATCTTTGAGAATGAGGGAAGATTTCTCTGTTAATATAAAATACATCTATTTTTACAAGCACTCTGATATGGTTTGGCCATTTCTCCACCCAAATCTCATCTTGAATTTTAGATCCCATAATCCCCATGTGTCATGAGAGGGACCCAGTGGGAGGTAATGGAATCATGGGGGTAGGTATTTCCCATGCTGTTCCCATGCTGTTCCCATGATAGTAAATAAGTCTCATGAGATCTGATGGTTTTCTAAAGAGCAGTTCCCCTGAACACACTCTCTTTCCTGCCACCATGTAAGACTTGCCTTTGCTCCTCCTTTGCCTTCCACCATTATTGAGAGGCCTCCCCAGCCATGCAGAACCGTGAGTCAATTAAAACTCTTCTTCTTTATAAATTAACCCAGTCTTGGGTATTTTTCATAGCAGTAGGAAAACTGACTAATAAGTAAATTGGTACCAGTAGAGTGGGGTACTCCTATTAGGATACCCAAAAATGTGGAAGTGACTTTGGAACAGGGTAACAGGCAGAGGTTGGAAAAGTTTGGAGGGCTCAGAAGAAGACACGAAGATATGGGAAAATTTGGAGCTTCCTAGAGACTTGTTGAATGGTTTTGACCAAAATGTTGATAATGATATGGACAATGAAGTCCAGGCTGAGGGTGGTCTTATATAGAAATGAGAAACTTATTGGGAACTGGAACAAATGTGATTCTTGCTATTCTTTAGCAAAGAGGCTGGTGGCATATTGCCCCTGCCCTAGAGATCTGTGGAATTTTGAACTTGAGAGAGATGATTTAGGGTGTCTGGCGGAAGAACTTTCTAAGCAGCAAAGCATTCAAGACATGACTTGGGTGCTCTTAAAAGCATTAGTTTTATGCATTCGCAAAGATATGGTTTGGAATTGGAACTTATGTTTAAAAGGGAAGCTGAGCATAAAAGTTAGAAAAATTTGCAGCCTAACTATGTGATACAAAAGAAAAACCCATTTCTGAGGAGAAATTCAAGCAAACTGCAGAAACTTGCATAAGTAATGAGGATCAAAACGTTAATCACCAAGACAATGGGAAAAATATTTCCAGGGCATGTCACAGGCCCATAGGCCTAGGAGGAAAAAATGGTTTTGTGGGCTGAGCCCAGGGTCTTGCTGCTTTGTACAGTCTTGAGACTTGGTGCCGTGCATCCCAGCTGTGGCTAAAAGTGGCCAATATACAGCTCAGGCTGTTGCTTCAGAGGGTGGAAGCCCAAAGCCTTGACAGCTTCCATGTGGTGTTGGGCCTGTGGGTGTGCAGAAGTCAAGAATTGAGGTTTGGGAACCTCCACCTAGATTTTAGAGGATGTATGGAAATGTATGGATGTCCAAGTAGAGGTGTGATGTAGGGTCAGGGCCCCCATGGAGAACCTCTGCTAGGGCAGTGTGGAAGGAAAATGTGGGTTGGAGCCCCCACACAGAATCCCCACTGGACATTGCCTAGTGGAGCTGTGAGAAGAGGGCCATCATCCTCCAGACCCCAAAATGGTAGATCCACCAATAGCTTGCAGCATGTGCCTGGAAAAGCTGTAGACACTTAATGCCAGCCTGTGAAAGCAGCCAGAAGCGGGGCTGTACCCTGCAAAGCCACAGGTGCAGAGCTGCCCAAGACCATGGGAACCCACCTCTTTCATCAGTGTGACCTGGATGTGAGACATAGAGTCAAAGGATATAATGGAGTTTTAAGATTTGACTGCCCTGGTGGATTTTGAACTTGCATGGGGCCCTTTGTTTTAGACAATTTTCTCCCATTTGGAATAGGTGTATTTACCCAGTGTCTGTATCCCCATTGTATCTAGGAAGTAACTAACTTGCTTTTTATTTTCCAGGCTCATAGGCAGAAGGGACTTTCCTTGTCTCAGATGAGACTTTGGACTGTAGACTTTCGAGTTAACGCTGAAATGAGTTAAGACTTTGGGGGACTCTTGGGAAGGCATGATTGGTTTTGAAATGTGAGAACATGAGATTTGGCAGGGGCCAGGATGGAATGATATGGTTCGACTGTGTCCCCATCCAAATCTCATTTTGACTTGTAGCTCCCCTAATCCTCACATGTCATGGGAGGTACTCAGTGAAAGGTAACTGAATCATGGGGGCAGATTTTTCCCATGCTGTTTTTGTGATAGTGAATGTCTCATGAGATCTGATGGTTTTATAAAGGGCAGTTCCCCTGCACATGCTCTCTTGCCTGCCACCATGTAAGACGTGCCTTGTTCCTCCTTTGCCTTCCACCATGATTGTGAGGCCTCCCTAGCCATGTGGAACGTTGAGTCCATTAAACCTCTTTTTCTTTATAAATTAACCCAGTCTCAGTTATTTCTTCATAGCAGCATGAAAATGGACTAATATACACTCTAAATGTTATTTACTCTATGTATTCATATTTAGAATAACTACTCAAATTTAATCATAGTTAAAATTATTAACTTTTAATCGGAAAGTATTCTAGTAAAATAGGCAAATTTTATGGTTACACTTTCCTTAAACATGGATAATTATTGCACCTAATTTACTAGGTTGTTGTGGAAATGAATAAACTAATACATGTAAAATACATGCCTCATCCTAAGAAGTACTAAAGAAATGTTAACTATTGTTATCATTATTTTGTTATCAGTCAATCCATTATTAACAAAAACTCATAGTTTAACAATAAATTGTGTTCTGTTCTACCTGTATACCATTCTGGACCAGAATTTGAGATATTAGGAACTTCTTTTTATAGTTTTTCTGATTTTCCTAATGAGTGTGACTACATGTATAAATAAATGAGGAAAGAGACACTTGGGAGGCAAACTCCAAAGTATGACCCATGACTTCCTTTTCTCATTTCTGTTCTACATAATAAAGTTCTGATTGGGATAGACAAAAAGTGCTTCAGACACTTCAAAATATCAGCTGGAGCTGAAGAGACCAGAATTAGAAACACAACATCCAGTAGAACCAAAGTCTCAACAGCCTTATTTCTAGTTTTTTATTTCACTTAAAAACTTTACTTATCTGGAAACATACAGATGTTGTTGTTCTTTCTTTTCTTCTTCTGCTGCTGCTGGTAATGATACACACATTTGCTTTTTATGGTGTCTTTTTCTCTCGGAAAGATATACGTATGAGAAAGCACATCATCATTAAAATACTTTCTCAATTTCGAAATAGGATTTGCAGTATAAATAAGCAAGTATTAGGAGGAAACTTCAAAATGTTTATGGAAAATGTGTATTATGAAAAACTATGGATAAATTTCTAAATTATTTTGCAGCAAAATAAACTTGTACTAATTTATCACATGTCTGAATAGATTCTAGTTTAAGGAACTAAGAGGAATAAGATACCAGTTTGAAAAGAACCTCTATATTTTTAAGTTTTTGGTGAAGTTTACATTGAAGAATGGTGAAATCACTAATGCTTTATGAAAATTTTATGAGACAATTCCCCAAAGAAATCGGCAGTTTACAAATGTATAACTCGTTTTAAGAAGGGATGAAAAGATGTTGAAGATGAAGCCCACAGTGGCAGATCATCTACATCGATTTGCAAGGAAAAAATTCATTTTATTCATACCCTAAATGAAGAGGAATTATGATTAACAGCAGAAACAATAGCCAATTCATTCAGCTTATACAATTCTGACTGAAAAATTGAAGTAGAGCACACTTTCCACTTGATGTATGCCAAAATTGATGTGCCCAAATCAACTGCAGAAATTTTAGATGAGTGAGATTTCAACAGAAATTTTAAATTGGTGAAATTAAGATCCTGAAGCATTTCTTCAAAGAACTATTACAGGAGATGAAACATGGCTTTACCAGTACACCCTGAAGACAAAACAGAATCAAAATAATGGCTACCCAAGAGATAGAAGTGGTCCAGTCAAAGCAAAATTGGACCAGTCAAGACCAAAGGTCACGGCAGCAGTTTTGGGGGATGCTCAAGGCATTACACTTCTTGACTTTCTGAAGAGTCAAAGAATGAAAACATCTGCTTTCTGAAGAACCAAAGAATGATACCATCTACTTAAGATGAAAGTGTTTTGAGAAAGTGAGCCAAAGCTTTAAAAGAAAAATGCCCAGGAAAGATTTAACAGAGAGTCCTTTTCCACCACAACGCTCCCGCTCATTTCTCTCATCAGACAAGGGTAATTTTGTGAGATTTTTGATGGGAAATCATTAGGTATCCCCCTCACAGTACTGATTTGGCTTCTTCTGACTTCTTTTTATTTCTTTATCTTAAAATGTATGGGAAGAGCATTCATTTTTCTTCAGTTAATAATGTAAAAAGGATTGCATTGACATGTTTAAATTCCCAAGAACCTCAGTTCTTTAGGGATGGACTACATGGCTGTTGTCATCAGTTGCAAAGTGTCTTGACCTTTATGAAGCTTATGTTGAGAAATAACTTCTTTATCTTTTAATTTCATTTTTTCATAAACATATTACATTCCCTTCATATACTTTAATGCTTTGAAAATGTGAGTTAACTATCTAAATCAAATATTTAATATTTAAATTTGATCTGTCATTTCTAGTACTATTATGGAAGAACATACACTTTTTTCTCTTTTTAAAAATGCAATTTTAAGTTACAGTAAGCTAGTTCTGACACATCTACAGATATTTGTGGTAAATGCTCTTCACTGAGAGATACAGGAAATAAATGAGTTTCGCTGAACAAATTCAAAATAGTATTGCAGAGGAATCCTAAAAACTTAAGATGTTAAGACCATTCTTCACAAACGACTTCAATAACACATTTGCTACTATTATAATCAATCATCATTTTAATAATCCCTGGTAGAGAACAATGCACCAAACCACAGCAACTGACGATTCGAGGAAGATGTATGAATGTGTTGGTATAAGTATGTATTTTAAGTAATTCCATTAGCTGATACTCTATATTTGATCTTTGGAATCAAAATAAGAAACTAAATATTTGTTGCCTGATGTTATGAAAAACCCACAAAAGCTATGAGAATGGTCAATTCTGGTGCAAAAGTCTATTGAACTATAGGTTTATTAAGTAGAATGAAATGAAATTTTTAGTAAACAAAAAAGCAAGGATTAAAGTTCACCAGATCACATTTTTTTTTCCTTCCTAATTCAACCTTATGGCTGCAATTGTGTTCCTGCTAGTCTGAAGCTCTTTTCCTCTAATCGCCAGTCTTTTCCTCTAATCGCCAGTCGTTCCCTGCATATGTGCTGTGTTTCACACGGGGAGAGCTCTTGCCCCAAATGCCTAAGCACTGTAGCTAAATCTCCAAGATACCTGGTTGTGGCCACTGGAGAGCAAAGGACAGGTGCAAGAAAGCCCCTGGGTAGTTGTATTTTTCCTTTTCACTATGAGATAAATTTGCTTGAAGTCTTTAACAAAGAAAACAGTCATTGGTTCATCTTGCTCATGTTTAGTTTTTTGTATTTCCTTTCCCTCCTACAGTAGGATGACATCTTAAGCCACTAGATTTAATATCTCAGGCCCCTCTGAAGCTTTCAGTGTCTGCAGAGCTTTTCTAGCAAATCATCACCCTAGACTTAATTTCAAACAATAAAGACATGAGATATGAATGACTCCATGTGCTATTAATCTATTCCCTTTTAGAAGGCAAACTCCCTAAGTGCAAGATATTTTAGTATTGTCTTGACAGTGGCCAAATATAACTTTGAGGTGCTTATTAAATGGAATGCTACTGTTACAATAAATTACTCATTTTATAGAAAAAAACCTACAAATCAAATTATGGTTCTTTCAGTTTAACACTAGAAAAACTATGTATGTAAATTCAAAAAAGCAAACAAAGAGGTATATTAAAGTCATAAGATGGTATTAATCAAAAGACAAATGAATCAGATTACAAAAAAGTAAGTATATAACTAAATCTTGTTAACCATGCTCAATTGTATTTTATGTAAAATTTGTATTTTATATAAATAACATTATTAAATGAGGTATTATATGAAGAAGTGAATAAAAATCATAAGATAATTCAAGAAAATAACAGTGAAAAATATATAAGTAGCAAAACTAGAAGGAAAAACAAAATAAATACTGGGTACTCATAACCTCAATAGCATTACTGCAAAAGGAGAAAGGGACAAAGAAAAAGGACTGATAGTGAATTGGAAGAATAAAAATGTAGGATTGTACAGCCAAAGGAGACATTTAAATATTTCTAAGAAGGTTATCAAATGTCAAAATTATAATTTATAACTGAAATATTAAAAACATAATAAAATGAAAATGTGCCAGTTCAGAATAACTCCAAAGACCCAGAACTTGAAACAAATTAATCTAGGCCTGGAATAATCAGCAGATAGATCAATTATTTAGAACCCAGTTCAGTTCAGTATTTGCCAGTCTTCTGACATCACCTAAAGTCAAAGGCACTGTGACAGACACGCATAGAAGAGAAGGAAGGGATTTTGACTAAAAGGTTTGTTGAACCAGTATACTACAGGATTTTTTAGATTAAGACTACAAGTCTTTGTGTATCAGATTCACCTGGGGTACTTGTTGAAAATGCAAACATTGTAGTCTTATCCACCTTGTAGAAGCAGAAGGAATATGTAGGTAGAGAATTAGCAATTTATCAGCACCCCCAAATATTCATATTATATATATATATTTTTAGTATATATACATACTAAATTATATATGTATATACATGTAGTGTATATATACTAGATTATATTATGTATATTTTTATATATTTAGTATATACACTAAATGGATATATATCTTCTAGGAGTTTAATTGAAAAGTAGAAGCAGCTCTGCAATATAGAAGATGAAAAAAGATCTGCAAGCCATTTACTCACAAAGTCCCATTATAATTCAAGACGCGACAAATTTATCTCGACAGTTGGTAAAATTAATCATTCTAACTTTCAGATTTATAAGGCAGAGATTGTTTTAAGCCTAAGAAAGAAAAGTTGTGGTAAAATAAATTTACATCTTTATTAAAGTTATGATAAAGCATTTTAAGTTGTTTTCTAATAAAATATTTTTTACTTCTCATTTTAGCAAACCAATTTTCTACCTCCCCTCCCTCCATAATAAAGGATCCACTGTGGGAAATATTACAAAAAAGTTCTCCCTCTTTGAAGAAATGAACAAATCGAAGGTCTGTGTTATGTGATAATCTTGCTGAAATACGAAAGACACAGGTCAGCTGAAGGGAAAGCATAGAAACCTAAAGTGAACATCCAGGATGAATAGAAAGAAGTATTCTACTTAATTTTCAGAAAAAATTCAAGATTAGATTAAAAGTAATGACTGAAAACAGCTAAGAAATGTGTACTTCCACATTAACAATATGACTATATCATAAAATATCTTCCCCTTCTGAAACAATGGGATACTGTGTAAATAATGACAAAAATAAGATTAAATTTCTAAATCACCAGAAATTTAAAGAAAAAAAATCACTAAAGACAATGCAAAACATAACCAACCAAATGAATGAATCAGAAGCTGAAACCAGAATGGGAAGAGAAAGTAGAAAACAAGACTTGTCTGGAGATAAATTACAATTCCAGAAATATAGATAATCAGGAGTCAATGGATGCATATGAAGGGACAGTAAACCAACCCTAGGACCTGTAGCTCATTTGAAACCCCATGATACAGCTGGCAAAACCAAACAGGCTATACTTTCTGTGAACATGTTGACTGAGAAAAATTGGAAACTAAAAGGAAATCCATTTGTCTCTAGGATTCTGGGTGTAAAAAAAATTACAGTTACAATATTAGTCTGTACTAAAACTGAAAATCACAATACTGCTTTCCAACAAATCTAGGTTTCAAATTTATATTACTCATGTGTTCATGGAAAATCCAAGCTAAGAAATGTAATTTATCTGGTCTCAAATAGAAGCACCCCCCTGGCAATGACTGAAGATAAAATGTCTGAGAATTTTCAGAATTACTAAAAAAACACAAATCCACACTTACAAGAAATACAAAGACAGGCTGCACAACAATTAAAACCGAACCTAAACCATTAGAGTGACACTGAGGAACACCAAAGACAAACAAACATTCAGAGAAAATTCAAATTACCTATAAAGATGTATTGACACATCCTAAATTGCCCCACGATAAGACTCATCTTCGCTTAATCTCCTCCCTTTGTGCATAGGCTGAATTTGTGACTTCCTTCTAGTCAATAGATTATGACAAAGATGATGAGTGATGGGAATATGACAAAGGGAATTGTGATCACTTTTTTGATAAGGTTACATTTCATAAGACTCAGTCTTACCAAATTGGAATGAGAGACTCTCCTTTGCTGGCTCTGAAGAAGTAGAGTGGCATTTGAAAGAGCCTGTGAAAGAGTCACATGGCAATTGCAGGGGCCTGTGGGAGCTGATAGCAGCCTCTGACTGATAGACAGCAAAGAAGCAGACTTCAGTCCTACAATCCTACATTCACGAGGAGAATTGTAGTCCCAGAAGCCCTACAAACACAAGGAGCTGAATTCTGTTAACCTCTTGAGGTTAAAAAAGAACATACTCTGGAAAGGACTTCAGTCCTACAATCCTACAATCACAAGGTGAATTGTAGTCCCACAAGCCCTACAATCACAAGGAGCTGAATTCTGTTAATCTCTTGTGGTTAAAAAAGAACACCATGCTCTCGAAAGGAATGCAGCTCAGTGGACACCTTGATTGCAGCTTAGAGAGAGACCCCTAACAGAAGCCCCAGCTAAATCACTCCTGGACTTCTGACCCACAGAAATTGTGAGGTAACAAATTTATATTGTTTAAAGCTACTAGTTTGTGCTAATTTGTTATGTAGCTATAGAAAACTAAGACACATCGTTTTGATACCGGAAGAAGAGTTTGAACCCACAGAAACATGTTCAGAATCTATGAGACATAGCTAAAACAGCCCTCCAAATAAATTTATAACATTAAAAGCATATAGCAATATACTGAAAACAAAAAACATAACTCAAAAAGAATAGAAAAAGACTAACAAAGTAAACTAAAATAAATGGAAAAAATTACTAAGGTAATTTGAGTTCAAAAACAGAAATAAAAGTGGTTTCTTGAAGAAAAAAACAAAATATACAAAGATGAGGAAGAAGAAGAGAATGAGAAATACATGAAATAAGAAATGAAAAAGGTTCAATATTCACCAAAAATACAAGGATTTAAAAACATTTTAAGATTCTATTGTGCAACTGTATGCAACTTAATTTTTAAAAACTAGATAAAATATATAGCTTTTCAAGAAAATATAACTTATAAAAATGGCTTCAATAGAAGTAGCAACTTTAAACAGTCAAATTTTTGTAGAAGAAATAAAAGAAGTTGTCAAAGAGCTTCCTCTCTATCCCTTCTCCAAAATTACTAAAACAATGGTTTCAAGGGAAAATTTTATAAAACCTTAAAGACTAAATGATCTTAATGCTACTTAAACTATGCCAGGGAGTTAATTAAAAAGTACAACTTCCCATTGATCAAGCACAAGAAACAATTAGTGAGCTTGAAGGCAGGCTACATGAAAATACACAATCAGAGAAAATAAAAGAAAAAAGACTAAAAATGAATAAAGCACAAGTACAAGATCTAGAAAATAGCCTCAAAGGGGCAAATCTAAAGGTAATTGGCCTTAAAGAGGAGGTACAGAGATAGGGGTAGAAAGTTTATTCAAAGGGATAATAACAGAGAACTTCCCAAACCTAGAGACAGACATCAACATTCAAGAACAAGAAGGTTTTAGAACACCAAACAGATTTAACCCAAAAAAGACTACCTCAATGCATTTAATAATGAAACTCTCAAAGGTCCAGGATAAAAAATGACCCTAAAAGCAGCAAAAGAAAAGAAACAACACACAATGAAGCTCCAATAAGTCTGGCAGCAACCTTTTCAGTAGAAACCTTACAGTCTAGGAGAGAGTGGCATGACATGTTTAAAGTACAGAAGGAAAATGACTTTTATCCTAGAATAGTATACCTAGCAAAAATATCCTTCAAACGTGAAAGAGAAATAAAGATTTTCCCAGAAAAACAAAAGCTAAAAGAGTTCATCAACACCAGACCTGTCCTATATGAAATGCTAAACGGACTTCTTCAATGTGAAAGAAAAGGACATTAATGATAATAAGAAATCATCTCAAGGCACAAAACTCATTAGTAATAGAAAGTACACAGAAAAACACAGAATGTTATAATGGTGTAATTGTGGCATGTAAACTACTCATCTTAAATAGAAAGAATGAAAGATGAACTGGCCAAAAATAATAGCTACAATGACTTTAAGATATAGACAGTATAATAAGATATAAATAGAAACAACAAAAAGTTAAAAAGTGGGAGGATGAAGCTGAGGCACAGAGTTTTTATTAGTTTTCTCCTTGTTTATTGGTTGGTTTATGCAATCAGTGTTAAGTTGTCACCAGTTTAAAATAACGGGTTATAACCAAATGTCCACCAAGAGATAAATGAATAAACAAATGTAGCATATTCATACAATGAAATACAATTAGAAAATATTATAGGAACAGCTATACAAACGAAGTACTTATGACACACGCTACAACAGGGATGAACTTTGAAGACATTGTGCTAAGTGAAAGAAACCATTCACAGTAGACCACATGCTGCGCAATGCTATTTATATGGAATGTCCAGAATAGCCAAACCTATAGGGACAAAAAGTAGATTAGTGGTTACCAGGACTGTAGGGGATACAGAGATGAAGGGGGTGGGATAAAGGGGATGGGAATGACTAAAGGGGTCCACAGGGTTTCTTTTTGGCATAACAAAAAATGTAATAAAGTCAGTTGGGTAACAGATGCACAATCAAGTGACTATACTAAAAGTCATTGAATTATACACTTTAAATGGGTGAATTGTATGATGTGTGGATTACATTTCAGTAAAACTGCTTTTTTAAATAGCAAAATAAAATAAAATAATGGGTTATAAAATATTTGCAAGCCTCATGGTAACCTGAAGTCAAAAAATAATACAATGGATATAGAAAAAATAAAAAGCAAGAAATTCAGTATCAGCAGAGAAAAACACCTTTGCCAAAGGAACACAGGAAGGAAGGAAATAAGGGAGAGAAGACCACAAAACAACCAGAAGGCAAATATCAAAATGGCAGGAGTAAGTCCTTACCTATCAATAATAACATTGAACGTAAATGGACTAAACTCTCCAATCAAAAGACATAGAGTGCCTGAGTAGATTAAAAAACAAGACCAAACCATCTTGCCTACAAGAAACACACTTTACCTGTAAAGACACAGATAGACTGAAAATAAAGAAATGGTAAAAGATATTTCACGCCAATGGAAACCAAAAAAGAGCAGAAATAGCTATACTTATATCAGACAAAATAGATTTCAAGATAAAAACTATCAAAGACAAAGATCATTATATAATGATAAAAGTGTCAATTCAGTAAGAAGATATAACATTGTAAATATAGATGCACCCAAAACTGGAGCACCCAGATATACAAAGCAAATATTTTTAGAGCTGAGAGAGAGAGGCTCCAATATAATAATAGCTGGAGACTTCAACACCCCACTTTCAACACTGGTCAGATCATTCAGACATAAAACCAACAAGTAAACATCAGACTTAATCTACACTATTGACCAAATGGACCTAATTGATATTTACAGAACATTTCATCCAATGGCTGCAGAATACACATTCTTCTCAGCACATGGATCATTCTCAAGGATATACCATATGTTAGGCCAAAAAAGAAGTCTTAAAACATTCAAAAATTGAAATAATATTTAATACCAAGTATCTGCTCTAACCACAGTGGAATAAAAGTAGAACTCGGCTGGTTTCGGGGCTCACGCCTGTAATCCCAGCACTTTGGGAGACCGAGGCGGGTGGGTCACCTCTGGTCAGCAGTTCGAGACGAGCCAGACCAATATGGTGAAACCCCGCCTCTACTAAAAGTACAAAATTAGCCGGGCATGGTAGTGTGCAACTGTAGTCCCAGCCACTCAGGAGGCTAAGACAGGAGAATCGCTTGAACCTAGAATGCAGAGTTTGCAGTGAACTGAGATCACGCCACTGCACTCCAGTCTAGGCAACAGACTGAGACTCTGTCTCAAAAAAGAAGAAAAAAAAGTAGAACTCAATAGCAAGAGGTATCTTGAAAACTATACAAACTCATGAAAATTGAACAATATGCTCCTGAATGACCAGTGGGTTAATGAAGAAATTAATTAGAAAATTGAACAATTTCTTTAAATAAATGATAATGGAAACACAATATACCAAAACCTAGGGGCCACAGGGAAAGCAAAATTAAGAGGGAAGTTTATAGCTATGAGTGCCTGCATGAAAATAGTAGAAAAACTTCAAATAAACAACCTAATTATACATCTTAAAGCACTAGAAAAGCAAGAGCCAACCAAACCCAAAATTAGTAGAGTAAAATAAATAATAAAGATCAGAGCAGAAATAAATGAAATTTAAAGGAAGAAAACAATGCAAAATATCAATGAAACAAAAAGCTAGTTTTTTGAAAATATAAACAAATTTCACAAAACTTAAGCAGACTAAGAAAAAAAGAGAGAATACCCAAATGAATAAAATCAGAGATGAAAAAGGAGATAGTACAATCAATATTTCAGAAATTCAAAGGATTATCAGAGGCCACTATGAACAAATATATGCCAATAAATTGGAAAACCTAGAAGAAATGAACAAATTCCTAAATACATACAACCTACCAAGATTGAACCATGAAGAAATCTAAAACCTGAACAGGCCAATAACATGTACAAGATTGAAGCTGTAACAAACAGTCTTTCAGCATTAAAAAAGTCAGGACCTTATGCCTTCATTGCTGAATTTTACAAAATATCAATCCTTCTCAAGCTATTTTTAAAAATAGAGGAGCGGGGAATACTTCCAAACTTGTTCTAGGAAGCAACTGTTACCCTGATACCAAAATTAGAAAAAGACACATTAAAAAAAGAAAACTACAGGACAACATCTCTGATGACTATTGATGCAAAAATTCTCAACAAAATACTAGCAAACCAAATTCAACAATATGTTAGAAATATCATTCACTATAACCAAGTGGGATTTATCCCTGTGATGCAAGGATGGTTCAACACATACAAATCAATGTCACACATCATATCAACAGAATGAAGGACAATCATTTCAATTGATGCCGGAAAAGCATTTGATAAAATTCAACATCCCTTCATGATAAAAACTCTCAAAAAACTGGGTACAGAAGACATGCCTCAACATAATAAAAGTAATATATGACAGGCCCACAGCTAGTATCGTACTGAATGGGGAAAAACTGAAACTCTTCCTCTAAGATCTGGAAAATGACAAGGATGCTCCCTGTCACCACTGTTATTCAACACAGTACTGGAAGTCCTAGCTTGAGCAATCGAAAAAGAGAAAGATATAAAGGGCATTCAAATTGGAAAGAAAAAAGTCAAATTATCCTTGTTTGCTGATGATATGATCTTATATTTGGAAAAACCTAAAGACTCCACCCAAAAACTAGTGCATACAAAAATCAGTAGCATTTCTGTATGCCAACAGTGAACAATCTGAAAAAGAAATTTTAAAAAGTAAATCCATTTACAATAGCCACACATAACATTCAATACCTAGGACTTAACGAAGAAGTGAAAGATCTCTATAATGAAAACTGTAAAAAAACTGATGAAAGAAATAGAAGAGGACACCAAAACATAAAAAAAAAAATCCATTTTCATTGACTGAAAGAATCAATATTGTTAAAATGTCCACACTACCCAAAGCAACCTAAAGATTCAATGTAATCCCTATCAAAATACAAGTGACATTCTTCACAGAAATAGAAAAAAAAAAATCCTAAAATTTATATGGAACCACAAAAGGCCCAGAATAGCCAAAGCCATCCTAAGCAAAAAGAACGAAAACTGGAGGAATCACAATACCTGACTTCAAATTATACCACAGAGCTATACTAACCAAAACAACATGATACTGGCATAGAAAAAGACACATACACCAGTGGAACAGAACAGAGAATCCAGAAACAAATTCACACACCTACGGTGAACTCATTTTCAACAAAGATGCCAGGGACATACACTGGGGAAAGAACAGTCTCTCAATAAATGGTGCGGGAAAACTGGATATCCATATGCATAAGAACAAAGCTAGACCCCATCTCTCACCATATACAAAAATCAAATCAAAATGGATTAAAGAATTAAATCTAAGACCTTAAACCATGAAACTATGATGAGAAAACATTCAGGAAACTGTCCAGGATATTGGTCTGGGTAAAGATTTCTTGAGCAATACCTCACGAGCACAGGGACCCAAAGCAAAAATGGACGAATGGATCATATCAAGTTAAAAAGCTTCCACACAGCAAAAGAAGCAAACAACAAAGTGAAGAGACAACCCACAGAATCAAAGAAAACATTTGCAAACTATTAATCTGACAAGGGATTAATAATAGAATATATGAGGAGCTCAAACAACTCTATAGGAAAAAAATCTCATAACCTCATTTAAAAATGGCCAAAAGATCTGAATAGATATTTTTCAAAGAAAGACATACAAATGGCAAACAGGTATATGAAAATCTACTGAACATCATTGATCATTAGAGAAATGCAAATCAAAACTACAATGTGATATTATCTCACCTTAGTCAAAATGACTTTTTTCTAAAATACAGGTAATAACAAATGCTGGCGAGGATGTGTGGCGAGTTGTACACTGTTGGTGGGAATAAAATTAGTACAAAACTATGGAAAACAATTTGGAGTTTTCTCAGAAATCCAAAAATATTGCTACCATATGATCCAGCAGTCCCACTGCTAGGTATATACCAAAAAGAAAGAAAATCCATATATTAAAGAGATATCTGCATTCTCATGTTTATTGCAGCACTATTCACAACAACTAATATTTGGAAGCAACCTAAGTGTCCATCAACAGATGAATGGATAAAGAAAATGTGGTACATATAAACAATGGAGAACTATTTGGCAAAAATAAAAGAATGAGATCCTGTTATGTGCAACAACATTAATGGAACTGGAGGTCACTGGGTTAAGTGAAAGAAGCCAGGCACAGAAAGACAAACTTCACATTCTCACTTATTTGTAGGAGCTAAAAATTAAAACAATTGAACTCATGGAGATAGAGAGTAGAATGAGGATTATCAAGGGCTGGGCAGGGTAGTGGAGTGTGGGAGAGAATTGGGGATGGTTAATAGGTACAAAATATAGTTAGAAAGAATGAGTAAGACCTAGTATTTGATAGCACATCAGGGTGACTATAGTCAACAATAATCTAATTGTACCTTGTAAAATAACTAAAAGAGTATAATTGGATTGTTTGTAACACAAAGGATAAATGCTTAAGGTAATGGATACCCCATTTATCATGATGTGATTTTTATGGATTGTGTGCCTATGTTAAAATATCTCATGTACCCTGCAAATATATACATGTATGTACCCACAAAACTTAAAAGTAAAAAAATTTTTTAAGGCACAACTTTCCAATTCTTTTCATGAGGTAAATTTAACATTGATATAGTAACCACACACATATATGCACAACTACAGCACAATCTGATTAAATATAGTTGTGCTTGCTCTATTTCCAAACTGTCTTGATTATTCTTCACCTATTTTCTTTTTTTTTTTTTTTTTTACATTTTAGATCCTGTTTGTCAATTTTTAGGAAGGATTGGAATTAAATTGTATCTATAAATCAAATTCATAAAAATCTCAATTTGTTAGGCCAGGTGTGTTGGGTCGTGCCTATAATCCCAGCAATTTGGGAGGTCGAGGTGGGTGGATCATCTGAGGTCAGGAGCTTGAGACCAGCCTGACCAATATGATGAAACCCCATCTCTATTAAAAACACAAAAATAAGCTGGGCATGATGGCATACACCTATTATCCCAGCTACTGCAAGGCTGAGACAGGAGAATCACTTAAACCCAGGAGGCAGAGGTTGCAGTGAGCTGAGATCGCGCCATTGCACTCCAGCCTGGGCAACAAGACTGAAACTCTGTCTCAGGAAAAAAAAAAAAAAAAAGTCAATTTGTGAAATTGGCTCCTCCTGTCCAATCACATTTAGTCTTCTTTCTGTGTCTTTCAATAAAAGCATATAATATGCTGCATAGATGTTGCCCATCTTTAGCTGCATTAATTCCCAGACATTTTGATGATATTGTCTAAGTAATCTTTGCTTGTACAGAAATGCAATCTCATTAAAGTGTTCATATTACATTGCTTATGTGTTAGTTGTAACTTTATTTTCTCTCTTGACCTGTCATTTACTGGGAGAAATGTGTTAAACATTTTCTATTATAATGATATGATATTTATCAATTACTCCATGCAATTCTGTCAAATTTTGAAAGTTATTTAATGTACAGTTGATCCTTGAACAATTTGGGGTTTGGGGTGCCAACCTCTCACCCAGTCAAAAATCCATGTATAACTTATGACTCCCCAAAAACTTAACTACTAATAGCCTAGTGATAGCCAGAAGCCTTACCAATAACATAAACAATTAAAACATATGTTACATATTATATATGATATTCTAATAAAGTAAGCTAGAGAAAAGAAAATGTTAAGAAAATTGTAAGGAAGAGGTAATACATTTACTATTCATTAAATGGAAGTGGCTCATCATAAATGTCTTCCTCCTCATCTTCAGGTTGAGTAGGCTAAGGAGGAGGAAGAGAAGAGGTTGTTCGTGCTGTCCCACAGGTGTCGAAGGCAGAAGAAAATCCACATGTAAGTGGACCCATGCAGTTCAAAGCTGTGTTGTTTAGGGTCAAATATATATAAGTATGTAATTATCATATTCCCCCAGAAAATTAAAACTTGTATCAGTATGTAGTAAGGCTTTATCTCCAGCAATAATTCTGGCTTCATGTCTCAAAAATAAATAAAAAGTTAAAAATTAAATAGTAGCAAACAGAATTCAATAGTTTTTGAAATGGGTATTTTAACATTAGGAAATTCATTTTAAAAATTCACCTTATTAAGGAGAAGTTTTTATGATCATGTCCATTTATGCCAAAAAATACATTTCACATAAATTAACACCAATTTATAAGAAATTTGATGAAATAGAAATTAATGAATCTTTTCTTACTGTGATAAATTATATATGTTTCTCAACATAGAAGTCAGCATCTTACTAAATGAAGAAACACTGAGATAATCTCACTAAGAAAAGAATAATGTAAAGAGTGCCCACAATCTAGCTTATTATTTAACGTAATATTGAAAGTTGAGCCAATTAAATTAATGAAAGCAATTTGAGGAATAATAATTAAAAATGAAGAATTAAGATTATCTTTGTTTACAGATGATATGATTATATATCTAGAAGACTCATAATAATAAGTTGGAATTGCAAACAATAAAATAATTGGTAAAGTAACAAGATTAATATAAAATCAATTCTCCAAATATGTAAAACTTACCATATAGAAGATAATACTAGAAGAAAATATCCCATTTACATCAAAACAAGAGAAAATAAAATACCTAGGCAAAGGCCTAACACAAAATGTGCAAAAGCTATAGAAAGAAAACTATAAAACACTGTAAGACATGGCATGTATCTTTAAAAATGCAAAGATGTAAATATTCTTGTTAGAAAGATTCAAAATCACTAAGACTTCAATTTTCTCTAAGTTACCTTCTAAATACAACACAACACCAATTTTTTTAATGTCATTTTTTTCTGGAGCCAGACAAGTTTTTATTTTAATGTTTATTTTAGGTTCAGGGGTACATGTGCAGGTTTGTATATAGGTAAGCTGGGTATAACAGGGTTTGGTGTACATATTATTTTGTCACCCAGGTAATAAGCATAGTGCTTGATAGGTAGTTTTTCAATCCTCACGCTCTTCCCTCCCTCCACCTTCAAGTAGGTCCCAGTGTCTGTTGTTCCCTTTTTTGTGTCCATATATACTCAATGTTTAGCCCCCACTTATAAGTGAGAACATGTGGAATCTGGTTTTCTGTTCCTCTGTTAGTTCACTTGGGATAATAGTCTTCAGCTCCATCCATGCTGCTGCAAAAGACATGATCTTATTCTTTTTTATGGCTGCATAGTGTTGCATGTTGTTTATGTACCACATTTTATTTATCCAATCCACCACTAATGAGCACCCAGGTTGGCTCCATGTCTTTGCTATTGTGAATAGTGCTGCGATGAACTTATGTGTGTATTTGTCTTTATGGTAGAACAATTTGTATTCATTTGGATATATACTCAGTAATGGGATTGCTGGGTTGAATGGTAATTCTGCTTTGAGTTCTTTGAGGCAAACTGCCTTCCACAATGGCTGAACTAATTTATATTCCCACCAACAGAGTATAAGCATTCCCTTTTTATCCACAGCCTCACCAGAATCTGTTATTTTTTGACTTTTTAATAATAGCCATTCTGACTAGTGCAAGATGGTATCTCGCTGTGGTTTGATTCGCATTTCTCTAATGATTTGTGAAGTTAAGCATTTTTTCATATGCCTTGTTGGCTACATGTATGTCTTCTTTTGAAAGTGTCTGTTCATGTCCTTTGCCCAGTTTTTAATGGGATTGGAAATTAAAAACCTAACATTACACCTAGAGGAACTAAAGAAACAAGAGCAAACCAACCTCAAAGCTAGCAGAAGAGAAGAAGTAACCAAAATTAGAGATGAACTGAAGGAAATTGAGATACAAAACAAAAACAAAAACAAAACCCCACAGTCTCCGCCCAAAAGCTCCTTCAGCTGATGAACAACTCCAGCCATTTCAAGATACAAAATCAACATACAAAAATCAGTAGCTTTCCTATACACCAACAACGTACAAGCTGAGAGGCAAATCAAAACACAATCCCATTCATGATAGCCACAAAAAGAATAAAACATGTAGGAATACAGCTAACCAGGGAGGTGAAATATTTCTGCAATGAGAACTACAAAACATTGCTCAAAAAAATCAGAGATGACACAAATAAATGGAAAAACATGCCATACTCATGGATAGGGTGATTTTAAAGTTTAAATGTAAGAATAGCCAGGAAAAAATACTGTGGGGAAATAAAAGTGTGAGAATGGATAGCTGGAATTACCTATTAACATATAAATGTCCTGTAAATAAAACAGTGTGATATTAGTACAAGAATAAATGGACAAATTGAAAATCCATAAATTGACTCAGTTGAATATGGAAACTTTGTATATAATCAAGTGGACATCTCAAATTGCTAGAAAAATATGAATTTTCAAATAATAACTGGACAACTATATAGGGATATGGAAAATTGGATTCATTCCTCATACTAGACACCAAAATAAATTCCAAAGATATCAGAGATATAAATGTGAAATATTAACCTCTGAGAGTATGACTCAAAATCCAGGTTGCACCATAAAAAAAACAAAAGGAAATAGCAAATTGGAAAAAATATTAGTAACTAATATCACAAAAAATTAATATTCTTTATGGACAATTAAATTATAAACTGGAGAAGAATAAGGCCAAGGACAACAGAGAAAATGTGCAAAACATATGAACAGACAGTATATAGTGGAGAAAATTATAAGTATATTGTACTGAATTACATATTGTTCCCCCAAAGTTCATGTTCACCTGGAACCTCAGAACATGATCTTATTTGGAAAGGAATTTTTGCAGATGTAATTAATTAAGATGAGGTACAGCAAACTATCACAAGAACAGAAAACCAAACACCGCATGTTCTCACTCATAAGTGGGAGTTGAACAATGAGAACACATAGACACAGGGAGGGGAACATCACACACCGTGGCCTGTCGGGGGATGGGGGACTAGCGGAAAGATAGCTTTAAGAGAAATACCTAACGTAGATGACGGGTTGATGAGTGCAGCAAACCACCATGGCACGTTATACCTATGTAACAACACTGTACATTCTGCACATGTACCCCAGAACTTAAAGTATAATTAAAAAAAAGATGAAGTAATAATATATCAGGGTAGTCCTAAGTCCAATGACTGGTGCATTTATAAGAAGGCCATATGAAGACATAGAGAGACCTAGAGAGAAGGTCATGTGAGAAAGGAGGTAGAGAATACAGCGATGCATCTACAAGCCAAGGATCATCAAGGATTGTCAGCAACTACCACAAGCTAAGAGAGAAATATGGAATGTTTCTCACTTAAAACCTCCAGAAGGAATCAATCCTGCCAACACCTTGATTTCAAATTTCTGACCTCCAACACTGTGGGATAATAAATTCCTGTTGTTTGAAGCCACCAAATTCGTGGTAATTTGTATGGCAGCCCTAGGAAACTAATACATGGCCCTAACATGAAAAATAGGCAATCAGAGAAGTGCGATGTTTAAAAATCAGAACAAAAAAACATTTTGCATCCACCTAACTCATAAAATTTTGAAACTGAGGCAACAGTATGTGTTGGCAAGTGGCAAGAACTTTCATCCGCTGCTGCTCTGCTGCTACCTGAGAGTATAAGGTGATGGAGCATCTGAAAAACACTTCTGTCACATGCATACCTTACATCCTAGCTATTCCACTCTCAGATATTTTCCTGAGAGCACATCTTCCTAAATAGTGCACTTTAGGTAACGGGAATGCCAAATTTCTCTCCTTAGTCCTTGCAATGTGTGAGAGAGCCTGGGCAATTGCCTCTGGCCAGAGCTGCCCCATTTGTTTGTGCCAGTGAACCACAGAAGGAATGTTAGTTTCTAAGTGTGGTGTCCTATTAAGAATATTAGGAAATAACTGCTGTAGAAAAGTTCTTGTATACATGCTTTAGGAGATATGAGAAAGAATGTTTGCAATAGCATAGTTATTAGCAGAAACACTAAAAACAAATGTCCATTGATAGGCAACTGGGTGAATACAGTGTGATAATTAATGCAATAGGACACTATATAGCTCTGACATGGATGAATCTCAAAGAGAAATGTTGAGTGAAAAAAGCAAGTTGCAGCAGAATACATACTGTATAATCCCAGGGTTCAGTAAGGTTCTGCTTCTTAAGCTAAATGGTGGGAATCTGGGATTTTGCTTTATTATTTTTTGGGGAAGGAAGGAGATGGTGGTGATATTATGTGTAAATATGTTCATATTTTAAGAACAGAGGGAAAAGACATACATATAAATTATCTGCAGAAGCTAGTATTTCTTTTAATCCTATTCAGATTGTGCCATCTTAAAAGTAAATATGATTATTGATATTGTTTAAACAAAGGGCTTCACATATTTTTTTTCAAAGGAGCACTATGCAAAGGCAACCCTGCTGGAATCCTTTTCAGACAAGCATGCTCACCTGTATGTTATTTAGGTCACAATGCCATGATTGAAGCATTTCTGCTCATCTGCTATAAGTAAAATGTAAGTTATAGGTAACATTTCTAGAATGAAGTACATTTTATAGAGCTATCAGTTGTGAATTTAACCCTATTAAATAAAAGACAACATTTATATTGGGACAGAGAAATTTGCTTCCTTGTTTCCCGGAATGGACTGAAGGAAAATTTATCATCTTTTGCTACTGCAGAAATAGCACATTCTTGAATTCTGTGATTGGAAAGCATAAATTCACCACTTTCCCGAGGTTTCATTGTTTCTTCAGTGTTAAAAATGTTGAAATCCATGTTTTATATATGACTAGATGATGACAAACATGAATGCAAACGTACTCATATGTTTGAATTATTTAAACTGTAGCATGATCAATTCATTAAATGAAATGGTATCTGTCAGATATTGATTTGTGTCTGGTCTGTTATAATCATATTGATGACAGACAACATCTGATATAATGAGTCAGATTACCTTAGCAACTGCTTTCGATGTTCCCATCTTTCATGATTTTGGTTGCTGTCCTTCAGTGATTCTCAGTGATCTCTCTCAGGCAAGGCTCTGATGTATACCATTTTTCTAAAAACATCTCCAAGTAAATCCCAGGACCTCAACCTTGGCAGGCAGAACATGACATATTGTTCAGGTCACAGATTGAACCTTTACTTCTGCACAATGATTAAGTCAGCCCTTGGGCTTTAATCATCCCCAGCTTTCTCCTGGGTCCCTGTGTACATCCATGCAGACTGTGCATTACTTAAGTCCAGAAAGCCATTCTCTACATGAGAGTATGAATGGCACCCACCCCTGGGGCTGTGCAAGGCCCTCATCACACATATAGGGCTTATTTTCATCACATATATAGGGCTTATTTTCCCAAACAGAACTCTAGTGTTGAGACAGCAGCTTATCCCTTTTGTACCCTGTAAGTGGAAAAGTCTCCCCTTCAGGGAGAATCTTTCCCAGTAGGCATAAGTAATGCCTTCACAGCCATCCTGTTGTCTTCCTATTGCACTCTTGGATACTCGGTGTATTATAAGGATTGATATCAAGATCCCTAATTCAGCTAAGTACTTCCATGAAAGATGTTGGAGCTATGTATGCTGTCCAGGTCACATTCTTATTAACTATCTCTTGAAGAAGATGAAGAGGTGGATAGTCTCAGTGGAGATCCTTTGTGGGAAAAGCAAATCTTAGACTAAAAGGTCATGTTGGTTCCATTACAAGACAAAGGCCCAGAACCCAGAGAAATGGATGAAAACTCAGACATAAACACAGGTTGTGCCTTTGCTAGATGCAAATTCTAAATCACTTTTATTTCCCTACAAGAAAACTCACCACTTTTCAGAACCACTGGGAGTCATCCAGAGCCTCCTGCCTACTTGACTCTCATTTTATCAGTGAGCTGGTCCGTTTTCCCATAGTATCTAATTAATCTCCGCCATCCTAGATTTATTCCAGAGAAGGCCTTCATCAGTGAAAGCCCAATATGCCTATGTTTCCACCTACCAGGATACATGTGCGCATGCATTTCAACGGCACTGTTATGCCAACCCTCTCTTTCAAACAAGCCTGGCTGCATGAAGCTGTTCTTTTGATATGCCAAGAATACTGGTAGACCGGTATTCACCACTCCCTGATTTCCAAGGTAGAATGAAAAACCTTCTGCTCCTGTTGTAACTTTATAACTTTCTAGGGCACCCTTTTGATGGGCTTTACTGTTGACCTGGGCTGTGGCACCTCCTTCTCATTGTAGATGTACTCACACAAAAAAGGAAACAACCTGTTTTCTACATGTTATCTTCCCCCTGCTCCTTGCCATGTTCAACATGGTACCCTTTTAAGAAAAAAGATCTGAAATTCCCCAATCCAAGGTCAGGTCATCTTGAACTGTGAGCCTCTGCTCACTTTTTCCTTTACGGAGACCCTATATGATGTCTGTATAGATTCCTATTGCTGCATTAAAAATTGCCACAAACTTAGAGGCTTATAACAATACCCATTTATTAGCTCACTGTCTGTATAGGTCAAAAGTCTGGCACACCTTAGCTGGGTCCTCTGCTTAAGGTTTCACAAAACTGAAAGCAAGGTGTCAAACAAGCTACATTCTCATTTGCAGATTCTGCTAGGAAAAGATCAGCCTTCAAGCTTCTTTAGATTATTGGGAGAATTTATTTCCTTGAGTCTGTAGAATTCATTTCAGCTTGCTTCTTGAAAGATAGAAATATTAATAAAAAGAGAGGATCTCTATTCTTGGAGTTTTTGGCTTCAGGGAAAGCCTAGGCCCTGGATTTTGTTGTTGTTGTTGTTCATTTGTTTGTTTGTTTTGTTTGTTTTTGTTTTTTAAGGCTCACCTCATTGGATTAGGCCAACATAGGATACCCACCCTTTTGATTAACTCAAAAGTCATCTGATTAGGAACTTAATTTATATCTTAAAAATATCTTCACTTTTGCTATATTCTGTTCATTGGAAGCAAGTTGTAGGTTCCACTCACACTCATTGTGGGAGAGGATTGCACAATGATATGACTCATGGAGGTCCTATTAGGCTCTATCTGCCACAATATCCTCAAATGAAGGTGCACTTGTCCTCTGTTATTATCCATGATCCAAAGTAGAGGACAAATAGACAACACATCCACTGGAAAAACACTTACAGGGCTGCACTTATCAACTTTATCACTTGCCACCTTTCCTCCTCCCTATGGCGTTATATCACAGTATTGAAAATTATAAATTCACACTCAGGCTGCAGCCACTGTGCATAGCAGGTGAGTTGCCAAAGTGAAATCTATTTCCTTGCCTCATCACCATTCCATGCATGTCATACCTTCCTTCCAATATGTGCAGATCATGTAAGAAATAAAATCAAAGTACTCTTTCTGCATAGAATGATTGAACTAATCTTGCCCTTTATTTCATTTTGCTTCTTTTTGTTCTATAAAACCCTGTTATTTTCTTTTTTCCTTTTTTCTTTTAAATTCAGGGGGTACATGTGTAGGTTTGTTACATGGCCCTGTTATTTCTTATGCAAGTATTTTTAAGTTGCTTCAGCAACATGTTCTTCACTTAAAAAAAAAAATTGAGGGTCTCAAATTGCAGGGAGAATGATTTAAAATTCCAAATAATATAGTTGGCTAGTGATGTAAAAGATTTAAAAGGTGCAAAACAATAGCATAACCCCACAGCAACTTTGCAAGTATAACCTGGCAGAGAGGGCTTGAAAAGACTGACCAAACATAGTTTTCCTACAGAGGTCAGTCTTTTGACTTTCTGCTGTTTTCTCCACAACTCTTACCTCAATTTCCCATTCTGAAGGAAACAAGTGATTCAGAAGGTGCACTGCCTTCTCAAAGCAACAGAACACTTGCCTCTGCCATTTATGTTACCTTTGCCTTTCACTCTTCCCCCGCCCCCAGCCTTTTTTGTGCTTAAGAAGTCCATTTTTTTGGTAAGAGTAAGAAAGCCTAAAGGTTTCATTGTTAGCAACATTGATTATGAGAATTTTCATCCTGAGCATCATCTATTTTAGGGTCAACTAAAATAGCTCAGGTTCAAAATAAAAGACTTGCACTTCTCACAGACCCTGGAAACAGAAGTTCAAGACCATCTGCCTTTCACTACAAGAATGATAGTCAAAGATACCAAGACACTATAGGACCCCTAAGAATCACGAACCAAATCCAGTAATGCTGCTGGCATAGTCCTTTACCTGGCCACTTAAAACCAAAATAAATCTCCATGATTATTCATGAATTCTGAGATTTTAATACCAAGGTCATTCTTCTATGGATTCCTCTAGGCTTGAGCTGAACACACTGTTCCTCAAGTTGTTTTTTGTTTTTTTGTTTTTAATCTGTAAAACGTTGGACTGCATGCTCCATCTGGAATCCCACTTCTCCTGCTTCCAAAACAATCGACTAGAAACATGATCATATATTCTAGGCTCTGTCAGGTTCTCTGCTGTGCCAAGGCAGTGGCTGGGGGATATGGATGGACACAGGTCTACGAAATGGGCCAGAAACCCTGCTGCACACTATAATAACAACCCTGATAACTCAGACGCCCATGTTCCTCTACTTCCACTCCCAACACCGTACTTTAAGGGGTAGAAGATTAGATTGGAATTCAGTGGTATCAGGTGCAGAAAATTACCTTTAAGACACTATGTAGTGACCTCATGCTTGGAGCATTAAATGAGGCTTCATCATGCCAAAGAGACACTGCCCAGAAGCAATGGTGATAACCCACCTAATTCCTGTGGTCTTGTCTCCTATTTCTTCTGCTGCTTTTTCTACTTACTCATTCTTGGCTTATTCTACTTACTCATCCCTTGCTACTCCTCTGGCATCCACCCCACTCAGCCTCTGGCAAGGCTCCAGTTCTTGATCCTGGCTGCCTCTTTGCTTGTGGATTGAACCTGATGCCTGCTCTAGTTTTCCTGGACTAATCTGGCATGTCACATAGGTTTGACCCTACCTATCCCCATGTTGACATCTTGCTTGAATACCCTTTTCAAAAGTAGCTTTAAAAAACAGTGATTGAACTATTTTATGCTTCTTTAAAGTCTCCAGTTAACTTGTGTTTTTTTAAGGCAATGTATCTTCTTACTTCTTACCAGATTTTGGGATACATATCCTAATGTCAAATTTAATAACTATTTATTCAAATAAAGATGAGGAGACATTTCTTAAATAAATAAAATTCAAAACATTTTAATGAATAAAATTTTAATGAATGAATCTAGGAGGACATGTAATATATTGCACCTGACACATAGAAAAATCAGAAATTTATTAATTCATACATCATGTATTTTTTAAAAGGGCTTGGGGCGGTTCCAAGATGGCCAAATAGGAACAGCTCCAGTCTACAGCTCCCAGTGTGAGCGACGCAGAAGACGGGTGATTTCTGCATTTCCAACTGAGGTACCGAGTTCATCTCACTGGGGCTTGTCAGACAGTGAGTGCAGGACAGTGGGTGCAGTGCACTGAGCATGAGCTGAAGCAGGGCAAGGCATCGCCTCACCTGGGAAGCACAAGGGGTTAGGGAATACCCTTTCATAGCCAAGCAAAGCTGTGACAGATGGCACCTGGAAAACTGGGTCACTCCCACGCTAATACTGCGCTTTTCCAATGGTCTTAGCAAACTGCACACCAGGAGATTATATCCCGTGCATGGCTTGGAGGGTCCCATGCCCACGCAGCCTCACTCATTGGTAGCATAGCAGTCTGAGATCAAACTGCAAGGTGGCAGCGAGGCTGGGGGAGGGGCACCCACCATTGATGAGGCTTGAGTAGGTAAACAAAGCAGCCGGGAAGCTTGAACTGGGTGGAGCCCACCACAGCTCAAGGAGGCCTGCCTGCCTCTGTAGACTCCACCTCTGGGGGCAGGGCATAGTCGAACAAAAGGCAGCAGAAACCTCTGCAGACTAAAATGTCCCTGACAGCTTTGAAGAGAGTAGTGGTTCTCCCAGCACAGAGTTTGAGATCTGAGAACAGACAGATTGCCTCCTCAAGTGGGTCCTGACACCCGAGTAGCCTAACAGGGAGGCACCCCCCAGTAGGGGCAGACTGACACCTCACATGGCCGGGTACCCCTCTGAGACCAAACTTCCAGAGGAATGATCAGACAGCAACATTTGTTGTTCAGCAATATTCGCTGTTCTGCAGCCTCTGCTACTGATATCCAGGCAAACAGCATCTGGAGTGGACCTCCAGCAAACTCCAGCAGATCTGCAGCTGAGGGTCCTGACTGTTAAAAGGAAAACTAACAAATAGAAAGGACATCCACACCAAAACCCCATCTGTATGTCACCATCATCAAAGACCAAAGGTAGATAAAACCACAAAGATGGAGAAAGAAAAGAACAGAAAACCCAAAAATTCTACAAATCAGAGCGCCTCTCCTCCTCCAAAGGAACACAGATCCTCACCAGCAACAGAACAAAGATGGACAGAGAATGACTTTGACGAGTTGAGAGAAGAAGTTGCTTATCAGCTTAAGGAGATTTTGGGCTGAGACGATGGGGTTTTCTAGATATAAAATCATGTCATCTGCAAACAGGGACAATTTGACTTCCTCTTTTCCTAATTGAATGCCTTTTATTTCCTTCTCCTGCCTGATTGCCCTGGCCAGAACTTCCAACACTATGTTGAATAGGAGTGGTGAGAGACGGCATCCCTGTCTTGTGCCAGTTTTCAAAGGGAATGCTTCCAGTTTCTGTCCATTCAGTATGATATTGGCTGTGGGTTTGTCATAGATAGCTCTTATTATTTTGAGATACGTCCCATCAATACCTAATTTATTGAGAGTTTTTAGCATGAAGAGCTGTTGAATTGTGTCAAAGGCCTTTTCTGCATCTATTGAGAAAATCATCTGGTTTTTGTCTTTGGTTCTGTTTATATGGTGGATTACATTTATTGATTTTCGTATGTTGAAGCAGCCTTGCATCCCAAGGATGAAGCCCACTTGATCATGGTGGATAAGCTTTTTGATGAGTTGCTGGATTCGGTTTGCCAGTATTTTATTGAGGATTTTTGCATCAATGTTCATCAAGGATATTGGTCTAAAATTCTCTTTTTTTGTTGTGTCTCTGCCAGGCTTTGGTATCAGGATGACACTGGCCTCATAAAATGAGTTAGGGAGGATTCCCTCTTTTTCTATTGATTGGAATAGTTTCAGAAGGAATGGTACCAGCTCCTCCTTATGCCTCTGGTAGAATTTGGCTGTGAATCCATCTGGTCCTGGACTTTTTTTGGTTGGTAAGCTATTAATTATTGCCACAATTTCAGAGCCTGTTATTGGTCTATTCAGAGATTCCACTTCTTCCTGGTTTAGTCTTGGGAGGGTGTATGTGTCGAGGAATTTATCCATTTCTTCTAGATTTTCCAGTTTATTTGCATAGAGGTGTTTATAGTATTCTCTGATGTTAGTTTGTATTTCTGTGGGATTGGTGGTGATATCCCCTTTGTCATTTTTTATTGCATGTATTTGATTCTTCTCTCTTTTCTTCTTTATTAGTCTTGCTAGCGGTCTATCAATTTTGTTGATCTTTTCAAAAAACCAGCTCCTGGATTCATTGATTTTTTGAAGGGTTTTTTGTGTCACTATTTCCTTCAGTTCTGCTCTGATCTTAGTTATTTCTTGCCTTCTGCTAGCTTTTGAAGGTATTTGCTCTTGCTTCTCTAGTTCTTTTAATTGTGATGTTAGGGTGTCAATTTTGGATCTTTCCTGCTTTCTCTTGTGGGCATTTAGTGCTATAAATTTCCCTCTACACACTGCTTTGAATGTGTCCCAGAGATTCTGGTATGTTGTGTCTTTGTTCTCATTGGTTTCAAAGAACATCTTTATTTCTGCCTTCATTTCATTATGTACCCAGTAGTCACTGAGAAGCAGGTTGTTCAGTTTCCATGTAGTTGAGTGGTTTTGAGTGAGTTTCTTAATCCTGACTTCTAGTTTGATTGCACTGTGGTCTGAGAGACAGTTTGTTATAATTTCTGTTCTTTTACATTTTCTGAGGAGAGCTTTACTTCCAACTAGGTGGTCAATTTTGGAATAGGTGTGGTGTGGTGCTGAAAAAAAATGTATATTCTGTTGATTTGGGGTGGAAAGGTCTGTAGTTGTCTATTAGGTCCACTTGGTGCAGAGCTGAGTTCAATTTCTGGGTATCCTTGTTAACTTTCTGTCTCGTTGATCTGTCTAATATTGAAAGTGGGGTGTTAAAGTCTCCCATTATTATTGTGTGGGAGTCTAAGTCTCTTTGTAGGTCACTCAGGACTTGCTTTATGAATCTGGGTGCTGCTGTATTGGGTGCATATATATTTAGGATAGTTAGTTCTTCTTGTTGAATTGATCCCTTTACCATTATGTAATGGCCTTCTTTGTCTCTTTTGATCTTTGTTGGTTTAAAGTCTGTTTTATCCAAGACTAGGGTTGCAACCCCTGCCTTTTTTTGTTTTCCATTTGCTTGGTAGATCTTCCTCCATCTCTTTATTTTGAGCCTATGTGTGTCTCTGCACGTAAGATGGATTTCCTGAATACAGCACACTGATGGGTCTTGACTCTTTATCTAATTTGCCAGTCTATGCCTTTTAATTGGAGCATTTAGTCCATTTACATTTAAGGTTAGCATTGTTATGTGTGAATTTGATCCTGTCATTATGATGTTAGCTGGTTAGTTTGCTCATTAGTTGATGCAGTTTCTTCCTAGCCTCGACGGTCTTTGCAGTTTGGCATGTGTTTGCAGTGGCTGGTACCGGTTGTTCCTTTCCATGTTTAGTGCTTCCTTCAGGAGCTCTTTTAGGGCAGGCCTGGTGGTGACAAAGTCTCTCAGCATTTGCTTGTCTGTAAAGGATTTTATTTCTCCTTCACTTATGAAGCTTAGTTCGGCTGGATATGAAATTCTGCATTGAAAATTTTTTCTTTAAGAATGTTGAATATTGGCCCCCACTCTCTTCTGGCTTGTAGAGTTTCTGCCGATAGATCCACTGTTAGTCTGATGGGCTTCCCTTTCTGGGTAACCCGACCTTTCTATCTGGCTGCCCTTAACATTTTTTTCTTCATTTCAACTTTGGTGAATCTGACAATTATGTGTCTTGGAGTTGCTCTTCTCGAGGAGTATCTTTGTGACATTCTCTGTATTTCCTGAATTTGAATGTTAGCCTGCCTTGCTAGATTGGGGAAATTCTCCTGGATAAAATCCTGCAGACTGTTTTCCAACTTGGTTCCATTCTCCCTGTCACTTTCAGGTACACCAATTAGACGTAGATTTGGTCTTTTCACATAGTCCCATATTTCTTGGAGGCTTTGTTCATTTCTTTTTATTCTTTTTTTCTGTAAACTTCTCTTCACGCTTCATTTCATTCATTTCATCTCCCATTGCTGATACCCTTTCTTCCAGTTGATCGCATCAGTTACTGAGACTTGTGCATTCATCACATAGTTCTCATGCCATGGTTTTCAGCTCCATCCGGTCCTTTAAGGACTTCTCTGCATTGGTTATTCTAGTTATCCATTCATCTAATTTTTTTTCAAAGTTTTTGACTTCTTTGCCATTGGTTCGAACTTCCTCCTTTAGCTCGGAGTAGTTTGATTTTCTCAAGCCTTCCTCTCTCAACTCATCAAAGTCATTCTCCGTCGAGCTTTGTTCTGTTGCTGGTGAGGAGCTGCATTCCTTTGGAGGAGGAGAGGTGCTCTGATTTTTAGAGTTTCTGGTTTTTCTGCTCTGTTTTTTCACCATCTTTGTGGTTTTATCTACCTTTGGTCTTTGATGATGGTGACGTACAGATGGGTTTTTGGTGTGGATGTCCGTTCTGTTTGTTAGTTTTCCTTCTAACAGTCAGGACCTTCAGCTGCAGATCTGTTGGAGTTTATTGGAGGTCCACTCCAGACCCTGTTTGCCTGGGTATCAGCAGCGGTGGCTGCAGAACAGCGGATATTGGTGAACTGCAAATGCTGCTGCCTGATCATTCCTCTGGAAGTCTTGTCTCAGAGGAGTACCCTGCTGCGTGAGGTGTCAGTCTGCCCCTACTGGGGGGTGCCTCCCTGTTAGGCTACTCGGGTGTCAGGGACCTACTTGAAGAAGCAGTCTGCCTGTTCTCAGATCTCAAACTGCATGCTGGCAGAACCACTACTCTCTTCAAAGCTGTCAGACAGGGACTTTTAAGACTGCAGAGTTTATTGCTGTCTTTTGTTTGTCTGTGCCCTGCCCCCAGAGGTGGAGCCTACAGAGGCAGGCAGGCCTCCTTGAGCTGTGGTGGGCTACACCCAGTTCGAGCTTCCCAGCCGCTTTGGTTACCTACTCAAGCCTGAGCAATGGCAAGCGCCCCTCCCCCCGCCTGGCTCCTGCCTTGCAGTTTGATCTCAGACTGCTGTGCAAGCAATGAGCAAGGCTCTGTGGGCGTAGGACTCTCTGAGACAGGTGCGGGATATAATCTCCTGGTGTGCCGTTTGTTAAGCCCGTTGGAAGAGAGCAGTATTAGGGTGGGAGTGACCCGATTTTCCAGGTGCCATCTGTCACCCGTTTCTTTGACTAGGAAAGGGAATTCCCTGACCCCGTGCACTTCCCAGGTGAAGCAACGCCTCTCCCTGCTTCGGCTCACACACGGTGCACTGCACCCACTGTCCTGCACCACTGTCTGGCATTCCCCCAGTGAGATGAACCCAGTACTTCAGTTGGAAATGCAGAAATCACCCATCTTCTGTGTCGCTCACTCTGGGAGCTGTAGACTGGAGCTGTTCCTATTAGGCCGTCTTGGCTCCACCCCTCACAAGCATTCTTATATACCAATAACAGACAAACAGAGAGCCAAATCATGAGTGAACTCGCATTCACAATTGCATCAAAGAGAATAAAATACCTAGGAATCCAACTTACAAGGGATGTGAAGGACCTCTTCAAGGAGAACTACAAACCGCTGCTCAATGAAATAAAAGAGGACACAAACAAATGGAAAAACATTCCATGCTCATGGATAGGAAGAATCAATATCGTGAAAATGGCCATACTGCCCAAGGTAATTTATAGATTCAATGCCATCCCCATCAAGCTACCAATGACTTTCTTCACAGAATTGGAAAAAACTGCTTTAAAGTTCATATGGAACCAGAAAAGAGCCTGCATTGCCAAGTCAATCCTAAGCCAAAAGAACAAAGCTGGAGGCATCACACTACCTGACTTCAAACTATACTACAAGGCTACAGTAACCAAAACAGCATTGTACTGGTACCAAAACAGAGATATAGACCAATGGAACAGAACAGAGCCCTCAGAAATAACACCACACATCTACAACTATCTGATCTTTGACAAACCTGACAAACACAAGAAATGGGGAAAGGATTCCCTATTTAAAAAATGGTGCTGGGAAAACTGGCTAGCCATATGTAGAAAGCTGAAACTGGATATCTTCCTTACGCCTTATAGAAAAATTAATTCAAGATGGATTAAAGACTTAAATGTTAGAGCTAAAACCATAAAAACTGTAGAGGAAAACCTAGGCAATACCATTCAGGACATAGGCATGGGCAAGGACTTCATGTCTAAAACACCAAAAGCAGTGGCAACAGAAGCCAAAATTAGACAAATGGGATCTAATTAAACTAAAGAGCTTCTGCACAGCAAAAGAAACTACCAGCAGAGTGAACAGGCAACCTACAGACTGGGAGAAAATTTTTGCAATCTACTCATCTGACAAAGGGCTAATATCCAGAATCTACAAAGAACTCAAACAAATTTACAAGAGAAAAACAAACAACCCCATCAAAAAGTGGGTGAAGGATATGAACAGACACTTCTCAAAAGAAGACATTTATGCAGCCAACAGACACATGAAAAAATGCTCATCATCACTGGCCATCAGAGAAATGCAAATCAAAACCACAATGAGATACCATCTCACACCAGTTAGAATGGCGATCATTAAAAAGTCAGGAAATGAAAGGTGCTGGAGAGGATGTGGAGAAATAGGAACACTTTTACACTGTTGGCGGGACTGTAAACTGGTTCAATCATTGTGGAAGACAGTGTGGCGATTCCTCAGGGATCTAGTACTAGAAATAACATTTGACCCAGCCATCTCGTTACTGGGTATATACCCAAAGGGTTATAAATCATGCTGCTATAAAGACACATGCACATGTAAGTTTATTGTGGCACTATTCACAATAGCAAAGACTTGGAACCAACCCAAATGTCCATCAATGATAGACTGGATTAAGAAAATGTGGCACATATACACCATGGAATACTATGCAGCCATAGAAAAGGATGAGTTCATGTCCTTTGCAGGCACATGGATGAAGCAGGAAACCATCATAATCAGCAAACTATCACAAGGACAAAAAACCAAACCGCATGTTCTCACTCATAGGTGGGAATTGAACACTGAGAACACTTGGACACAGGAAGGGGGCATCACACACAGGGGCCTGTTGTGGGGTGGGGGGAGGGGCAAGTGATAGCATTAGTAGATATACCTAACGTAAATGACAAGTTAATGGGTGCAGCACACCAGCATGGCACATGTATACATATGTAACAAACCTGCATGTTGTGCACATGTACCCTAGAACTTAAAGTATAATAATAAAAAAAAAAGCTGAAACAGGGTCCCTTCCTTACACCTTTTACAAAAATTAAGTCAAGATGGATTAAAGACTTAAATGTTAGACCTAAAACCAAAAAAACCCTATGAAAACCTAGGCATTACCATTCAGGACATAGGCATGGGCAAGGACTTCATGTCTAAAACACCAAAAGCAATGGCAACAAAAGCCAAAATTGACAAATGGGATCTAGTTAAACTAAGGAGCTTCTGCACAGCAAAAGAAACTACCATCAGAGTGAACAGGCAACCTACAAAATGGGAGAAAATTTTTGCAATCTACTCATCTGACAAAGGGCTAATATCCAGAATCTACAAAGAACTCAAACAAATTTACAAGAAAAAAACAAACAACCCCATCAAAAAGCGGGTGAAGGATATGAACAGACACTTCTCAAAAGAAGACATTTATGCAGCCAACAGACACATGAAAAAATGCTCATCATCACTGGCCATCAGAGAAATGCAAATCAAAACCACAATGAGATACCATCTCACAACAGTTAGAATGGCGATCATTAAAAAGTCAGGAAACAACAGGTGCTGGAAAGGATGTTGAGAAATAGGAACACTTTTACACTGTTGGTGGGATTGTAAACTAGTTCAACCAGTGTGGAAGTCAGTGTGGCGATTCCTCAGGGATCTAGAACTAGAAATACCATTTGACCCAGCCATCCCATTACTGGGTATACACCCAAAGGAATATAAATCATGCTGCTATAAAGACACATGCACATGTATGTTTATTGTGACACTAGTCAGAATAGCAAAGACTTGGAACCAACCCAAATGTCCATCAATGATAGACTGGATTAAGAAAATGTGGCACATATACACCATGCAATACTATGCAGCCATAAAAAAGGATGAGTTCATGTCCTTTGTAGGGACATGGATGAAGCTGGAAACCATCACTTTCAGTAAACTATCACAAAAACCAAAAACCAAACACTGCATGTTCTCACTTATAAGTGGGAATTGAACAATGAGAACACTTGGACACAGGAAGGGGAACATCACACACTGGGGCCTGTTGTGGGGTGGGGGAAGGGGGGAGGGAAAGCGTTAGGAGATATCCCTAATGTAAATGACGAGTTAATGGGTGCAGCACATCAACATGGCACATGTATACATATTTAACAAACCTGCACGTCGTGCACATGTGCCCAAGAACTTAAAGTATAATAAATATATGTGTATATATACATATGTGTGTGTGTATATATATACATATAAACACAGGTGCACAACACACAGTTTGTTGTTGCTGTTGTTGAATAGCTGATTCAGTTACTATGGTGATGCTATTGTGCTGTTAGTTACTCTGAACATGTTATTCTTTCATTGTATTAATGGTGTGTCATTTTTTACAAGTACTTATATGTGAATAAGTATAAGCAAATGATTGCTTATTTTGCTTATTGGTAGCATATTAATTCAGAGTCAGAAGTGTTGATAATACCAAACAACCACAGATTTTCCACGAGTGTAGCTAAGATGGTGACATTGTTGGTTTCTGATGTTTCCATGTACACAAACTTCATTTTATCCACGAATTATTTAAAATATTGTATATAATTTTCTTCAGACTATGTTTATAAGGCATATATGAACCATAAATGAATTTCCTGTTTAGACTTGGATCTCATCCCCAAGATAGCTCACTATGTACATGCAAATATTCTAAAATCTGAAAAATCTGAAATCTGAAACATTTTTTGTCCCAAGCATTTCAAATAAGGGATACTCAACATATACTAGAACACTCAAGGGGCCAAAGGTAATGGAATAGGACATATTTAAGAAGAGAACTAAAGCAGCTTCTGCCCATGCAAGAGTTTTAATAAACTAGTGGGTTTTTTTCTTCTGATTTTACTTACAGTGCTCCCACAAGACCTAGATGCATGTTCATGCAGGAAGAACGAATGACTAATATAAGTATTCTTGTCAAGATTCCTTGGAGAAATGGAACCTTTGTCTGCTGTCTGCAAGTTGGAGAACGAGGAAAGCCAGTGGTGTATTTTGGTCCAAGTTCAAAGGCCTGAGAACCAGGGAAACCAATGGTGTAGGTCCTAGAGTTTGCAGGTCCAAGAACCAACCAGAAGCTCTGAGGTCCAAGGGAATGAAAAGACTGATGTTCCAGCTCAAGTAGAGAGAGCCAATTTGCCCTTCTTCTGCCTTTTTGCTTCATCTGGGCCAGCAATGGATTGGTGATGTCCACCCACAATGGTGAGCGTGGATCTTCTTTACTCAGCCTACTGATTCAAATGCTAATCTCCTTCCAGAAACACCCTCACAGACGCACTCAGAAATAATGTATTTATCAGCTGTCTGGGCATCCTTTAGCCTAATCAAGTTGACTCATAAAATTAACCACCACAACAAGTGACATGATCAGACCCAGAGTCACTCTTCCTCTCCAACTCAGTTGTTCTATTATTGGGCCAAGCTTGAGACTGACACTGCTTTCCTTGGGAGTCTCTCTTGTTGCTCATCTGAGCAGACTCTTGGCAGCCTGCCCCCTAGTTCATGTCACATGCCTAGGTATGTCTAAATTCTAGCTTATGCACAAATCTGATCCCCCTTAGTGTAACACAAAAAGTGTTTATAATAGTAAAGATTAAAAGAGAGGTCATAGACCGCTTAAGAGGGGAGAAGCATTTATACTTATACTTTCCTTCCTAATAACTCCTCATGATTCTAGGAATTCTGAATGAGATAATTATTACTATTAAGCAACACCAACCTATGAAAGCTTCTGGGAGGGAGGCTGTACCATGCAAAGCCACAAGGGCCAAGCTGCCCAAGACCATGGGAACCCACCTTTTGCATCAGTGTGACTTGGATCATTTTGCAGTGTGAGAGATGGATTAAGTATATCTCAGTTTAGGAAATTTCTCTTTAAATAAAAAAATTTATCATCTGTCTTTGCCCAGATTATGCCTTTCAGCACTGGCATTTAATTTGTTACATTTTATATACCTGCATGGCTTTTTAAATTTAAGTATATATATACATATACATAGACAGCTATTTTAGTATTTAATAACAGAATTTTTAAAATTAAAGTTTGAAAATATCTTCTTAGGTAAAGTTAGCAGACTTAGCAAATAAAAATATAGAACATCCAGTTAAATTTGAATTTCAGATAAGTGACAATTTTTAATATAAGTATGTTCTATGCAATATTTGGGACATATTTATACTGAAAAAAATTATTTATCTGATAGTCACATTTAACTAGATGTCCTGTATTTTATCTGGCAACCCTAGTCTAAGGACACAGTCTTAAATAACTAGGCTGTTACTTTAATGTTTTGTACTGGTCATTTCAGGGTATTCCATGAGAAATGAACACTTGTTGTTCCAACCTATTTGGAAGTTTTGATGTGGACCACTTAAATTGCTAAATGGCTTCATAGGTTCCCTATAGTTACTTGCCATTAACAGAGGTTTGCAGCATATGCGGCCCTTGATCTGAACTATAGTCAACCCAGAAAACTGCCTATGATACTCTGTTATTTTCTGCTGTGCTGAAGCCAAAGTAATTATGGATTTCTCTGGAGGAAAACACGTCCATTGATTTTAAGTTGTTTGGGGGAATGTTAATTTAATGTAAGTTTCCTTCTGCCATGCCTGTTACTTCTATATAGCCTACACAACAGTTGCATAGAAAACAAAATACCTTTTGTTGAGAAGTCTGGGGTTTTGATTTTTTTTTGCTTGTTTAGCTTTGAAGAGGCAATTTTGGGAGAGGGGTTGGTGAAAGGCAGGAGAAGTAACTGGAGACTTGAAGCAAAGTTCTTTAACCTTAGGTCACTGATCTTCTGAGGTGCAGGTTAAATTTTGGTTTTGGGAGTTTTATTTGCCCTCAAGTAGCCATCTCAGCAGTCCACCACAGACTAGACAGAAACATGAACACCCTCGGCCACGCCGCTGATGTTGGCTTTCAGGCCATTCTGAAACCAGCATTACAGGAAAGCCTAATATTTGAACTTTTCACTCTTGGTTCATTTTATTAGACAGCAGTGAACATTATCCTTGTACTAAATGATGAAGAGAAAAATATGAAACACCCTTAAAATTAGTCTTTGTTTTTCTCCTTCCTCTTCTCTTTAGATACATTTCTTTTAGAAATTATTTCCCCTTAATCCACTTGTCCATATTGAAACATGTTTGAAAATCTAGGTGATAAGGAGAAGGAAAATACAGAAATACAGAAAGACCACCCAAAAAAATGTTTTTATACACTATTAAATACTTTCCAGTCTCTTAAACTAATTTTTACTTTTGAACTGAGCAGACTAGAAATGAATTTCTCAAATATTAAAAAAAGAAAAATAATAGAGTCTGTATCCAAGTTTTTTACAGAAGTTGTAGAGGAATCTATAATGTAACATTTTAGTTATATCTAAAAGTTTCTGCATAAATAAATTTTTTTAAATAATAATTTATTTTAAGTAGGAAAACTGTAACTGAATCCATGTGCTCTTCTTTCCTGGTGCTATACAGTCAAGGCATTATCCAAATGCCAGAGAACTTAAATACAGAGCAGCCAAGCTGGGGGCTTTAAAAAGAATTTTTTATAGACTATTTTTTAGAGCCATTTTAAGTTCACAAGGAAATTATGCAGAAGGTACAGAGATTTTCTACATACCTTCTGCCCCAATATGTGCATAAACTATCCCTTTATCAACATCAGCTAGGTGCTTTTTCATCCAAACAAAAATCAAAAGAGTGAAACTGTGGTGGAAGAGAAGAACAAAAAATGAGTCTTCTTAAATCATCTTGTACTTAATTTTTATATCTTTAGTCTGTATATTATAGATTAATGTGTATGTACATATACACATACGTACATAGTATATATCCACATACATACTGTACATAATTATTCTTAGAAAATAAATATTTTGCTTATTATACCAATACAACATTGTCAAAAATTCTAAATGGCCTACATTTAAAAATAATCCCCATGCTGAGATTGCTAGCTGTAAGGTTCCAAATTGACCACTGTTAGAGTGAGCTGCTAGCTTTCTTCCATAGAGATAATCTAAACATATCCTCTCTTCAGACAGGGGAAATGCTACATTGTTATGGTGGCTGACAATTCATTTAGGATAGAACAATAAAAAGATAAATGTGAGATATGTCAAGCATCTACTATTAGATTTCAGAAGACTATTTTTTAATGAGGGAAAAAAGATATCAAAATAAGTATTTGAGAGGTAATGCCTGATGGTGGCTTGCTCATGGAAAACAGTAGCTTTTAATCCTAACAAGGGTGATGATTCATCATATCACCAGCAAATCATGGAACCACTTTGTTAAGCTTCCTTGTCTGTGATACAGAGAATCATGCTATATCTTACCCCTGAAGTACTGGGGTTACCTAAAGAAATACATATTAATATTAGGTGGTTTTAAAATTTAGGAAACTATGTAAAGAACTACAAGAAGACAAATATTATAATGTAAACATTTAAAAAAAAAGGTTGTTCCTCTCACATAAAGAGTGATAAATGTGATGTCACTTAAATGGGTGTGCTTTAGGAGGTGTTGGGCCTTCATAACCCCATTCACACTGGGGCCCCATACAACTAGGCAGGTTCAAAGCTGTGAAGCAACCCCACCAGCCATATCCAAGAAGGAATAAAGCTGAGCCCTCATTAAGGGTGCTGGCTTTGCTTTTCTCAACCCACTTCACAAGTTTGTTATTCAAGAAGCATGTACTGATCATCTATAGGCACATGATGTTGTTTGCTCTATGACGGGGTTTTGCCATGTGCTAGAGATTGTCCTGTGCTTCACAGGATGTTGGGCAGCATTCCTGGCCTCTACCTTCTAGACACTAATACCTTTCACCCATGTCCTAGCTGTGATGAATAAAAATATTTCCAGATGTTGCCAAATGTCCACTCAAGAGCAAAATCACCTCCAGATGAGAACCACTGGTCTATGCTAAAATGGTGATTCCCAAACTTTTGTAGACATAAGACTCACTTAAAGTCCTGGTTTAAAATATGGGTCCCTGTGCCCTAAATCCTAAAATTTAATTCAGTAAAGCTGAGATGGGTACAAATAATTTGTAGAAAAAAAAAGAGAAAGAGAAAAAGAAGTGGACTGGGGAGTGAATATAGGACTCAGGACTCAGGGGCTTAGAGGTACCAAGATGGGGTGACTGAAACGAGTGCTGCAAAGTTGCTTAATAAAATTTCCCTTCAACTCCTCAAACTTATTGCAGGTATTTCAATATAAATAGTTTTGTATTAATATAACCTCTGTCCTTAGTAGAGTGTGTGGTGTAGAAAGATGTTACAATAAAAGCAATTTTTGAATGAATGATTTAATAATGATTTCAAGGGGAAAGCATAAGTGCTTATTCACTTAGTTCAGTGTAGAATGAAGCTGTTTAGTTCTAATGGCCAGGGGAGGTGTGGTCTGTGACATTTATCAGGAGCCTTGCAGGGAGCAGTGAGTTCTAATCCTGGAAAACCAGAAGCGGGATTGAGGATTAAAATCTACAGTGTATTTCATTTGGGCCATCCCTTCACCCAGGACCTGAAATCTCATATTAAATACTTTAGTAAAACTGACTTTCCTAGGGAAAGATTAATAGAAGAGAGAATGGCCGGGCATGGTGGCTCACGCCTGTAATCCCAGCACTTTGGGAGGCTGAGGCGGGTGGATCACCTGAGGTCAGGAGTTCGAGACCAGCCTGGCCAACATGGTGAAACCCTGTGTCTACTAAAAATACAAAAATTAGCAGGGCGTGGTGGTGCATGCCTGTAGTCCCAGCTACTCAGGAGGCTGAGGCAGGAGATTTGCTTGAACCTGGAAGGCAGAGGTTGTGGTGAGCCAAGATCATGCCACCGCACTCCAGCCTGGGCGATAGAGCAAGACTCCATCTCAAATAAATAAATAAATAAATAAATAAATAAATAAATAAATAAAATAGAAGAGGGAATGTTAGAACCATTTTCAAATTGTAAAGATTAATTTACTTCCTATTCTTTCTTCTTCTTATATCATCTTTCTCCAGCCCTCTACTAAAATTCATAAAACTCAACCATGAAAACATTTCTTCATCACTCCCACAGTGAAAAATAAAACAGAGAAGAACAGTGAGATTCCAGATTAGCACTGGTTATGTTGAGTGCGTTCTCTGGGAAGGGTGTTGTTGTAATACCTTTAGGGAAGGGATAATTATGATCATGAAAGAGTAGACATTTGGTAGTTGCTTGCTATGTGCCAGACACAGTACTAGGCATATTTCATACTTTGTCTCAAAATATATTTGGGGGATATAAATCTCAGATTCTAGTTATAAAATTTACAGCCTCTGTGCCTCTGCTTGTGCCATTTCCTCTGCTTAGAACCCCCTTTTCTCTCATAACTATCCATGAATATGTCATTCTTTATTCAAACCTCACATTTCCATGTCTACTTACCTTTAAGACATTCCTAACTTGCCCAATTCTGAAAAAGACAGGATCTTCTTGCTTTGTAAACCTCTGAAATAGTTATTTATATTGTACACCCAGTACCTACTTTTTGCCTTATATTGCAGTTTTATAAACTCATGAGGCACGTGGCTGCCTTCATTACTGTAAGACAAACTCCTTGAAGGTAAAAGCCATGTTTTTTTTTTAAGCTTTGTTTTCCTCAAGCACAGTGTTTTGCAAAGTTTCAGTTTCAGATTTCTCTTGCATCAGAATCATCTGGGATGTTTGCTGAAAATCCAGATTACTGGTACCCACCTCAGTTTTGCTGAATTAAATTTTAGAATGTAGGGCCCAGAGACCCATATTTTAAACTAGCATTTTAAATGAGTCATGTGTCCACAAAAGTTTGGGAATCACTGTTTGAGCAGAGAGCAGTGGTTCTCAGCTGGAGATGATTTTGCTCTTGAGGGGACATTTGTCAACATCTGGGACCATTTTTGCTCTTTACACTTGGGACAGGGGTGAGTACTACTCGTATCTAGAGGGTAGAGGCCAGGGATACTGCTCAACATTCTTCCTCCTTGAAGGCAATAGTTACTTTTATAAAAATATTTTTATAAGCTCTGTCCCTAGTAGTGTGTGGTGTAGAAAGGTGTTATATAAAAGCAATTTTTTGATGATTGATTTAATAAATGGATTATTCCCTAGTCTTTCCCACCATTGGTTTCAAAGCATTCAACTTCTAAGCTGTTGCTTTAAACTGCTTATAGAGATAAACCTCATCTGAAACTGTTCAGAGTTGTATCAAGTCTTTTAGCCAGAGAAGAATAGTCTTTCCTCTTTCAAAGCTCACTTCCACTTTGTGGACACTCATTAGTGCCCTGATGCCTACCTCAGTCTTAAACCCAAAGTCCATTTACAGAGGTGACTGATGTCCTAAGAAGCCTTTGGTCCCCAAACCTAGCCACTTTCTAAATTTATCTAGTAGTGAAGTATCCTGTCGATATTCCTAAGAAAAAAGTGGAGGTTTCACTGAGGTTCTTTATAAAACATTTATATAATGCATAATCTATTACACATTAAAATTATGCAACCATAATTCTCACTCAGAGAGCCGTTTGTTTCCAAACTCACAAACAAAAAATATCTTGCTTTTTGTTTTTGGTTTTTAAATTGTCTTTTTGTTTTATAGGTCCTGTGTGATTTATGCTTTAAAGAGTTTCTGTTTTGATGTGTTTCTAGGATTTGTTTCATGATTTAGAACTCCTTTTAGCAGTTCTTGTAGCGGTGGCTTGGTAGTGGCGAATTCTCTCAGCATTTATCTATCCGAAAAAGACTGTATTTTTCATAAAACCTTCTTCTTGGAAGAATATCCATTTTCCTATTTGTTTTTATAGGAAATATAGACAAGGTGGTCAGTCTTTTTTTTTTATAACATTCTACAATGTGGGTTAAAAGAAATAATTCTAAATTTAGAAGCTTTTTTCTGAAATTTATTATCTTTACAATTTGTTTTAGTTATCAAACTCTATAAAATCACTGAACACTGTGGAGTTTACTAAAGTGGAACTGTAAATGGTTCTTGCCCTGATGGCACATGAAATGGCTTTGGGAGACAATACTCAGCTGAACAGTGGATAAATAACCAAATAAGGCAGTCCATATTTTAGGTCCAGCGTTAGGAGTTCACACATAAATTTGCAAAGCCATACTCAAACGTAGAAACCGAAGTGTATTGGAGTAATCAGGTAAAATTTTGAGATTCAGACTGATGAAGAGGAAGGTTAGAAGAAAGAGCACATTAATAAGAGGATAGCGATGCAGAGGAAGACGGAATTTCTGAAAAGTGCGAAATAGGAAAATGAGACTAGTGTAGCACAAATCGTGGTATGTGTTGATAAATTCTGGAATGGAGGAGTATCAGCTACTTGGTGAACTTACTAAGAGTGCCTTGAATGCTCAGCTGCATAGTAGGCAATGAAACACTATGAAGTGGTATGGACAGATGAGTAACTGAGTGAGAATAGTATTTTAAGAACATTAGTTTGGAATGGTTGCAGATTGGGTAGAGGAAAGAAGAGATGGTTTGCAGATTGATAGAGGAAAAAGGACAATGGAGACAGGAAATCCAGTTAGAAAAGTATTACACTTATTCAGAAAGAAAGCAATTAGTTCCCCAACTAAGCTTGTGACAGAAAAGGGCAGATGGTTATAGTTTTGTCAAAGATGAGTAAATGGAACTGAGCAAATTCATTGGATGTATGGGGTAAAGTAAAGGGGTGAGAAATTGCCTCCAATTCTAATCATAAAATCCTAGGACAGATGTATTCTCCTTAAATCCTCTCCGTCTACCTTGTCCTCTTAAAATTTGCCCAAAATTTTCTGCCCACCATACTTGAGAATCTATGAGTTGTTTTTTGTTTGTTTGTTTCAGAGAATAGCACCTAACACCTAAATCTACCAACACTAACAATGTGACTTTTGAGAGGCAAAGTTCAAAATCTGCAAAATCAGAACATTTCAGAGATAATAGTCTATCTGTTTAACATTCTTCACCACATGCCTCCATTTATTCATAGTGCCATTAAAAATGTTTGGTGTTCATTCCTGAAACCAACCCTGGGCTTCTGGATCCAACAGCAGAGTCGATTATATGATTGCTTAAACATCAAAGCTTTCCTTCACTAATGTTCTTACCAGGGGACATAAACAGGCAGGTCTTTTCTCTCTGGTTTAGGCAAATGTCTATGTTGTTCAAACCAGCATACTGTACATTCCTGTGTGATTTTATGTGTTTGATCATTGGACAGATGGAATATCTGCTTTTCCCATTGCTATCAATTGAATGTGTGCAGTGCACATCCTGCTCAAAGCAGACCTGTTTTGTCGGGCAGAAGTCAGGGCTTACTGCCCTGGGACAGCCCATTTCTTGGAAATGCTCGTAGGATCTTCAGTTTCCCCTTCTGAGGTATACGAGGAAAATCTTACCCTGAGGAAATATAAAAGGATTTCCTGACACCAGCCAAAGAAACAGGTGCACACATATTTGATTTGATAAAAATGGGATACATAAGGTATGGCCATAGTGCAAGCATATTATTTCCCCCTGCTCCACAGTTTCAGTGGTCCACTCAGAAAACTTCTGCCCTGAGTAATCACTGTCTCCATAATAAATTTGAGTGCCTTACTCTGGAATTCCTTCACAATCTGGCCCCAGTTGGCTTTTCCAACCATATTACAAACTATACCCATTTAAGATCTTGCCACACTAAGCTACTTACTGTTACCTGATCCTCAACCCAAGCTCTAGCCTTGCTGATGTGCTTTCTTCGATTTAAGCTTATCTTCCTTCACAATCCAAATGTCCAAATTCTTGGCATCCTAAAAATCCCATTTATTTGGCAACCCATGAAGACTTTCTTCATCTCCCAGGTGCAAGTCAGCCCTCACTGCCTTATCCTCCCAGTGCAAGTTACATGTATTTATCTGATGGCACCTACAATTTCTACCTGAATTAAGACTAATAGTCTTACCTGTGGACTATGTACATCTTGGGGAGTTTATGCCTGATCCATCTTTGAGTGCTTCACCCTAGGGTCTTGTATCTATGACATGGTGGAAAGAATACTTGGAGAAAATTTAGGTTCAAGTCTCCCTCTAGCTGTGTCACTGTGATCAGTTTATAAATTTCAATATATCTTTTTAAGATTAGGTGTGATAACATAAAAGTCATTCCCTAAAGGATTAGATAGTTAATATAGTTAATGACAATATTAATACACCATGGATGACACACCAGTTTAAAAAATTAATCTACTGACATTACTATTAGAGAGATTTTTTTTTTTATGTAACATCACACACTGACCCAATTTGTTTCCCAGTTGGGACACCCCTGAAGTGTATCTGTTAATCAGAAGAAAACAAGTTAAAATGTGATCCTGATATTAAAATTACTGAACCCTCCTCACCTGTCTTCTGATCACTGGCTCAGCCTCCTGACCTTTTTTTTTTTTTTTTTTTTACTATACTTAGCCTGTGTTATACTGATTCACAAGAGCTGCCAGTAAGATGAAATGGAGGTAGTTTAATTACTAAAACAAAAAAAAACCACCATTTATTCATTCAAAAACTATTTATTGAGTGTTCCTAAAGGTCAGATACTCTTCTAGGTTCTAGTGATAGAGTCGTGAATAAGACAGATTTCTGTTTTGCCCTTGAGATGTTTACAAACTAGTAGAGGAGAAAGTTAGCTTGGCATAAAATTCCATTTCAGTATAACATGGTATGTTAGTTTTTGGAGTGGAGTAGAAGGAGCAAGTGGTCAAAAAGAAGCTTACCAGAAAAAAACGTATTCAATGGCTAATAAAACCCATTCATGATCAAGCAAAATGTACTTCCCACTTCGTTTGTGGGAACATGCATTCAAGTTGAGTTCATTGTGTTAAAAGATAACAAATGGTGAGGCTGCAGAGAAATAGGAACATTTGCACACTGTTGGTGGGAATGTAAATTAGTACAGCCATTAGAGTAAACAGTATTGAGGTTTCTAAAACAATTAAAAATAGAACTACCATATGATCCAGCAATTCCACTACTGCTTATATATCCAAAGGAAATAAAATCAATGTCTTTACCATCTCACACCAGGTAGAATGGCGATCATTAAAAAGTCAGGAAACAACAGTTGCTAGAGAGGATGTGGAGAAATAGGAATGCTTTTATATTGTTGGTGGGAGTGTAAATTAATTCAACCATTGTGAAAGACAGTGTGGCGATTCCTCAAGGATCTAGAATTAGAAATAACATTTGACCCAGCAATCCCATTACTGGGTATATACCCAAAGGATTACAAATCATTCTACTATAAAGACACATGCACACATATGTTTGTTGCAACACTGTTCACAAGAGCAAAGACTTGGAACCAACCAAAATGTCCATCAATGATAGACTGGATTAAGAAAATGTGAAACATATACACCATGGAATAATATGCAGCCATAAAAAAGGATGAGTTCATGTCCTTTGCAGGGACACGGGTGATGGTGGAAACCATCATTCTCAGCAAACTAACACAGGAACAGAAAACCAAACACCGCATGTTCTCACTCATAAGTGGGAGTTGAACAATGAGAACACATGGACACAGGGAGGGGAACATCAGACACTGGGGCATGTTGGGGGGTGAGGGGCTAGGGGAGGGATGGCATTAGGGGACATGCCTAACATAGATGATGAGTTGATAGGTGCAGAAAACCACCGTGGCACGTGTATACCTATGTAACAAACCTGCGTGTTCTGCACATGTACTCCAGAACTTAAAGTATAATAAATAAATAAATAAAATAAAATAAAATAAGATCAGTGTCTTAAAAAGAGATCTGCAGTCTCATATTTATTGCAACATTATTCACAGTAGCCAAGATAGTCAACCTAAGTGTCTATCAGTGAAATGAATGGATAGAGGAAATGTGGTATATATACACAATGGAATACCATTCTGCCATAAAAAGAAGGCAGTCCTGTCATTTGTGGCAACATGAATGAACTGGAGGACATTATGTTAAGTGAAATAAGCCAGGTACAAATACTGCACGACCTCATTCCTATGTGAAATCTAAAAAAGTTGATATAGAAATAGAGAGGTCAGGAGACTGAGACCATCTGGCTAACACGGTGAAACCCTGTCTCTACTAAAAATAAAAAAAAATAAAAAATAAATTAGCCAGCCGTAGTGGCGGGCGCCTCTAGTCCCAGCTACTCAGGAGGCTGAGGCAGGAGAATGGCGTGAACCCGGGAGGCAGAGCTTGCAGTGAGCCGAGACCGTGCCACTGCACTGCAGCCTGGGCAACAGAGCGACACTCCATCAAAAAAAAAAAAGATATATAGAGAGAAATAGAGAGTAGAATGGTGGTTACCAGAGGCAGGGGCAGTTGGGGTATGGGGGACTGTGGAGATGTTGGTCAATGGGTACAAAATTTCAGTTAGATAGGAAAAATATGAGATCTATTGTACAATATTGTACAATAGTTAATGATGAAATTCTTGAAATGCTTGTATTCTTGAAAAATGCTAAGAAAGTGAATGTTAAATGTTCTCACCACAAAAATGATAATTTTGTGAGGTAAATACATATTTTAATTAGATTTTACCATTCCACAATTTATACTATTACATTGAAATAAATTAAAATAAATAAGTAAATGGAGCTCATTGTGGAAAATGTGGGTGATGAAGATGTAATTTATGCCTATTCACCATACCCATGGTTGACTTCAGTCTTCAAATTCCCTATAGAGAAGCTTGCTTGAAACTCCAGAATCATAGTAAGTATGTCCCTCAGTGTGCTTAGTGAAGGCCAAAGCTGGAAATTATTGAGAAGGAAAGAGAAATCTTTTAGGGTTCCATTAGCTAAGGATTAAAGGAGAGAGCTGAAACCAAGAACAGGAGAGTTAGATGTTGATTGGTGTTCAAAAGAGAGGCACTTAATATTCTGCCACCTTGGGGCAGAATGTGTGTGTGTGTGTGTGTGTGTGTGTGTGTGTGTGTGTGTGTCCAAACACAGATATAACTTTGGTGATATAAAGGCTGGGTAAACATGGTATGATAGTAGAGTGGGAAGGCTGACAGGGTATGTTGAATATCTGCTGCCCCAGAAAGGGCCAGGAAACATTAAAAATGCTGCTGTTCTCTAGAGATGAGGAAAAGCATGTTTATAAAGTAAATATAGTAATAATAATAACATGTAATATATAAACACAAAGGTTGGTAATAAGTCATCCTATTATTTCTTATTGACAATGAATGACAATTGGTGATTGTGACTTTACTCACCACTAAGTTGTTTGAGGTATGGTTTCCAGATCTGATTTTCTATGATCTGTGACTGCAAAAAATTTAGAACTCATAAATTAAAATTTTAAAACCTCTGCTAGTATTTTATTTTTATTTTATTGAAGTTCATGTAAGTTGAAATAACACACACACAAGACTAGGCTATCCATCTTATCTCTATATTCCTGGTCACATACTTGACATTTTATTGAGACAGATCCTCTTTGGTTCTAAATTTACTTAGGTCTGTGACACACTCTCTCTTTGAAGACAGCTTTTCAAGTACTTTTTTTTATTATTGAAATACATTAATTTAGAAGTTTAAGGATTAAATACGGTGATTGGGGTTGTTCAGACAGTTTCAAGGTGACATATACGGGAATTGCTATGCTTCAGGCATGTTTAATAGCTAATGAATGAGGAGTGACTACAAAATGCTAGGGAATGACTCCTATCATGGTTCAATTTAGATCAGCATTTTAAAAATTCTTGCCTCTTCTCAAATTATTACCTCTTTTGTAGCCCAAACACTGTGATCTACGTACCAATATTTCTAAAATTTTATCTAATTTTCTGCTGCTGGTTAACATATCTACTTACCAATATAACATAAACACTTAACTAGATACAATTAGATACTTGTTCAGTGCTGTGGAAGCTTAACTGAAACTATCTATTAAAGAATTTTAGCACTTTTTCAAAAGTAACTTTTTCTACCTATTCAATTATCTGAGAAATATTTCATGGATTTTATTCATCATTCCACATTTGATTTTATAAGCTAAACTGAAGTATACTGAAAATATGATTTATAATTTTATATCAATTTATAATTATATGAATAATTTACCAAGGATAACACAGCTGACTCACATCCACATATTATTTTTATAGTATATACAAAAATTGTTTTACAAGTACATCAATAGTTTTTAAAACATTCATATTCCTTGACCCATTTATTTTATCTTTGTGGATTTATTCTAAAGAAATTGTTATAAATACACATACATTTAACCACTAAGATATTTATTGCACCATTATTTATGACAGAAAAAAATTCAAAACTGTTTGCAGAATAGAAAAATGAATAGGTAGTTGTTATTATAACTATTTGAAGGAATATCATGCAAAAGATACTTATGAAGATCTTTATAACATGAAAAATGTTTAGATTATAACATTAACTGAAAAGAAATTTATACACAAAATTGCACAAGCACAGACTTAATGGCAAGAAAATAGAGTTCTCAAATATGCATTTTCAGACATTCTACTTACTACTTAATTTCATTTCCATTACAGGAAAAAAAGCAAACAAACAAGTAAATATTTGAGGGATACTTCCCTGATACAAGGCTGGTTCAACATAAGCAAATCAATAAACATAATCCATCAGATAAACAGAACCAACAACAAAAACCACATGATTATCTCAATAGATACAGAAAAGACCTTTGACAAAATTCAACAGCCCTTCATGCTAAAAACTCTCAAGAAACTAGGTATTGATGGGACGTATCTCAAAATAATAAGAGCTATTTATGACAAACCCACAGCCAACGTAATACTGAATGAGCAAAAACTGGAAGCATTCCCTTTGAAAACCGGCACAAGACAAGGATGCCCTCTCTCACCACTCCTATTCAACATAGTATTGGAAGTTCTGGCCAGGGCAATCAGGCAAGAGAGAGAAATAAAGGGTATTCAATTAGGAAAAGAGGAAGTCAAATTGTCTCTGTTTGCAGATGACATGATTGTATATTTAAAAAACCCCATCATCTCAGCCCAAAATCTCCTTAAGCTGATAAGCAACTTCAGCAAAGTCTCCGGATACAAAATCAATGGGCAAAAATCACAAGTATTCCTACATACTAAGAACAGACAAACAGAGAGGCGAATAATGAGTGAACTCCCATTCACAAGTGCTACAAAGAGAATAAAATACCTAGGAATCCAACTTACAAGGGATGTGAAGGACCTCTTCAAGGAGAACTACAAACCACTGCTGAACGAAATAAAAGTGGACACAAACAAATGGAAGAACATTCCATGCTCACGGATAGGGAGAATCAATAGCATTAAAATGGCCATTCTGCCGAAGGTAATTTGTAGATTCAATGCTATCCCCATCAAACTACCACTGATTTTATTCACAGAATTGGAAACAACTACTTTAAATTTCATATGGAACAAAAGAAGAGCCCACATAGCCAAGACAATGCTAAGCAAACAGAACAAAGCTGAAGGCATCACACTACCTGACTTCAAACTATACTACAAGGCTACAGTAACCAAAACAGCATGGTATTGGTACCAAAATAGAGATTCAGACCAATGGAACAGAACAGAGGCCTCAGAAATAACACCACACATCTATAACCATCTGATCTTTGACAAACCTGACAAAAACAAGCAATGGGGAAAGGATTCCCATTTAATAAATGGTGCTGGGAAAACCGGCTAGCCATGTGTAGAAAGCTGAAACTGGATCCCTTCCTTACACCTTATACAAAAATTAACTCAAGATGGATTAAAGACTTAAATGTGAGACCTAACACCATAAAAACCCTAGAAGAAAACCTAGGCAATACCATTCAGGACACAGGCATGGGTAAAGATTTCATGACTAAAACACCAAAAGCAATGGCAACAAAAGTCAAAAGAGACAAATGGGATCTAATTAAACTAAAGGCTTCTGCACAGCAAAAGAAATTATCATCAGAGTGAACAGGAAATCTACAGAACAGGAGAAAATTTTTGCAATCTATCCATCTGACAAAGGGCTAATATCCAGAATCTACAAAGAACTTAAACAAATTTACAAGAAAAAAACAAACAACCCCATCAAAAAGTTGGCAAATGATATGAACAGACAAAGAAGCCATTTATGCAGGCAACAGACATATGAAAAAATGCTCATCATCATTGGTCATCAGAGAAATGCAAATCAAAACCACAATGAGATACCATCTCACGCCAGTTAGAATGGCGATCATTAAAAAGTCAGGAAACAACAGATGCTGGAGAGGATATGGAGAAATAGGAAGGCTTTTACACTGTTGGTGGGAGTGTAAATTAGTTCAACCATTGTGGAAGACAGTGTGGCAATTCCTCAAGGATCTAGAACTAAATACCATTTGACCCAGCAATCCCATTACTGAGTATATACCCAGAGGATTATAAATCATGCTATTATAAAGACACATGCACACATATGTTTATTGCAGCACTATTCACAATAGCAAAGACTTGGAACCAACCCAAGTGTCCATCAATAATAGACTGGATAAAGAAAATGTGGCACATATACACCATGGACTACTATGCAGCCATAAAAAAAGTTGAGTTCATGTCCTTTGCAGGGACATGGATGAAGCTGGAAACCATCATTCTCAGCAAAATATCACCAGGGCAGAAAATCAAACACTGCATGTTCTCACTCATAAGTGGGAGTTGAACAATGAGAACACATGGATACAGGGAGGGGAACATCGCACACTGGGGCCTGTCATGGGATGGGAGGCTGAGGGAGTGATAGCGTTAGGAGAAATACCTAATGTAAATGATGAGTTGGTGGGTGCAGCAAACCCCCATAGCACATGTATACCTATGTAACAAACCTGCATGTTGTGCACATGTGTCCTATAACTTAAAGTATAATAATAAAAAACAAAAATACAAAAAGATCCACTCATGTCACCAAATATGGGTTTCTCTATAGTACTGAAAAATAAAATTATTTTTAAATATAATGTAACAAAAAACCATTTAGTTCTTTAAAGGCTACAAATTTCAACTAAACAAGAATTAGATCCCATTAATTACAATCTGACACGTCACACAATTGCTTTGTGTGATTTTTAATAGCTTGTTTAACTTCCCTGTCCATTTCAGTAGTAAAATAGTGATGAGAATATTACTATCTTCATAAGGTAAGAACTAAAATATATGATTATTGTGCCTAGAATAAATTAGTATATGTTTTATAGTGTTGTCACACAACTGTAGTGTTGAATCATAAGTACAGTTCACACATATAAACACATAACTTTTTGAATTAATGGTAAAAACAGAAACCTCAAGGGAAAAAAGTAGGTAACTTATGAACAGGAAAATTTGAAAAGAGAAAATACCAGTTTCAAAAATAAAATCTACATTTTACATGGTCTAAATCATCTTCATAACATCATCATGAAACCCCTTCACAGTCCCTACATGTGCAATTCGATAAATGACCTATAGCTTGAGAAGTTTCTCAGGGATCTTGCCTCAGTTATTACCTACCTCTTTCCCTTATCAATATTGCTGCCTGAAAACTCACCTGAGGTGACATCAAATAAACCAGAGAGTGACACTTGACTCATTATTAGAACCTACTAACTCCTGAATAATACTCCCAATTTCCAAGCCAAAAAGCTACTGGGGGTATGTAGCTGAGATACCTTATAACATCCGGGATAATTCCGTTAGAAGTCCATGTCAAGCCAAATTCTCAACTGCCCCTCCCACTGGCAATGTGAAAAAGCCCATGCTTTTGTAGTTTAGCTACCAGTTGTTTTGAGGAATGACTTTTATGATGCTACAGGCTGCTGAGCCAAAATATACGGGATCATAAAAGGGGAATGCCTCCACTGAAAGTCATCTCCATACAACTGGCATTTGAGACCAGCAGAGGGGAAATGAGGGCATCTATGGTTATTCCATCAACATCAAGGCTGGCAGTGGGGACCAATCAGGAAAGCCAAAACCCTTTAAGTTCTTTGTAAAAGGATAATCTTAAAGCAGAACATGTACTCCTGGCAAACTCCAGAGCTTATAACGTCTGACCCTGCCACTGGACCTGCTTCTTGATGCCATAGATTATATTTTAAACTAATTCTCTCTTCATATGGTATTTTGCTTGCCTTGTAGCATATGCCACAGTCCTGGGTTTGGAAGAAGGGACTGGAAAATGGGAGGTTAAGCCTGGTGTACACTGCCAACTAGATTTTTCTTGCTGACAACGTACAAACTTGGCCTCCACTTCCCTGCACAGTCATGCCCCTTTGGTGTTTCCTGGGAAGTTAGGCCACTGCCATGCTGTAGCCAGAAAGCCATGCAGTTCCTCACACAGCCTCACACTTTATAATCACTCCCAGGAGATTTTTTGACACAGGAATCTGCACTATAACACCTTTAAATCTGGATGGACAGTTTGTTGTAACAAGTTAGAATTTCAATTTTTTTTTTTCTGATGGCTCAAAAAGAACAGGAGCTGGATGATGGGAACAGGGAAAAATAATTAGATGAAAGGGCTAAGTGATATCCTTGGAACACAGCAGATACTCTCAGAACTTTAATTCAATACAACTTTATGAATCAGAAGACTGAGAAGAGTTCAGTGAAAATAAAACCATGTACCTATTAGTACCCCAGGTCAATTAAAAAAAAATCTTACTTTTATTAAAATAGTATGTTCCCATTGTTTTTTTGTATTCAGAACTGTAAGTACTCAATTTCCTTAGATCTACATGTATTGAAATTACCAGGAAGAATGTATTGTATGAATTGCTTGCTAAAAACTCAGAAGTTCTTAGAATTTATGTAGTTTATACCAGAAGAGGTTTGAACCCAGAAAAAGGGGTTTTCCCCAACACTGAGAAAGGAAGGCCAACAGGTAGGTAAGTGTGACAGTCTACTGATCTGAGTTTGTATAAGAATAAGTGTACGAACCTAACAGGGCCAGGACCCAAGCAGAAGTCAGGCAAGATGTATCTTGTGAAGAAACTGGAGTGGGAGAGAAAAGAAAGATCACCAGTAGCAAGTCTGATAATCAGCCTCATGATGTAACAAACTAAATTTTGATAAGCTAAACAACATTAATATCATGTCTATGTCTCTTAAACCAGTATTTAGGTGGTGAGATGGGAAAGGTTGTCTATGGAGCATAGTTATGCATGAGTCTATAACCTTACATCCTTAACTGAAAGATTGCTCTTGCATAACCTTGTGAAAAGTTACTGGGCAATATTTAAGATACACACAGGTTTAAAGAATAATATTGCCAGCATAAAAAAAATTATTATAATAGAATACACTAGTTACCCCTTTCAGATTGAGTCACCATCCCTTTCCCTTAGATGTAACCAATATCCTGAACTGCATGTCTATTATTTCTATGTAATTCTTTATTTTATCACTATATGGGCATTAAACAACATGTAGCATCATTTTGTCTTTAGCCTTTTCTTCATTGAATGTCACGCTTTCAATCATATACCCTACTATCAGTCCCAAAAGTTAGATGTGTTAAAGTCACTTTTTACTTCCAATCGCTTAAACTATGCTTTAATGGCACCATTTTCTCCTTTCCTTCTCCACTAGCATTAGAATATTGAAGGCTCCATTTTCATAACAGGACTAAATGTCGCACTCTCACTTTCATGTAGTTCTTTAAAAATTCCAGGATGCTGACTGTGTGTGGTGGCTCACACCTGTAATCCCAGCACTTTGGGAGGCCAAGGCGGGCAGATCACCTGAGGTCAGGAGTTCGAGATCAGCCTGCCAAACATGGTGAAACCCTGTCTCTACTAAAAATACAAAAAATTAGCCGGGTGTGGTGGCGGGTGCCTATAATCCCAGCTACTCGGGAGGCTGAGGCAGGGGAATCACTTGAACCTGAGAGGCGGAGGTTGCAGTGAGCTGAGATGGCGCCACTGCACTCCAGCCTGGGTGACAAGAGCGAAACCCTGTCTCAAAAAATAAATAAATAAATAAAAATAAATAAAAAATTCCAGGATGCCTAGGATTATGTGAATTTAAGGTGTCCTATTATAGATAAGTAAAATGATGTTCAGAATTGAAACTCCAGCTCTGTTTATTACAACATTTGACAAGTCATTTGTCATCCTAGAACTCATTTTAGTAACAAAAAATGAAAAAAGTGTTAAAGAAAAAATTATTCAATGTTACTTATTGAAGCATAATAATGCAGATTTTACTCAGGACCACCAAAGCAGGTATAGGGATGATGGCATTGGGGTATTGCTATGGGAAAGGTAGATTTTTGCCCAACTCCAAATATAGCATGGGCAAGTGAATAGCCATTTATATTCAGGGAGCAGGGTGGATGGGAGTTGGTGGGTGGAAAATTCTTAAAGTAAGCATCAGGAGTAAGGAGGATTCTGGCTAAACTGACGTAAGAGGATTTCTTGCTAAGGACAGGCCAGGAAGATAACCTAAGGGTGGATGTGGGATGAGGATCCCAATCAGATATCAAAGGTGATCATATCTCTAAGATGGGGGTAAGGTTCTTGCTAAGCTTGCTAAACTATAAATTAGAAGGGTTCTTGTTGAAACTGGATATTACAAGGAAATGCACAGATGGGCCTACGAGAAGGTTCAGGAGCCTGACTAATGTTTGGTCAAGCAAAGGCTCTATATGAGAGGTGAACTACATATAAATTATCTCCAATGCCGTTTCTAACTTCAATATTTGTTTTTTTTACTCTGCTTATTCCCTCTGCATGGATGAACATCTCACCACTCTCATTATTAAATATTCTTTTAAAAACATTATTTTGCTGGCACTTTCTTGAATCATTTACTGGTCAGTAGAGGTAAGAATGTTTCTACACATACTTCCCAAAGTACTAAAATAAATGAAAAGCATTTTCCAAAAGCATTTGCTGGCCAATTCAGTTTGAGCAGTGTATCTTAGCCTGTTTAGTGTTCTGTGGGATCTATGGAGTAGTTACTAATATTGCTAATAATAATCTGAGTATGGCATAGAACAACCTTTGCTGTACAATTGAAGTCAGCAAGACAGGCTTAACTTGAACCCCATCTAAGGCAGTTACTAACTCATGTATCTCAAAGCTGCCAAGATTCCACCTGTAAGAAATCTTCCCAGAAAAGGACTCAAAAGATAGGCTTCTACAAAGACACAAGCCCACAAGTGCAGTGAGAAAATGATTTCTATTCTCACAGTTTTGGCACAGTTGGCTGTTACTCCTGAAAAAAAAAATCATGTTAAATGAAAACACTCCAGGTTTAATCTCTGCCCATTTTTTATTTAAAAGATGGAGGAAAATCAATTGAACAATCTTTAAATTCCAAGAAAATGAAATAGACTTTTCTCCAGTATATAAAAAAAGATAAATGAACATTTCTTTTCTTTCAATGAATGTAAAAAGACATGTTTATGGCTCTTTGCTTAGGAAAAACAGACACTTAGTTGATGTAAAGGTTAAATATGTGTTCTGGTTTTCAATCATGAAATACTATTTGCTGTATACAGCATACATTTATGGTCCTTGAAATTGGCATAGTTACTGCATTTAAAGACAGCAACATTTTACTTCTATGAATAGACCCTAAGACTGACTGACCTTCTGATATTTCATGCTAATGTATATTGAATAACTGTGACAGGCAACAAAAGGGGCATTACTCGTGGGTCATCATCCATCCATTCATTCAAATAACACTTCTTGAGTGCTAACTAGTAATTTCAGCTCAACAAACAATTATTGAATGCTGCCTATGTTCCTGCCAGGCACTGCTGAGGTGCTTGAAATAGCCATATGTAAAATATATACATATATAGGTAGGAGTCACATGTTAATAATATAATACTATATTATAGTATATAATTAGTATAATATAATACTATATTATAGTATATAATTAGTATAATATAATACTATATTATAGTATATAGCTAGGAGTTACATGTGATAGAAAAGCCTCAGGTTTCTCTTTTAAAACAGGAAAGGAAGGGGAATTGTGTGGGCATTTGTATTCAGAATCGTTAAAGAAGTAGACATTATACTTAGAGTTAACTAATGTATATTTGAGCCATTCGTATTTGCTCAATCTAGAAGTAAACAACACAAAATATAGAATTCTGTCCTAGTATCCAAGGGAACTAGAATTGAGTGGCGTATTTTCCTTTATCATTCAAATCTGAACGTCTTACTTGAATTAACGTATTTATGAAAGAATTGTGCCTCCTCTCTTGTCACCACTTTATCTCTAGCAGATATTTAACAATATCGAAATTCTTTTAAAAGATATTTTTCCTTCAGTGGTGACAGAGTAGTATTAGAAATTGCTGGCTGGCTCTGCCTTATAAGTTGAAGTTATTAAGATACTTAGCAATATATGTGAAAAAATGGCACACTGCTGAACCAGTCTTTGAATCTGAGCAAAGCACTCCTCAACAAGTGCAGTATTTTTTTCAAATTCATGAGACTTTTCATATTTAGTTTCCAAAGTCTCATTAGAATGTCTCCTTCTGGCAACCAAATTGCTTAACAATAAACAATTCATCAACCTCAAGAGGGTAAAAAAAGTTTGAAAGGTGTTCTGGTTTAACAAAAGTGTAATGATTTAGTTTATACAATGTATGAGGGAATTAAAAGTAGGTGAAAAGTTCATATTTGTGCTTTAGAAGGACTCGATGAATAATGGAATGGCATTTTCATTACATTATTCAAAATTTTTGTTGGAAAACATTATCTTTTCTTATTTACCCAACTACTGAGTATGGCTTTGTAAATGTATTTTTGCTGTCAAATTTAATCAGATAAACTTCTTTTTAACTCATTTCTTATATTCCTAAAACTTGGTCTTCCATAGTAAAGATTAGATTATATAAAGATCTATGGTCTTCCTAACATGTCCATTCAAATAATGCTATTATTCTCTGGAATATATTATTGGGAAAGAGTATACGATACTCTTTCCTAGGCCTCTTGAAGAGAATTTTTCTGCAATCATTTACAACAACTATAAAAACAAGCACGAGCCTGGATTTTCTGCCTCCCTGCCTCCCTCCCTACTTCCTTCCCTCTCTTCTTTCCTGCCTGCCTTTTTACTTTCCTGACTTTCTGTCTTCTTTCTTTTTCTTTCCTTTCTCTATTCTTTCTCTTATTTTTCTTCTTCAAACATTTATTGTTTACCTACAATTTGAAAGATATCATGCTAGATACAGGGAGTGAAAAGGTAAATAAATCATGATCTCATAATATCTGTTATGACAGATATTACAATAGACAAGTACAAAATAATCAGTGACATAATAGAAGTATAAATAAAGTAAACACTATTCAAGCACAAGGAATGTTAAAACAGATGTTCCTGAGGCCTGGAATTTAATTGTAACTTTCTGATTTTATTTGTCTGATTTCCACGAGGTTTCATTAACCCCAAACTTACTGGGAAATCTCATCAAGATTATTGGTCCCTAGGGTGAAATTAGAAATCAATAGGCGCAATGTTTCTAAAATTTCATTTTATAGATTTTTAGCAAACAAATCTCCCCATTCTCTTCCTCACATTACCGCCCACGTTCCCACACATTCAGTCTCAACCCAGAGGCCACTGTCTTTCTCCTTTTCTTCTTTTATTCTTTCTGAGCTGCACAGCAGGCATGCGGAGGAGGAAGACAGAAAACAGAAAACTTTTCAGTGTGGGCATCAAGCTGTCAGCCTGTTTCTGCCATAGCACTCTGATCCACTCCTCCCCTACTGATCCCCACCACAGCACCCCTTCTCCACCAAATGCCAAAAGCAGAAAGAAAACCCACAATACAAGATGGTCTCTTCAATTAAAAACAAAACTCTTTAATGCCCAGATAATTTACTGAGAACACAAAGGAAAATACTGCATGGCAACTGCCTGGAAGGACCTAACAAACTAGTCCTAGTGAAAGAAACAGGCACATGAAGATGATAACTGATGTGCACTGAGTACGTTGTCTAGATCAGGCCTGTTCCATGCACTTACATATAATTTGTTTAATCCTTACCTCGACCTGCAAGGTAAATACACGATTACTCCCCCATTTCAGTTAAGAAAACTGACGCACAGAACAATTATAGGTGCCAGAGCTAGAAAACCATCACAAGTAGCAGTCTGCTTCCAGATTCCATATTCCTGAGCCTTAGGCAGACTACAGGCCATTATAACGTAATGTGGTAAATAATATTATTTATTATTAATATTATTGACATGTGCTCAGGGTCAAAAAGTAGAAAATACCTTGTAAGTGATACTTCAGAAATTAGTCCTTCCCTCCAGTCCAGAGAACGGAATTGGAGAAGTCCTATCATGCCTGCCTTCCTTACACCAAGTGACTACATCCCTCCTTTTAGTTAGGAACTACTCTTTTTATCTTAGCAATTTAGTAACAGGTATGCCCTTGCACACCCATCAGCATGATATCCTTTTATATATCGGTAGCCCTAAAACATTTGGAATTTTATTGCCACTTGGTGAAGCTATTTGCCCACATAGCCTTAAGTCTTAGATAACTATTGCAACTCCTAAATTTCTCACCTCTAACCAATATTCACTCCACCACAGCAGCGTCCTATAGTACTGGCAGAGTGTGACATACACCCCTAGCATCTGTTTGTATTTTCAGCTTTTTAGAATTTTTTCAGAAGAAAAAATTTTATAGTAATTGTTATAAGTATCTGCAAGATGCCAGAGAATGTTTCAAAGAAAGTACTTCCCCTTTTGTAGACATACAAAAAGAGGAGGATTATAAGGATCATTACTATGCCAGGTATAATGTGGTTCCAAAAATGAAGCCAAAATCTGGTAATTTTTGAGGAAAAAAAGATAATGTGAAAATAGTTGTAAATGCCAGTTTTTGTAGCTCTCCAGCTCTCTGCAGTGACTGGATTTGGGCCATATGGAAACCCTTTCTGCTGTTAAATCAACAGAGAAATGAAGGAGAGAAAAACTTGATAAAGCTGTTCCCAGCCTGGCAAATTAGGAGTTAAACTTTGGAACTGACACTTCAGCATTTGGTAATCCCCTCACCCCATACTTGGCTGTAAAATCTGTGAAGTAGCCTCCTTCCGGAAGTCAGGTTTTCTAGTAATGCCCTAATTGGTTAAGTATGTATTATGGTGTATTTAATAACTGAGCCCCTTGATTTTCAGAACAAATGGCACCCACATGCTTGCTATTAACCTTTTGAATTGCAAATATATGCCAGGTTGCCATAAGCCACATGGTGTTCAAATGATTCCCCCCATATTTGAGATGCTATTCACTCTGTAACAAAATGACAAGACAGAATTGTATCAGGAAAAGAACACCCACATGTACACTCTAAATTGTGCAAACATTTTGAAATTCAGTGGTAATTTAGGAAGTCGGTCTCCAGTAGACTTCCCTATCCTTATATAGGCAAAGCCAGCTATTGTGTTCCAAAGCAAAACTGATGCCTGTGGCAATCATTCTTGTAACCAATCACAAGTCAACTGCTGGTAAAATGAGAGTAAATTAGTTACCGGTGTCAGAGGAAGCTTTAGAATTCACAAAGAATTTAGAAATAGCTAACATGTTATAATCATGTGGAAATGGTGCATATTATTAAAATTGCCAAGACAGGAAAACTTACCTGGCCGTGCTTTATGGTGCACAAAATCTCCTAGTGTGGCTATTAGAACATTCAGGGTGAAGTCAGAGTTCTATCCCAACTTCAGAAAAATCATCAAAAGTTTACTGGGAAGACAAAAATACTCCCGAGGGTCAGAAGCAAACCCAAATGACTTATTCACCTACTAAAATTAATTAACTTTGAATATTATGAAATAAAATAAATGCATTAAGAACAATAGAAATGCTTTTAACCAATGCAAATGGGTCTGGTAGTCAACTAATTCATCATAAAAGTTAGTTCAATTAGGGAGCAATGAAAAAACTAAAGGTATCATAAACATTTTATTTTATGTTAACATAAAGTAAATAAATATGCATGCAAGTGCCAATCTTTTTATGTAGGATGAAAGCCATTCCCTTGAGAATGTATCACTGATGGGAATTTCACCTGGTCTTTCTTGCCTAAACCACACTCCTAATACTGACTAAGATTTCCAGTTTCAGTTTCTTTTAAAGGTGAAGGAATTTAAATACTCTGGTGAAGCAAAAAATGTGTTAAATCCTTTTAGATTTCCATGGTTTTACAATCTTTCCTAAATATCTTGCCTACACCTAATTTGACATCATTTTTTCAGCTGTTCCTCTTTATTGGGTCATTCTAAAGCATTTAATTTAATTTTCATACAAACATCTCTCTCTGTTTCCCGTTAATACTTCATTGATTTGCATGAATAATTAATTAAATTATACAATTAAAATAATAAATATAACCGGCATGAAATGTTTAGGAACAAACAAAACTTTAACTCAATAAGTGGAGGTGTAGTACATACATTTCTAAGAGAGTAGACTACAAGTCACAAGCCCTCAGGAGGCGACAGAACTCAGTCATATTTTACTAAGGAAATGCAGAATGTTAATTATTTCATTAAATTCATTAAATGAAAATCAATCAAACTGATAGAGACAGCCAAGGGTCCCCCGCAAAACCCTGCCTTCAAGCCTAAAACCCAACCGCTGGTCCTGGATGAAGCCGGCCCTTTCCTCACTGATTCTCTGAATAATGCCCACCTGCGCACTGAAAGGATCTGGTGGAGCCTCAGGAAGTCACCCTATTTGCATGGGGGAGGAGCCTGGACTCCAGATCCTGTGTGGTGGCCTGGGATTCAATCTGTAAAGTGGGGGCCTGCTAGGAGGACTCTCTCTCTGTTTGCTGAGAGTTTCTATTTCCTTTTTTCCTTTTCACCCGATAAACGCTGTCCTACTCACCTTACAATGTGTCCGCGTGCCTAAGTTTTCATAGGTCGTGTGACAAGAACCCGTTTTTTTCTACAACAAAATGAAACAATATTTAGTAGGTAAAATAATTGTGGGCATGAATGTGTTATAAGAATGTGCTCATATATCACAATATATTTTAAGGGAATTTGTGTAAACCTTTCAGTTAGCTTTTCTACATAATATACATAGTTCATATCTTAATGGGAGTTTCAGAAACTGTCATAAGTATACTCTCTGTCCTGTAACTTCCACCGCTTCTCAGCTACTTCGGTTGAGGATAATTTTGTTTGTGAATAAAGAAAAAACATTCAACTAACAGGGGCAAAATCAGAAAGGTATGTATTGTGTAACTGATAGGACTGAGAGCAGGCATCTCCAGAGTTGGTTCAGCAATTTCATAATGTGAAGGCGCAGGACTGGCAGTGCTGAGATTCTGTCAAGGTTTTCAAATGCTGCTGCAGCACCAGGTATTTGAGTTGGGATCTTTTTCATTTATTGTCAGTAGGTATATGCTGTGTTCTTTTATTTTTAACATTTTAATCTGATTTCTATTTCCACAAGTTTTTAACTCCCCCCCCACTTTCTTCTGTAGAAGGATTATCTTCTCTATTGTTTACCAGACAGGAAATACTAAATACTATACTTTTATTCTCCCAGTGTTTACTTTAAAAGTAAACAGAATTAATATTCATTGTCAGATTTAATATTTTCTAACATCAAGAGTGTATCTAAGTTCCCCCAAAACATATTAATAACTTAAAAATCTTTTACTTTCCTCATTCGTTTATTTTTTTCACAATGAATACTGAAGATGGATAAATAATAATTTCATGTTTACTTCTCTCGCTGAGTCTCACATTCCATTACTTTCCCATAGAATCATTAAGCTTTTTTCTGAAGTAAGCTTTCTAGTCTTTTAACAGTTAACATTTATTTTATACCAAAATGTACCATTTCTATTTCCCCAAAATCTAAATACACAGGACCTAACATAATGCCTGCCACACAGAGAGTGGTCATTCTGTTATTTTCCAAATGTGAGAATGAATAAATGAATGAATGCCAGGCTCTGTTCTAAATGTGTTATATGCATATGTCTAGTTACAAAAGCCCTGCAAGGAAAGCACTCCATTTATGACGAAGGAAACTGAGCTTCAGAGAGCTTAATAAAACTTGCCCAAGGTCACATCACTATTAAGTTTTAGGATTCGGGTTCAATCCTGTGCCTATTCAATATCAAATTGCAGATTCTGTTATTTTCTTGGGTCTTGAACTGAGGAAACAAAGGATCTCAATGGAAGAAGGAAAATTGAGAAGATTCATGAAGTTAATATACATATGGGTAAATATATACTACAAGAGATCTTTGTCTGTCTCTTTCTTCACTTGTATCATTCCCTTGTTTTCCTTTCTTTACTTTTTTCTCTCCACTTAGGCTACCATTACCATAGAAATGATAGGGCTAGACTTCAACTAATAGAATTAATGTATTGATGGTGGAAAAGATTGAATGTAAAGAAAAGAACTGGAATCAAAAGGAAAACAAGAAACAGAGAGGCAGAGAATATAAATAGATGGATTCGTAAACATTAGAAGAAGCATCTTGGATTCAATTATTGCTTTGTAGAAGATTTTCTAACAAATATAAAAGTATCTCTAGAAGATTTTTTTAAAGTGTTTTACATTCAGTATTTTTCTTTTCACAATTTCTCCTAAGATTGAAAAATGATTAGATGGATGCATGAAAATAACCTTAGTTAAAGTTAATCTTATTTTCAGATTTTAAGCTTGTTAGAGATATAGTCCTTAACTGACAATCCTGCTATGATTTACTGTGCAAAGATTTAAACTTTAAAAATTCTAGAAATATTTATTTTATACTAACTTAAGTTTGAAACACTTGGGGAAAAAATTTCATTTTATAATGGAGAGTCGTATTTCAAGTGGCTGCACTGCTTAAATTGCAGTAGGAATAAAAATAGGGCAAAAAAAAATAGCCAGAAATGCAAATATAACACAATTTTTTGAGATAATATTGTTAAGTCATGAAAACAAATGAAAAAAAACCACAAAGGCTTAAAATTTTTTGTCTGAACACTTACCAATATAACCTGTTTCAGTTATTTTTGAAAGAGTCAATGTAGTGTTCTCTGAGATAAAATGTGATTGTTTGCCAAAAAACTTATGACCCTGATTTGTCTCAACATATGAATTAAAATAAATGATCTATGCTTTCAACTTTAGGGCTAGAAAAAAAAAAAACTCTTGTAAAACAGAAGAAAGTAATTCATACGTGTAAAAAAATTTATTTGAGTTAATTGAAAAGAAAAGGCAATAAAATTAAGTAATAATTATCCCAGTGTATGCTCAGGGTTATATGAAATCTATGCAGTCGTTGGTTCTTTTCTGTACCTGATGGCAAGTTTGAGAGATTGTATCTCTGTCCTGATACTTTACCTATTTACTTGCTTGGGTAAGATTTCAGTTAACTTCTCCTATCCATATTTTTCAAAAACAGAGGTAACAATATCAATTATCCTCCATTTAAATAACAGCTTTGACTCTTTTAACTAAAAGGCCATTTGTTAAATAAGAATGACTTAGGTACCTGTGATTTGCTATGTACCAGTAAGGACCTCAGTTCTTAGGAATCTTTCTTAAAGTATATCCCCATTGGGGATTGCATCTCGTTGTGTTAACAGAAAGCTGACTACACTGGTTTAATGAAATACGGTCTTAACTAGAATTCCTTAGAAACAGGTTCCGAGATGAAAAATTTTGTTTGAAAAATTAACTGGGAAGTCCTCTCAAGAGAAAGTGAAGAAGGCAGGATCGGACAGAGGAGAAGCAGACTCTTAACGTTTTTGCAACCAAGGCTCAGCCGGTCAGTTCCACAGTGAGTTCTGGAGCTGAAATGACCTTTTAGCATTGTCCCCATTTGAGGCAAAGAGCTTGGACTTTTGTGTCTGTACATCAGTCATTGACTACAGGTCACCCCCATTCTGGGGACTTAACCTTGGACCCAGCAATTCCCTACAGCTGAAAGTTCTTCCCAGTGAGGGACATGTCTCTGAATAGTCAGTAGTCTATACTTCTCAGCCAATGAGGATAGATATGTCGCCCCTGAAGAGGGGGTCTGGGCTGAATGCCACAGTTGGCACTACAAGAGCATTCTTTCCTTGCTTAGATCTACTTGTTCTTACAGCAAGTTTATCTCACTTGGGGACAGCTTCTCCAGGTTTGCTCTTATTTCCTGGGGAAATATAAAAAGGGAGTTAGCAGGTATAGGAGCTGCACCTCAAGACTGTAATTGACCTCCAGCCTGTACCTAGTGTTTATCATCCCCCTCCTCCACTCACTTTAGATGCCCTCACCTGCAGCTGACACCTCTGCTGGTGGAGTGACCCACACCCTTATCCCTGAGGTGTCGCAACGCCACATTACTTTGCCCTTTCTCAGGTTGTGGCTGCTGTTCATGACTATTCACTGTTAAAACTGGGCGGAAGAGCACCAAAAGACACCTCTGTGTTTCTGAGTATCAAACGTTCTCTCCTACCCCCAGCCCCCATTCATGCTTAGCCAGGACTAGATCATATAGCTAACCTAAGGTGTGAGGACTCACTTTCTGATGTTTGAGAAACACAGAGGAAAAAGTTATATAAGAAATGAAATTAGTTGGCTGTCACTGAATACCATTAAGTCGTTAAAAAGATAATGAGAGGTTCAGGGAGATAAAATTCAAGGTAAAATGCAGAAGTCAGAGGGTATTCTGGAAGCATTTAAAGAAGTTCATAATCTCTTGAAGATGAGGGGCAGATAGAGTAAAGAAGCTGACTCAGGACTTAATTGTAAGAGTAGCAGAGATTCAGATTCTCAACCCTACCAGGCCCACCAAGTCAAGGTCAGAACCATAATCAGGAAGGATCAGGACACTGAGACTTGGGATGGGGATATCTGGATAGATGCCTTGAGAACCTTAACCTCCCAATTTCCATGACCATGCTAGGCCTGCAGAAACAACTAACTCCATCTTGTATGAAGATACTAGGCCCATTGCTTAATATTGTGCATAGGTCTTAAATAAGATAGGAGCCTTACATGA